>NC_000016.10:10000-635000 GCF_000001405.40 Homo sapiens | reverse complement strand
ATACCCCGACCTTGGTCCAGTGGGCTGTGTCCCCATGCCCACAGCCCTATGCCATCAATGGGAAGATCTCCCCCCAGAGCAACGTGGACTTTGACCTGATGCTCAGATGCAGGTCAGAGCTAGAGGCGGGGGGTCTGGCTCAGGTGGCAGGTGGCTTGGGTGGCACCCCCCAGGCCATGACTCCATCTCCCCACCCTCTGCAGGAACCCAGAATGGGGGCTTCGGGACACAGCCCTCCTGGAGGACCTGGGAAAGGCCAGTGGCCTGCTCCTGGAGAGGATGGTAGGTGGGGGAGCGGGGGCCCAGGCAACCTCTCTAGGGGTTGAGGGCCGTCCTCCAGCAAAGTGTTTCTCCAGGTGGACATGCCAGCCAACAACAAATGCCTGATCTTCCGGAAAAACTAAGCCCCTCCTTCACCCCCGCACACCTGCATCCCTGCCGGAGGCTCTGTGAGGCACGAACCCTGCCTCCCTAGGCCGGACCTTGTGGACGACAGCCCCACCCAGTCTGTGCTCTCAGCCGCTGGCCGAAGGGCCCAGCCTGCTCAGAATAAAGCATGTCCTGCTGCCGGCTTGCTGGTGTCTGCCCCACCTCCTCCTAGGAGCACCTTGTGAGGTTGGGTGGGAGACGGGGTCTCCTGTGGGGTCAAGGGCTTGGGACGTCCTGATCCTTGCTGCTGGAGCTCGGGCAGTGGGATTGGGGCCGAGACAGCTGCTGAGGCAGGATGGAGCTGGTTGGGGATGCAGGGGCGGACAGGCACTCCCTGGTGACCTTGTACCAAAGCCCAAGCCCCAGTGGGTGTCAAGGCCCCAGCGGAAACTGGCTGGGCATGGGGCACCTGGAAGGATGAGGGTCGCCCGACCAGCAGCAGCAAGCCAGGAGGTCTGAGGCACAGGGAGTGCGTTTATTCACCAGGACGGGGTGGCGCAGGCCCCTGCGGGGGCTAGTCCTGGAAGCGGTTGAGCAGCTCGCAGGCCTGCTTCTCCAGCAGCTCCAAGATCTTCTTGACGCGCTTCTCGCTGGCGGCGCGGACGTAGCTGCCGGCGTCCAGCACGGCCACGCCATCGCGCACCTCACCCATGATGACCAGCGGCCCGTCGCCCGCCGTCATGTTGGGGCAGGGGCAGGCCCAGTCCATGCCACTCAGCGTCACCTCCAGGTACTTGGTGCCCAAGAACTTGAGGCCCATCTTGTCATCCTTGAGCACGTCCTCGAGCGCCACGCGGGCGATGCCGCCGGCGGCCTCGGGCTCCTCCAGCACCTCCGTGAGCCGCCCCACGATGGCGAAGTCGCTGCGGCACAGGCTCAGCGCCAGCTTGCTCCGGAGGCGGCAGGCGCGGCAGGGCGGTGTGCGCGGCACGGGGCAGGCATCCTCGCAGCTCTCGCGGCTGTGGAAGTTGTTGCCGTTGCCCTCGCAGCCACCGTACACGAAGGGATGGCACTGCTGCAGCAGCGGGCTGTAGGCCCAGCGCGGCTCCCAGCCCCGGCAGGGGCCCTGCACGGCAGGCAGCACGCAGGCGTCGCCGGGGCCGCGGGCACAGGCCTGCTGGCATGCCTCGTAGGTCTCAAAGCCGCGGGCCGCCCCATCACAGCCACGGGCCGGGAAGGTCATGCAGCCGCCCCGCTGCGGGTCGTAGTGCCAGAGGACAAGGTGTGGGGAAGTGGGGCCCGTGCAGGCCTGCACATCCGGCAGGCACTCGGCCGGGGCTGGGATGCTGGGGGCTGCGTCCCTGGCCGGCTCTCGCTGGACCACAGAGAGTGGGAAGTCAGCCCGCAGCAGCCCAGCAGCGTTGCGCGCGGTGCAGGTGTACAGGCCGGCGTCTTCGGGCCGCGCGTTGTAGAGCACCAGCTGCCCGATGCTGGTGACCACCACGTTGCCATACATCTGATCAGGGCGCATGATCAGGTTCTCTCGCTGGTGACTCTGCTTCTCCCAGGTCACAGCAGGCGGCGGGCGGCCGCTGACGTCGCAGTGGAGGCTGGCCGTACCCCCAACCTGCACCGCCTGTGGGGAGGGGCTGCTGTACAGGGCAGGAGGCACGGGCGCGGCCCCAGGTGTGGGGCGGGCAGTGGTCTCCGGCGGCCCCGGGCTGCTGGGCGGCCAGCTGAGCACGTGCTTGCAGGGCACGATGTGGAGGTGCAGGCCCCGCAGGCAGGCCTCGGCGTCCATATAGCAGCGGTTGTAGTAGGTGAGGCCGTCCGAGGCGCAGGTGAAGCTGGGCTCCTTCTCACAGCGGTCGCGGCAGCGGCACACGGGCTGCCCGTCCCAGATGTCGCAGTCCGAGCCCTGCTGTGGGCACACAAAGCCCTCGCAGGAGGCCGCTGTCGTCGGCGCAGCTGGGCTGCCGGGGAAGCGTGCTGCCACGCAGCTGTGCAGTCCACACACGTTGATGCAGCACTTCTCAGCAGCCGCACAGTCCTGGGGATGGGGGACACTTAGGTGGGAGCCCCAATGCCCCCCGCCCCGGGGCTCTGGCCTGGCCCCTGCAAGGGGAGGCCCAGGTGGGGTAGCAGGGAGCCCCCCGCTCTGTGGCTGCCTCCCCGGGGACTCAGTGTCCTTTCCATCCTGTGTGAGGAGCCACCTCGCCAGAGGTGCCACCTGGCTTACCTTCCAGAATCCTCACACCCACAAGCAAGTTCCGTTATTCTTTACGTTGTACAGACGAGGAAACTGAGGCCCAAGGAGGGCGTACAGTGCTCAGGACCACCCAGCAGGTGGTGCGGGCCAGGACAAAGGCTGGACATCGGCTGCAGCACCCCCACCACCATCTGCACTGGTCCCGGATGGAAGGAGGGTGGGAGGACAGGGAGGACAGTGGATGGAAGGAGAGGGTGGGAGGAGAGGATGGAAGGAGAGGGTGGGAGGAGAGGATGGAAGGAGAGGCAGTGACGGGGTGGGAGAAGAGGATGGAAGAAGTGGATGGGAGGAGTGGATGGGAGGAGTGGATGGGAGGAGAGGGTGGGAGGAGAGGCAGTGAAGGGGTGGGAGAAGTGGATGGGAGGAGAGGATGGAAGGAGAGGCAATGACGGGGTGAGAGAAGAGGATGGAAAAAGTGGATGGGAGGAGTGGATAGGAGAGGATGGAAGGAGAGGCAGTGATGGGGTGGGAGAAGAGGATGGAAGAAGTGGATGGGAGGAGTGGATAGGAGAGGATGGAAGGAGAGGCAGTGACGGGGTGGGAGAAGAGGATGGAAGAAGTGGATGGGAGGAGTGGATGGGAGGAGAGGGTGGGAGGAGAGGATGGAAGGAGAGGCAGTGAAGGGGTGGGAGAAGTGGATGGGAGGAGAGGGTGGGAGGAGAGGGTGGGAGGAGAGGCAGTGACGGGGTGGGGGTGGTCGCCGAGGATGATGGTGCCCCAGGGTGGAGGCACATGGGGAGCATGAAAGCTGGAGTGGGGAGGGCTCTTATTCTTAAGACAAATGAGGGCAACGATGGGGGTGTCTCTGGGCCCCTTAAGGGGCCCAGACCCAGACCCCCCAGAAGTCTGGGGAGCCCAGGCAGAAGGTGGCACCTCCAGCAGGGTCTTGCCCAGGCTGGCTGCTCTGAGCCCCAGGACCCCGGCCCGACCACACTCACCTGGTCCCTGCTACACTCGCGCTCACAGGTGCTCTGGGCGTCCACCCACAGGTTGGGGCTGAGCTGGTTGGGGCACACGCCCGGGTGGCTCCCCAGCCCTGGCAGCAAGCCAGCCCCCGAGGTCAGCCGGAGGAGGAGCAGGAGCGGCAGGAGTGGACGTAGGGCGGGCATGAGGGCCGCCGAGCCAGGGGGCCGGGGGGTGTGGCCACCAGCCCCTCCTCGGGCTCCACAGAGCCCAGCTTCCTGCAGGCATCCACCCTCCGGGCCTGTGGTCGGTGCCCCCACCAGGACCCCGGGGCTCCCTTTTGCCCCTGAGGCTGAAGCCTGCAGCAGATGCTTGTCCTGACACCCCTGCTGGGTGGGTAACGGGGTCTCCAAGTTCTCAGAGGCCGTCTGTGTGACGCTGGTTCCTCTCCAGCTTCAGCCTGGCCCCTCTGTCTGAACCGTGCGGGGGCTCCCAGGCCCTGGTCAGCACAGGGCAGAGGGGAGGAGGTTGGGGAGGGGCCAGAGGCCCATGAGCACAGAGCCACTGGCCATGAGGGTCACCGGGGCGGGGAAGGGCTGGCTCTGGCTGGAGAGGGGGAGGGGAGGGGACCCTGTAACCTGAACCCCTTCGTCCACCCCTGGGCTGAGATCAATCTCCTTGACGACCCTCAGTAGGGTGGGGGCAGGGCCAGCAGATCCCAGCTTTTGTCCCTGGCGCCCTCTGGACCCCAGGCTCCTATGCCATGGGGGTGGCAGGCACGGGCCCTCCCCGCAGAGCGTGGCTGACCACAGCCTGGGTCCCCCGGGCCAGGTCCAGGCTGGCAACGGTCACGTGCGGCCGAGGGCTTCACTCCGCTCCGAGGTTCCTTCCCCCCTCCATGGCTGTTTCAGGGGCACAGGGGTCTGCAGGACGCCCAGCACAGCCCGGCCTCCTCTGCTCTGCTGCCCCTGTTGGAGTGGGGCCCAACCCGGCAGGACTGCATTCCCAGAGACCCCATCCCTGAAACCAGGCAGCGGGCTTGGGGCTCAGGCCTGTCCCCAAGGCGGGGCAGGTGCAGCAGGAAGAGGCCTGTGGCCACCACAAGCATAAGAACAGCCCGAAACGCTGATGCCGGAGCCTCGGCCCACGCACCGTGTAGCCCTGGACGTGGCTCCGCGTGGGATGGCACCGCCCGAGGGAAGGCCAAGTGCAAGGGCGTCTGCAGCTGAAAAGAGCAAGTGTCCCAGGGCACCAGAGCCTTGCCCTGCCCCAGCCCCCCGTCGGCGGGGCACACATCCCCAGGCTGGCTCCTCTTCGTTGGGGAGGGCAGGGGGCTGGCCTGCCTGGTGCAGCAGGACAAAAGGCTGCCTGGAATCTACCCTTCCAAACCCTCTGTGGCTCCAGATGTCTGGGGCCTCAGGGAGTGGTTCTCTTGAGACCGGATGGGAGTGTCCCCCTGACCCTGTGTCTGACCTCTGACCCAGGAGGCAGGGTAACAGGAGCCTGGTCTGGTCAGAATGAGACCCGGAGACGGCTCCAGGCGCCAGTCCCTGCTCTACAAGGAGACTGGGGGTGGGCCCTGATAGCGTGGGGGTGGGGGTAGCTAGGCCAGACCCAGCAGCAGGCGGCTGGGCTGGAGCTGCCAGGGAGGGGCTTAAGGCCCGGACATGCCCACGAAACAGCACAGGGAGGCACCTGAGCCAGAGGCTGTGGTCTGGTCCCTGTACCAACTGGAGTGCCCCGTTCCAGCTCAGCTGTGACCTCCGGGGCGTCCACACCCCCCTGGGCCGGGCATAGCAGACACCAGATTGGCCAGCGTGCAGGCGGCTCTGCTGAGCGGGCCGACTGACTGGAGGACCTGGCCCTCTGGAGTCCTGCTGCTGTTGGGGACAGTCCGCCCCAGGCCATCTGCTGCCGGGGACTGTGAGCGAGGGCTCAGCACAGCCCAGCTGGGATTCCATCCACCGGGAAGAGGAGAATGGCCGTGACCAGGCCCAGCTGCTCCAGCCCAGCTCCAGCCCTCACTTTGAGGCGAACCCAGCCAACCGCGGCAGGTCAGCCCGGTCAGCGCAGGGAACAGCAGGCAAAACAAAGGCCAGAGGTCAGTTTGCCGGGTATGAAGCAGCACTGGCCCCTGGCACGGGGCACCGCCACTGCCAGACCCACCCCACCAGACACAGCAAAACGTGGGGACCACAGCTGAATTACATTTACTGTACAAAGAACGGTTCGGAGAGAACCAGGAATGGCGGAGTGTCTAACAGCAGCGCGGGTAGTGTTGATGCCGTGAATGCAGGACCATCCAGGTCCTCAAAGTCTGTGAGGTTTGTTCATAATCCCAAACAAGGGCCCTGCTGGCAGCAACAGGACAGGTGGGGCCAGGACAGGGAAGCTGGAGCAGGAGGCCAGTGTCTTTGGGGGCTGTGGCAGGGCCGCCTGCCTGGGGTTCCCTTACTCATCTGGTAGTTCATGCAGGCCACGGCCCTCATCTCCCAGGAACGGGCCATGGGGCGAGTCCACTGGTGCCCAGTAACACCCTCCGTGGGACCACCTTGGGAAGCATGTGCCGCGGAGTCCACCACGGGGGGTCCTGGGTCCCGGGAGGGCTCCTTCTGCGTGCTGGCCATGTCGTGCCGCACGGCCTGAGGACAGGAGGTAGAGGTGAGCACCAGTGCTGTGGGCAGGCCCAGGCGATGGTGACCGTGCAGAGGGGCTGCTGGGGCAGGCATGGGCAGAAGCACTGGGTGGAGGAGCGGCCAATGGCTTCAGGAGAGAGGTGGCCGGCCCTGCGTGCCTGGGGCTCAGCATGAGCGCCGGGCTGGTGGGCCTTTGAGGAGGGGCCTAGCCTCCCGAGGCCCCCAGGTGGACGTGGACGTGGACGAGGTGGTTCCAGGCACGTCCCTAAGAAGGTCAGGATGGTTCTGATGCCGTGCAACCTCACAGGAGAGCTGCAGCTGTGGGGACCCCAGGGCCAGCGACAGAAGCTGCCGAGAACAGGAGGCTGCACGCAGGTGCCCGGGGTCTGCACCGCTGCCCATCAAGTATTCCTAAGTCTACAGATAGCTCTGCACTCTCCAGGGTGGGCGAGATGATCTGAGTTTTGAGTGGTCAATGTCCCCGAAGGTGTCACATCACAGCAGGAAGGTTCTCATCCCCACGTGGGGAGGGATTTGGGGAGCAACAAAAATGTGGGCTGCCAGGTGCACCTCCTTTCTCCCCTCTCCTGAGTGCTGCTTGGGCTCTGACCACAGGACCACACCCTCCATCCCGTGGGAGCCAGGGCCCCGGTCACCCAAGCTTCCAGAGGGAGCACCGGCCCTGTCTGCTCCCCCGGCCTCTGGGCAGCCCCGCCACTCGCAGCGCATGAATTCACAGGATGCCTTGCCATCGCGGCCGCGAGTCCCCTCTCGAGGAGTCCCAAGTGCGTCCCCGCAGCTGGCGTGGCCATGAAGTCACCAGTGCACCACCACCGGGCCACACCCAGGCTTCCCTGAAGGCCCCTTAAAAATGTACAAAAAAGTGAAGTGTTCTCTATATAAATAAGAAAGGCCAACCAGGCTCCCCGCCGGTCAAGCCCAGGCAGCTGGGGAGGCCCGGCTTGTTTCCGACCAAGATTCCCGGAAGCACCAGCAGCCCAGCCGCGCCCCCTCCTCCCGCCTGCCGCGCTTGGTCCGTGCATGCTCCTCCTCGCACCCGGCTCAGGTGTGAGGAAAGCCCGGCGCTTCTGAGGCAGCTGTGTGGACAGTCTCCACGTAGGCGGCACTGGCCTGGCGTCCAGCCAGGAGTGTCCAGCTCGAGCCCTCCTGGCATCTGCACAGGCGGCCCCGCCCATCCCCGCTAGGAGATCTTGCAGTTACTCCGCGAGCAGTTCTGGGGGGGGCTCTGGGGTGGACGGATGGACTTGGACCTCTTGAGGCTGTTGCCCTTGCTGCCGCCGCCCCCGGCCCCGCTGGCCAGGGAGTAGGAACGGCCGTGCATCATGACCGCGTTCATGCCGTTGGCCATCGAGAAGGACTTGAGGTGGCTCTTGATGGTGACGGGCAGTGGAAGCTTGTCGATGAGGTGCACGGGGGTGCAGGAGACGATGGCCCGGCAGCAGAGGTCCTGCAGGCTGAACACTGTGGGGCAGAGGGGGTGTCAGACCATGGGGCTGTGGGGGAGGAGGCCCTGTGCAGGGAGACCTGAGGTGCCCAAGAGAAGCCTGGCGGGGTCTCCACACTCCTAGAGGTGTTCCCAGGCTGGGCTCCTGGAGGACCTGGACGCCCAAACTTCTCTGCCCAGCACAGATGTGTCCACTGGCACCCCATCCCCTGCCTTGCTCCCTAAAGCCAGGCACGCTGGGCGGTGCTGCTGCGGGGCTTCCAGAGGGCACTCTGCCCAGTTCCTGGCCTGGATGATGCAGCTCCCAGTGTGAGGGCTGCGTGATCTGGCCCTTCAAGCGTCCTGACTCATCCCCTAGAGCGGGGGAGCGCGCGTCCTGACTCATTCCCTAGAGCACTCGCTCATTCTTTTGTTTTGTTTTTTGAGACGGGTCTCGCTCTGTCGCCAGGCTGGAGTGCCGTGGCACGATCTCCGCTCACTGCAACCTCCGCCTCCTGGGTTCAAGCGATTCTCCTGCCTCAGCCTCCCGAATAGCTGGGACTACAGGTGTGCGTCACCACGCCCGGTTAATTTTTGTATTTTTAGTAGAGACGGGGTTTCACCGTGTTGGCCAGGCTGGTCTCGAAGTCCTGACCTCAGGTGATCCACCTGCTGTGGCCTCCCAAAGTGCTGGGATTACAGGAGTGAGCCACCGTGCCAGGCCCGTGCTTCCTCTTAAGAAGGACAGTGACACCGTCAGCCACCCTCTCTCTGTTCAGCAGTGAACCCTGCTGGGAGGCACCACAAAATCAACAGTACCACCTCCCTGAGGGGGGCTTCACGGGAGCCTCTGATCAAGGATGTGGCTACCCAGGAAGAGCAGATGACACAACACAAAGCTGCAGGCACGGCTCCTGTGCTCCCCTGACAGCAGGACCAGCCCCGGAACCAGGAAGGAGCGAGCACACACTGCCCACACCAGCAATGCCAGGGACCCACAGGCATGGCAGAGTGCAGCGGCCACGGCGGCACCCTGAGGGGGGGTCATCAGCTGCTCCTGTGCCCCCCAGTGCTGCCGCCTCTCCCCCGAGGCTGCTCTTACCAAGTCACTGACCTGCCGCCGGCCGAGCCCCTACTGCGCGTTGCCAAGGGACCTGCCTGAACCTCCCTCACTGGCCCCTGGCCCCCCTCAGCCTCCATGTGATCAGGGCAGCCCAGGTTCGGGGACCTCAGGGCTGGCCGGCGCCCGCCCACCCACCTCGGTTGGGCCTCCAGATCTTCTCCATGCCGTGCCGCATGAGCACGATGCGGGATAGCTCCGTGAAGGACTCGATGACGTTGAAGTTGCACAGGGGGCTGACCTCAAAGAAGGTCATGCAGTTCTTCTCTGCGTACGCGCGGGCCTGCTCCGTCGGGACCTGCCGCTTGAAGGCCAGGTGCAGCCGGTTTCCAACCAAGATCCGGGGGACTCCGGGTGCATGCTGGGGGCACAGAACTCAGCAGACGCACAAACGCAGGGTGCCACCCACCCCTCAGCCGCAGCAGGGCCCGCCCTCATTGTCTGGACTATGATGGGGTGAGGGCCGTGGGAGGTCAAGGTGGGCGGAGGTCAAGGTGGGCAGACCCCAGGGCTCAGGCCCTACAGTGCAGCCCTTCCGGGTGGCCCCGTAGCTCCTGGTCTTGCTGGGCTCCACGCCCGACTGTCGTGTGCACAGTGACCAGCATGCCCAGGCGTAGGCCGTGGGACAGTGCAGGGTGCAGAGCCGGGGCCACAGGAGGGGCGGCAGGCGGGAATCCAGAGCCTACCCGGGGCCCAGGTACCTCCATCCAGCCTGCCTTCCCCGGGAGGGCTCCCCGGACCCAGGCCTACCTCATCGATCTCCTTGATCCAGCGGTCGATGCCGTCAAAGGACCAGCGGTTGGTGATGTCATACACCAAGAGGATCCCCTGCAACAGAGACTTGGGGGTCATCAGGGGTCACTGACACGCATGGCCAGCCCAGGCCCAGGGACGCTCAGGTGCAGGGGCCTCAGTTCCCGGGCAGGGCCAAGGATGCTTATTACTTGGCGGATGGGCAGATGAGCCATGCCCTCCAGGCAGAGCTGGTGCAGCCCTGCCCCTCACCCCTGCCCTCACCTGGCAGGACTGCAGCAGGGGGGTGGGCGCCTTCCATGGTGTCAGAAATGCCGCTTCCCCTCCCTCCCCTGGAGCCATCAGCCTGTGGAAGTTTCCTGGGCAGGCAGATGCGGGGTTCTGGCAGCCGGGGGACGTGCAGCTGTGGAAGCTAAGTGTCCTCTCGGCCAGTCCATCAGTGAATCCCCCCGGGAGTACCTGGGACAGAGCTGAGTGGGGGCATTTCTGAGTTTTCCAACCTAAAACTTGCAGAGCAGAATGCCAGTCCCTCCAGGACAGTTTCTGTGAAGCTCCCCCAGCCAGGCAGAGCAGGTTTTGCCACGGGGACTTTTTGCCACATCCCTTAGAGACCAATTACTTGGAGCTCAGCTCTGGGCTGTTTCCACCTGCCCTAAATATCTCGGCAGTGACAGTCATGGCTCTCCAGCAGCACAGGGGAGCACACTGCTCACACTCAGAGCCCTGTCGGGCGAAACGGTGACATCACAGGCCCATTCCCCTATGCCCGCCTCTCCCCAACGTCCACTCCCACCCTACAATTCTGCAACCAGATCCAGCCAATGAGCTGTGATCCACCCTACTCCTAGGCTGACAAAACCTTCACGTAATGGAAGAGCCTATCACACAAGAGGCTGAGGCTGAAAGAAGAGGGCACTGTCCATCTGAAAATTAGGGTTTTTAGAGCCTCTTAGAACCATCTTTCGATATCTGGAAGACTGAAGTGTAGCCCCAGGTCCTGTTTAGAACAAGGTTGACATTACTAAGCTCCCAGGGCGAAGGCCTTGCTCAGGATGGAGCGACAGCTCAGGAAGGACACCTCTCGCTGAGGGAGACCCTTCGAGGCCAGAGATGGCCAAGTCAGTCTGGTGGGCGATAAATGATAAGATTCAGAATAAACAAATGCACACCCAGGGGTTAACCCTGGAGGTTGGGGCACAGGGACTGGGGCTGGCTCATTTGCTGCTGGGGGAGGTGGAGAGACTGGGGAGTGGGCCACCAAAGCGTACAACACAGCCCACTCTCCCTAGTGGCAACCTCCCGCATGGCAACCTCCCGCATGGCAAGCCCACAACTCAGAAGTAACTGAGGATGTGTGTCACAGTGGCGCTGATAACAACGACAAGCCAGACACAAATTAAATGTCCAGCCTCAGGGGACAGCTGAGTAAGCGGCAGTGAAATGTACCGTGCAGATGCTGAAGACAGCAGCAGTGCATGTAAAAGCGTGCATGCTGGCCAAGGAGAGATGTGCAACCCAGGTGAGGTAAGAACGCAGGTCCCAGCACTGCGGATGGCATTTTCTTTTTTTTTGAAACAGGGTCTCACTCTGTCAGCCAGGCTGGGGTTCATGCAGTGGCACGATCATGGCTCACTGCAGCCTGATATTCTGAGCCTCAGCTTCCTGAGTGGCTGGGAATACAGGTGTGAACCACCACATCTGGCTAAGTTTTTTTAAACATTTTTTAGAGATGGGATCTTGCTATGTTGCCCAGGCTGGTCTTGAACCCCTGGCCTCAAGTGATCCTCCTGCCTCAACTTCCTAAAGTGCTGGGATCAGAGGTGTGAGCCACTGTGCCCAGCCCAGCATGATTTCTTTTTTTTTTTTTTTTGAGACGGAGTCTCACTCTGTCGCCCAGGCTGGAGTGCAGCCGCACGATCTCCGCTTCCGGGTTCACGCCATTCTCCTGCCTCAGTCTCCTGAGTAGCTGGGACTACAGGCGCCCGCCACCATGCCCGGCTAATTTTTTTGTATTTTTTTTTAGTAGAGACAGGGTTTCACCGTGTTAGCCAGGATGGTCTTGATCTCCTGACCTCCCGATCTGCCCACCTCGGCCTCCCAAAGTGCTGGGATGACAGGCGTGAGCCACCGCGCCCGGCCCAGCATGATTTTTAAAAAATAAAAGTATGAACACACAACACATTACACTGAAGAAGTTTATATGGACATAAAACAAATGCTAAAAGGCTGGAGAGGGGTAACTTTTGATGCTGACCTGTTTTCTGTGGCAAACACCCCTATTCGCATGACACTGAAAACTCTAGAAAGAGAGCAGAAGGCCCGCCTCCCGGCTGATGGGCTGCCTCAGGCTCCAAGTGTGCTGTGACGCGGGGGGCCCTGGCCACACCTCCCGGCTGCTGCCCTGAGCGGGCCCCCACTTCCTGGGATGGCCATGTCTGAGGAGTAGGGGTTACGGGCAGGGGCGATGGCACAGGAGGACCCGGAGGCTTGCTCCGGCGTGGGTCACAGTGAGGCCGCAGGGACCCAAATGACCACGGAGTGAGAAACCAAAAGGAGACTCTCGGTGACCAGCAGCCGCCTAACGAACGGCACCCTAAGCACCCTCAGCTGCGTGTCTCAAGGGGCAGAGCACGGGACAAACAGACTCTTCCACTGCCTTCTGTTTTCTAAAACTGATCTGATTTTTAAAAAACTAGCGACTTCGGCCAGGCGCCGTGGCTCACGCCTGCGATCCCAGCACTTTGGGAGGCCGAGGCAGGCGGATCACGAGGTCAAGAGATGGAGACCATCCTGGCCAACATGGTGAAACCCCGTCTCTACTAAAAATACAAAAATTAGCTGGACGCGGTGGTGCACACCTAGTTCTAGCTACTCGGGAGCCTGAGGCAGGAGAATGGCGTGAACCCGGGAGGCGGAGGTTGCAGTGAGCCGAGATCGCGCCACGGCACTCCAGCCTGGCGACAGAGCCAGACCGTGTCTCAAAAAACAAAACAAAAGAACGAGCGAGTGCTCTAGGGGATGAGTCAGGACGCGCGCTCGCCCTGCTCTAGGCCCCTCTAGGAGCCGCCCTGACAGTCAGTTTCCTCAGCGTCTACAGACGTGTCCACGGTGCCGCTCATGCCTCGCGGGCGGGGTCAAGGGGGTGGAGGCACTTGGCGCTGCTCCCACCCGCACGCCCTGAGCTCAGGCCCAGCACCCCCGCCTGCTCGTGAACTGGTACTGCGCCAGCTCTTGGGTAACGGTGGCAATATGCATCTGAGCACGTTTACACCTTTTTTTGATCAACTCGACCTACACGATAAATTCCCAGAAGTAGAACTGCTGGGCCTAAGAGTGGGTGTCCTTTTTGCTATCATTTTTTACTGAGCTGTAACTTACAAAGCACAAAATACAAAGATCCGAGGTTTGAACATTTTGATGAATTTTGACAAACACATGCCCCTTCCACCCATGTGGCTGAAGCTCCCAAGGTACAGCCAGCGAGAGTGAAGCCCTCCTCCTGCATCCCTGCACCCAGGCTCTGCCCAGGAGCAACTGACATGTAAAATGGGAGCTACTGCCAAGCCGCGCCCACTCACATCCACCCGCCCACCTGTGTGCCGACAAGCCAGCAGCACGTGTGCCTCCCGTACCACGCTCCACATAAACCCCCTCTCAGGGAAACAAATCCACACCTTTGTCCTGAAGCAGACATGGCACTTGGCCACAGCCTTCCTGGCACTAAGCCCGCTGACCCCAAATTCTCAGCTAAACAGGATGGCACATCCCGTCAGCCACACTGCAGTTACAAGGAGCCTACCCCACCCTCCACACACCAAGGGACCTGCACCTGGGTGACCCACTCATCCCACCAGCGGGTTGTGGCACCCGCTTCTGAGAGGGGCCGTCTCAGATCACAGCAACAGAATATGCAAACACGACCATGAAGTCTAGGGAGCCCGGCCTTCGGCGGCACGTGAAGGGCCTCGCGGGAAGAGCCGCGGGACTGCTGCTGTGTGACAGGTGACGGCAGCGGGGAGTGGCCGGTGGCCTTTGCTGGTGCCATCTGCAAGACCCAGGCCGCGGGGACCTTCCAGGCCTCTCCACTCTCTAACGGAGGGAGGCAGAGTGACAAATCCCGGCTGGGACAGACAGTCCTTGCTAGTCTGTGTCTCATCAGGGGCGGCGGGAGAAACCCTGCTGCAAACCTGGGCTCTGCACCTCGGCTGGATGCACCCGCACCTCACCGCTGCTCACCAGGCAGGAGAGACACAGGACAGGGCTGGGCTCCCGGGGTGGCCCAAATGCTCAGTCACGGCGGTCAGAGGCCCGCCTGGAGACTCAGGTGCTTCTCCCGGGGCAAGGAAGCACCTGGCACCCTCAACCCAGGACCAACATGTGCACCTGGGTCTGTAACCTGCTCCTCGCATGTGGAAAATGACAGCTCAGAATTTCCAGAGTTAACAAGACAAAACAAAGACATAACCAGTTGTGCCAGATGCTTTGGAAAGAACACGGAGATGATAACAGAGCTTGCTTTCCAGGACCTCAGCCTGGCAAATGCAGAGCTTATGAACTGCTTTTTTCTTTTTTAGTTCTCATGCAGCTGAACAGAAATCACGACTGTACTGGCCTCGTGTCCCACAGACCTCCCTGTGTGGGAGCTGGGATGCCTGCGGTGGAGCCCGTCGGGGGGGGTGGCTGGGATGCCCGCGGTGGAGCCCGTCGGCGGGGGGCTGGGATGCCCGCGGTGGAGCCCGTCGGCGGGGGGCTGGGATGCCCGCGGTGGAGCCCGTCGGCGGGGGGCTGGGATGCCCGCGGTGGAGCCCATCGGGGGGGGCTGGGATGCCCGCGGTGGAGCCCGTCGGGGGGGGGCTGGGATGCCCGCGGTGGAGCCCGTCGGGGGGGGCTGGGATGCCCGCAGTGGAGCCTGTCAGGTTCAGCCTCCCTGCTGCCTTTTCCAGTATCTCCCCAACAACCCTTTATTGTCATCCAACATAACTGCGCCCCATATTTTTTAATACCAAAATAGTATATGTTTATTGCAGAAAAATCACGAAATACTTAAAAGCAAAAGGAAGACAAGAAGGCATTTTTGTAGATGTAAATCACCCACACAGCTCCTCCTTTTTTTTTGAGATGGAGTTTCACTCGTCGCCCAGGTTGGCGTGCAATGGCACAATCTCGGCTCACTGCAACCTCCACCTCCTGGGTTCAAGCGATTCTCCTGCCTCAGCCTCCTAAGTAGCTGGGATTATAAGCGCCCGCCACCATGCTCGGCTAATTTTTGTATTTTTCGTAGAGATGGGGTTTCACCATGTTGGTCAGGTTGGTCTCCAACTCTTGACCTCGTGATCTGTCTGCCTTGGCCTCCCAAAGTGCTGGGATTACAGGCGTGAACCACCGCACCAGCCCCAACTCCTCTTTCAATAGCAGGCAGGGCCCATGGAATGCATCCTTGAGCCTGCCCGTCTTCCACCTGCCTGCTCCACGAATCACGGCCATGTTGCTCCAGTTCTCACAGGGATGGCACGGAGCCTGCAGGCCCTTCTGCTCCCATGAGGGAGCTGCCAACATCTCCGAGGGAACTCCCAGGACAGGGTGCGACCCAGCCCGCCCTGGCGTCCTTCCCACCCACCGCCAGCAGGTAGAAGACATCAGATCCAACACCGACTACACTTCAGTGTAGAAATGGAAGGAAATGAGCTTGCCATGGGACGAAGCTCCAGTGTCCATCCCCCTCGCACCTGGGCAGCTTCCTGCCCAGAGCGGACCCACCTGAGCCAGAAGCTGCATGGCACAGACCTGAACCTTCCCCCAAGAAGGATCCAGACCCAGACCCAGGCGGCCTCCCTGGGCCCACATGGGGGGCTCCAGGCTCACGAACTGGCCCCGGAGGGGCTCTCCTGGCTCTTCCAGAACTCTTAGGGGCATCACAGACAGGACAGACCCGCTCAAATCCCTCCCACTGAAGCAGCAACAACAGTGGCCATGACAGGTCTGTTTACATGGGCTTCACGTCCTTGCCCTCCTTCCGGCCTCACATTCGCCAGCAGATCCAGTCAGCACAAAAGCGTGCTTGGGGGCCCAGAGGAGACAGAAACGAGGGTGGCCAAGCGCACCCACCATACCTGCACACACACTGCACACATGGCCCCAGTGCCCCCGCCAGACCTGTGCACATGGCTGCACACACACATGGCCCTGAGTGCACCCACTACACCTGTGCACACACACAGCTCCAAGTACACCACACCTGCACACACACTGCACACATGGCCCCAGTGCCCCCGCCAGACCTGTGCACATGCCTGCACACACACATGGCCCTGAGTGCACCCACTACACCTGTGCACACACACAGCTCCAAGTACACCACACCTGAGCACACACTGCACACATGGCCCCAGTGCCCCCGCCAGACCTGTGCACATGCCTGCACACACACATGGCCGAGTGCACCCACTACACCTGTGCACACACACAGCTCCAAGTACACCACACCTGCACACACTGCACACATGGCCCCAGTGCGTCCGCCAGACCTGTGCAAATGCCTGCACACACATGGCCCTGAGTGCACCCACTACACCTGTGCACACACACAGCTCCAAGTACACACCTGAGCACACACTGCACACATGGCCCCAGTGCCCCCGCCAGACCTGTGCACATGCCTGCACATACACATGGCCGAGTGCACCCACTACACCTGTGCACACACACAGCTCCAAGTACACCACACCTGCACACACTGCACACATGGCCCCAGTGCGTCCGCCAGACCTGTGCACATGCCTGCACACACATGGCCCTGAGTGCACCCACTACACCTGTGCACACACACAGCTCCAAGTACACCACACCTGCGCACACACTGCACACATGGCCCCAGTGCCCCCGCCAGACCTGTGCACATGGCTGCACACACACATGGCCCTGAGTGCACCCACTACACCTGTGCACACACACAGCTCCAAGTACACCCACTGCGCCTGTACTCCCAGCTACTGGGGAGGCTGAGGCAGGAGAATCGCTTGAACCCGGGAGGGGGAGGCTGCAGTGAGCCGAGACTGTGCCACTGTACTCCAGCCTGGGTGACAGAGTGAGTCTCTGTCTCAAAACAAACAAATAAACAAACCAATGTGAGAATATCCTTATAAAGAAAGAAAGTCCTTGGGAGTTTGACAGGACAACAACTCACATTCAGAAAGAATCAGGAGAAACATCCTTTGAAAAGCAATGGAAAGAGCGGTGCTGGTCTTACCTGAGCGCCCCTGGAGTAGGACCTGAAGATGGTGCAGAACCGGCCCTGGCCCGACGTGTCCCTGAAACATACGGGGAGGGGAGGGGCCGGGACTGTGGTCCCTGTGAGAGGCTCACCTCCTTCCCTCCTCTGCCGACCCACCTGGATGTCCTGAGGGGAGCGGGGCGGCCAGGACAGGTGCCAATGAGGCTGTGCTAAGCGGCTTTGTCTGCACAGGTCACAGCAGCCTGGCGCCGTGCCGCTGAGCCAGGCAGGCAGCAGAAGGGGCCCCCGCCCACCTGGGGAGTGAGCAAGCTCCTCACATGAGCCTGGGAGCTCCAGGAGACTGTCCTGCCAGGCTGGGGAACCCCAACCCTGTGGACATTCACGTCTCATCAACGCTGACGTTCTGGGAAATGCTTTTTTTTTTTTCTTTTTTGAGACGGAGTCTCATTCTGTCACCCAGGCTGGAGTGCAGTGGTGCAATCTCAGCTCACTGCAACTTCTGCCTCCCGGGTTCAAGTGATTCTACTGCCTCAGCCTCCTGAGTGGCTGGGACTACAGGCGCCCGCCACCACACCTGGCTAATTTTTGTATTTTTAGTAGAGATGGCGTTTCACCATGTTGGCCAGGCTTGTCTTGGACTCCTGACCTCAGGTGATCCTCCTGCCTCGGCCTCCCAAAGTGCTGGGATGACAGGCGTGAGCCACCACACCCCGCTGGGAAATGCTTTTTAAGGTGAAGCCGACAGAAGGGGAGGGAAGGGGCTCACAGCCACCACGGAATCAGGTTTTCCGGGGCAGGAGGGGAGCCGCGATCTCTAGGGACACAGTGTCCCAGACTGTCTTTTTCCTGTTGGAGTAAAATCCATTCTATGTTTAAACAGGGGCTGTGTAAGTGGCTCTTCCAAGTGAAATGCAAACAGGACGCCTTCCTGTTTCTCTAAGGGTTCTGTTCTCCCTTCGGCATTTGTGTCCTCACCCAGGAACTGAAGTGCCGCAGCCCCAACTCACCAGAGCTCCAGCTTCACGCGCCGGCCGTCCAGCAGGATGGTGGTGGTCTTGTAGTCGATCCCTGCGAGGAAGCACAGGGCGCTGAGGGGACGCGCCACTCCTGGAGCGAGCGCCCGCGAGACCAGCCTCGGCCACTGGCCTCCCAGGGCCAAGACCCACGCGGAAGTGGAGAAGCAGCTCCCCCACACTCAGCCAGTGGGGCAGGGGGAAATCTCGGGGCTCTGGCCCAGCAACCCAGGCCTGCCCACTTCTGCACACGGGCCACGGGCAGGGCGGGGCAGGGCAGGGCAGGAGCGTGGTCCATACAGTGTCAGGCCATCGGGCCCCACAGCCTAGCAGGCCAGCCTCTCCATGGGCACGGCTTGCCTGGAATGGGGCCTCCGCCTGTGGCCCGCGCTGGGTGCAAGGCACAGGGCCTCTCCCTCAGAGGGCATTGGGCAAAGGCAGGGCGTGGACTCCAGCGTGCCTGGAGAAAGGGCAGTGCCTTTATTTCCACCCTGACCTACTTCGTATGCATTTTGAAGTTGAATTCTCCAAGGCGAATGTATTTCCAAGTCTCGGCTTACTGCAGCCCAGGAACTGCCAAGGTTGGTGTTAGGGAGGGCCAAACAAGTTTAAAAATGCTGCTTCTGGCCGGGCGCGGTGGCTCACGCCTGTAATCCCAGCACTTTGGGAGGCCGAGGCGGGCGGATCATGAGGTCGGGAGTTTGAGAGCAGCCTGACCAACACAGTGAAACCCCGTCTCTACTAAAAATACAAAAAATTAGCCAGGTGTGGTGGTGGGCACCTTTAATCCCAGCTACTCGGGAGGCTGAGGCAGGAGAATCACTTGAAGCTGGGAGGTGGAGGTTGCAGTGAGCCGAGATCATGTCACTGCACTCCTGCCTGGGTGACAGTACTCAATAAATAAATAAATAAATAAATAAATAAATAAAATGCTGCTTCTCCGGACTCTGGACTGACCTCAGACAGCCACCAGCCTGCCTGCCACATTGGTATTTTTTTTTTTTTTTGAGACAGAGTCTTGCTCAGTCACCCAGGCTGGAGTGCAGTGGTGCGATCTCTGCTCACTGCAAGCTCCGTCTCCCGGGTTCACGCCATTATCTAGCCTCAGCCTGCTGAGTAGCTGAACTACAGGCGCCCGCCACCATGCCCGGATAATTTTTTGTATTTTTAGTAGAGGTGGGGTTTCACCGTGTTAGCCAGGATGGTCTCGATCTCCTGACCTCATGATCCACCCGCCTCAGCCTCCCAAAGTGCTAGGATTACAGGCGTGAGCCACTGCACCCGGCCTTTTTTTCTTTTTTGAGATGGAGTCTCACTCTGTCGCCCAGGCTGCAGTGCAGTGCCACAATCTCGGGTCACTACAACCTCCACCTCCCGGGTTCAAGCGATTCTCCTGCCTCAGCCTCCCAAGTAGCTGGGATTACAGGTGCCCACCACCACAGCCGGCTAATTTTTATAATTTTAGTAGAGACGGGGTTTTGCCACGTTGGCTAAGCTGGTCACAAATTCCTGACCTCAGGTGATTCGCCCGCCTTGGCCTCCCAAAGTGCTGGGATTACAGGTGTGAGCCACCGTGCCCGGCCCACATCACATCATTACTTTTTATTTCCTTACAGTTTTATAGGAAAAGGTCAGTCCAAGAGAAACTGAAAGGAGCAGACAGTTCTGGACACTTAACGCAGGCACGACATCTTAAACAGGCTCTGGGCCCTCTGGAAACTTTCCAGAAGCTTCTACCTTTAGGGCTCAGCCCCTTCCCCCACCTTAGAAACACCATTCACGTTTTGTCTTTTTATGACACTTTCTCCAAGGGGCTTGGAAACGGGCACTTTTTAAACATAAGCGACGCCCTCCCACGGAGTGCACCTGCCCAGTGGGCTTGTGTGTGTGTCTGTGCACATCTGTCTCTCCGTGCGGGCCCAGCCCTGCAAGCCAGCCATGCGGTCTCTCTGCCTACGGTGCCCTTCTTCAGGCATCAGCGCTTCCACCCACACCGTCCTTCTGCCTGACCAACCCCTACATGTACATCAAAGGCTGTTCTCATGCATCGAAGGACACCATCAATGGACAGAAAAATGCAACCCAGAGATGGAGGGAAATGTCTGCAGATCACACGTCTCCTAGAGACTGATCTCTAGACTCTACAAATAACTCCAACTCAACAACAGAAAACCAAACGTCCCAATTTTAGGATGGACGGATGGTCTCCCTCGGGTCCTCGTTTCCAAGACAAGAAGGAACAATGGTTGTGCCAAAAGGGCCACGGCTGTGAGCAGCCCATGACTGCAGGAGCTGCACCCAATGTGTACCCAGGGACAACGCCATTAAGCAGTTCATCAGGATGCGGTAGAGTTAGGCAGTTCACTATCGGGACGAGGTAAAGTTTGGCAGTTCACCATCGGGATGCGGCTGAGTTAGCAGTTCACCACTGGGACGAGGTAGAGTTTGGCAGTTCACCGTCGGGACGAGGTAGAGTTTGGCAGTTCACCGTCGGGATGCGGCAGAGTTAGCAGTTCACCATCAGGATGTGGTAGAGTTAGGCAGTTCACCATTGGGACGAGGTAGAGTTAGGCAGTTCACCATCGGGACGAGGTAAAGTTTGGCAGTTCACCATCGGGATACGGCAGAGTTAGCAGTTCACCATCGGGATGTGGTAGAGTTAGGCAGTTCACCATCGGGATGCGGTAGAGTTAGGCAGTTCACCATCGGGACGAGGTTTAGGCAGTTCACCATCGGGACGAGGTAAAGTTTGGCAGTTCACCATCGGGATGCGGCAGAGTTAGCAGTTCACCATCGGGATGTGGTAGAGTTAGGCAGTTCACCATCGGGATGCGGTAGAGTTAGGCAGTTCACCATCGGGACGAGGTTTAGGCAGTTCACCATCGGGACGAGGTAAAGTTTGGCAGTTCACCATCGGGATGCGGCAGAGTTAGCAGTTCACCATCGGGATGTGGCAGAGTTAGCAGTTCACCATCGGGATGTGGTAGAGTTAGGCAGTTCACCATCGGGACGAGGTAGAGTTAGGCAGTTCACCATCGGGATGCGGCAGAGTTAGCAGTTCACCATAGGGATGCGGTAGAGTTCGGCAGTTCACCATCGGGATGCGGTAGTTAGCAGTTCACCATCGGGATGCGGTAGAGTTTGGCAGTTCACCATCGGGATGCGGTAGAGTTCGGCAGTTCACCATCGGGATACGGCAGAGTTAGCAGTTCACCATCGGGACGCGGTAGAGTTAGGCAGTTCACCATCTGGATGCAGTAGAGGCCGCAGCCTTGCAGACATTTTGGAAGCATCTGCGCCGACTGTGTGCTTCCCGAGCTGCGTGTGAAGCTGCGTCACTGCCCCAGTGGTGCCCTTCACAGCAAGCCAGTCAGGAATCCTGCTCCTCAAGTCCAGGGCTATGCACGTCACCCAAGTCTAGACCTGGGTGCTGCCCACGACCCCCACCAAGGCCCCAAGACCATGCATTCCACCTGGGTCTAGACCTGGGTGTTGCCCACGACTCCCACTAAGACCCACATAAGGAGCTGAGTCCTTAAGGACTAAAGACAAACTATCCTCTGGGGAAAAAAATACGGAAATTATACTTTAAAAAAAGGGCAAAGGACTTGAATAGACATTTCCCCAAAGAAGAAAAACCGACGACCAAGAAGCAGTGAAAAGGCATTCCACATCATCGTTCAGCAGAGAAACCCATCCAAGCCACCACCGCACCACGATCCAGCCTCGCAGAAAAGGGCAACTGGCAGCAAGTGCCAGCCGGCGTGCAGAAGCCAGGCCCTCCATCCGCTGAGTGTGCTGCGTGCTGCTGCACTGTGCTCTTGATTCTACCGGCCAGGGCGGCAGTCCTGCTCTTGATTCTACAGGCGAGGGCGGCAGTCCCTGCTCTTCAATCTAAAGACGAGGGCAGCTGTCCCCTGCTCTTGATTCTACAGGCGAGGGCGGCTGTCCCTGCTCTTGATTCTACAAGCAAGGGCAGCTGTCCCTGCTCTTGATGCTACAGGCCAGGGCGGCTGTCCCTGCTCTTGATGCTACAGGCCAGGGCGGCTGTCCCTGCTGATTCTACAGGTGAGGGCGGCTGTCCCTGCTCTTGATTCTACAGGCCAGGGCGGCTGTCCCTGCTCTTGATTCTACAGGCCAGGGCGGCTGTCCCTTGCTCTTGATTCTACAGGCCAGGGCGGCTGTCCCTTGCTCTTGATGCTACAGGCCAGGGCGGCTGTCCCTGCTCTTGATTCTACAGGCAAAGGCGGCTGTCCCTTGCTCTTGATTCTACAGGCCAGGGCGGCTGTCCCTGCTCTTGATTCTACAGGCCAGGGCGGCTGTCCCGTGCTCTTGATTCTACAGGCCAGGGCGGCTGTCCCGTGCTCTTGATTCTACAGGCCAGGGCGGCTGTCCCTGCTCTTGATTCTACAGGCGAAGGCGGCTGTCCCTTGCTCTTGATTCTACAGGCCAGGGCGGCTGTCCCTGCTCTTGATTCTACAGGCCAGGGCGGCTGTCCCTGCTCTTGATTCTACAGGCCAGGGCGGCTGTCCCTGCTCTTGATTCTACAGGCCAGGGCGGCTGTCCCTTGCTCTTGATGCTACAGGCCAGGGCAGCTGTCCCTGCTCTTGATTCTACAGGCAAAGGCGGCTGTCCCTTGCTCTTGATTCTACAGGCCAGGGCGGCTGTCCCTGCTCTTGATTCTACAGGCCAGGGCGGCTGTCCCGTGCTCTTGATTCTACAGGCCAGGGCGGCTGTCCCGTGCTCTTGATTCTACAGGCCAGGGCGGCTGTCCCGTGCTCTTGATTCTACAGGCCAGGGCGGCTGTCCCTGCTCTTGATTCTACAGGCGAAGGCGGCTGTCCCTTGCTCTTGATTCTACAGGCCAGGGCGGCTGTCCCTGCTCTTGAATCTACAGGCCAGGGCGGCTGTCCCTGCTCTTGATTCTACAGGCCAGGGCGGCTGTCCCTGCTCTTGATTCTACAGGCCAGGGCGGCTGTCCCTGCTCTTGATTCTACAGGCCAGGGCGGCTGTCCCTGCTCTTGATTCTACAGGCCAGGGCGGCTGTCCCTGCTCTTGATTCTACAGGCCAGGGCGGCTGTCCCTGCTCTTGATTCTACAGGCCAGGGCGGCTGTCCCTGCTCTTGATTCTACAGGCCAGGGCGGCTGTCCCTGCTCTTGATTCTACAGGCCAGGGCGGCTGTCCCTTGCTCTTGATGCTACAGGCCAGGGCGGCTGTCCCTGCTCTTGATTCTACAGGCAAAGGCGGCTGTCCCTTGCTCTTGATTCTACAGGCCAGGGCGGCTGTCCCTTGCTCTTGATTCTACAGGCCAGGGCGGCTGTCCCTGCTCTTGATTCTACAGGCCAGGGCGGCTGTCCCGTGCTCTTGATTCTACAGGCCAGGGCGGCTGTCCCGTGCTCTTGATTCTACAGGCCAGGGCGGCTGTCCCTGCTCTTGATTCTACAGGCGAAGGCGGCTGTCCCTTGCTCTTGATTCTACAGGCCAGGGCGGCTGTCCCTGCTCTTGAATCTACAGGCCAGGGCGGCTGTCCCTGCTCTTGATTCTACAGGCCAGGGCGGCTGTCCCTGCTCTTGATTCTACAGGCCAGGGCGGCTGTCTCTGCTCTTGATTCTACAGGCCAGGGCGGCTGTCCCTGCTCTTGATTCTACAGGCCAGGGCGGCTGTCCCGTGCACACTCACAAGTGAAACAACACTCTTCAGGGAGGCACCGCGCTCAGGCCGTCAACACCCTTCCCGCACCTCCCTCCTCCGGTGGTTCTGTCAAGCAGGGACACAGGGACGGAGGGGCCTTGGTCATTTTGGTCCTGGCTGTTGAAGCCCCCATGAGGCTGACCTGAGAGGCCAAAGTTGGACACCACGATTGCCACAAAGGCCATAGCTGCTTCTCCTTGACGGTCACCTCGACGTGCCAATGTGGCCAAGCAGGCAGGCGCCAGCAACACCCACAAGACAGATGCTGATGGCCCGGGGACTCCCCTAGGCCACCCCTAGATGGCGCCATGGCCCAGGGCCACCAGGAGCCATGGCTGCTGCAAAAGGAACGGGGATGCCGGGAAAAGCCTGGGGACCACGTCACCCACCCACAGAGCCGGGGCCTCTAGAGCACCTTGCTCTTGAATCAGAGGCTGCTCTGGGATGCTCCTCCCGCTGGACGTCTGCGTCCCACCCATCCTGCAGGCTCCGCACCCGGTTGCCCACGGTGCGCGTCAGAACAGGATTCTCAGCAACAGTGAAGAGGAAAAGTGTAAGAAGACTATGAAACAACGTCCCCATGGATACCATTTAGACACAAACAGCGGCCTGTTCTCTAAGCACAGTCAGCCGAGTGTCTTGTTCCCAGCAAGCCACAGCCACTGACCACATGGAGCCCTCTGACCACACAGGGCCCCAGGATGTCACTCTGGAAAAGGTCTGGACTCTCAGAGGGACAGGTGTCAGGATCCTGGGGAGGGGGCCCTTGGCCTGGAAGGTCTCAATTATCCAGGCAGGGTCAGGGCAAGCAGGTGACGGGGTGGGGCAGGGCGGGGTAGAGGGAGGAGCTCCTGGAGGCACAGAGCAGTGACCCAGGAGAGGCCTGGAGCCCGCGCTGGGGGACGGCGCAGGGGCAGGGGCAGTGGGCTCCGGCTGCAGAGCTCAACACTACCCCATAAGGGGGTCCCTAGGCATCAGCTGTGACATATTCTCTTGGTGTGCTGTTCATTTTTACCTCCTGTTGAAATGTCTTTTCAAAAATAAGCTAAGCTAATACCCGGCTCAGTGAAAAGGCAAGGGCGCCAGTGAAGGTCAGCTGCTCCGTGCAGGCCCACTGAGGCCTCACGCAGCACCAGCAACTCCTGCCACCCTTCCCCCTGCTCTCCTCCTCATCTGCTGGGTGCCACAGGCCTTGCTCACCACCTCAGGTTTACTGTTCCCAATAACCCTCTTGTTCATCTAGCCCCAGCCAGGCGCTGCCTCTCAGCCGACCTGAACACAACCCCATGAGACACACGGCACTGTCCTGGTCAGAGCCGCTCCACAGGACAGGCGCTCTGACCTCAGGGGACAGAGGCAGGGAGGTCAGAACACCTGTCCTGCCACCAGAGCAAAGCCACCGGCGCCTCGGCTGCTGGTTCTGTCTACCGCACAGGGTGCCGCTTCCCCACCAGCTACAGGAGACCAAGTCTCAGCAAGCGGACTCCCAGCTGGGCTGGTATGAGGCTACATCTGGCCCTGGCCTGGCACCCGAGCCACCAGGCTGGTGCCGTTCACATCCCCACCCTCCCGTGGGACCCATTCTGTTTCCTAAAACCTTTTAAGGCATGGTCTTTGACCACATTGCTCTGGGTGGTCTTTTTCGTACTCTGTGGCCCTTGCAGTCTGGAGACACATCCTGACGTGCCTCAGCTCCCCCCTCCAGGCACACAGCTCCCGCCCTCCATCCTGAGCCGCGCCAGCCAGGGTGACCTCTGCAGGGACTGCCCAGTTGTTTTTTAATCTCTTTTTGTTCTATTTTCTGGGAGATGTCCTCAACTTTCTTTTCTAGCCCTTCTATGGCTTTTTTAAAATGTGCTGCTTATTTATAATTTCTAAAAGCTCCTTCCGGTGCTCTGAGCGTTCCCCTCTGGCAGCGTCTGGCTCTTCATTCGTGGATGCGGTATCTCTGATGACGCCAATGGTAAGATGTCCTTCCCTGAGCTCTTTTCCTGCCTGTCTGGGTCTTTCCTCACATTCTGGTGACCCTCAAGGACAGACCCTAGCCAGGAAGCTGGTGACTCTGGCTTCTAAGTTGGGGCTCTCGGCGGCGTCTCGTGGCCGCTTCTTTTGGGCTGACGGTTATCCTGCCATCATCCTGCCACGGGCTCCCATCTGCATATCAGGAGGCCCTGAGTTCCCAGGCAAGGAGGGGCTTGCTCAGGCCACCCTGTCCCCTGCCACCCTGTCCCCCACCATCCCCAGTGGTGTCTGCTGTCCACGACTCAATTTTCCCAGAGAATAAACCTCCTGTGCTCCCTGCTGGGAACCACACCAGGCACTGCCCTGACCTCCCCTTCCCCTCACATGGCATTCCAAGCAGATCGCATGGCCCCTCACCCAGCCGTGGCAGCACCGCTGTTCCCAAACCATCAAACCTCTCTCACCTATCAGTCCACGTTTTTATTTTTATTTTTTGAGAAGGTGTCTCGTTCTGTCACCCAGGCTGGAGTGCAGTGGTGAGGCCAAGGCTCACTGCAGCCTCCAACTCCTAGGCTCACGTGCTCCTCATAGCTCAGCCTCCTGAGTAGCTGGGACTACAGGTGTGCACCACCACACCTGGCTAATTTTGTATCTTTTGTACAGTCAGGGGTCTCGCTGTGTTGCCCAGGCTGGTCTTGAGCTCCTGAGCTCAAGCAATCTGCCCACCTTGACCTCCCAAAGTGCTGGGATGACAGGTATGAGCCGCCACACAATTGTAGCACAATCTTGGCTCATGGCAACCTCCACCTTCTGGGTTCAAGTGATTCTTGTGCCTCTGCCTCCCAAGGAGTGGGGACTACAGGTGCCCGCCACCATGCCCAGCTAATTTTTTTTGCATTTTTTGTAGAGATGGGGTTTCACCATGTTGGCTAGGCTTGTCTTGAACTCCTGACCTCAAGTGATCTGCCTGCCTCGGCCTCCTAAAGTGCTGGGATTACAGGCGTGAGCCACCATGGCCAGCCGAGTTTCATTCTTTTCAGGATGGTAAAGGGAATGCCACAACCATTTGTCTAGAAGGGGCCTGGGTCTGATGGCGCTGAGGGCCACAGATTGGCAGCCTGAAGCCAGCATCCTGGGCCTCCCAGGTTTGGCACAGCACCTAGCCCTTCAGGATCAAAAAAGGACAGAGGACGAGGTGGGAGCTAAGCAGGCTCAGGAGTGATAAGATTTGGCTGTGTCCCCGCCCAAATCTCACCTTGACTAATCCCCACAGGTTGAGGGCGGGGCCAGATGGAGATAATTAAATCATGGGGGTGGTTCCCCCCTGCTGTTTTTGTGCGGGTGAGTGAGTTCTCCCGACACCTGATGGTTTTAGGAGGGGCTTCCCCCTTCACTCAGCACTCATTCTCTCTGGAGCTGCCCTGTGTGAGGTACCTTCCGCCATGACTGTAAATTTCCTGAGGCCTCTGCAGCCATGCGGAACTGTGAGTCAATTAAACCTCTTTTCTTTACAAATGACCCAGTCTGGGGTATTTCTTCCTAGCAGCGTGAGAACAGGTGAGTACATGGGCGTGGAGGCTGCCCAGGAACGTGTGGAGGGAGGTGGGGACGGGCACAGCACGTTGCCTGGCTGCAGACTCAGGCACCCTTCAGAGGGGGTCTCACAGCATCAATCTGAAAACGGGCAGTGGAGGGGGAGGAAGGGGTCTGAAAATGTCACTGAGGCGTTTGCTTTACTAGGTGCGACTTCGTTTTCTTTTCTTTTTCTTTTTTGTCTGCTTTACCAGATGCGACTTTCTTTTCTTTTCTTTTCGTTTTTGAGACGGAGTCTTGCTCTGTCGCCCAGGCTGGAGTGCAGTGGCGCGATCTCGGCTCACTGCAAGCTCCGCCTTCTGGGTTCATGCCATTCTCCTGCCTCAGCCTCCCGAGTAGCTGGGACTACAGGCGCCCACCACCGCGCCTGCCTAATTTTTTGTATTTTTGGTAGAGACGGGGTTTCACCGTGGTCTCCATCTCCTGACCTTGTGATCCGCCCGCCTAGGCCTCCCAAAGTGCTGCGATTACAGGCGTGAGCCACCGCGCCCGGCCCCCCGTTTTTTTTTTTTTTTGAGACAGTTTCACTCTCGTTGTCCAGGCCGGAGTGTGGTGGCGCAATATCAGCTCACTGCAACCTCTACCTCCCATGTTCAAGTGATTCTCCTGCCTCAGCCTCCCGAGTAGCTGGGATTACAGGCACCCACCACCATGCCCAACTAATTTTTTTTTTTGTATTTTTAGTAGAGATGGGGTTTCACCATGTTGGCCAGGCTGGTCTCAAACTCCTGACCTCAGGTTATCCACCCACCTCGGCCTCCCAAAGCGCTGGGATGACAGGGTTGAGCCACCGTGCCCAGGCGACTTTGTTTTCAACAGTCATCAACGTGCTGGTGGTCTGGGGAGTGGACGTGGCACCTGTGCCCCTGCCCATGGAGGCCAATCTGCCCAGGGACTGTCAGCAGAGTTGCTGTAAGGCAGCCGAGGGAGGCTGGCTGCTGAGCCTGCGTAGCACCCTCGGCTCGGAAGTGGGACCCTCGGCCACCTGAGTGGAGGTTCCTTGGCTCAGGTGGTAGTCTGTCTGTCTGGGCCGGCCTGCCACCAGCAGCCATGTTCCTGCAGGGCACAGTGCAGGGGCTGTTTGCTGCTGAGTTGCTAGCATGGGACTCTGCAGACAGGATTAAGGTGCACGGATCTCGAGGTGGGAGATTATCCGGGATTATCTGGGTGGGGCCAATTAACTACATAAGTCCTTAACCGCCTTTCCTGGCTGAGCTACAGATGAGACAGAAGGAGAGTCAAAGCATGAGAGGGACTTCACCCGCCAGTGCTGGCTCTGCAGATGGGCAAGGGCCCTCCGTGAACAACGCAGGCGGCCTGGAGAAGCCGGGAAAGGCTCGGCTTGCACCCAGCAAGGTGCTACTGCCAGTCCTACCACCAGCAAGAACGGAATTCTGCCAACCTCCCAACGAGCAAGAGAACATCTTCCTGTAGGGCCTGCAAAAAGCAAAGCCCTGGCCAACACCTTGACTTCAGCCCAGGGAAACCCACACTGGACTGAGGACCGAGAGGACTGTGTGTCAGCCAACACCTTGACTTCAGCTCAGGGAAACCCACACTGGACTGAGGACCGAGAGGACTGCGTGTCAGCCAACACCTTGACTTCAGCCCAGGGAAACCCACACTGGACTGAGGACCGAGAGGACTGCGTGTCAGCCAACACCTTGACTTCAGCCCAGGGAAACCCACACTGGACTGAGGACCGAGAGGACTGTGTGTCAGCCAACACCTTGACTTCAGCCCAGGGAAACCCACACTGGACTGAGGACCGAGAGGACTGTGTGTCAGCCAACACCTTGACTTCAGCCCAGGGAAACCCACACTGGACTGAGGACCGAGAGGACTGTGTGTCAGCCAACACCTTGACTTCAGCCCAGGGAAACCCACACTGGACTGAGGACCGAGAGGACTATGTGTCAGCAATAACAGAAAAGGAGTAGAAAGGCCATCTATTGCGGCCCTGTATTTATTATAAATAAACTGAATCCAAACTAAAAATCCACCCACTGGGGAATGGTTACTGACAGAATAGAAATGTTCTATGGCTATTACAAAGAAACAAGCTTGCAGCCATCAGCATGGCTAAAAGGAAGGCAGGACTTAGAACAAACAGGACTCTCCCTCTCTCCTGTGGGACAGAAACTGTGTGACTGCTTTGGAGAACGGGTTGGCAGCATCTACACAGGCCCTACAGCCCAGCTTCCACTCCTCAGTACGTCCCAACAGCAATGGGCACCTGTGTTGACCAAACGCGTCTGAGACTCCTCACAGGAGCCCTGTGAGAGTCACCCAACATGGAAACCATCCCAAAGCCCATCTGGAGTGGAGCCAATGCACTGCAGCCTTGACACACGGGAGACCACTCGGCGCGGGGAAGGAGGGAGCAACTGCACTCAACCACGTGGCCGAAGCTCACCCAGAAGACATGGAAAGAAGGCAGCCGGACACAGGAGAGTTTGCCCTGTGTGGCTCCATTGACGTGAAAACTAGACAAGGCAGATGAGTCCACAGTGACATGCCAGGCCGGGGGCAGAGTGTGAGAGGCCTGCAGAGGGCGAGGCTGCGAGGGCTGATGCTTTCTCAGGCCGGCATGCCTGTCCGCACTCACTGTATTGCAGACTTTAAAGGGGTTTTTTTGTACACAAATTACACCTCAATAAAGCTGATTAATTAAAAGACGGAAAGCTGACAACATCAAATGTTGGCAAAGATGTGGAGCACCTGGAACTCTCATGCATTGCTGATGGGACTATGAAACAATGGGGCTGCTTGAGCAAACAGTTTTCTCTTTTGAGATCAGGTCTCACTGTGCTGCTCAGGCTGGAGTGCAGCGGAACAATCACGGCTCGCTGCAGCCTCCAACTCCAGGGCTCACACGATCCTCCTGCCTCAGCCTCCTGAGTAGCTAAGACTATTACAAGTGTGCGTCACCACACCAGGCTAATTTATTTATTTTTTTGAGACAAAGTCTCACTCTGTCGCCCAGGCTGGAGTGCAGTGGCATGATCTCAGCTCACTCCAACCTCCGCCTCCCGGGTTCAAGTGATTGTCCTGCCTCAGCCTCCCAAGTAACTGGGACCACAAGCACCACCACCACACCAGGCTAACTTTGTATTTTTAGTAGAGATACGGTTTCACCATGTTGGCCAGGCTGGTCTCAAACTCCTGACCTCAAGTGATCTGCCTGCCTCGGCCTCCCAAAGTGCTGAGACTACAGGCATGAGCCACCACACCCAGCCCCAGGCTAATTTTTCAATATGTTTATAGCAACGAGTTCTCACTATGTTGCCCAGGCTGGGCAAGCTTATAAATTAAAACGTACACTCATATATGACAGCAATTCCACTCTTAGATCTACCTAAGGGAACAGAAACACCTTCAGAAAGACTCACATATATTCTAGAGAAACACCTTCAGAAGGACTCACGTGTATTCTAGAGAAACACCTTCAGAAAGACTCACATATATTCTAGAGAAACACCTTCAGAAAGACTCACGTGTATTCTAGAGAAACACCCTCAGAAGGACTCACGTGTATTCTAGAGAAACACCTTCAGAAGGACTCACATATATTCTAGAGAAACACCTTCAGAAGGACTCGTGTATTCTAGAGAAACACCTTCAGAAGGATTCACGTGTATTCTAGAGAAACACCTTCAGAAGGCCTCGTGCGTATTTGTGTTATAGTTTAGTGCTAGTGCCACTGAACTGTATCCCTACATATGGCTAAAATGACGTGTTTTCTGTATTTTACAAGAAAAATAATTAAAAAAAAAAATTTAAAAGAACTAGCTCTGAGCCGGGTGTGGTGGTACATGCCTGTAGTCCCAGCTGCTAGGGAGCTGCTAGGTGGGAGGATCAGTTGAGCCCAAGAGGTAGAGGCTGCAGTGAGCTGAGATCATACCACTGCACTCCAGCTGGGGCAACAGAACGAGAGTCTCAAAAAAAAAAAAAAGAAAAAGAAAAAAGAAGAACTCGTTCACATCAGCATTATTCGTAATACCCCAAACCAGGAAATAACCCAAATGTGCATCAACAAGGTAAATGCATAAACAAACTGGGGTATATTTGTGCAAAGGAATACCACTTGGGAACAAAAAAAGAAGAATCTACTATTGTACATCATGAATAAGTTTCAAAACTGCTGAGCAAAAGAAACCAGGGTCTGCTTCGTATCCATGATGTCTGGAACAGGAAAAAGCAGCCCATGTGATGGAAGCCGACTGCTGGGGGCTGGGGGCTGACTCGGCAGGGCCTGAGGGGCTTTCTGGGAGGAGAGTGGATGTGCTCCTGATTTGGATGAGGGTACTGGCTGCATAGGTACATATATGTGCCAAAACTCATAGAACTGTACATGCAAAGAGGGTACATTTATTAAATAGACATCATCTCTCAATAAAATTGATTTAAAAAAATTAAACCCACAGGGCATTGATCTGCTTTGAATTTGGAGGTCTAAGGATTAGGGGACCGGATTACCCTACAAGACAGCCTGAACACATATCAGAGCCAGATGTGAAGGCACTGCCTGTCCCTGAAGACCTGGGGCTCTAAGTCATTCACGTGCGGGGCCGGCGCTCCGCATTCAATCTTCCGGCATACCACTCCCCTCGGATGTCTTCTGAGACAAGGACAGCCCACGTCCACCAACCCCACTGCAGGCAAACCGGCGCCTGCCTGATGGAGGACAGTAAAGGAAGGAAAAGTTATCTAACAAATTTCAAATGTGTCTGTGTACACCAGCATGCCAAATGTCAGAAGAAATTCTAGGGCAGTTTGTGGACTGGTTTCCTGCGAAGCTAGAGCTTTTACTTAACGCCTTAAAACCCACAACAAGCCAAAAGGGCTCTCGTGTCTACAAAGAGCAGGCACACTTGGCACAGAACACCTGGCTAAACACAGAACATTAAGAAAACAAAAAACACAGGTCTGGCCCCAGCTACTCAGGAGGCTGAGGCAGGAGGATTGCTTCAGCGCCACGGTTCAAGACCAGCCTGGGCAACACAGTGAGACCCTATCTCTTAAAATTCTCCTCTCCCATCTTTTAAGGAGCAGATCCCATAGCTCTCAGATTACTTTCAATGATTACAAATCCAGCTTAGTGTGGCTTAAACCCCAATCTCATGTCCACTTTAAGACTCATTTCTGGCTGTGCTTGGTGGCTAACACCTGTCATCTCGACACTTTGGGAGGCCAAGGTGAGAGAATCACTTGAGCCCAGGAGTTCAAGACCACTAGCCTAGGCAACATGGCAAGACCTCAATTCTACAAAAAATAATTTATTGGCCAGGCACAGTGGCTCACGCCTGTAATCCCAGCACTTTGGGAGGCCGAGGTGGGTGGATCACTTGAGGTCAGGAACTCGAGACCAGCCTGGCCGACATGGTGAAACCTCATCTCTACTAAAAAAATACCAAAAAACTAGCCGGGCGTGGTGGCAGGTGCCTGTAATCCCAGCTACTCGGGGGGCTGAGGCAAGAGGCTTGAACCCAGGAGGCAGACGTTGCAGTGAGCCAAGATCGTGCCATCACACTCCAGCCTGGTGGACAAGAGCAAGACTTTGTCTCAAAAATAAAAAAATAATTTATTAAAAAATTAGCCAGGTGTTGTGGTGCATGCCTATGGTCTTAGCTACTTGAGAGGCTGAGGCGGGAGGATCACTAGAACCCTGGAATTTGAGGCTGCAGTGAACTATGATCACTGCACTCCAGCCTGGAAGAGTGAAACTGTCTCTCTAATAAAAAAAAACAAAACCAAAAAAAAAAAAACAGAGATGACCACTGCTAATGTTGTCATATATTTCATTCCACAATTATTTTACATACTTAAGATATCAAGCATATACACTTCATTGAATAATCATTAAATGTGCCTCCAAATCAGTAGTTTTTTGTTTTGTTTTGAGAGCTGTTGCCCAGGCTGGAGTGCAGTGGTGCAATCTCGGCTCACTGCAACCTCTGCCTCCTGGGTTGAAGCGATTCTCTTGCCTCAGCCTCCTGAGTAGCTGGGATTACAGGTGCCCGACACCACACCCCGCTAACTTTTATATTTTCAGTAGAGACGGAGTTTCACCATGCTGGCCAGGATGGTCCCAATCTCCTGACCTCGTGATCCACCCACCTCGGCCTCCCAAAGTGCTGGGATTACAGGCGTGAGCCACCGCATCCGGCCTTTTTTTTTTTTTTTTTTTTTTTTTTTTTTACTTTTTTTTGCAGGGATAGGGCCTTGCTACGTTGCCTAGTCTGAACCCCCGGCCTCAGGGGATCGCCTGCCTTGACTTCCCAAGTAGCTGGGATTATAGGCGTGCACCACCGCACCCGGTCCTGTGTTGTGATGTTTTACTATTTGATAAACTTATAAGCATTCCCTCTCATGTAATTTTAGGATAACAATTCTATTTTTCATGAGAATCTCCTGTCTGAACACTGCATGCATGGCCCTAGTGAACTGACTGAGACTAGGGGAACAGTCCCAGCAACGATCACATTGCTCTGCTGACGCGGCTGCGGCGGGGACCTGCCCGGAGTCTGGCACCCAGGGGTGCTCAGCACACACCTGAGCAAACTCACACTCTGAGCCGGATCCTGGCGACCCGGGCTCTGGAAACTGACGTGTGGACACTGTTGCTCCCGAGCAGAACAGCCTTCTGCCCAGCCCACCTAGGGCAAATGTAACACCTCTAACAGGCTGGACACAGACGGTTTCTCCTGCTCTTTCATTTCAATTCAGAAAGGATGCACACTTTCAGAATGAGCAGATACTCGGTGATACAGCCTTGATGGTGTGGATAACACACAAAAAATCATAGTTTTTGGTACTACAATTTTTTAAAAGTCAAACCAGCTCCACACACACGTGGGAGCTACAGCTTCTATCTCTGTTCCAAACACAAGCAGCAGGCCCATTTACTGAACGGTGAGGAAAACTACATCAGGAGAGAAGAGCTTTAACGCTAATGACCAGGAGGTGGCTCTGCAAGGAGGCTAAGGGTCTAAATGCAGAGGCAGACAGAGGGGCAGGCTGCTCCTGGGGTGCCAGAGGGCCCCTTCCTCCACAGCAGTCCAGGAGAGCCTCACGCAGCTGCCACACACCAGGCTCTGCCACAGTTGTGACTGCCAGCTCTTCAGAAGACAGAGACTGGAGTCAAAACCTTTCTGTTTCCCCACAGGCAAAACCTGGGCAGTCACCGCTTGCTGATAATGAATTATGTGTTAAACTGTCTGTGTGACGCACGTAGGCACCAAAGCTCTTATTTTTATTTTTTTGAGATGGAGTCTCACTCTGTCGCCCAGGCTGGAGTGTAGTGGTGCAAACTCGGCTCACTGCAACCTCCGCCTCCCCAGGTTCAAGCGATTCTCCTGCCTCAGCCTGCTGAGTAGCTGGGAATACAGGTGCATGCCACCAGGCCAAGCTAATTTTTGAATTTTTAGTAGAGACGGGGTTTCACCATGTTGGTCAGAACGGTCTTGATCTCTTGACCTTGTGATCCGCCCGCCTCGGCCTCCCAAAGTGCTGGGATCACAGGCGTGAGCCACCGTGCCCATCCGGCACCAAAGCTCTTTAAAAAAGTCCAACAACAATGTTTTAAACTCGGCAGGTTAGGTGACATCCATTTCTATTACTTACACTTTGCACTTGCTACTATTACTATTATTATGACTACTATTTTGCATATACTCAATTTTTAATAAAGTAATTTAAGAAGCTGACATACTAGCTATCCCTCCCCACCAGGAGGACACAGGCTCTTCAGAGAGATGGCCGTTTCCAGGGCAGGCAGGACCCACATCTGCTGGAAGTACAGACTGTTCCAGGACACAGGGAGCTCCGGGAACTCAGGGCATAGCCCAGGACGCAGGTGCCACCTGAAGAGGCTCCAACATCAAGGGGGCCATGGGAGTCCCAAACCAAACAGGAAAGGAGTATGATGCCACAAGGGAACAAAACTTTGCAAATCCACGCTGACTGATGCCACGAGGGAACAAAACCTTGCGAATCCACGCTGACTGATGCCACGAGGGAACAAAACCTTGCGAATCCACGCTGACTGATGCCACGAGGGAACAAAACCTTGCGAATCCACGCTGACTGATGCCACGAGGGAACAAAACCTTGCGAATCCACGCTGACTGATGCCACGAGGGAACAAAACCTTGCGAATCCACGCTGACTGATGCCACGAGGGAACAAAACCTTGCGAATCCACGCTGACTGATGCCACGAGGGAACAAAACCTTGCGAATCCACGCTGACTGATGCCACGAGGGAACAAAACCTTGCGAATCCACGCTGACTGATGCCACGAGGGAACAAAACCTTGCGAATCCACGCTGACTGATGCCACAAGGGAACAAAACCTTGCTGAATCCACGCTGATTAATGCCACGAGGTAACAAAACCTTGCTGAATCCACGCTGACTGATGCCACGAGGGAACAAAACCTTGCTGAATCCACGCTGACAGTAGCGAACACCCACGGGTGTGCATTTTCACGTACATGCCTATCGACAGAAGCAGCCATGGCAGCAGCGCACACGGAGGAGGCACGGCGTGGCCCCAAGGGAAGCTGCCTCCTCCTTGCTGACCTGGTGAAGTGGGTCCTGCTGGCATCAGCTGACCTGGCGGCTCCTCTCAGGCAGGAATCAGGTGGGCGCAAGACTCTGCGGGCAGCCACTAGGGCTGTGGCCGGCCGACACGGGCAGGCATCAGCCTGACACTGCCTTGGCAGAGCCTGAGGACACAGACACCCCTCGGAGCAAAGCTGGTGGCACAGGCAGAGAAGGGTCTCCTGTCAGTGGCAGCTTCGGCCGGGGCCGGGGCCTGGGCTGTGACCATACTCCCCTCCCCTGCAGCAGTGACTTTCTGGACCGAAACACAGCACCTCGGCAACCCTGATCAGTGTCACTGTGTTTGTGTTCAGAGTCCTGAATCCTGATGTCATCTACCCTATTACCGCCCCTCCCAGCTAGGTCTGACACACAGGCTGTACCTGCTGTGCCCAGGTGGCCGACAACGTTGCTGACCAGGAAGTCAGGCGAAAGCCCAGCAGCAGCCGCCGGCCCCGGGCAGGGAAAGCAGCACACAGGCTCCCACCGGGTTACCCACGCTGCTGGAGCTGCTGGAGAGTGCTGTGCTTGACCGCCCGGCCTACACCTTCACTCAGGGTTGACATGAGGTTCTTACATCCGGCCGCTGTACAAACTGTAAAGTACCTGCCCATTTCCAGGACTCAGCTCTTCTCTTCTTCCATCCTCTTTTCTTTATTTTTTATTTTTTGAGACAGGGTCTCACTCTGTCACCCAGGCTGGAACGTAGTGCAACAGTCAGACTCACTGCAGCCACCACCTCCCAGGCTCCAGTGAGTTTCCCACCTCAGCCTCCCAAGTAATTGGGACTACAGACGTGCACCACCACACCCAGCTAATTTTCTTTTTTCTTTTTTTTTTTTTTTTTTTGTGAGACAGAGTCTCGCTCTGTCACCAAGCTGGAGTGCAGTGGCACAATCTCAGCTCTCTGCAACCTCCGCCACCCAGGTTCAAGCAATTCTCCTGCCTCAGCCTCCCAAGTAGTTGGGGCTACAGGTATGCGCCACCACGCCCGGCTAATTTTTGTATTTGTATTTGTATTTTTTTTTTTTTTTGAGGTGGAGTCTCGCTCTGTCACCCAGGCTGGAGTCAGTGGCGTGATCTCGGCTCACTGCAAGCTCTGCCTCCTGGATTCACGCCATTCTCGTACCTCAGCCTCCCAAGTAGCTGGGACTACAGGTGCCCGCCACCATGCCCAGCTAATTTTTTGTATTTTTATAGAGACAGGGTTTCACCATGTTAGCCAGGATGGTCTTGATCTCCTGACCTCGTGATCCACCTGCCTTGGCCTCCCAAAGTGCTGGGATTACAAGCGTGAGCCACCATGCCTGGCCAATTTTTGTATTTTTAGTAGAGACGGGGTTTCATCATGTTGGCCAGGATGGTCTCAATCTCTTGACCTCGTGATTCACCCACCTTGGCCTCCCAAAGTGCTGGAATTACAGGTGTGAGCCACTGCACCCGGCCTTTTTTTTTTTTTTTTTTTTTTTTTTTGTAGAGATGGGGTCTCACTGTGTTGCCCAGGCTGGCCTCAAACTCCTGGGCTCCAGCACTCCGCCTACCTCGGCCTCCCAAGGTGCTGAGATTGCAGGTGTGAGCCACCGTGCCCAGCCCTCTGCTCTTTTCCAAAGATGCTGAGCTGGGCTGGGCACAGTGGCTCATGCCTGTAATTCCACCAACTTTGGGAAGCTGAGGCGGGCGGATTGCTTGAAGTCAGAAGTTCAAGACCAGCCTGGCCAACACAGCAAAACCTCTGTCTCTACTAAAAATGTAAAAAATTAGCCAGGTGTGGTGGTGCATGCCTGTAATCCCAGCTACTCAGGAGGCCAAGGCAGGAGAATCGCTTGAACCCATGAGGCTCAAGAGGTTGCAGCGAGCCAAGATAGTGCCATCGAACTACACCCTGGGTAACGGAGCAAGACTCTGTCTCAAAAAATAAAAATTAAAAAAAAAAAAAAGATGCTAGATGGCTGTCCCTCTCACAGGATGGGCATGTCTTTCATCAGGGTCAGTTTACACAGCCAGGACCACATCACCCATCCAGGATTCGAATCCTTCCCAGTTTGGTTTGAGGACTGTGTTCACTGTAAAGACGGCGAAGGCTGCTCAGGGGCCGAGTGCTTCTGTTTCCACTCTGCCATCTGGGAATATGGGACCAACTCTTCCCTTCACCCTTTCCACAACTCCAGGCCCCCCAGCACCAAGCCCTCTGTAAGCCATGGTCAGAAGACCCTTCCACATGCCCCTGCCACCACCCACCTCATCACCAGCACTAGAACCTGGCTGCTCCTGAGCCCCTCCCATCCCATCTTGCCTGGACCACCTCCCCCTGCTACCTACATGTGCAGCACCCTGGCGGTGTCTGGTCGTGCCCTGGTCTTCCGCCCCATACCCATGGGTCCCTACCTCTCCACAGCGCCAATGCCCTTGTCCCTCCGCTAATTTCTGAAGGACAAACGTCCAGAAATCTCTGCTTTACTCAAAATCCTGATCTCAGCACGAGACAGCCGCGCACTGCCTGTATCAGAGTGCGCCGCCATCCCCAGGTCGGCTCAGAAGCCTCCTCGCTACCTTAGGCTCAAAGTGCGAGTCCACCCTGCTGACATCTGTTTACCTTCACTGCCAAGAGGACTGAAGAGGCCCCTCTTCCACCCAGCTCCTGCCCTGAGGATGCCCACAGCCCATGGTCTTGGCAGCCAGTCCTTCTTCCCACAGCTGCTCCTCTTCCCACCGCCTTCGTAACTTCTGGTCCCTGACACCCGCCAGTTCCACAGTCTGCACATCCTTCTCCCGACCGCCCAGGAAGTCAGCTCAGCCTGACAAGCAGTCTCCCCGCCTTCTCACAGTGGTTCGGCAGCGTTCTCCGCACCAGGATGCTGGACGCCGACACCTTTCCCTGCTTACTCCAAACGCCCGGCGGATGACACCCTGGCTGACGTGGCCCCTGGGCCCCAGAACGGCCCTCGGTGGGGTGGCATCGTACCATGTGCTGCGCAGGGGAGGACTCAGCTGTGATGCAACCCCTTCCTGCTCTACGCCAGCTCGCAGGGGCTCCAGACCAGGGTAGGCGGCAGCTTTTCAGGGACCAGCAGCTTCGCGCCTTCTCAGCTGCAATCTTCAAATAGAACAAGAGGCAAAAGTACCTGCGAGGACCCAGATCCCTCCCTTGTGTCCTTCCCGCCCACCTCTCAGCTCCCCGATGTGGCTTCCTTCCTGAAACACTGTTCAATTTAGCTCATCGTGCAGGCCACAACACGTGTGCTCGACACGAGTCATCTGTGTCCACACCACCCTGCGAGAGACCTGGCTGGCACTGCCGTGCACCTGCCATGCAAGCATTTGCCCTGTTGCCTGTGAGCGCTTAGAGCAAGTGCTAAGGACTGGAGGTGGACATTAACTCACTTGTCCAAAAGTTCTGGCATCTGGCCTCTGGACAAACTTAACATTCAATATTCTACCTACTGACTCAACAGTTTCCTGAAAATTTAAGTAAGGCCATGCCAGTCCAACTTATAAAACAGCACAATTAGAGGCCAGGCACAGTGGCTCACCCTTGTAATCCCAGCACTTTGGGAGGCCGAGGAGGGTGGATCACAAGGTCAGCAGTTCAAGACCAGCCTGGCCAACACAGTGAAACCCCATCTCTACTACAAATACAAAAATTAGCTGGGTGTGGTGGCAGGTGGCTGTAATCCCAGCTACTCGGGAGGCTGAGGCAGTAGAATCACTTGAACCCGGGAGGTGGAGCTTGCAGTGAGCCGAGACCGTGCCACTGCACTCCGGCCTGGGCAACAGAGTTAGACTCCGTCTCAAAAAAAAAAAAAAAAAGAAGAAAAAAGTTATAATGACCCACAGAAGTCCTACCTCCTGACCACATGGGTTCTCAGATGCCAGCCAGGGTCATCCCGGGCCTGAGGCGGTCCTCTGAGGCTTGGGTCTCAGGAGAACTTAGTGTGCGCGGTGCAGCAGAAGCAGGTGTGTGGCAGCCGTCCCCAGGCCCAGGTGGACGTGAGGAGGACAGGGGAAGAGCCATGAAGCCCGCTGCTTCACAGGAGGCCTGCAGGGCGGCTCCTCCCGGACCCCAAGCCCACCCCTACAGCTGCCGCCTCCTGAGCCTCAATCCCTCGTCTGCACAGTGGGGGTGGTGCTGCCTTCTCACAGGTGGTGGTGGGGGCTACACGGGGGCAGCGGAAAGCGCCCACCGGTGCTGGCAGGCAACACTCATCACACGCTGGCAGCATTAGCTGTTGCCATGGTGAACACCCCGTTCCTCCCACAACACCACCCTGCTGGAAAACCCGGCACCTCACAGAGGAAAGGCAAACCCCAAAACACTGCCCCAGAAAACGAGCAAAACCCCCGAGGCAGGTGGATCACTTGAGGTCAGGGGTTTGAGACCAGCCTAGCCAACATGGTGAAACCTGCCTCTACTAAAAATACAAAAATTAGCCACGCATGGTGGCAGGCGTCTGTAATCCCAGCTACTCAGGAGGCTGAGACAGGAGAATCACTTGAACCCAGAAGGCAGAGGTTGCAGTGAGCCGAGATCGCGCCACTGCACTCCAGCCTGCGCAAGAGAGTAAGACTTCGTCTAAAAAAAAAAAAAAAAAAAAGGAAGACGAGCAAAACCTAATCAAGTGCAGGGGAGGAGAAGGGACTCTGGGCTGCAGTGGTCAGTGGTGCCCAACACCAACAGTAGGCACAGGGAAGCCACGCACGGCTGTCCAGTCACCTAAAGACACACAGCTAGAACCTCCCACGAAACCCTCAGCTAGCCCTGGGGATAAGCAGCCGACGACACATCAGGACAATGAAACACGGAGGAGCCTCTCAAGATAGTGTCCCCTGGAATTGGCCACTTCGGAGCCACGAACTTCAAGCCAGATGAGAAGAAACGTTTGTAACTGTTTGGAGAAAGCTCAGGGAGTCGTGAAGCCGAAGAAGCTGGGACACCCACACAGGGTGCCCTCGCTCCCATGGGTACAGCAGGCAGCGTGTGGCCCCACAGACATCTCAGTGACCACCAGGCCCCAACATCCACAGCAAACCGTGATGTTAGCCTCGCCATGTCCACAACCGCCTCCCTCCGTTTCTCCCCACAACTTGCCAGGCTCAAAGGACCGGAGTGTCACTCAGCAGCTTCCACCAACACTGAACCCCAAAAGAGCAGAGAGAGAAATAAAGTCAAGCCAGGATTAACCCCTTCTGAAGTCTTCCAGGACCCGGGCACACACACCCTGACCAACGTGGCGGGAGGAAAACTTGCTCCCAGGAAGGTTTGTGGGGACACGGTGCCGAGGGTGGAACTGCCTTAATCCAGGACCTTCGATGCCCCCTGCAGAGCGGGAGCGGCTGGGCTTGGGGAAGGGTGTGCACCCTGTGCGGGTGGTTCCTGGGGGCCAACACGGGCCCACCACCCTGGCCCACACCCTGGAGCCTGACTGCAGGTTCGCTCCTGAACTGCAGCTTTCTCCTCCCCGCCGCGTGCACCACCCACACTCCTGGATGAAGCATAATTCCTGCCGGGTAACTCGCCACCATCACCCAGGGGCACTCTATGCAAAGCGCTCTGTTCCATCCTGAAGAGAGCATGAAGCACTCCCTAAGATCACTGCTGGGTGTCAAAGAAAGGAAAGCCTTTCCAGACCTAGAGATCCAGAAACCCAGCGCACACCCACATTAGGAGACACGGAAGAGCTCACAGGGGCTCCCACAGGTGCTGGGCGTGTGGTCACACGCCACTGCCTCAGGTGCCAGTACTAAGAAAAAGGTCACTTCGATGACTCATTTGTTTGTGAAGCTGGAGAGGGCAATGTACGCTCACACACCTGTCTGAGGAACATGCCAGACAAGACTTCCAGGCAGGTAAGCGATCCGGTGTGAGCTGAAGGAGCTGTGGGCCATGCTGAAGCAGTAAGCCTTGCACAGAAGGGGCCTCCCTGCCAAGGGCACCCACTGCCCAGCAGGCAGCCCTGAAGAAACACGGAAGCTGGAAACACAGAGGGCACCTCCCAACAAAGGAGAGAAAGCAATGGAGGTTAACACGTACGTCCTTCCCACGAGGGCCAGAGGCCTAAAGCTCCTGCTACAACTCTTTCAAAGGAGAATAAATTCTCAAGATGCTGAGTCCTGAGAACCAGCTGCTCCTGAGCTTCTGAGACCCTGAATAGCCCCCTTGGGAAACCCTCAGATCCACCAACTTCACCCTGATGAAGAGGGCTGGCCCCTGAGGTTGGCAAGCTGCCACCTGACCACAAAGACCTGCTCCTTGTGCTGTGCACGTCTTAACCTTGAGACCTTAGACACAGAAAGCGCGTTCCACAGCCCAGAGGCGCTTCCTTCTCTGCTCGAGGCCACAGGACTCCTGCGGGGACCTGGAAGTGTGCCCCGGGCCCTGAGAGCACGTGGTGTCTTTCTAAGAGTGGACTCTCCTCTCTGCCTCTGGTCCAAGCCACTGTGAGCCTCTGAAGTCTCTGCAAGCAGGCAGGTCTCCACGTCTTACACAATACTGGCCCCACTTCAGTGAGCATGTCAGAGGAAGTGTGGCAATGCCCCACAGCCCGACGAAGGGGACAGGGAGGAAGGAGGGTCCTGTCTCTCCAGCTCCTGGCTGTGTGGTGCAGTTGGGTAGGCGAGCTGGCCAGCATGGCTGAGCCGGCCCTCAGAAGCACGCCTTCATGTCCTGGGAAAACACCGATTGATGAAACCCAATCCTTCCCGTGCTCTTCTGAACATGCACAAACACGCACGCCGCCAGCCTCCTGGGAGTGCGCAGCGCCCCTGGAGCCAAGCTTTAGAAGGCAACGCCACCTTCACAATCAACTTGGCCGCCCACCACCTGAGTCAGGAGTTACCAATTCTGGGGCAGTCACTGTCAAGTGCAGGACCAGGAGGCGGCAGGTGCAGGGGCCTAACGTGTGAGCCCCCAATGCCCCAGTGGGCCTTACACTTCCCCCACCTCAAAATGGACACAGAGCTCTTCCTCCCTGGCCCTTTCCAACCCCTCCTCCAGGCTGAAGCCAGGAGCACAAGCTTCCAGAGCCCCCGGTGCTGCTGCCCACTGCTGAAGCCATGCCAGGAGGAAGCGCGCTCAGCCTCAGTCCAGGTAATCCCACGCTCTGCCAACCCCCGAGTTGAGAGAGTGGGGGATGCTGCGCCCACACTCTCAGCAGCCAAAGGCAGACAATTCAGCAAATAGCAGACGCTCAGGGCAGTCAGACAGGACGGACAAGAGCCCAAGAAACAAAGCAAGGGGAGAGGGCAGGGACCAGGAGAGGTAAGTTCGCCAGCGTAGATGGCATTCCCTGAAGCGCAGATGGACTCTGGGGAGGCTGGATGCTGACTGCTCCCAGTTCATCTGGGGCCACATCCCATTCGGCTGGGTCCAGGCCCCCATGAGAGGGGATGAGGACCACACCGTCTCACTCACTCTGTTAACCACCTAAATTAAGAGGCATGCTCAGGCAGGCAAGCCCCAGTGATGCCACCTATCTAGTGTATTTTAGCCATGCCACTGGAAGTTAAAAACAAACGTTCAGGCCAGGCGCAGTGGCTCACGTCTGTAATCCCAGCACTTTGGGAGGCCGAGGTGGGCAGATCATGAGGTCAGGAGATTGAGACCATCCTGGCCGACATGCTGAAACCCCGTCTCTACTAAAATACACACAACAAAATTAGCCGGGCGTGGTGGCATACACCTGTAGTCCCAGCTACTCGGGAGGCTGAGACAGGGGAATCGCTTGAACCCAGGAGGCGGAGGTTGCAGTGAGCTGAAATTGTGCCACTGCACTCCAGCCTGGCGACAGAGTGAGACTCCGTCTCAAAAAAAAAAAAAAGAAAGAAAAGAAAAGAAAACAAAACAAAACAAATGTTCAGTAACTCATTACAGAGGTATTTTCTTCTAGCACAAAGCGTTGACTCCCTCAGCAGTAAGCAAATACCTCAGGGGAACAGCGTGCCTATAAGGACCTGTCATCTGTGCACGCTCGAGACAGGGTCCCAAGAGCAGCCCAGCAGCACCTGCCACCAGACCTGGGTCCGTGACACCTTCCCCGGGCCCATGACACCTTTCCCCAGATCTATAACACCTTCCCTCGGACCCCAGATGATCCCAGACCCATGACACCTTCCCTTAGGACCATGATGCCTTCCCCCAGATCTATGACACCTTCCCTCAGACCCCAGATGATCCTAGACCCATGACACCTTCCCCTGAGATCCCAGACCATGACACCTTCCCTTAGGCCCATGACACCTTCCCCTGAGATCCCAGACCCATGACACCTTTCCCCAGATCTATGACACCTTCCCTCGGACCCCAGATGATCCCAGACCCATGACAGCTTCCCTTAGGACCATGATGCCTTCCCCCAGATCTATGACACCTTTCCTCGGACCCCAGATGATCCTAGACCCATGACACCTTCCTTTTGGCCCATGACGCCTTCTACCGGGACCATGACATCTTTCCCCGGACCCCAGATCCTGGACCCATGACACCTTCCCTCGGACCTATGACACCTTCTCCCAGACCCCAGATCCTGCACCCATGACACCTTCCCTCCGGCCCACGACACCTTCCCCCGAGCCCATGACACCTTCCCTCGGACCCCAGATGATCCTAGACCCATGACACCTTCCCCAGGCCCATGACACCTTCTCTAGGACCCATGACACCTTCCCCTGGGCTCCAGATCCCGGACCCATGACACCTTCCCCTGAGATCCCGGACCCGTGACACCGTCCCCCAGACCCCGGGTCCATGGCACCGTCCCCGCTGGGCGCGTCCCTCTGGTCCGTCCTCCTGCCCCCCGGCGTCACCTCGGGACTGGAGCACGGGCACCCCGCAGCCACCGAGCTACCGAGTCTGGAAGCCAGGCAAAGGCGTTCCTGGGAACGTTCGGCGGCGCTTGGAAGGGCCGGGCCGAGGGCGAGCTCCGTGCCCAGCTCGCCGGGCTCGGGCCCCGCGTAGCAGCGCGCGCCGCGGGCCGGGCCTTACCGTTACTGTAGGCGTACGGGGACTCTGCCGCGCCGTCCTGCAGGCTCTCCAGGATCTCGCCCTTGCCCACGTCGCTGTCGCCCACCAGCAGGAACTTGAGCAGGTAGTCGTAGCTCTTCACCGGACTGCCCTGCGAGCCCATGGCCGCGCCGCCTGCGCCCCGCGCCGGCCGCCTGCCGAAGCACCGCCGGGTGAGGCCGCGGCGTGAGAGAGCCCGCGCCCCGCACCTGCGCCCGTTGCGTCCGCCCCACGGCGGCCGAGTGGGCGCGCCCGAAGCCCAGCGCCGGCCCCGCCCCGCCCGCGCCCGGGCGCACCTCAGCCTCGCCGCCGCCCCGCCGCTTCCCGCACCACCAGGGCCGCCGCGCCGCCCCACCCCCGGCCGCGCCGCCGCCATTGGCCACCCTTCGCCCGCCCTCCCGAGCCCATTGGCCCACCCGCCCGTCCGTCACGACTTCCCCGCCCTCACGGCGTTCCACACGGCGCCGCCAGACCTCCGGTCGCACCGCCTCTTCACCACCCCGCCCTGCCTTCCCGTAGTCACCAGAGGTCGCCCGCCGCCCTCCTTCCCTCAGCCATTGGCCTGTCTGCACGTCTGTCATGACCGCCCCTCCCCCGCCTTTCCCACACGGCGTTGCGGAGACAGCGGACGCCTGCCTCATCGCCGTCGCCATTGGCCACTCGCCTCCTGCTTTCCCGGAACCATTGGTTCGATTATAAGTTCACCAAGATCATTCCCTTCCCTGCGGCTGCCTCCCAGAGAAATCCCAGAGCCGCCGGCCGCCCCGCCCCCGGCCCACAACGCCGTTGTCCTCGCCCGCCCCGTCGCCGGCGCCATTGGGTCGCTTGCATGTCCATCACGGCTCTGCTAACCCCGCCCCTTTCCTACACGCTCGCCAATCAGGGGCTCGGAAGTCCACGTTGTTTGTATCCGCCCCTTCAACGCGCGGACGGGCGGCAGGATGCAGGCGCGCCCGAGCCGAGGCGATGCGGCTGAGTCCGGGAAACGAAAGCCCCTCGCAGGCTGTGCCGCCTGCTTCCGCAGAACCCTCGGAGGGAGCGGCGGGGTGGCCCCGGGCGCGTCCTCTCTAAGGCGGTGCGGCCAATCGGCGCTCGATGAGGCGGAACTTCCTCTCCGGGGCAGGGGCGGGACTTCCGCCCGGCGGCGGCGGGGCGCACCGTTGGGTCACCAGTGAGTCTGCAAAGTCGCTGAGGTTCTGGGACAGCGCGGCGTCACCGAGCGTGAGCCTTCCGCCCGGGGACGCGGCCGCCACAGCTCGGGACGCGGGGAGCGCGGCCGGCGCGAGCTCAAGACCCGGCCCGACGTGCTCACTGCGGCAGCGGCGCCTCCTGGACGGGGACCCAGGGCCCGGACCGCGCTCTTCCCGGGGGCGCCGCCGAGCCCTCGTCCCTGCCGGGCCCGGCTGCCGCAGGTGCGTGGGCGAGCGAGGCGGCTGCGTCCGCGGGCCCCGGCGTGGGGTCGGGGGTTGAGTGGGCACGTGGTTCTTTCTGGGGTGACGAGAAGGTCCTACCGTCGTGGGGATGGTCCTGCCTCTCTCGGTGAAGTTACTCACTCGGAACGGGTGAGCTTTGTGATACGTGCTCTGCGTTCAGTAGCGCTGTTACAGTCGTAAGTAAAAGCAGTAACGTCAGCGCCGACCCAGCGCAGCCCTCTCCAGACCGGGTGCGGAGCCCGTCACGTCTGCCCCGCCGGCGAGGAGCAGAGCCCGGCAAGAACCCTCCTCCAGAGGGGCCCCGACCAGGGCTGTGCCTCCGGGAGCAGGTGCTGCTTACACAGAGGGACGCCAGGACGGGCAGCCCCACACCTCCAGTGACCTCCCGTCCCCCAGAGCTGAAGACATGGCCTGACTAAGCGGCGACCACATCGACGCACCAGTTTTTTCTTTTTTGAAACAGGGTCTCCCTTTGTCGCCCAGGCTGCAGTGCAGTAGCGCGATCTCGGCTCACTGCAGCCTCTACCTCCCCGGCACAAGCGATCCTCCAGCCTCAGCCTCCCGAGTAGCTGGGACTACAGGCGCCACCATGCCCGGCTACCTTTTGTATTTTTTGTAGAGATGGCGCCTTGCCAAGTTCCCCAGGCATTAACCCGGAAACAACCTGGCGGGTCAGGGAGAGCCTCTTCTGCTCAGAGGTCATTGTGCCCAGACTTGAGCCCTGGCTGTGAAGTCCCTGAGGCCCCTCACTCCAGGGACGGGAAGCACCAAAGATGTGATGTTTCCTCCTCGGTTTCTGAGACTGCCTGGAAGCGGGGGGTGGATAGTGGTGAGCAGCCGTCTCCTCCTTTCCTGAGAACATAAATCAGAAACGCTTTCTGAGGCCGGGCACGGTGGGTCATGCCTGTAATCCCAGCACTTTGGGAGGCTGAGGTGGGTGGATCACCTGAGGTCAGGACCAGCTTGGCCAACATCGTGATAACCCCCTCTCCACTGAAAATACAAAAATGAGCCAGGCATGTTGGTACGTGCCTGTAATCCCAGCTACTTAGGAGGCTGAGGCAGAAGAATTGCTTAAACTCGGGAAACGGAGGTTGCAGTGAGCTGAGATTGTGCCACTGCACTCCAGCCTGGGCTACAGAGTGAGACTCTTGTCTCAGGAAAAAAAAAAAAAAAAAAGTGCCTCAAAAATAAACAATTAAAAATGTTCTTATGGTCTTCACAAAAATAAACTTTTTTAAAAAAGAAAAACAAAGTAAAACGCTCTCCAGACCCAGCCGTGGGCCACTGCTGCCTAGTTCCCACCTCCTGGGACAAGAAAGGGTCATCCCCTGGCTGATGAAGAAGTCAGGTTTCTCCCACTGGAGCTGCCCACCACAGCCTGTGGACACAGCCCTGTCCTGGGTTCCTGGGTTCAGGAACCTTTCCATAGGGTGAGATCCTTGGAAAGCTGCTGTGCCCTCTGACCTCCCAGCCTCCGAGCAGAAAAGTGTCCCAGGGAACCCAGATGGGTCTAGGGCAGCAGGCCCAGTGAAGGGAGGGACGGACTCTGGGGCAGCAGGCCCAGTGAAGGGAGGGACGGACTCTGGGGCAGCAGGCCCAGTGAAGGGAGGGATGGACAGAGGGGTGCCATCCTCTGGCATCCAGGCCTTGTGGACCGAGGGGCAGCTGCGTGCACTTACGCAGGGTGTCCTGGGGTCCACCATGGCCAAGCCAGGCCTGGGCAGGGGCAGGACACCATCCCTGCAGCTGAGAGATCTCAGGCCAGGGACAGGGCAGCCAAAGACAGTGGAGTGTGGGAAGAGACCTCCACCCAGAAGTTTGGGGTGAGCCACCACCTGGGCACCCACTTGTTGAGCAGTCAGGGTATTTCTGGGCCCATCTCGGAGGCCTGAGCAGTGTCTGGTGGAGACCCTGACAGCCCCCTTCTGCCACACCCCACACTCAATGGCCATGGCAGAGACGGGCCAGGACACTAAGCGGAGCCTCTGTCCAAGTGAGGGGCTTGGGAGACAAAGGGAGCAGTTTGGGGTGTCCACCCTGCCCCCGGGGAGCCCAGCAGCCGCCGGGATGTCCTCAAAGTCCTGCTAAGGGGGTGGACAGTTGCCCAGTGGGGCAGACAAGCCTTGGCCCCTGAAGCCCTGTGCCCAGGGAGCACCTACAAGTTTCAGCTACTCAGGGACCCCCCCCAGTCCTGGCCTGCTGCCAAGGGGAGGCCTCACTCACATCCCATGAGTGGACAGAGCCAATCACCTTGGTGGACACAGCGTGCAGTGGATGAGGGCAGTGAGGGATGGAGCGTCAACATGGTCCCATTTCTGTGGACAAATTAATGACAAGGGAATGTAGCTTTGCAGCGGAAAATCCTGCAGACAAGACCTCGACCAAGTAGTCACGTTGGCATCACTGGGATGAACAGGTGGGCTCTGTGTGCCACCCTGGGTGGTGCCCTCTGCTGCTGCCACAAGCATGAGTGGCATCTCATCATGAGGGTCACCAGCAGACCCAGCCAGGGACACTCCTGAGTAACGGGCTCCATCCCTAAGCCCCCAGAGGCTTTGGAGACTGGCCCATGACACGTGGGACACGCTGGAATGGGGTCGGTGGCTTGGACGGCATCCCTGCAAAAGCCCCGGGTTTGAGCACCGCACTGGCTGCCTTGTTCTGAGGAAATGCACGCTGAAAATTCCAGAGCCAAAATGGGCAGCTGACTCAAATGGTGCAGAAAAACATAAAGAATGTGCTGGCTGGGCCCGGTGGCTCACACTTGTAATCCCACCACTTTGGGAGGCCGACGCAGGCACATGGCTTGAGCCCAAGAGTTTGAGACCAGCCTGAGTAACACGGTGAAACCCCATCTCTACTAAAAGTACAAAAATGAGCCAGGCGTGGTGGTGGGTGCCTGTAATCCCAGATAGTCAGGAGGCTGAGGTGGGAGAATCACCTGAGCCCAGGAAGGTTAAGGCTGCACTCCAGCCTGGAAAATAGAGACCCGCTCTCAAAAAAAAAAAAAAAGAAAAAATGTGAAAACATACACATGGCATGTGGTCGTGGGGGGATGTAGGTGAAGGGTGCTGGAAGCATCTGTGTTATTCTCACAGCATTTCTGTAAGTCTGAATCTGTGAAGTACTGGTGAGACCCTTCTCTGTGGGCGGCCCCAACTCTGAAAGGGAAGGTGTCTGCTTCTGAGGGTGCCCTGAGGGTCCATAAATGGTCCTGGGCAGGCCTTGGAAAAGCTCCAGCCCATTGCCCTGTCTGGGTCGGCAAGGCAGGGGGGACCAGAGCTCTGGTGGAGGGATGAGGGGCACCCCACAGGTGTAGGCTGTCTCCAGGCAGGGGCTGTGCAGCAAGGACAGACGGAGCCTGCAGGTGCAGGCGGCACCTCTTGGTGGCTGCGAGTGGCTGGGGTGACGGTGTTCCATTGGCCAGCTCTGGCGCCAAACCTAGCTGGCCCTCGGGATAGGCAGTCAGCCCAGTGCCCAGCAGAGGGGGTGACCGCTGCCAGGCACGACCCATGACATGGCCATCACAGAGCAGTGGACTGAGCTGTGTCAAGACCTTGACCTGGTGGAAGCCCCAGGAGGCGTGGCAGCCCAGTGAGCAGCTGGGGGGAGTGGGAGGTACAGGTTGGGGGTGTTGGTGGACCCGGTGGGCAGCTGGGGGGAGCGGGAGGCACAGGTTGGGGGTGTTGGTGGACCCGGTGGGCAGCTGGGGGGAGCGGGAGGCACAGGTTGGGGGTGTTGGTGGACCCGGTGGGCAGCTGGGGGGAGCGGGAGGCACAGGTTGGGGGTGTTGGTGGACCCGGTGGGCAGCTGGGGGGAGCGGGAGGCACAGGTTGGGGGTGTTGGTGGACCCGGTGGGCAGCTGGGGGGAGCGGGAGGCACAGGTTGGGGGTGTTGGTGGACCCGGTGGGCAGCTGGGGGGAGCGGGAGGCACAGGTTGGGGGTGTTGGTGGACCCGGTGGGCAGCTGGGGGGAGCGGGAGGCACAGGTTGGGGGTGTTGGTGGACCCGGTGGGCAGCTGGGGGGAGCGGGAGGTACAGGTTGGGGGTGTTGGTGGACCCGGTGGGCAGCTGGGGGGAGCGGGAGGTACAGGTTGGGGGTGTTGGTGGACTTGGTGGGCAGCTGGAGGGGGAGTTGGGGGTACAGGTGGAAAGGGTGGGGGGCGAGGTGGGCAGCTTTGGGGGACAGGGGACACAGGTGGGAGGGGTGGCAGGCCAGGTGGGCAGCTGGTAGGAGCAGGGTAGGCCAGGTAGGCAACTGGAGGGTGAGTGGGGGAGAGTACAGATGGGAGGGGTGGTGGGCCAGGTGGGCAGCTGGGGGGAGGCAGGGGACACAGGTAGGGGGTTGGTGGGCCCTGAGTGCCTCTGGTTGCCTGGAAGTCCAGGTTGGATGGAGGCCTGTACACTTCGGGCTGGGAACGGGCTGTGGGGCCCGCCAGCTGGGCCCCCAGCACTGCAGGCGACAGAGACCATTCTTAGCAGCTGTGGCAGTCGCAGGCTGTACTGGGCCAGGACCCACGAGGGGCCCACCCCACATGGAGTCCACAGATTCAGAGCAGGAGCTGCTCGCCCCACCCCTGGAGGCCTACACCCCTGCACCATCTATGTCGAGGCAAGGCCACGACCCCAGGGTGGGCGGCCCCCAGGGTGGGCGGCCCGGGTTCACCTGCCTACACCAAAGTCCTCAAGGGCCCAGGGCCTGTGAGCCCGTCCCATCAGCCGTCGTCAGGGCCTCCAGCAGGAGGCCGGTGTAGACTCTGCAGGGCAGACCCACGTGAGGCAGCCCAAGTCCCTCGAGTAGCGTCCACACACCCCCCCCCCAGAGCTTCCCTGGACCCGCGCTGCACATGGACCCGGGACCGAGCCTGCGCTCCAGACACGGGGCAGGTTTTATTGTCACAGCAGCTGACGGCTTCCCCGGTGCTGGGTTGCCAGGGAGTCCCAGGCAGTCCTGGTGCTGCTGAGATGGGCGCTGCCTCCTCCCACCCACAGCGCGTCATCCCCTCACCAGCCGGCACCTGCAGGCTCCCCTCCTGAAGCGGACTCGGGCTCACAGGGAACACCCGCACCCAGACCGTGCCGTCTGGCAGGCACTTTCGGCCTCAGTGCCACGGCCCCCTCCCCAGGCCACTCACACTCCTGGGGGGCCACAGAGGTGTCTGCACAGCAGGGCTTCCTCCTTCCCTGGGAGGCCCATGAAGGGAGACAGATTTGGCCGCAGGACCTGCTGCTACGGGGCACCGTGGACGAATAGGTACGGCTGGGTCAGTGGGCGGGCCCTTGACACTGAGGCTGCTCCCGCCCCCACAGCAGCCTGGCGATGCTCACAGCCTGCTGATGGTTTCTTCACAAAGCGACCTCTCCAGGGAACATCCGCAAATAAACCCCGTGTGGTTCAGGGAGTGAGGGCCCGGGCCCGCTGGGGACGGGGGTCAGCGACTGCTTCAATCCCCCAGATGCAGGGTGCTGTTCGGCTGAGGGAGCTAGAGGGTGCCTGGGACTGGGGGGTTCATCCTGGCAAGGTCCCTCCACCCCCACAGCCAGGGCAGAGCCACTGGGGAGCCCCCAGGGAGACCAGCCCTCCACCTGGGGCTGCTGTGGTGGACGGACCCTCTGGACCTGGGTACACAGGGTGGGCATGGGGCAGTGCTCTGGACACCTGGGGTTGCTGTGCTCGCCACCATGGTGACCGCAGCAGGTGGGAAGCGGGTCCCAAGGCAGGCAGTGCCAGTGATGGAGTGCGGCCAGCCTGGCTGGCCACCCCCACATCTGCTCACTCCCAATGACCTCCAAGCCCAAGGTGTGATAGCAGGGCCTGCCGTGTTCAGGAGCACACAGCAGCGTCCACAAAGCACAGGACATGCGCCAGCTGAGCTGGTGCCACCCTGGCAGAGCAGATGGCTGGCTGTGGCCGTGTGGTGGTGCCAGGCGAGCCAGCAGTTCCCTCAGTCCTGCTTGTCCCCTCTCTGCCTCCAGGGGTAGATGAGCTCCCCAAGGAACAGCTTGCGGCACAGGGCGCCCCAGGAGTGCTTGGGGTGGCAGCCACAGCTGGGGAGGCGGTAGGTGTGCACCACGCGGCTGTAGGGCAGTGGGTTTATCTGGAAGGACAAGGGCAGCGGTCAGTGGGGTGGTCTGAGCTCCAACCCCGTCTGCAGAGAGAGGGTGGGGGCGGGCAGTTGTGAGGCAGGGCCAGTGCTGTCTCAGACATTCCCTTGCCTGTGGGAGAAGCCAGTCCCAGTTCCCAAGGAGGCAAGTGAGCCTGCAGCCAGAAGGGAGCGCTGGGGGGAGGCAGAAGCTGCATCTCCCCTCGGGGCTGCCCAACTCTGAGGGGCCGTGCCACAGGGACGCACACCCCACCCCAGGACTCACTCAGTCGGTTCTGTTCCACCCAGAACTTGAGCCCTGTGGGGCCCAGGGCAGCCCCAGCCAGCCAAGGGCGCCTCCGACACAGGGCAGAATGGGCCCCATCCACAGGACCACACCAGTGTCCTCAGGCCCTGGGGGTAAGGGGGAGGGGGTCCCGCGTGGGCCTTCCCCCTCAGCTCCACTGGGCCCTCCCTGTACCTCATCGCAGGCTGGCGTGGTGCCACCCAGACACTACACCCAGCTGACCCCACCGTCCCAGAACAGGGGCAGCAGCGTAGGGGCGTCCTGGCCACAAGGGGCCTCACCTGCATCAGGAGGCGGAGGGGCCTGCCGGCCTCGTGCCGGAGGACACGGAACTTCACGCCAGCTGCAAGGATAGCAAGCGGCTGACGAGGGGACGCGTGGGGGCTGGCCCCACACATGAGCAGAGGCTGCAGGTACCTTCCTCTCTGAGGGGCACCCGGGTGCTGCTGGCCGTGGCCACCCACGAAGCTCTCCCCGCCCCCTCCGTCGCCCAACTCCTGGAGCTGGCTGCCAGGCCGGCATCAAAGCCTCCTGCAGCCAGGCACGGTGGCTCACGCCTGTAATCCCAGCATTTTGGGAGGTGGGCGGATCATGAGGTCAGGAGTTCAAGACCAGCCTGGCCAACATGGTGAAACCCCATACGTACTAAAAATACAAAAATTAGCCGGGTGTGATGGCGTGTGCCTGTAATCTCAGCTACTTGGGAGGCTGAGGCAGGAGAATCGCTTCAACCAGGGAGGCGAAGGTTGCAGTGAGCTGAGATCACACCATTGCACTCCAGCCTGGGCAAAAAGAGCAAGACTCCATCTCAAAAAAAAAAAAAAAAAAAAGCCGGGCACGGTGGCTCGTGCCTGTAATCCCAGCACTTTGGGAGGCTGAGGTGGGAGGATCACGAGGTCAGGAGTTCGAGACCAGCGTGGCCAAAATGGTGAAACCCCCATCTCTACTAAAATACAAAAAATTAGCTGGGCGTGGTGGCACACACCTGTAATCCTAGCTACTCGGGAGGCTGAGGCAGGAGAATCGCTTGAACCCAGGAGGCAGAGATTACAGTGAGCCGAGATTGCGCCATTGCACTCCAGCCTGGGCGACAAAGTGAGACTCCGTCTCAAAAAAAAAAAAGCCTCCTGCAGACTCCACTGAAAGAAGCCAGGTGTCCGGCAAGCAGGGAAGAGCCCCAGTGAGGGACGGGCGCAGGCTGTGCTGTTGAGTGGACGGGGTTTTCCGGCACAGCGGACGGGGCACTTACTGGATGGTGGCCGCCCTGCTGGCTCCTAGTGCCTCTGACTTTGCCGCGCTTGGCCCCTGGCCTGCAGTTCAGACTCCCAAGCCCAGAAAATCCCAAGGCAGAAGAACAAAGGCCTGTGGCCTCAGGTCTCCAGGGTTCTGAACCTGCGCGGCAGGTGAGTCTCTGAGTCTCTCTCCACCTCCCTGGAGGCAGCTGGTCCTGCAGACCTCTGGGACTAGGAGGCCCTGTCCTCCCTGCCCGCTTGCGCATGCATACCACGGCTTCCAGGCTGGAGGCACAGTGGCCCATGCTGTCCTTGCTTCTGCAGGGCCCACAGGTGTGGTTCCCCTCCACCTACCCAGGGCCAGCTGCCCAATACGCAGCACTTACCCGCCAGCCTGTAGGGCCGGCAGAGCCGAAGACCCAGTGAGTACAGCGGCAGGGAGTTGATGAGGTCCACGAGCAGATGGATCAGGCCCTGCACGGCGACCACCAGGAGCCGGAGCTGTGGCAGAGGAGCATTTAGGACCGGCCCGGCCAGACGCGCCTGGGGGCAGAGCAGTCCGACCCCATCCTGGGCCACGATGAAGGGGGCCCAGAGGCTGCAGGGTCCTGGGGAGAGCAGGGACCCCACCCTGAGCAGGGCACGGAGTCTGCCATTGGGCCTTGCTCTGGAGCAAAGCTGGAGGCGGAGCACCCGGCCCTCTCACCAGGTCAGAGGTGCCTCCCCACAGCCTCACATGCAGAGGGGATCGAGGCCTGGGAATCAAGCAGGTGCTGGAGGTGGTTCTGCTCACCTCCCACTGTCTGCCCCAGTGCCAGGCACCAGGGGAGGCCTCTTGCGTGACCCCACCTGCCGTGGGGTCCTTCCACCACGCACCCAGCTGCGTGCTCCAGGGCAGTGAGGGTGTCTTACTGGCCAGGATAGGGCCTCGCCCACTCCAGAGCGCAGCACTCACTGCCCAGAGGGTCCTGAAAGGCCACCCACGTGGCCTGCAGCAGGAGACAGCCCGCCCCACAGCTGACTGCTCCCAGGCAGCGCTGGCAGAAGCCACACAGAGCACTGCAGCCAGGCCCAGCCTGTGGGTGCTCAGCTCACCAGGGTGAACACCAGGTAGTACAGGGCTGTGGTAGGCAGGAGGAAGAGCAGGATGGTGAAGAGCAGAGTCCCGATGAACAGCTGTAGGGAGGGGCCAGCACACCGGGCATCAGCAGGACCCCGCGCCCAGGGACGGCCCAGCACTGTGCCCTCCCCCATCCCGGAGCTGCAGTCGGGACCTTGCGGCTTCCTGAGGGAACTCGGGATGGCCTGCTCAGAAGCAGTCCCAGTAGCAGGAGGGCTGTCCACCCACACCCCACGGACTAGGGGACTCGCAGGGAGACAGGTGGGGGCCAGACCACCCAAGACGGTGCGTGGCCACACAGTCACCAAGAACATGCTCTGCATGGCAGCATCCAGCGGCTGCGGCAAGTGTGAGCAGCAGACGGGCCCGGGCAACTCTAGTCTCCGAGCCCGGGCACCTCTAGTCTCCGGGCCCGGGGCACCTCAAGTCTCCGGGCCCGGGGCACCTCTAGTCTCCGGGCCCGGGGCACCTCTAGTCTCCGGGCCCGGGGCACCTCAAGTCTCCGGGCCCGGGGCACCTCTAGTCTCCGGGCCCGGGGCACCTCAAGTCTCCGGGCCCGGGGCACCTCTAGTCTCCGGGCCCGGGGCACCTCTAGTCTCCGGGCCCGGGGCACCTCTAGTCTCCGGGCCCGGGGCACCTCTAGTCTCCGGGCCCGGGGCACCTCAAGTCTCCGGGCCCGGGGCACCTCTAGTCTCCGGGCCCGGGGCACCTCTAGTCTCCGGGCCCGGGGCACCTCTAGTCTCCGGGCCCGGGGCACCTCTAGTCTCCGGGCCCGGGGCATCTCTAGTCTCTGGGCCCGGGGCACCTCTAGGGCCTGTGCCTGCACCACCTTCGGGGCTGTGTGTCTGTCTCTTCTCTGTGGCCCAGGGAAGCTCTGCGCTGCTTCAGAGCCCCACGTGCAGCCCACACCGCAGACTTATCTATTCCCAGGGCCTGTGCGCGGCCTCAGCTGCAGGACGGGAGCAGGCTGCCCCCTTGTGGTGCCCAAGCACCGCGCTGGCCCAGCGGGCACAGGCCGGAGGCAGTCAGCCCCTCCAGCCACGAACCCTGCCCCATACCTGGTCCAGGTCATAGGAACAGGAGTCCACGCGCTGGCGCAGAACGTTCCACTTCTTCCCCCGGAACAGACGCCACAGTGAGGACAGGCCATGGATCTTCAGGCAGTACAGCCTACAGGACGCAGTGCTGTCGGGCCCGGCCCCGCCCCGCCCCGCCCCGCCCCCGCCCCACTCGAACGCCCGCCCAGCCGGAGCCTCTGCACCTCCCAGGGGGCGGTGGGGAGGGGGAAGCCCACGCCCACCTGGCTCCATAGACGTAAAAGCAGTAGATGTGGAAGGTGAGGAGGGCGATAATGTCCGAGAGGAGGGACAGGGCCACCGTCAGGCCCAGGCAGGCCGAGAGGCCCACGTGCCAAAGGATGTGCTCCACGAAGGGGGACATGAGGTGGATGTAGCCTGGCAGGGTGGGGTAGGCCCTCAGGAGGCGCTCAGACCCCAGCCCTCGGCCCAGCACAACCCTCACACACACAGGACATGAGGTGCGTGTAGCCTGGCAGGGTGGGGTCAGCCCTCGGGAGGTGCCCAGGCCCCAGCCCTCAGCTGAGCACAGCAGGCCTCACACACACAGGACGCTGGGGAGCAGAGTTGGGGGCACAGGGGGCGGGGTCTGGCTGGGTCCCTACCCTCTTCAGCAAGCTCTGGGGTCCCTGGGGCCCCCGCCTGCCCTGCACTCACTGATCCACAGGTGGATGTGGTAGAGGAAGAAGCGGCCCAGCACCTGGTCCAGTGCACGGTTCATCTTGAGCCCGGCGGGAGCACCCATCAGCCACTGCAGCAGATGCTGGAGCTCCTCGGCCACGTGCTGCAGGGACACAGGGGCCACGCTGGGGCGGGGGCAGCCAGGCTCAGCACCTGCATCTCCCCAGGCTCTTTCGTGATGGGCTCCCACCTTGGCCAGCCTTCCCTCCTCCAGGGTCTACCGCGTCCTAGCGTGGACAGCACACGGGCTCCCCTTCACAGATGGCTCCGGGATTGGGGTCTGAGGAGGCTGGTCTGGAGGCCTCTCTCTGCAGGCCTGGGTGACATGGCCGGGCCCACAGGGCATCCGCGTGGCCCCCTGCCTGCACCCACCTCTACCATCTTCCTCCCCTCTCACTACCTCGGCCACAGGACCCACTGGAGCCCTCGGCCCCAAACACGTGGACGCACTGAGGCCTGGCAGACCCTGATTCGGCTCCAGCCCTGCAGGGAAGCCCACAGCTGACACAGTCCCCTCCAGAGGCCCCACCCCATCGCAGAGGCTGGGGGCTGCCCGGGATGACCACAGGTGAGCGAGACAGTGCCAAGCCCATCAGGGCCACAGCGACCAGGCAGGAGGACAGGTCCCCAGAGGGAGGATGGCGTCAAGTTGAGGGCACAGGCACCCCCAAGAGCAAACAGGGAAGCAGGGTCTTGGCCGCCCAGGAAGAAACTCAGCATCCAGAGGCTGTGCCCCAGCGGGCAGACCCCAAGGGAGCCTCAGCCTCCCCACTAAGGAGACAGTGAGTGACACCTTGGCCCCCACTTGCCCATTGCGCAGGCCCCTTCCAAGCCTGGGCCAAGGCCTCAGCCACAGCAGGACTGGCAAGAAGGAGAAAAGAACACTTTTTTTTTTTTTTTTTTCTGAGACGGAGTCTTGTTTTGTCGCCCAGGCTGGAGTGCAGTGGTGAGATCTCGGCTCACTGCAAGCTCTGCCTCCCGGGTTCACGCCATTCTCTTGCCTCAGCCTCCCAATTAGCTGGGACTACAGGTGCCCACCACCATACCTGGCTAATTTTTTGTATTTTTAGTAGAGACGGGATTTCACTGTGTTAGCCAGGATGGTCTCGATCTCCTGACCTCATGATCCGCCCGCCTTGGCCTCCCAAAGTGCTGGGATTACAGGCATGAGCCACCACCCCCGGCTGAGAAAAGAACATTCTTTATAAATAGAGCTTATTTAATATTTAAAGGATAAGAGCTTGGCAGCAGGAAGAGACTTTCATTTTTAAATTAAATATTTATATTTCTGAGCACTTTTGCAAAAGGGAGGTCTAGGACAAAGTAGGCCGGTGGCAGGTGCGGACGACCACAGGCAAAGCTGCCGAGCCCCTTCCCCAGCCCCGCCCCTCCTTCCTTCTGGGCTGGAGCTCCCTGCACCCCCACAGCCACACAGACGTGCCTGATGCTGCCCCCAGAGGCCTGGCCTGGCCACAAGCAGGCCCAGTGCACACCTGCAGCCCACACAAGACCCACCCAGTCAGGCCTCAAGGAGGCCTCCACAGAGGCCCGAGGGTGGGCCAAAGAGTCAGGTACCACCCCCAGCAGGAAGACAAGCTCCTAATGGAAGAGACGGGGCTTTGGTGCTGAGGGAGGAAGACAGAGAAGCTGAAGGCCCAGAGGCAGCATGGAAATGCACTAGATCTGCAGAGGAGGGGGCTGCACCCGGCTGGAAACGGGGCACAGACCATGCAGGGAAGGTGGGAGATGGGAGACAAGCTGTGCCTCTGGCTCTCAGCACAGGAGTTACAGAATCAGCACAGGGGCAGGGCAGGAAGTCCCAGCTGGGCTGCACATGGGCCTCCCTGGACAGGAAAGGTTTCATGACCCTGGCTCTGCAGAGGGCCCCAGAGAGCCAGGAGGGCAACGCTGATCTCAGGGACCACAAGGGAGATACCAGGACGCTGGGCCCACAGGGAGAGGCGGGCTCCCCAGAGCCTCAGCCCGGCTGGCTCCTGCACACAGCCCCTTCAGAAGGAAAGGGGGGTGTACCTGCGAGGCCTGCCCTGCCCAGGCCCCAGCGCCCCTGGAGTTCCTGCTTCTGGTTCAGGGGAGGGCCGTGTCTCCAGAGCATGGAGAAGGTAGAACTGGCTTTGTGGGGCGGTGGCTCTGGCCCGGGAAGGCTCTGCTGCCCAGGAGGGGTCCCCACGCCCACCCGGGACACCGGGCTCCACCCCAGTCCACTCACGTCAGCCACAGGAACGAGGGCGTCGGCCAGATGCCCGATGCGGCTTCTCCCGTGGAGCCAGGACAGCAGCATGAGGCCCAGGGCCACGTCCAGCAGCACAGAGGCCACCGTGTTGGCCTTCCTGGAAGGGAGGTCCGGCCCGGCCGGCATGAGGGTGGCCAGCACAGCCTGGGGCCGCAGGAGGAGGCCTGCCTGGCCGGAGGGGTCAGCGTGGTGCAGAGGGGGATGGAGAAGGGGCCAGAGGGCACGCACCCAGCCCTGCAGAGACCAGGGCAGGCCCACACCTCATCAGCTGGGCAGGGTTCTCCGCCTTCCGTGTACTGAAGATTAGCGTGAGGTGCTCCAGCCGGTGCCGGAGCTGTTCGCACGTGGAGAGTTTGCTCCCGAGGAAGGACAGGGGCCAGAGCTTGAACACTCTGCGTGGGAGTGGAGAGGAGTGATGTGTCCCTCTCCAGATCCTCCTCCCACCGTCCCCCACTGTGCAGGGGACCACAAACACCCAGGCCACACTCCTGAGCTCAGCAGGACAGGGGGCAGGTGGGAGGGGCCCTCGGTGGCCCAGGTGGTGGTAGGCAGCGCTCAACGCGCCCACCTCACAGTGCACGTGACTAACACGGAGCCTGGCCTCCTCGCAGGTGCTGACCCCGGGCCACCTGGTCACCACATGCTCCCAGAGCCGGTGCCAAGAAGCGCCTGCCAGCCAGCAGCAACTCCCACGGGCCCAGGGCCTCGCCCCGCCGACAGGGCCCAGAAAGCTGCCCGGGGTCTCCTGGGCTGGCCTAGCTTCTCACCCCAGGCTTCCAGAGTATGCACCCCCGGGTCTAAGGCAGGGGGCAACTGCAGGTGACCCCTAGCTGCTCCCCATGGGGCACCTCCGCCAGGCAGATGAGGTCCCCTGTGGAAGGGGGCCCTCTGTTCTCAGCCACAGCTCGGGGCTACCCCCGTGCCCCTCAGGGCCCTTGGGCTTCAACTGACCCTTGGCCAGCAGCACCTGTGATTGTGGAGAGAAGCAGGGCCTGTAGACCACTCCCCCAGGCACACGGGGCCAGCAAGTGGATGACACCCCCACAGCCCATGAGCGCTGCAGTGTCCAGAGGCCTGCTGGGGGCACAGGCAGGGCTACAGGGAGGCCAGCGGGCCTGTGTGCCCTCAGGAGCACCCCCAGGCAGCAGTAGTCATGTCTGTGCTCACCTTCTGATTTCTCTTTCAGGGACCTAAGCCACTGAGGTTCACCCTCTACACCTTCTGGGAGGGCCCCTGGCAATCCCTGAGGCTGCCCAGAGACCTGGCTCTACCCCAGGGGTGAGGGACACCCTCTGAGAGGCGAGGGTTGGGAGAGCAGGATGGGGCCAAAGCCCGGGCTGCAGGAGTGGGAGGGGGCCCGGGCCCAGGAAGAGCGCATCTGGGCCTCTGTGCCCACTGCAGACAAAGGGATGGGCCAGCACTCATGGGACCCCACTCTTTGCCACCTGCCTGTCCCGGGACACCTACCGGCAGGCACTGACAGCTGAGACCAGCGACAGCAGGCTGGCCAACAGCAGGCAAATGGGTCCCGAGGCTCGCCTGGCCAGCTCCGCGAGGATGCTGGCCTCCACGCCCTCCGACTGCCAGTGGCTCAGCCGCACGGGGCCCTCATCAAAGCGGTCACTGCGGAAGAGCACCTCACTGCGTGCTACCGTGTCGAAGACGGCAGCCAGGCCCCCCGTGCTGGCAGTGGTGGCTCCAGCCTGGCGGTCGGGCAGGACGGTGGGCAGGTGTAGCTGTGACAGCAACACCTGGCGCTGGTCATAGAAGATGAGCATGACCTGGTCCTCACCAGGGGCACCGGGGGCAGTGGGCGCTTGCCGGTGGGTGGCCTCGCAGCTCCAGAACGTGCCGCCTCTCTCCCGGCACAGCCGCAGCCAGGGCTCATGGGGGAAGACAGCACCCAGGCTCTCCAGGAAGCGGCCCAGGCTCTCCTCGGGCTCCTGCCGGCAGTGGCACCAGGTGCCCAGCACGGCCACGCCCACCTGGCTGGCCTGCCGCACCTGGGCCAGGAGCTGCTTGACCTGGATGGGGATGAAGGGAAAGTGCAGGACCGCCAGGACCACGGCGCTGCTCTGCTCCGGCACCCACCGTCCCACCAGCAGCCCGCTGTCCGTCGAGACGCAGCACGTGGGGAAGAAGGCCTTGAGCACCATGCCGGGAGGCTGGAAGAGAAGAGGAGAGGCTCGGCTCAGAGCTGCTGCTGCCCCCCCACCGTGGGCTGCGGGATGTTGCACAGACGGCCTGACAGGTGCAGCCACAGGGCCCCAGGTCGGGGCACCTCAGCTTCAAGTTCGGTGGTGGACGCCGTAGGGCTCCTTGGCTGCCGCCTCGCGTGGGCCATGCTTCTCCAAGGGGCAGCCAGAGTGCTGGCCCCAAGTCCACCCCAGGCCCAGCTCAGCCCCACCCGCACGAGGCAGGACGCACATGCAGCCACCAGGCCTGCCCTCCCATTTCCAGGCCGGCCCAGGGCACGGCCTCCTCGGCACCACCTGACGCGGCTGTGGGGCCGAACCGAACTCCAGGCTTCTTAGTTTTAAGAAACCTGATTAGAGAGGTGTGCTTAAAGGTGTAGCACGAGGAGAACTGTACAATCTCATTAGCAAGGTCACGCCAATTGAAACCTTGACAAACCATGATTCACGTATTAAGCAAGAATAAAGATGAAAATGTAAAATGATGTGCTGCTGGGCTGTGGAAACTACCTCGTGCGCACGGCGGGCAGCCCCCCAGAAGGTCCCTGCCTCCCACAAGCCCCTCCCTGGGGGCAGGAAGGACCTGCCTCGTTGCTCAGGGCACACAGGGCTTCGGCCTCCACTCTGACCCCCGCCCACGGTGGCACCCGGCAGTGCCTGGCCCTCCCTGACATCCCCACAGCCACCCCAGGGCAGGGCTCCCTCAGGGAGCATTTTCTCTCCAGGATATATTTCTCCAACGACATGGGTGCCTAGAAACGGGGAGAGAGAGGCTTACAGGTCCCGGAGGTGTGGAGAAACTGCATCCTGCACTCTCAGGCTGAGGGACACCAGCCTTCCAAGGTGGCTGTTGAGTAGGAAGCCACCTGAGCTACCGCGGTTCCCAGGCCCTGGGCCTCTCCTCCCCCTTTCTCACAGGCCCCTGCGGAGCCATGCAGCCAGCTGGGGCTCCTTCTCCACTGATGCCTTCCCTGGCGGGGCCCCACAGGGCAGGAGGACTCCCTAGCGGTGGGGGCACTACTGGCCGGCTGGCTGGGCCGCTCGCCTTCCTCAGACACAGAAAGCCCCATCTCGCCTGCACGAAGAGTGGAGCGGCCACCCTGAGCAGAGACCCCCCACGCTGGAGCCACACTCGAGGGAGGGACATAGCTTGGCCTGAGCCTGGGTCTGGAGGTCCCAGCGCCCACCACGCCCTTAGGGACGAGGGAACAGAGCGGGACGCCTGGAGGTCGCAGTGCCCACCACATCCTTAGGGACGAGGGAACAGAGCGGGACGCCTGGAGGTCCCAGTGCCCACCACATCCTTAGGGACGAGGGAACAGAGCGGGACGCCTGGAGGTCCCAGTGCCCACCACGCCCTTAGGGACGAGGGAACAGAGTGGGATGCCTGGAGGTCTCAGAGCCCACCACGCCCTTAGGGATGAGGGAACAGACCAGGATGCCTGGAGGTCTCAGAGCCCACCACATCCTTAGGGACGAGGGAACAGAGCAGGATGCACACGTCGGGGTGGTGTGACCTGTAAGTCCTCTCCCGAAGCTTGGAGGGGCTCTGGAAGAGGCCTCACACGGAAATGCCTGGGGCTTAAGAGGCCCCTGGTGCAGCTGCTCTCCTCCCCTGCAGGCAGCCCGCACTGGGGCTGGAGGATCCAGTCACTCAAGGCGGTGGGTTCTAGCTGAAAAGGGACCTTCTGGGTCAGGCTGCAGAACTCCTCAAATGCCCATTTCCTCAGTGGTCAGAGAGGGCAGGCGGCGGGTGGATGCCTGGAGGCCAGCTGACGTGAGGCACCAAGGACATCGTGAGAGGGACAAAGTGATTCTGCCTGCAAGGGGCCCAGCGTGTCTGGCTGTGTGACCACCATAGGGGACCACCCAGTACAGCCCACCTTTCACACCAGCTCAGCCCAGGGACCCATCACGCCCTGCTGGGGAAGAGCTTTCACAGGGACTAAGGAAAACTGCCCACAGATATCGTCGGAAAAGAAACACAATGGGTCTAACAGTAAACAGATGTTCTAGGGGGAGCTGGTTCTGCGGTGGGCTCACTTTGGGTAAATTCACCGAGCTACGTGCTCACGATCTGTGCGCTTTCTTTGTGTGTATTCTTTGTGCTTCATCTACAAAGTTTACCTTAAAAAAAAAAAGTGCCTTGTGTCTACCGAAGGAGATGGGAGGGCAGAAGCTACTCTTCTCTGTCGAGTAGTGAGAGAAAACTCAACGTACTGTGGGGCAAACGCCCATCACACTCCCACCTCAGCCTCTGGGACGGTCGGCGGCACAAAGAAGCCTGCACTAGCAGCTGCTGGGATCACACAGCCAGAGGAAGATGAAAGAGAAGCGATCGATAGCAGAGGAGGTATGGGACGGGAGAAAGCAACGTGAGCATCTTTAAAGACTGAGGAAACACACACACACACACACACACACGGGCGCCAGGCTAGCCACACACACACACACACACACACACGGGCACCAGGCTAGCCAGACACACACACACACAGGCGCCAGGCTAGCCAGACACACACACACACACACACACACACACACACAGGCTAACCAGACACACACAGGCTAGCCAGACACAAACACACACACACACACACAGGCTAACCAGACACACACAGGCTAGCCAGACACACACACACGGGCACCAGGCTAGCCACGGGTCCCAGGCTAGCCAGACACACACACACACACGGGCACCAGGCTAGCCATGGTTGCCAGGCTAGCCAGACACACACACACACACGGGCGCCAGGCTAGCCACACACACACACACAGGCTAGCCAGACACACACACACACACACAGGCTAACCAGACACACACAGGCTAGCCAGACACACACACACACACACACGGGCGCCAGGCTAGCCACGGGTGCCAGGCTAGCCAGACACACACACACACACACGGGCACCAGGCTAGCCAGACACACACACACACACACACACACACACACACACACACACACACACACACACACACACACACACACACACGGGCGCCAGGCTAGCCAGAAGAGCTTCCTCTGCTAAGAATGAGCCCGAGTGCTCTTGAGAAGCCATTCCCAGACCAGGCAGGTAGGGAGGTCGACCATATAAAGTAGTAAGACTAAGACTTCCCTCTCCTCCCCGTGAATGAGGGAATGGGGGCACCCCAGCCCAGTTAGGACGGGCCAGGGCCATCTCTGGCTGAGCCGCCCCTCCCTGCCACCGCTCCACAAGAGCTCTGGAGAATTTGCGTTTCCCAGCGCCTTGTTTGAAAAATAAACACCAACCTGGCGCGGTGGCTCACGCCTGTAATCCCAGCACTTTGGGAGGCCGAGGCGGGCGGATCACTTGAGGTCAGGAGCTTAAGACCAGCCTCGATGGGGGTGAAACCAAGTCTCTACTAAAAATACAGAAATTAGCCGGGCGTGGTGGTGGGCACCTGTAATCCCAGCTACTGGGGAGGCTGAGGCAGGAGAATCGCTGGAACCCGGGAGGCAGCGGTTGCAGTGACCCGAGATCGCGCCATTGCACTCCAGCCTGGGCGACAGAGCGAGACTCCCTCTCAAAATAAATAAATAATGAAAAACAAACACGAGTTCAGCCTGGGCAACATGGTGAGACCCCGTCTCAAAACAAACAAACAAACAAACTTGCTTGCCTTCCTCAAGCAGGGCCTTCCCCTCTCATTTGGGAAGAGCCTACGATTCCGTTTTTTGCCCTTTCCTGCAAACCGGGACAACTGCGAAGGGCCCACAGCCAGGCCCGGGCCGCCGACCGCCCTTGCACAGGGTCCACAGGGGCCCAGGTCGGCGCGGGCCCGGGGGCGGCCCCACTTCTGGGAGGAGAAAGCAGCGGCGCCGCGGGCGGGAGTGCGGAGCCCCCAGCCCAGGCCCGGAGCCGCAGGGGCGCTGCCCGAGGTCCCGCCGCGCGCCGCCCACCCCCCCTGCTCACCGGGTGCTTCCGGGGCCGCGCGCTCGGGCGGCGGGGTCCGGATGGGGTTGGGGACCCCGATGGGCGGGCCCGGGCAGACGACGGCGCTCGCTGCCTCCAGCCCCGCCGCGGGACCCGAGCCCCACTTCCGCCGGCTCCGCGCGTTGCCGCGCGACGGTCCGGCCCCCAAAGGCGCCCGGGCTGCCCGCCCGCCCGCCCGACCCGAGCGTTCCGCGGCGCAGCGTGCCCGCCCAGTCCCCAGGCCCGGACCTCCCGAGCCTGCCTCCGGGCCGCCAGCCCCGCGTCAGCTCGGTTTCCTCACCTGAGAAACTGACTGGACCTGGCCTTCGTGGAACCCGGACCCCGCCTGGCTCCCAGCCTCCCCAAGTGAACAGGTCCCCAGGCCCTGCGGGATTCCAGGAAGGCCCCAGCCCCAGCCCGGTCCCGCCCCCGTCACTCTGTTGTCTGCAGAGGGGCCGCCCCCAGATCCCCAAGGCCAGTGGTGCCGGGAATTTTGAGCCCTGGTAGGACCAGCCCAGAGGCTGCCGCCAGCGATCGTCAGGAGAGAACACACAGGCGTCCAGCCCCTCCCGATCCCAGGAACAAGACCCCAGCCCAGACCTCAGCGGCAACTCCGTTTATTGAGCACCTAACTACATTGCGCAGTTAGTCCCCCACCCACAGGACCCAGACATATGAGGGACCTCTCAGGGGGGATGTCCTGTGATACAGGGGAGCCCCACCTCCCCACCCCACAGGGGTAGAGCCAGACACCGTCCCCTCCCAGCTCCCTCCCCCATACAGGCCCTTCCCTGGACCCCAGACCCACGGAGTAACCCAGACGCCTCTCCTTTCACGCCTCATTTCCCCACTTGTAAAATGGGAGGAGAGGGTTAGACCCCTATTTTTTCTCAGTTTTCCAAAGCAGCAGGAGTCTCTCCTTGTAGGAAGCTCCCCCAGACCCTCCCAGCACGGCTGCACTGGGAGGACAAACAGCATGGAGCTGTTTGTCCCTGTCTGCAGAATGAAGGCCCAGACAGCTTTCATTCATGGGGACGCGGAAGAAAAGGCATCCAGGGTTCAGCCAGCCATGGGCCTCCAGACACTCCAGGGTTGCCTCCCCCTTACCTCTGCCAGGCCCAGAGAAGCTACTGGAGGCTCAGGACTCTAGGTCCCTCTGAGGTTGGGGACATTTAGGGGCCACACCCCTGCCCCAGGCCGCCCCGCCCAGCCCAGCCCAGCCACACCCTCCCTGCCTGTCTGCCCCCGATTAGGAGGCCTGGGCAGGGGCACCTGGTGGGAGAGTCTGCCTAGCTGTGTGCCGGCAGCTGGCCCAGGATCTCAAGGCTTCAGCTGCCAGCCCCAAAGTCCAGGCACAGGGCCTGAGGGGGTGTGGGGGGCATGAATGCAGGGGCCAGGGCACTGAATGGGGACAGCAGAGAGCAGCCCTGGCTGGGGAGGCTGCAGGCCTGGCAGGGGCAGCCTGGGAAGCAGACTCAGGGCTGCTCCTGAGATCCGGAGCCTCACCAGCAGGAGAACTCGAGCCAAGCCCAGGGCCCAGCCCAGGTGGTGCTGGCATCAGGCAGGCAATGCCCATAGCCTGGAGGCTCCACCCATCCTGAGGGTTCCTCCCGCGGTGATCCAAGGGCCTGGGAGCTGGCCTCAGGCACAGGAGGGCTGCTCCAACCCAGCCTCAGGTCAGGCCAGCTCCTTGAGGCCCTGGTACACCTTGATGGAGTTGTCCTTGGCATCAGCCACCAGGAGCTGGCCCTGGGGTGCACAGGCCACTCCCAAGGGCTGCCCAAGCCCCTCTGACACCAGGCAGATGGGTGGCCCAGCCCGGGGAAACAGGGTCACCTGGCGCCTCTGCTCGTCTGCCACAATAACATTGCCCTCTGAGTTGGAGCAGATGCCCGCTGGGCAGCCGAAAGTGTGCCCCGTCCAGCCCCCCAGGGAGCCCAGGGGTTGGCGGGCACTGCCAAACAGCCTCACATCCCCAAACTCCTCACTCACAGCAAGGCCCCCATCAGGCCCTGGGCCCACCCAGCAGGGGCCCTCCAGACCCAGCATGGAGGCTGGGGCCAGGGGCTCCCAAGCAGGACCCAACGAGAAGCTGTGCACAGCCCCAGGCAAGTAGTCCGTCACCAGGAGGCGGTTGAGGGCATCCACAGCCAGCCCTCGGGGAGACAGGAAGGTGCCCACTGTCACCCAGTGGCCCCCGGGGTCCCGGGCTGTGTGCTGGAGTGCATGGACAGCCCCATGGATGGGATCGCTGACCACCACAAGCCCTGACGCTGTCACAGCCACGTCCTCTGGAACGAAGGCCCCGCTCCCCGGAGTGCGGCAGGGCAGGAGGCAGATGGGGCGTCCCTCCAGATCTAGCACGTGGACACAGGGTGCAGCCCCGGCCGTGAGGAAGAGCAGGCCATCGGGGGAGCAGTGCAGGCCCCGGGGCCCTCCCACAGCCCCTGCGGGCACCCGGATCCACCCAAGCAGCCGGAGCTGCCGGGAGCCCGTGGAGTCTCCAGGTGGGTCCAGTGTGAGGTGCAGACACCTGGAGGCCAGAGTCCAGTCAGTCCGAATCACCGTCTCAGCTTCTCTGCAGCTGGGTCACGCTTGGGGCTGCAAGAGAGAGAATAAGGCCCCACTGTGTGTGGGAATGGCAAAGTCACTCCTCCAGTTTCTTCCTATGAGGCCGGGTCCTCCTGGTCCTGAGGGTCTACCTGGCCACCAAGCCCAGCGGCCACCCTAGTGTCTAGGTGCCTGGGACTTGAGTCTGGGAGACACATGACCCGTGGAGCTCGCTGTGGGTTTTCCCCTGAGCCCCAGATGAGCTCATGGGCCTCAGACAGATAAGCAACATTTCTCAAATCCATCTGCCTGTGGAACCCCTTTCTACGGCGGGGGGGCGGTCACCCACACACAGCCCTTCTACCCGAGCCCCTAGGTCAGGGAGACTTCTGACCCCTTAGGGGCGAGGCAGCCTATTCCGAGGGCCTCCACCTGCCCCACCGAGAGAGGCCGGGGGGAGGGGTCTCTTACCTGGGCCCTGTCTCGCTGGGCCCTGCTTCGGGGCTGGGTGGCTGCAGCCTCTGTTGTTGGAAACTAGAACTGGAGGAAGTGGGAGGAGCCACTGGCAGGGACGCAGCTGGGCCGGGTGGAGGAGGGAGAGTGCAGTCTCCGGCCTTGGCCCCTGAAGCTTCTATGAAAGAAAAACCAGGTCCCCTGAGGACTCCCCATGCTGTGGTGTTCCTGCCTCCGCGCCTTGTTGCAGGCTGCGCCCTCTGCCCGGACACTATTCCCACGTCCCCTACACGGCCAGATGCCATGCAGCCCACCCCCCTCCAGGGGTCCCCCATGGTCCCCCCACAACCAGCAAGTTCATTACTCCAAGTGGCAAGGCAGCCCCAGGCTGCCACCCCCAAGCAGGGTCCTTGGGTCTGGACCACAGGCGGGTGACCTGCTGGCTGAGGCACCCTCCATGAGGCCTGTCCTGCTCCCCACGGGTGACAGCGAAGGAGGTCGTGTCTCCACACCTGGGAGACGGGTGCTGTTGCCCCCAGCAAGGCCATGCTCACCTGTCTGCTCAGTGGGGGTGAGAAACTGAGGTGCAGTGGACATATGGGGTGCAGTGGACATATGGGGGGCGGGGGCTGAGGACAGGGAGTCTCCCTCAGACTCGGGACTTGGGAACAGTTCCTGGCTGCCCAGAGCCCCCTGCAGCCCCTCCAGGAAGCCTCTGGGTAGAGGGGCCCGGCTGGGACCTGTCCCCACAGCACTCCGCGCCTGGCCAGGCAGCACCCCAGCTCTAGCTGCCCCGAGGCAGGGTCGGGGCTGATGCTATCTCCCTGGTAGTTAATGGGGCCGCTGCCAGCCTGCTTGGACTGGCCCCAGCCCGGCTGGACGCAGGCAGGAACTGCTTCTCCTCCTGGGGGGGCGATGTGGGCTCCAGAGCCCATTCCAGGGTGGGCGTGGAGGGTGTGGCCAGCTCTCCCAGGAGAGAAGTGATTTGCTGTGGGGGTCCCGGGTGCCCCTCCCTGTCTGCCCATCCCCTGCCCGTGGGAGGGCCAAGCCAGGCCCTGCTGGGAGGGAGGCAGTGAGCTGTGAAGGCTGATACCTATCACGGCTGCAGGGGCTGGCAGGGGCCAGCAGAGCCCACGCTGGGTGAGCAGCCTCCAGCCACAGAGCCCCGGGGCCACCGTTTAACCGCAGGAGAGCTGATATGAGCGCGGCCTTGCTGGATTCAGAGGCTAGAGGATGTTCAGGGGTCCGTGCCCACCCCCGACACACCAAGACACAGGCCGAGCAGCCCAGTCCACACGCCTCTCCACCCCCGACACACCAAGACACAGGCCGAGCAGCCCAGTCCACACGGCTCTCCTGGCTCAGCTCCCGTCGCCGATGTCCCGCCCCACCCCCAGACCCCAGCCCCGCGGGGAGGGCCCAGCCCACAGGAGAGGGCCGAGTCTGAAGACAGAGGCCCAGCAGGACTGCTGCCCACCCAGGCCTCCCAGGCCAGGACACTTCCTTAGGGGGGTGTCCAGGTGGCTACACTAGGGCCCCAAAGGAAGGAGGCACAGACGGCGTGTGTGAACAGTTTCTGTTTTAATGTCCACAATTGTGATCAATAAATAACTGTGACCTCCAGTGTCCCTGTGTGGCCCCAGGGACAAGCGTTGGCCACGGCCCGTGGGGGTCTATCCACATGCATGCGGAGGCGGGGCAGGTCCCAGGCAGGTGAGGGGCAGGGGCTGCAGGAGAGGGGCCGGCATGCTGCAGGCAGAGACAGTCAGACCTCAGGCGCTGCAGGTCAGACCTCGGCGCCCTGGGGGCTCTGCAGGCCACAGACAGCCTCAGGGGTCTGGGAACTCCTCGTCGCAACACAGGTGCCCCAGCCACTGCCAGGAATGACAGGGTCATCTGGGGCTGCGAGGGGGAGCCCTGGGGGTGGGACGCTGGAGTCGGCCTCACACTTGGTGGTGTGGCCAGAGAAGGGTTGGGGCGCTGCAGGGCCCAGCATGCCGGGTGGCTCGGGGGTGCCCCCGGTCAACACGGGACCCAGCTCGGGCCGCCCCCACGCCTCTCCAAGAGCCTGGGGCCCCTTGGCGGGCGCACGTTTCACAGAGAGGTCGAGGGGTGCGTCTGGCGGCCTCACGGCCTGCTCCAGCGCCTGGTGAATGGTGAGCAGCTCCAGGCGGATCTTGCCCAGCTGCTCCCGCAGGGGTCTCGGGGCCAGGCCCCCCGCGGGCCCCAACTGTCCCAGGCGCTGCTCCACCCTGGCGTAGTCACCGAGGGCTCGGGTCAGGTCCTCGCCCACATGCTCCGGGCTTCCTGGCACTGGGCCCCGTGGCTGCAGGGGGAGGGGGCCCTCAGGGCCGGGGGTCTCAGGGCCGCCTGGATCCCCGTCCTCAGGCCACAGCATCACAGAGGAGCCGGTGGGCAGGCTGTGGGGTGGAAGCTGGTCAGGAGGCCGCACTGCCCCCACAGCGCCCCCGGCCCCTGCCCCTCTCCCCTCACGGCCTCTGCCCTGTGGCCCCAGCCTAGAGCCTAGGCTCTCCTGGAGACCCCGAGGACCCCCGCGCTGGCTCTCGGGTCTCAGTTCCCCTCTGTGGCCTGGAGCCCACTTTCCCAGCGACTGAGCTCAGGACGGACCCCAGCCGCCATGCCCAGCCGCCCAACCGCCATGCCCAGCCGCCCAGCCCCTCCGTCCACCCCAGGAACCGGGAGCCCAAGACGCCCACCTGCTCCGGGAACAGAACCTTGTCAGGCTGGGGGATGCCTTCGGAAGCTCCAGCCTGCTTCCCAGGGACAGCCTCCTCCTGGGGTCACTCTGGGCTGCCCGCTCCAGCTCCCCCTCCTGCCCTGGGTCCCTGGGGGTGACTCGGGGCCAGGGCCCCAGCCCTGGAACTGGCACCTTCAGCAGGCCAGGAGCCGGAGTCCCAGAGGGGCTCCTGGGGGAGACAGGGGCCTTGGCAAGGGCAGCTTTGCCTGCTGGCAGCCCCAGAGTGTGCTCCAGAAGCAGCGGGTAGTACAGGCGGGGGGCCGGGGTGGGGCGCTGAGGGGGCTGCACGGCTGGGAAGGCCGTGGCCGGGGGCAGCAGGGGGCTGGCCGAGGCCAGGAAGGGCACATGGGCTGCAGCGGCCAGTGAGGGCCCCAAGTAGGAGAAGAGGCCGGGGCTGAGCGGGTAGTTGACGCCCAGCAGAGACAGGTGGAGGCTGTGGGCCTCAGGGAACTCCCCTGGGGCAGGCGGGGGATAGCAGGGGACGCTGCCCTCAGGGCCTGCTGAGGCCATGTCCCCCGCACCCACGCCCCTTGGGTCCCCTCCCATCCCCGGCTTCCACGACTCAGGCAGGAGCCCACTGGGGCCGGGACCCTTCCGGGTGGCCCTAGCCACAGGGGGTGGTGGCCCTGGGGACCCCTTGGCCCTGGACTTGGGGCCTCCGCCACAGTGCAGGGAGTGGATGTCGGCGACCACGAGGTCAGGCGCGGGGGCAGCACCTGTGGGCCGTGCTCCCTGGGGTTGCCTGCCGGGGTCGGACTCCCCAGGGCGGTCTGGGGTGGGTGCGTGGGGCCTAGGCGTGGTGGAGCCACGGCGGCACGCCCAGTCTGGGGAGTCTAGCAGCAGGGACAGGGAGTCCTTGCAGAGGCTGTACTTCATGTGGTTGTAGAGGTGTGACTTCTCCAGGCAGGTGAAGGGGCACTGGAAGCATTTGTAGTTGTAGGGTTTGCCCCAGGGCCGCGGGATGTAGTGTGGCTTCTTGGGCTTCCGAGACCGCGCCCTCGCCCCTGTGCCCACGCGGCATGAGCCCGCCTCCCGCGACATGGCAGCCTGCTATGAGGCAGGGCCGGGCACCATGGCCACCTGTAGATGGGGCCACAGTCAGTGCCAAGCCTGCCTCTGACTAACTCCCCACTCCTCTCCATCCATGGCTCCCCAGGCTCCAGGGACTGGAGCCTGGGTGCTCCCCCCACCCCGCCGCCTCTGCCCTGCAACGTGCCCCCCGAGCCCCATCCTTCGGCTCCTCCCCACGTGCACTTCCAGGGTGGCAGCAAAGTCCAGGGCACCAAAAAAAAAAAAAAAAGTCCAGGACAGCGAGCTGCATCTGACGCCGATCAGCAGCACGTCATTTCTGAGTGTTAAGTGTAGCCTAGGCAATATTGGAAAGGCACACTAGAAAGGTGTTCATTGTTTATCGGAAATTCGATTTTAACTAGGCGTCCTTTATTTTATCGGTTGACCCTACACACATCCCCACCCCTGAGGCCAGGCCGACTTGCTGGCCAATTTCTAGGATAGTTCAGCCCACACCCATCTCCCCACAGCATGTGAGTGGCTAAAAGAATCAGCGTGACCAGAGCTCACTTCGGGTGGACGTCAGCCTCCTGGTCTCATTCCCTCCAGCAACCCTGGCCCCTGCCAATCTGCCTGTTCAAAGCCTAGGAAAAGGCACTGAGATGAGACACCAACGGAAGGGTCTGTGTGGGATGATGCTGCGTGTGTGTGTGTGTGCCTGTGTGTGTCTGTGTGTGTGCATGTGTGCGTGTGCATGCACGTGTGTGTGCGTGCATGTGCGTGTGTGTGCACACGTGTGTGCGCCTGTGTGTGCATGTGCCTCTGTGCATGCTTGTGTTCATGTGCACGTGTGTGCATTGTGTGTGCATGTGTGCATGCATGCATGTGTGAGTGCGTGTGTATGCGTGTGTGTCTAAAGGCGGCACAGAGCCTGCTCTAGCAGGGCGTCAGGTGGGCACTGGGGGTCTCTTAGGGGGTCAGTCTCATGTGGGGCCAGGCCAGGCTGTGGGGAGTGGACGTCCCAGCATGGCCCCACGGCTCAGCCACCTGCTCAGCCCAGCTCCATCTGGGTGGCTTCGGGCAGGTCAGCGGCCGAGCCTGCAGCGGCCACACTCAGCCAAGACCCGCTCCTCCCCACGCCCCACACGGCGCTGGTATGCGCGCCACACTCCATCTGGGCCGCCACCTGGGCTGTCCACCGCCCCAGCACGCGCCTGTGTGGGGTGCACAGCACGCCTGCGCACACGGGCTTTGGGTGTGTGTACACAGCCCACAGGCTCACACAGAGCCCTCACCCAGTGCCCGGAGAAGCCACCTCTGTGCCACCTAAGCTCAGAACGGAGTCTGCCACCAAGTGCGGGGCCCTGGCTGCACACACCTCACACTCCATCACGGTGAACACGGCTGCTTGTCCGTGATAACACACTCACCACCCATCCAGGTGTGGGGGGGCTTTCCAAACCACTCCAACACGGCACTCACATGCTCACACAGGCCCTACACACCGACTCCCCAGGACACACGCAGACCTGGCTGGGGGTCGCACCCGTGGTCATGCATGGCCAGTGGGTTGAGCAGGGTAGGGCTGGGGCACTGCTGTCTGCTGCCCCCAAAACACTGTGTTGGTGCCGTTGGGGGGACGACCAACAGGGCTGGAGAAGTCCACTCGTCCAAAGGCTTGGGGCCCTGCAGGGCAGTCACGGGCTGCAGGGGCAGGCAGAGGCTGACCAGCTGGTCTGTGGCTGAGACAGGGTGGCGGTCGGGAGGCAGGGGCTGGGCCAGGAGAGGTCCTGGGGCTCCCCGAGGGGCTGCAGACCCGGCCTGGACTGGGTGGTGGGTGCAGAGGCGGCCCCTTCTCCCTGCCCGCCGCCCCCCCCACCCATGTGGATGACAAATGGGTGTGGGCGCTCCGGCGACAGAGGCGGCTGTGCCGGGCCATCGATCACCCAGCCCTGGGAGCCACACAGCTGTGCCAGCCGATGCCACAACCCATCCCGCCTCCCAGCAGGGACCGGGGGCTCCCGGGTCAGGGGCTTGTCCAAGGGGCTGTCTCAGCAGCTGCTGACCCCTTGGGGACCCGGAGGATAGCTGGCACCCACCTGGTGTGTGTACACAGAGCAAAAGACACCCCTGGACAGCAGCCACACGCACACACAAACGCATACGCACTCACACGCGCGTCCCAGCCGGACCCGGCAATCGCTCCCGGGGCAGCCAGCAGCCCTGTGCCAGGCCCCGACACCCGGCCCCACTCACCTGTCCCTGTTTGGGGGAGAGCTGGGGGAGAACCGGTGGCACGGGGGGCACAGGCACCCCCACAGGGCAGGAGGGGGCACCCAGCAGCCGGGGACCCTGATCGGCCACCCGCAGATCCTGCTGCCCCCCCCCCCGGGAACGCAGGGCGCCCCACACAGGCGGGTGCGGCGAGCGCGAGGTCAGGCGTCTGCCCCAGACCCCAGACCCGGCCCCTGCCCTCCCCGCCTGGCCCCTGAGGGCGGCCCTCCCTCCCCCCGCGCTGCTCCTGGACTTCGAGAAGAGGGTGGGGGGGACCCGGCCGCCCCCCGCGCCCCCCACACGCCTGGCCACCCGCTGCCCCCGCGCCCCGCGTCCAGCCGGCCCCGCGACGCCCAACTGGCCGCCCCCGCGGCTCCCGCCGCTCCTACCTGCGCCCGGCCGGGAGCGGAGCCGCCAAGTCTGCGAGGCCGCGTGTAGGGCGCAAACTTCCCGCCCCTCCCCGCCCCGCGCCGGCCGCGACTCGGACCCCGCGGACGCGCTGGGGCTCTGGGGGTGGGATGCGGCTCCCGTGGGGGAAACTGAGGCCCGGCGCCGGGAGCCGGACCTCCCGGGTCCGCGGTCCCTCGAGCGGCAGCGACTCCCGCAGCCTCCGCCGCCGCCCGCGTCCCCCCGACGCCGCTCGCACCTCCCGAAGTTGGCGGCAGAGGCGGGCGCGCGTGCGCCTGGGCTCCGGGCTCCGGGGGGCGCTGCGACCTCCGACCGCGCTCGCGGCGGGAGGGAAGGAGCAGCCCCCGGCCCGAACCCCGCGCCCCCGCCGCCCGCGCGCCCCCCGCCGCCCCCTGGCGCGCACTCACCGGCCTCGTGCGCCGGGACCGGCTCAGCTCTCGGGGCGCGCGGTGGAGCGGCCGGGAACCCGGGAGGCAGCGGACGGAGAGCGGACTGCGGCGCAGGTGTGCGGCCGAGTCAGGGGCGCCCGGCGCCTCCCGCCCCCGTTGCCCGCAGGCTGCCGCGGGGGTGCACAGAGGCCGCCAGGTCTCCCGGGTCCCCGCCGCGGCGTGATGGGTGTCAGCGGCGCGGGGCGCGGGAGAGGGGCCGTCAGCGCTTATCCATCAGGGCTCTGGCCCCTGACAGCCGCCGGCCCACCCGAGCCAGGGCCCCTGGGGGCTGTCCTGGGGGACAGGGGTGCCGCGGACTGAGCCAGCGGAGCCGGGCTCCCTTCCTTGCCCTCCCTGGGCGAGCCCTGCCCTCCGTTCTCTTTTCCTCTAAACCGGAGGCTGCCCGGACCGGCCCCTCGCACCCCGCCCTGCCGGCTGACCGCCTCCACCTGGGGCTGGTCTCCAGCACCCTCCCCCTTCCTGGATGCGGACCCCTCCAGCCCTCACTCCCGGCTCCTGTGGGAGGTGCCTCAGCGCTGCCCCACGAGGCCACGCACTTCCCTGCTGTTTGAAAGACCCCCTCCCCACGGGAGTCCCCTCCTGAGAGGACCTGGGGCGGTGGAGGAGAGAAGCAGGGCCAGGGCTGCTCCCAGCCCCACCTCCCGGGCTGCACCAAGTTCCAAGCAGCTCCCTGAGCTGCCAGAACGTAAAGGCCTGGAGCCCCACTGCTCAGCTGGGGCCTAGGGGAGGTTCGCCTGACCGGCCTGCTCCCTCCCGGACACAGGCATGGCTGGGGCAGAGCCCCTGACTTCGCTCAGGGGAGACGTCCTAAACCCGACACTTGCGGTAGGCGGGCGTCTCGGGGTCTCCAGCCAGAGGGGAGTGTGCTACTCCCTGCTGACTCTGAAACAGCACAGGGAGCCCGGCCCACATAGCTCCCCAGGACCTGGGGCTCTCTGCAGGCTCAGCCGCAGGCTCCCGGGCTGTCCCCAGCTCAGGTCGGGGTCAGGGGTGCCTTGGGGAAGAAGGGAGGACCCCACGGGGCTTCTGGGTGTCACCCCTCGAATGGGGCAGAGAAGAGAGCTCAGCAGCATCTCCGTGGCCCCGGTCCGGCTGCTGGCAGAGCCCCCTGGTAGAGCACACCCAGGGTCCATGAGGAACAGCCCCTGGTTCTGGGGTGGGCGTGGGGCTCTGTCTCCCTCCTGCCTCCATGCCACCTTCCCTGACACAGCCGCACACGCCCGTCTGAGGGAAGTCCCTGGGGCGGGGCAGGGGACTGGGAGGGGTGCTGTGGATGGCAGAGCATGCCAGCCTTCTCTCTGCCCACCTGGCCTGGCCCAGCTGACCAGCTGACCGTGCAGGCAGCTCCGGGCCGGGAGACAGCTTGGGCTGCCGTCACGCCAGCAGCCCCGTGGAGAGCGGGGGCCAGGAGGCCGGCTGCTTCTGTACATAGACTCTACTCTGGACGTGTTCAGCTGAGCACTGCCCCGGGAGACTAGGGTCCAAGGTCACCCTGACACCAGTAGTCCCTCAGTGGCCAGCCCGAGACTGACCCCTTTGAAGGTCTGGAAGAGGCCACAGCTGACAGCACAGGAGACCAACTGGCTGGAGGCTCTGGCCATTGTCCAGGGGAGGAAAGTAGGGAGCAGGGAGGCCTGGTCTTGGAGCACCTAGATGTCAGCATACAGGAAATAAAGCCCAGTGAAGCTCAGGGGACCAAGGAGCCCCAGAGGGGGAACAAGGCCGTGTCTAGCGCTGAGCAGGCTGAAGGAGCACCTCCACCCCTCACCACCGATGGGCCTTTGCAGAAGTTTGCATGAGAAGAGAAGAGGGGCAGCCTCGAGAGGGGCCCCGGGGCACAACTTGGACGTGTTTCTGGCCTCCCGGAAGGACTCTGGCAGGGAGGATGAGGGGGCCCTGCACCTGCTGGTGGGGGTCCTGAGATTCAGCCGTGCACGAGGTGGGGGGTGAGGAGCATGTGAGGCCAGTACACTGGGTGCCCAGATGACTGTTCCCATCACAAACAGCCAGGCGAGGCCGGGATATCAGTGCCAGCACCCCGCAACCACAGGGCCCCCTGGGCACGTCAGCTTCCTCACTGTGGCCATGACCCACCTGCTTGGTCCCAGCTCTTGCACACTGGGCTGACTTTGGGTTTGGAGAGGTGGCTTCTGCTTCCTGAGGCAGTGACTGGGACTCTGTTTTGGCACCTGTGCCCCCACCCCCCCAACTTTCTGGCCCATGGCCCCCATCTGCAGAATGGGCAGTGGGGTGCTCAGTGTCCGGGCACTTCTGCTCTGGTCCTAGTGGGTGCCCTGATGTCTCCTTAGCCAGTCCCAGTGCAGGGTGGGATGGGGACCCCATGGCCCCTCCTTCTGCCTCCAGCCAGAAGCTCATTTTTGGCCATTAACCTCTTCTGCCCGGTCTGCCCACGGCTGCCCGCCTGTCACCTCCATTAACAATGGGACTCTGTGCCGGGGGCTCACGGGCAGGACGGAGAGCTGGGCTCAGAGAAGGCAGCGGAGGCAGCGCTCGGCATGGCCAGTGCCCGGGGGCAGGCCTGTCTCATCCCCTCAGTGTCGACACACAGCCAGTGTCAGGACAGGTGCAGGGGCCGGGGTGCCTGCACCCACACAGTGAGGGCAGTGTCAGGGCTGCAGCCAGGCTGGAGGCCCCACGCAGGTCCTGAGACCGGGGCAATCTATCCAGCGGCAGCAGGTTGGAGCCCCCACGTGGGGTCAGTACCTTGCAAGGTGTCCGGACACAGCTGATGTCTGTCCTTTCAATAACGGACCCCAGGGCCTGTGGCCACCCTGAGCACTTCAAGAACCCCAGGTCTACAGAGCATAGGCCTCCTGGGGGCTTCCTCCTTGCTGCCCACTTGAGGATCCCTGGTTGAGAGGGGCAGCCCAGCCTTGGCGGAAGGGGTCATGGATACACGTGAGGGCCCTCGGCACCAGCCTGAGGCTGCTGGCCTTGATGGGCGGGTACACAGTGGGGGTGCCAGGGGAGAACGGAGGGGGCTGGGCAACCGAGTGGGCCAGAGCGCCCAGGACAACGGCCCAAGGGTGTGGGGGGCACACGAAGAGCCTGCGGAGCTCTGGGGTCCCTGGGTCCATCCACCTGAGGGAACGGGGGCCCTGTTAGGAGGCGCCTGAATGGGGGCTCCAGGAGTCTTCCGGCTCGAGCACTACCAGGGATAGTCCTCCCCAGCAGCCCTGACCATCCCAGAGTCCACACCAGAGAGTCCCCTCCCCACCCGCCTCCCGGCTCTGGAAGACCCCAGCTGGGCCCTTCCCCATGCACTACACTCTCATAGACGTGCCGGGTCACTGGCCACCCTGGGCCGGGTGCGGGGCTGACCCTCTGTGTGTCCTGAGCCTCTGGGACGGAGGAGGGTACAGGACGCTCCTTGGAGGGCTGAGCTGCTGTGGTGGGAGTGAGCCCCGTCCCAGGAGGCTGGGATGTAGACTGACAGAGGGGGCAGCCAGCCAGGCGGGTGGGACGGGAGGCTGAGGCTGCTCGAGCCCCCACCGGCTCCCGAGCCTGGCACTGGCCAGCAGCGCCCGGGGCCGACAGCAGCCATATGTTGGGAAGAGGAGCTGTGTGTGTCTCTCTGCGGCCCCCGGGGCTGGCCTTCCTGGGCCTGTCACAGATGATTTTCCCCGCCTGAGTGGCAGGCGGGCTGGCGGGCGGGGTGGCGGGGCCTCCAACTGGCAGGTGGGGTGGTGGGGCCCCATGTCCAGCCCCCCCATAGCCCTCAGCACCAGGGCTGGCCACTGTTGGGGTAGATCCGGGTCCTGGGCCTTGGCCTCCCACCCCCCAAAACCTCACTGAGCACCCCCGGCCTGCCATGGCCACCCCTGCCCAGGTCTAGGTCGGGGTCCTAGAGGAGCCCTGGCCGGCCAGTGGGGAGCGGGCACTCCTGCCAGGACATGGGCAGGCAGCCAGGGGTCCACACTGGGCAGCAGTGCGCCCCGGGCAGGCGGGAGAGGGCCTGGAGCCGCGGCCCAGTCAGCCTGGAGCCCAGAGCTGTGGAAGGAGGCGAGGAGGCCACGGCTAATTTGTACACTAAATGCTTCTGACAGCGATGCCTCATAAGTGAGAACTTGCCACTGCCCACCCCGGGAAGGCTGTGGCCAGCAGCGCCAACAAGAGGGGCCAGGAGAGGGCACCGTGGGGGCACAGGGCTGGGACAGACCAGATACACCAGAGAGATGGTGCTGTTGGTGGGGGTGAGACCCAGGAGGAGATGCGGGGGAGGGGAGAGGCCTGCACAGAGAAGGGAGGGGAGGGCTGGGCGGGGGCCGGGCAGTGACAGTGGGAAGGAGTCAGCCCCGACAGCTGCCACCAAGGTCTGCCCCGCGCCAGGGCTGTGTGTCCTGCCCAGCCAATCCTCCCTGCTGCCTGCAGGACGCTCGCATCTTTTCCCCTTACCTGCTGCCAGCCGCCTCCTCCAGGCCTCCGCAGCAGCCCCTCACGTGGCCCCGGCCCAACACCTGGCAGGGTCTGTGCTGTGGGACCCTGAGTCCTCTGCAGACGCCCCCCCTTTCCCTCATCACCTCCCTGTGGGAGCTGCTCCCGGGGGCTTTCAAGTGGAGAGGAGGCTGCTGGCTGGGCTAGTGGGGACTCTGGGCAGCTGAGGGGGTGGGCACGGACCCCTTGCCTGCTGTGCGGGACTCCTGCAAGAAGGAGGGTCCTTCTTGTGGGCCTCTGTCCTGGGCCACCCCAGGACTGGGGTGGCAGAAGCCAGAGAGGTGGGTGGTGGTGGGGGTGGGGCCAGGGACAGAGGAGCAGGGTCTCGGGAGGAACGGGGGTCCCAGATACCCCAGGACTAGACAGAGCCAGCTCTGTGCCAAACAGGAGCGGGCACGAGCCCGGCCCCCACCCACAGGAGGAGTGTGACGTGGCGCAGTCGCGGAGCAGCAGGGCCGGCGTCCGCGGGCACCGAGGTGAGATGTGTTCTGGCAGCTCCCCGCCGCCCGAGGCCCGCCCGGAGCGAACACTGCTGGTGGCTTTAATTGCTTTCACATTCGATACGCTGCCCGTGACAGCCTCTTACCCCGCGCCGGCCGCACCCCAGCCCCCAACTCCGTCCAGGGAGACAGCAGAGCCTCCGAGCGGGCGCTTTGCTCAGCAGCACCCGTGTGGGGGCAGAGGCCACCCTGGGACGAGGCTGGGAGGGGACAGGAAACTTTTCTCCCCACGCGCCCCCTCACTCCATCTGCTCCTGCCGGGTGACTGATGGGTTCAGACAGAGCCCCCCGTGCGGATGCCTCGCTGGAAGAAGCTGCATGCGCTGCTGTCCCGTCTGCCCAGTCCTTCCCGGCCCTGGGGCTGCGGCCGCAGGGTCTGACCCCTGCCCCCGCCCAGTCACTCCGTCCTTCCTGGCTGCGTCCATTTGGCAGGGCCGGCTGCCCCTTACAAGCTTGTGAGTCACCCCACCACGGCCATCTCCAGGGGCCCCCACCCGTCCGCCTGCCCGGGATGCCTGGGCAGGGCCTACCCCTCAGACCTGCAACCTCCCCGCCCTTCCACAGGGCCCTGCGCGGGGCAACAGCAGGAGGAGGAGGCGTGATTACAAAACAAAACGCTTTTATTTGGTCCATTGGAGCCTGAGTCGGAAGCCACTGTGGAGAATCCTATGGTAAAGGAACGGGACTGACAATTGATAAAATAGTCTCTGTGTCACAAGAGCTGGCCGTATTTACAGGGTTAAAAATATTCACAGCTCAGAGTACAGGGAGGCCAAAGGGGAGTGGGAATGTTTCTCCAGGTGAAAAGGCCCCGGAAGCCCCTGCCGGGGTAGGAGGGGGAGTGGGGGCGAGGCCGGCCCGCTGCCGGGAGTGAGGGGCCAGGAGGGCACGCAGAAAGCTGGGCTCAGACGTCCACACACTCCTGGGCTTCTGTGGGGAGGTGGGAGCGGCTGAGCCCTGCCCGTGCCCACGATGTGCTGGGGTCCCTCTCTGGCAGGGCCGGGCCGAGGGACAGGGTTGGCTGAGGAGCCTGCTGGTCCCAGTGTGCCCGGCAGCAGTGAGCGGTGCTGAGAACTGGTGCCCACCCACAGCGGGCCTGGCGCCCGCCTGCACCCAGTCATGGCTTCGATCCTGGCGGGCACTCCAGGATTTGCATAGTGTCGCTGGGGGGCTGGCCAAGGGCCCCTTCTTCTGAGACAGGCACCGCCCCGGGACTCGCCGCTCCACACCAGGGCTCCAGGGACCCCGCCTGCCCTGTGGGGGACAGGGACCCGGGCTCTGGGGGAAAACTGACCTTATGCCCCGTGAGGGGTGGTCCCTGATCCCACCCCAGGGTCTTGGCCTCTGACACCCAGATTTGGTTTTGCGGACAGAGCTCCTGGCTGCCTAGCCCGCAGGAGACCCTGAGCCCACAGGGAGGGGCAGCCTGGCCTCGGCCCCCGTCGGGTGTTGGGGCTGGCAGGTGAGCGGGGCTGGTTCACAGCCCGCCTGGTTCGAGGTATTCTGCGTGGCGGCCAGGAGGCCTGGCCAGGCGGACTGTGGGGTTCAGGGAGGGGAAGGAGGGGGGCGGGGGGCCCATGGGAAGCTGAGCCCTGGGCTGGCAGCTCCCTGGGCGGGGTCCTGAGATTCTGGCTCAAGCGTCCTCTGTCGGGGTCTCCCTCATAAAGTGCGTGTGGGGGTGGGGGGTCCGTCTGTGCACAGCCCCTGCCCCAGGCATGGTGGTCACAGCGGTCGGGGCCCATGCAGACCGGCGACCTCTGGCGTGAGTGGGGGGCTGTGGGTCCCCTTGGAGGCTGTCCAGTCACTGAGGAAGGCCTGGGCTGCCTTGCGATGTGCCAGGCGGTGGGTGATAGAGAAGCCGGCGTTGCCCTCTAGCTGGGACAAGATCACCAGGACCTGCCTGGGGGAGGGGACCGGTGAGGACCTGTGGAGGGCAGGGTGGGGATGGGGGCAGGGCTGTGCCCACCTGTACAGGGGCAGGAGCAGGAGTGGGGTGACAAACACCCGTACAGGGGTGGGGGCAGGGGTATGAGCACACCTCTGCAGGGGTGGGGGGGGCATGGGTTGGGTGTGGGTGCAGCGGGGTAGGGGAGGGGGCACCTGTGCAGGGGTGGGGGGGCACGAGTTGGGTGTGGGTGCAGCGGGGTAGGGGAGGGGGCACCTGTGCAGGGGTGGGGGGGCAGGGGCGGGGGCGCACCTGTGCAGGGGTGGCACGCTATCCTGGGTACGCAGGCTGCCGCGTGTGGACACCACGTTGAAGCTGTCGGTGCAGTCACACTGCACGTGCAGGTAGGCCTTGGGGTGTCGGTTCTCCACCACCACGATGAGCCCCGCCCAACCGTGTGTCAGGTAGTAGCAGGTCATGCCCTCACGGCCCTGGGCACAGGAATGGCAGTTGTGGGGCAGGGGAGGTGCTGGGGCATACTCCCCCTGCCCCACGCCACCCTCCCCCGGGACCCCCACCCACCTCGTGCCGCTCTCCGCGGCTCTCGGTGAGCAGGATGATGGCGTCGGCCAGCGTGGTCGGCTGGGCTTCCACGGGCTCCACCATGACCAGCCTCGAGCTGTACACAGCCAGCACGTGGCCCGGCGGCTCTGGGGAGGCTCTCGGGACCCCTGCCGAGGGGCTGGAGGCTACAAGGACGGGCGTGTGAACCGCAGCCCTCCCCGTGGGCCTGGGGCATGAGCCTGGGGTAGGGGCCACGTACCCTGGGGGGCAGGGGTGCCCGGCAGGGGCGGCCCCCAGTGGTTGAAGGCGCAGCACACCACAGCGTACTCGCCAGGCTCCAGCATGACGTCGCAGCTGACGAACTTCTTGACCGCGCGCTTACTGTGGGCCAGGAGGCGGCCCAGGCTGAGGTGGCCGCCGCTGCCGAACGTGGCCCGGAACACCAGGATGCACAGGTCCAGCAGGTGGCTGTCCACGGCGTCCGAGCGCCTGCGCCAGACACCACGGGCCAGGGTCACGCGTGGTCACGGCCGCCAGCCTAGCCCAGCCCAGCCCGATGGGGCCCCGCAGCACCCACCTGCTGCCCTCCTGGAAGAGCGCGAACTCCAGCGAGGCCCGCTCCAGCACCGTGAGCGCTGTTACCCCCACGGGCGCGCTGGCCGAGCTGGGAAAGCAGCCCTGCACCCGCGCCTCCTGCCAGTCCGAGTGCACCTTACAGATGTCCACGGAGTCGAAGTACCTGCAGGTGGCGGGAGGACGGGGCCCTGAGCCTACCACGGCCCACACCTCCGTGGCTCAGCGCCTACCGCAACCACAGGCCGGTGACCCCAGCAGGTGCCAGCTGCTCCGTCACCGTCCTCTTGCAGCCCGGCCCCCGGGGGCCCATCCCTGAGGCCTATAATAGGAAGCCCTCCAGGGCCGGCTCTTCAGGGCGCTGGAATCTGCTGACCTGGGTGGACCTGAATTCTGAGGTTGGCACCTTGGAGCTGAAGCTCCAGGTCCCATTTGGGCCACGAACAAGCCGCCCCACCCCAGGTCAGCAGGAGGGACAGGCTTGTTCTCCAGAGAAGGACTCGGCCCTAGGAGGGCGGGGGCGGCGTGCACACCGCCCCACGGTGCCGATACCTGACAAAGTCGCCGTACTCCATCCAGAAGACACCCTCACTGCTGCCGTGCGGCATGAGCTCGCCACGCAGGTGCCCCGGCCAGTGTGGCCACTCGTCGGACCAGCTGCCGTTCCAGGAGAAACGGCCCCACGGGTTTCGGAGCCGCAGAAGCCTGCAGACCACAGGGGTGAGGATCTGAACCACACTGCCCGAGTCTCACCGGCACCCCACCCACCCTCAGCCAGGCCGGCCCTACCTGGTGCCCTGGACATCTCGGACATCCAGGATGGAGTAGGCATGCCGGGGGCGCAGGCCCAGGCTCTCGTAGGCCGAATCGTCCACCTTCATGTTGCCCCCGCCACAGGAGGCACCCATGAGGAACCTGTGTGGCAGAGCGGCCCTCACCGACCGGGACCCTCACCGACAGGGGACCCTCACCGACCGGGGACCCTCACTGACCGGGACCCTCACCGACTGGGGACCCTCACCGACCGGGGCCCTCACCGACCGGGACCCTCACCGACGGGGCGCCCTCACCGACCGGGGCCCTCACCAACAGGGGCCCTCACCGACCGGGGACCCTCACCGACCGGGGCCCTCACCGACCGGGGACCTCACCGACCGGGGACCCTCACCGACCGGGGCCCTCACCGACCGGGGCCCTCACCGACAGGGGACCCTCACCGACCGGGACCCTCACCAACAGGGGACCCTCACCGACCGGGGCCCTCACAGACAGGGGACCCTCACCGAAAGGGGACCCTCACTGACCGGGACCCTCACCGACCAGGGACCTCACCGACAGGGGACCCTCACCGACCGGGACCCTCACCGACCGGGGCCATCACCGACGGGGCACCCTCACCGACCGGGGCCCTCACCGACCGGGACCCTCACCGACCGGGACCCTCACCGGCAGGGGACCCTCACCGACCGGGACCCTCACCGACGGGGACCCTCACCGACAGGGGACCCTCACCGACCGGGACCCTCACCGACTGGGGGCCCTCACCGACCGGGGACCCTCACCGACAGGGAACCCTCACTGACAGGGGGTCTCACTAACCAGGGGCATGGCTGAGTGGGGCCCTCACCGACTGGGGGCATGGCTGAGCGGGGCCCTCACTGACCGGGGCCTTGCTGACCAGTGCCCTCGCTGGCCGCGACCTTGCCACCAAGACAGGCAGGCGCAGCAGAGAAGGGCCCACTCCTGCCTGTAGGGACCACGTGAAGTGTTCAGGAGGGTCTGGACCAGCCCCCTCCACCATGCCTGAAGCGCACAGGGCCTGAGTCAGGGGTGGCAGGCCTGGGTCCCCTGGAGGCCTTGTGGGGCTGGCTCTGGGCTCTGTGGCTCCCGGGCGGGTGGGGGGTGGGCAGCAGCACTGCCCAGGGTCAGCTGAGAGGAGGGCTCCGGGAGCTTCAAGGTGCTCGCACCGGGGCACTCCGAGGAGGCCCCTGGGGGTCGAGGCACAGACCCGCTGACCAGAGTGTGGCCAAACTCGACACGCCGCTCACGCCTGCCCCGAGGCGGATGACGGCATCAGTCTCGCCCCACGGCCCAGGTCAAACTCGACACGCCGCTCACACCTGCTCCGGGGTGACGGCATCGGTCTCGCCCCACGGCCTGGCCAGGATGTGGCCTTCCTGGCATGAGAAGGCCAGCTCCAGCCCCGCCCAGGGAGGGGGAGGTGATTGGGGCTGTGGCCTGGCCACGCGGGGTCAGCCCACGCCAGGGGCACCTCGTGGAAGCAGAACTGGGTCAGGGGCCACCAGCCCCACATCTCCCACCGCTCCGCCTCGCCTCTCCTCCCAACGCGGCTGACCACGCAGTGCCCCTCCTCTTACCCAGCCTCCTTAGAACTCAGCATTTTGGCCCAGATGAGGTCAGTGTCAACGGGCTCCTCGCGGGGGTTAGTGGAGCTGAGCTGCAGCGCCAGGCTCTCACAGGGGGCGCCGGTGAGCGTGGCCAGGCCTTCGATGGCGCGGCCCGCCTGGAGCGCAAAGTAGGAGCCGTGCAGCTTGGCCAGCGCCTTCTCGATGAGGGCCACCCACAGCTGCTTCCGCTGCGCCTGCAGAGGGCCGGGTCAGAGGCCACCCCCGCCCGCCCCCCACACTACCCGCCCTGGGAGAAGAGGAAGCAGCCGGCCTTGTTTTCGGGGCTGGGGTCAGAGGCTGCCCCTGCCGCCCGTGCCCACCCTGCAGGCCGCCCCACCTGTGAGAAGAGGAGGCAGCCGGCCTCATCACAGGGCAGCATGTCGTCCACCAGCACCGTGGTCCACGTGCCGTCCTTGCACAGCCGCACCTGGTAGGCGCCCTCTGCACACAGGCTGCGCGTGACCATCACCCGCTCCACCAGGTCCGGCCGCTCCGCCAGCACCGCCAGGGCGCTCAGGAACCTGCGCAGAGCCTCAGGGTGACCTCGCGGGGACCGCGGCCGGTCGCCCGCCCACCCGCCCCACCCCGGCCTTGGAGAAGGCCTCACCAGCAGTTCCCCAGCAGCCCCTGCAGGATGTCTGAGGGCCGCAGTGTGTGGAACACAGACCACGTGGCCCTGTGGTCCCTGAAGACGGAGCAGTTGATCTCCTGGGGTCGCAGCCACTGCCTCACACGCTGCTGCACGCTGTCACCCGCGGGGAAGCCGACAGACTCGGGCCCGGGAGGGAAGCTGTCATCCACGAAGCTCACATTGTTCTGCAGAGACCACGGCCATGTGCTCAGGCTGGGCAGGGTGGCCTCGCTCCACCTGGCAGGGACAAGACCCCACCCAGGAGAGCGCCCAAAAGCACTGCCTGAGCCCCAAAGGGACGGGTGGAGCGTGGACAGCCACAGACCTGGCGCCGGCCCTGTGTCGAGGAAGCCCTCAGCCCTAGTGGAGAGGCCACCGGCTGGCGACAGGTGAGGAGCAGGGGACGTGTGGGCCCAGGGGGACAGCGCAGCCCCCAGTGGGTGGCAGCACGACTCTGGCCCTGGCCCTGCTGGGGAGGGTGCAGGCTGCGCCCCAGTTGACCCGTGGGTGATGCCATCCTGGACTCTAGAGGGCGGAGCACGGGTACATCCCGACCTCGCACTTCAGCGGGGTCTCCACGCTGCCCCTGGGAAGCCCTCGCCTCCTGCGGCACATCAGACGGGGCTCGGGGCCCTCCTGGCCACGGTGGAGGGTTGAGGGGGGTGAAGGTCGTGCATCTCGGTCACCAGCAAGGACCAAGGGTCAGGAGGCCAAGCTGGACCCCAGGGCCATTGGGAGCTTGGAGCCTCGGGGCGGAGGGTGCTGCCCTCCCCATCACGTCTTAGGCCTTGTGGGCTCCTCCCCAGCCCATCGCCAGAGCCCAAAGCCTAGGAAGGGGAGGGCGGGAGCAGGAGGCTCAGGAGCAGGAAGAGGGCGAGGGGGCGCCTCACCTCCCGGCAGAAGGCCACGATGTTCTCCCAGAGTGCCTTGGCCTCGCCCTCGTCTGTCTGCCGCCGCTGCTCCACGTGCATGCTCTCCCTGCGCCTCAGGGGCGCGGCCCCCCGCCGCTGGGCCACCAGGAGCTGAGGCGTGTGGCAGGCGGCGCAGTGCTTGGCCCGCAGTGCGTTGAGCAGGGTACAGGCAGGGCAGGCCCACTGGCCCGGGCGCTCGGGCAGGACGCGGGCGGCCTTCTGGGCCGAGGACACCCGTCCGCAGCTTCTGCCGCAGGGGCTGGGCTTGTCGGCCCCACAGTCGGGGCAGTGGGTGGGGGGCTCGCCATGCTCCTGGAAGCCGTGCAGTTTGGAGCAGCCGCAGGCCGAGCACCTGGGGGCCACTGTGGGGTTTCTGAGCGTGCACTTGGCACATGACCAGGTGGTGAAGTCGGGGCTGGAGGGGCTGGCGGGCGTGTAACGCACGGTGTCTCCGGCCAGGTCAATGATGTCACTGCCCGAGGTGGAGCTGCCGGCCTCTACGCGGCTGGTGCCACCCTCCGTGGCCTCTTCCTCCAGCACACTCAGCCGCTTGCCAGACAGCAACTCTGCTAGGCGGGAGGCCCCAGCCCAGCCCGAGCCCTGGGGGGCTCCCCTGCAGCCGGCAGAGGGTGACGGCTGGGCAGCCTCAGGCACCGGTGGCTGCAGCTGGGGGGGAACCTCGCGTCGGCTGCGCGGCACGGGGTTGTTCTGCAGGGTGGACGAGAAGGGGCTGAAGGGCGGGACCCTGGGCGGCTCTGGTTCGGCAGCTGGGCCCTGGCTGGTGGCTGGGGGGTTGGCCTCGGCACCTTCCCCGGGGAGGCCAGGTGGAGGCGCGGCAGGCACGACGTGGAAGCCGGCCGGGGCCACCACTTCCGGGACCACCAGGGCCTCAGGAGGGATCCGTGGCAGCGAGAGCCTGCGTGGGCCCCCGCAGACGGAGCAGGAGCTGGCCACGGGCGTGTTGTGCAGCGTGCAACGCGGACACGCCCAGCCCCCTCTGGGCTCCGCCGCTCCCTCCTCCTCCTCCTGCTCCTCCTTCTCCTCCTCGTCCTTGTCCTCGCACTGCCCCCTGGCGGGCTCCGTGGCCACCAGCCCCGCAGTCCTCACTGGACCTGCTTCCTCCTGGCAGCTGCCCTTGGGCTCCCCCAGGATGGCGGGTGGCTTGGGGAGGACCCCGTTGAGGACTGGCAGGAAGGCAGCCCCAGGCGCAGGCTCCGGGGTGAAGCCGCACACCTCGCAGGCCTCCTTGCCCAGGAAGTTGCGGAAGGTGCAGCGGGCGCAGGGCCATTTCTGCTCCTCCACGCTGAGCCGCAGGATGTGGTTGAGGTCGGGCTTGTGCCGGGGAGCCTCGCAGATGGAGCACTGGCGCTGGCCGGCCGGGTTCAGGAAGGTGCAGCGCACACAGGACCACTCTCCGACCGTGGCCATAGACCCGGGCGAGTGGGTGTGGCTGCAAGGGAAGGTGCTCATCAGGGCCACCCTGTGAGGTCCTGAGTGGCTGGACCCCACCCTCCTCTCGGCCTGGGGAAGGCACCCGTCTGTGGCTGCAGAGCTACGGGGCCGAGGGCCTAGGGCTGAGCATTTGAGGCAGGCGGCGGTGGGGGCTGCCTCCACCCAGAATGGATCCATGGCTCAGGGCCCCTCTTGCCCGTTGGAGGCTCAGCAGACCCCTTGAGCCACACAGGATCCTACAGAGAGGGCTGAGCACCCCACAGCCGGGCTGCTGTTCCAGGGCACTGCTTTCTCTGTCACCAGGCCTGTGGACGGCAGATAGCAGGGGGTCCCGGCCAAACTCAGGACCAGGTCGTCCTGGGCGTGGAAGAACAGGTGCTCAGACCTACGGAAGGGCAGGTGCATGGGCCGGGGCCTGGGGAAGGCACAGGCTGATCTGAGCAAGGGGCCTCCCCACACCACAGCACAGCCTCCGAGACAGACTGGCTGCTCTGCCTGGCAGAAAAATCAATTGTTCTTGTAAATATGGCCTGAATCTTGTGCTCCATCTAAACCCTTTTGGTTCAGGAAGAAAGAAAACCTGCCTCTTCATAAGAAGCACAAAAACAAAAAGTCTCCGCGAGCAACACGGGTGTTCTGTGGAGCCGAGCGAACTCCGTGATGCTGCCTTCCCTGCGCTCAGCCCCGCGTGGCGAGGGCTCTGAGCTGCCCCTGGCAGAGTGGACGGGGGTGGACTGGGCCCGGCGAGGCTCAGGGCGTCCAGCTGGAGCAGAGAGACCCAAGGCCGGGAATCTGCTCTAACAGCGGGCTTCTGTGAAAGCCCAAGCAATCTGCCCGTAGACAGCCAGGCCTCTCCCCGCCATCACCACTCGGAGAAGGGCATGGATGCAGCTGTGGCCGGCGGGCTCCCGGCCGCACCTGCACGTTCCTCGGCCTGGCTGCCGAGGCGGCACAGCCCAGGCGTCCGGCCTGGGCCCCTGTGGGTGGCACAGTGGCCATGATCTTTGCAGCCCCCACTCCGGGAGGTGCCTTCACAGACTCTGCACCCCGCTGACCGCAGGTGCAGGCAGAGGTGGGCTGGGCCTCCTGGGACACACCCTCCCTTTGGCCCTGTAGTTGTCACCGACTAGCAAGGACAGCCTCACCAGCTCCAGAGAGGAGAATGAGAACCCGGGTCCCCAGGACCAAACAATCGCCAGCGGGGTGTGTCTGCTGGGAGACACCTTTCGGAGTCATCCTGGCAAAACCCAGGTGGGTCAGGAAGACGTCTGCACTTCAGGAGGGTTTCAATGAAGTCAGAACAAGGCCTAAAGTTCAAACGTGGCCCCGGGACACGGGTGAGGAGGGCGAAGGCAGGCCACGGCCCTTCTGTGGCTGGAGACGCTGAGGGGAGTGTCACTGACCCCGCAGTCTGCGCTGTGCCGGCCTCTCTCGGTGGGCCGAGGTGGAAGGGGGCCAGGGGTCAGGGGTCAGCGGTGGGAGACCTCGGCAGGGCCCCCACCCTCCCTGCCCTTCTGCCCTGGTTCTGGTCTCCACAACCCCCCAGCCACTCTAGGGCCACCCTCACCTCTGCAGGGCCTGGGCAGGTTCATGGGCTCAGAGACCCGAAACCCTTACAAAGATGTTGTTTTGAACTTTAGAGATGGGGTCTGATTGCCCAGGATGGTGCAGTGGCTCGCGCACGGCTCACTGCAGCCTTGACCTCCTGAGGCCAGACCGCCAAAGCCTGGAAGTAAAAGCTCGCGTCAGGAGCCCAAAGACCCAAAGCCAGGCCTGAGCGAAGCCCTTTTGGAATTCTCAACCCAGAACGCTCCTGAAGTCGCAGCCACACGTGCTCAGCAAGGAGCCCTCACTACTGCAGGATGGTTACCTTCGAAGGGAGCGGGCTCAGGGCAGACGACGTGAGGGGAGACGACGACGTGGGGGGAGACGACGACGTGAGGGGAGGCGACGTGGGGGAGGCGACGTGGGGGAGGCGACGTGGGGGAGGCGACGTGGGGGAGGCGACGTGGGGGAGACGACGACGTGGGGGAGACGACGTGGGGGAGGCGACGTGGGGGAGGCGACGACGTGGGGGAGGCGACGTGGGGGAGGCGACGTGGGGGAGGCGACGTGGGGGAGGCGACGGGCCGCTCCTTACTGCACAGAGGCCAAGCTGGATGGAAGATCGAGGCAACTGTACAGAAAAATCCAGCACAAAAGACCCGCGCGCCCCAGTTATCTGGGCGTTGCCGACACTCAGCTCCAATTCAAAAGGGAGGTGATGAAGCCGCTCGCTGCGTGCAAGACAGAGCCCGCCCTGAAGCAGCCGGGACAGCAGCACCCGGAGCGTGGAGGCCGCGGGCCTGTGACTGGCGCAGCCCCAGTCCTGGGAGGCGGCCCCTTTCTTAGGAAAAGTGAGGAGCAGGAAGCTGCATTCTGTCCCCCGGGGCCTCGGTCAAAGCCACCAGAGCCCTGAGGCCACACCGAGAAACACAGATGCCCCGTCCGGCCGGGGCAGCCCCGCAACCTGTGCCCAGACAGCTCTCGGGGCACACCGGGGTGCCAGACTTGGTCGGCAGCTCCTCCTGCTGTGCCCAGGGCGGGGGATACCATGGGGGGCTCTGCTCAGTGCTCTGAGGGGCAGGCGTGGTGCCTCCCTCGAGCTGGGCTGCAGTCTCCTGGTCTGGCCACAGCCCGGCGCCGGTCAGCCTTGCCAGGGGGGGTCTACCCTTGTTGCCTCTCTGTGCTGAGCCGCCGGTGCCCGGCCCGTAGATGACTTACTGATTGAGGGCGCCAGGCACTCTGTCAGCTGTACAGGGACCTCAGCCCCACGCCGGCCGCATGGCCGCATGGCCGCAGGCTGCCCTGGCTCTCCCAGGCTCCACCAGCCTGTGCACCACCCCTTCATCCATGTGGGGGAGCGGTCATGGGGCCACAGCACCTGCTGTCCTGGGGCGTTGGGAGAATTCAGCGGCCACCAGGGCAGCGAGCCAGGCAGGCAGCTCTTCAGTAAACGCCAGGGCTGTCGCGCTGACCCTCCCCAGTCCCGGCGCCCTCCGTCGGAGCACGGCAGGGGTCGCCTGTGCATGCACGTGGTGGGGAGGGCTCCGCGTGTGGAGGCCCAGCTGCCTTCCCGCAGTCTGCTCGCCCACCGCTCTCGCCCATCTCTAGCCTGGGGGTCTCCTCACCATGCACCTTGGGGGCCTGTTTGCAGCAGCAGACAGGAGCTGCCTGGAGCCCAGGCCCCACAGCAGCGGGCACGGGCAGGAGTGGCCCCAGGGATGCCGACCCAGGGGAGGGCCAGGCAGGAGGCCAGGGTGAAAGAGAAAGAGCGGCGTGGCGTCATCATACACCACGGCCTGACCCCGCAGGCCAGGTCCAAAGTCTAACACACGCCCCACATACCCGGCACAGCAGACCCCACGCCTGCCCCGCGGCTCTGCCTCCCTCCCCATAGCCAGAGCCACGGCCGCCACCCCCGGTAGTCCCAGGCCAGTCCCTGGGGATCCCGGGAGTGTGGCCCGAGGCTGCCGGGAGCTGCAGACTGGAGAGGCCATCCCGAGGTCTGAAACTCGGCCTGGTGCTCAAAAAGCAGGGGCCGAGAGTCCTCTGCCCTCTGGAAAACGAGAAAGGGAACGACAATCCTTTCTACATTTTTCTGTTTAAGTTTTTTGAGACACCGTCTAGCGTCTCACTGTGTCGCCCAAGCTGGAGTGCGGTGGCACGATCGCAGCTCATTGCAGCCTGGACCCTCCCAAGCTCAGGGTTTGTATTTTTATTTTGAGACAGAGTCTCACTCTGTCGCCCACACTGGAGTGCAGTGGTGCAATCTTGGCTCACTGCAACCTCCGCCTCCCAAGTTCAAGCGATTCTCCTGCTTCAGCCTCCCTAGTAGCTAGGATTATAGGTGCCCGTCACCACGCCCAGCTAATTTTTGTTTTAGTAGAGATGGGGTTTCACCATGTTGGCCAGGCTGGTCTTGAACTCCTGACCTCAGGTGATCTACCCGCCTCGGCCTCCCAAAGTGCTGGGATTACAGGCGTGAGCTACTGCGCCTGGCCAAATTTTTTTTTTCTAATTAACCAGCTATGGTGGTGCACGCCTGTAGTTCCAGCTACTTGGGAGGCTGAGATGGGAGGTTCTCTTGAACCCAGGAAGTAGAAGCTGCAGTGAGCTGTGATCACACCACTGTACTCCAGCCTGGGTGACAGAGTAAGACCCTGTCTCTAAATAAATAAATAAGTGAATGAATGAAAAAAAGACAGGCACGGGTGGATGAGACAGGGAGAGAGGCCCCACATGGCTGGCCACCAGGGAAACGCAGATCAAAGCCAAGGGGACACCAGCTCCCACCCCCTGGGACGGCCAGAATCACAAGGACAGACAACGGCAGGAGCTGTCGAGGGAGTGGAGACGCCAGGACCCTCCCCAGCGTTGCCGGTGGGAACTAGGTAATGCAGCCGCTGCGGAAGATGGCTTGGCAGTTCCTCAAGACATTATGAAAGTTCACCACACGCCCCAGCAATCCCACTCCTAGGTATCTATGCAAGATAAATGAAAACAGGTCCACGCAAAACCTCGTAAACAATGTTCACAGCATTGTCCACAGAAGCCACGTGGAAGCAGTCCTAGCGTCCATGAATAGATAAAATGCGGTTCATCCCGCAAAGGAGCAGTGAATGAAACTGCCTCGGGCTGCAGGTGCATGAATCTGGAGGGCACGGTGCCGAGTGAAGAGGCCAGACACGGGGCCCCACGTCCTGTGGCCCCACGTCCACGCACCTTCTGCACAAGGCAAACCCAGCCAGCCACGTCCTGTGGCCCCACATCCACGCACCTTCTGCACAAGGCAAACCCAGCCAGCCACGTCCTGTGGCCCCACATCCACGCACCTTCTGCACAAGGCAAACCCAGCCAGCCACGTCCTGTGGCCCCACATCCACGCACCTTCTGCACAAGGCAAACCCAGCCAGCCACGTCCTGTGGCCCCACATCCACGCACCTTCTGCACAAGGCAAACCAAGACAGGAAGCCGGTCAGTGGCCGTCTGGGGCTGAGGGTCCCTCTGGGCTGCGGGATGCTGTAACACTGGACTGTGGGGCTGGGGGTCCCTGTGGGCTGTGGAATGCTGCAACGCTGGATTGCAATGACGGCTGCACAACTCTACAAACCACTAAGAGTGACCAAACTGCACTCTTTTAACAGGTGAGTCTGGTAAGTTCTACCTCAACAAAGCTGTTGTCGGCACACGTGGAGATGCTCACTGGGAGGCGGCTGGTGCGGTAACACCAGGAACTGGGAGGCGCTCCGGTGCCACCACACGCAGGAGGAGCACAGACCCTTCCTCTGCCGACCACCAGGCCCCACACGGCCCCTCCCCGGCCCTGCCTTTGCCGCGTCTCTCTGTCCATCAGGGTAACTCGCAGACAGGGCTCCAGGGCTCCCCCACACGGCCCCTCCCCGGCCCTGCCTCTGCCGCGTCTCCCTGTTCATCGGGGTAACTCGCAGACAGGGCTCCAGGGCTCCCCCACACAGCCCCTGGCTAATCCCCTGCATCCCCAGTCCTTGTCGGCCGGAGCTCAGGCCTCAGCGTGGATGCCACCTGGAGGCTGGTTCCCAGGCCTGGCCACCTGCCATGGCCTTGCCCACTGCCTGCAGCTCCACGCCCGTCCCTCCCACCTGGGGGCCAACAGACAGCAGGACATCGTCCCCCGTGGGAGCTGCCGCCAGGTGCAGCCTGGCAGGCCCTTTTGAGTGTGAGACGCAGGCACATTGCCTTCAGAAGCCAGGCCTGGACCCGCTGTGAGAGCAACGGCGGCCACTGCAGCACTGGCCCCGAGGCCCCGGGCCCCTGAGTGTCCCTGCCTCCAGTGAGGGCCAGGACGGGGTGACGGCAGGAGCATCGGTGGGGTCCAGCCAGTCCAGACCTCACCACCTGGACTGCCTCCAGACCAGGCACCTCAGAACCTGATGGCAGCTCCTGAGGGACGCAGCGGGTAGCCAAGGCCATGGTGACAGCTGTGAGGAGCCAGCACGTGGAGTTCGGCCACCAAGCCATGTGGCCTGTGACCCCCGGGGGGGCAGCAGGCGGAGCCCAGCGAGTGCTGGCAGCTTTGAAACCGTGGGCAGCAGGCAATATGCCCAGAGCCTGCAGCCGCCAGCGACCCCAGCCCAAAAAGAAGCTTCAGGAACAGCTTCTCTGCGTGGAGCAGCACAGCCTGTGAGAAACACAGGGCCGCCGGGATTGGGCGCACTAGCCCCCATCCCCACCACCAACCAGCCAGGCCGAGGCCGGGGTCTCAGACCTGCTCAGCTCCTGCACCCTGGGGAAGAGAGCTGCCACAACTGGAAGGAGCAGGGACCCACTTCTCTGCAAGCACCTCTGCCAAGGAGGGGGCACCCTGAGAACGAGGCCCTCTGCCCCCGGGAGCCCTCCGGGGCCACCCCTCCCCACCTCTTACCTTCGGGCCCGGGGCCGTGGGGGCTGGTGCTGCCGGCTGACCAGGGCACCTCCCCAGACGGGCCCCCCTGGGCCGCTCCTACACCAGCCAGCCGCTGCCGGGGGACCCGGGTAGGGCGGTCCCCCGGGGAAGCTGTGGTCCGACTCGGTCTCTGCGGCCAGGGAGGAGGCGGAGCTCCCCATGGCCCCCCGGCCGGCGGCCGTGCTGAGAGCCGGACCTGGTCACCTCTGGCCAGCAGCGGGCGAAGCGGAGCATGGAGGGAAGAGACAGGACGGCCGGCTGGGCAGAGTGACACACAACAAAAATAAACAGACAGAGAGAGAAAATAGAGAAGAAACAGCATGATTCACACACACAGCCCGGGAGGACTTCCCAGCATGCCCAGCCGCCTGGGGTAGGCTGAGGGGACATCTCAGTGCAGGGCCTGCGGCCCGACTTCGGCACCCACAGGGCTCCTCCCTCGGGGCCCTAGGACACCCCCCGGCCCCCAAAAGCCCGGCATCACGTCTGTGGTATTCAGAGACGTTTTATTCCTTGGTGAGAAAAGAGATCACACGCTTTTGCTTTATCACAGAAGGAAGGGTCAAGAGAACGTCTACCCAAAGGTAGGCAGGGGAGGTAGCAGAGGGCGTAGGGAGCTGCTGCAGGCCAGGCTGGATGAAGATCTGGGGGGCCGCTTCACACAGCTGCCCACATGCCACTCTGGAGACTTCCAGAAGGACGGGAGCCCGACCATGCCTTGTGCACCCACAGAGCCAGGCCCCGAGAAACAAGGACCCTGTGAGGCTATGGCTGAGGGCGGGGGCCGGTTCCTGGGGTCTCCCCTCCAGAGGGGCGAGAGCCACCCCTGCTGGGAGGCCTGGGAGAGGCACAGGCTGTCCAGGGCCTCTGACACGCGGCCCACCTGTGCTTCTGGGAAGGCCACCTTACCCCCTCTGGCTGAGGAGAAATCAAATACAGTTGAGAACGTTAATCCTGAGACGGGAGGACCCTGCCCGTGCAGGCAGCTGCTCTCCCCAGAGTCCGATACACTCCCCTCTCCCTGCCAAGATTGGGGCCAAGATGGCGTCCCGGCAGGCTGGCCGGCTGTGGGTTGACCAGCAGTTCCTGCTGTCACACACGTCACAGCCCTTCTTCCAGCTTCTGATTAAGTCTCTGGGACACACAGCCAGCGTCAGGGTAGAGCTTAGGAGGAAAGGGTCAAGTAAGTGTCAAAGCTGCCGTGCGTGGGGGATCACCTGAGCCCAAGAGTTTGAGACCAGCCTGGGCAACACAGTGAGACCCTGTCTTTATAGAAAACTAAACACTATCCGGGTGTGGTGGTGTGCACCTGTAGACCTAGCTACTCAGGAGGCTGACGTGGGAGGATGGCGTGAGCACCACAGCTGCATTCCAGCCTGGGAGACAGAGCCAAAAAAAAAAAAAGCACCAAAGAACATATCCTTTGGAGCTCAGGGAGGCCTGGGGGCAGCCCTAGGTGAGCGGGCTGGGGGGGGTGGGGGTGCAGTTCCAGCTTCTCCCCCGCGACGATGGGGAGCAGCAGAGGGCAGGGATGTGGGGGGCCTTTCCAGTCAGTGCTCTGACACCCGGGAGGGGCCTGCAGCTCTGAGGCCACAGGGGCTGAGCTCAGCGAGGCACGAGCACCTGGGATCGCACAGCAGACGCGCCAGCCCTTCCCTGGTTCCTCCCCACAGCCTTGGGGACAGAAGCTTCAAGGGCAGGGGCTGAGGGGGTGAGACAGAGAATTCTGGATCCCCTCTCCTTTGAGGCCTGGGGCAGAAGCCGCCGAGTCCCCCGTGTGGTGATAACGTTCGCCTGAACCACTTCACTCGGCACGAGGGTCCGTTTTCTCTGAAGGTGCTGGGGTCGTGGGAGGGTTGAAGCATTGCGGGCCCTGCACCCTGGAGACCCTGCCATCCTGTGGTGGCTCAGGCCTGCCCCGTAGGCAGAACGGTCACAGGACACACGGGGCCAGTGTGGGGTGCGGACCAGAGCCCAGCCCTAAGCCTGGTCCAGCCCGCAAGTCAACAATGGCTTTTACATTTTTAAATGGTTGGAAAAAAATCAAAAAAAAAAACAATACTCTGTGAGAGGTGGGAGTTCCATGAAATTCAGGCCTCGGGGTCAGCAGGGCACAGCCTGGCTCACTCGCCTGCAGGCGCTTCTCCACAGGGACCACCCTGTACTCACACCTGCCCTCGAAGGGGCACCTGGCGGCCACGCCGGAGAGCGCCGCGCAGTGTGGACGGGGCCACGGGAGTCGTGGCGGATCTCCTGGTATCCACGTAAGACAGGTGGAAAGGAACAGACAAAACAAGCCTTGGCGACGTGCTCTGTGTGATCCGAGGTATCTGAGACATCGCTGCGTCCGTGTGAAGCGAACGTAAAACATGACGGAGACATCCAGGACCCGTTCTCCAGGCCGGGTCTCTGGACGTGCCACACTACAGGCCCTGCAGCCACCAGTGCTGGCGGCCTCCACAAGGGGCAGCGCTCAAACATGCAGGACGCAGGCGAGGTCCACGGGGTCTCGAATGCCACACGGAAGCAAGGCCGGGAGCCCAGCACGCACGGAGCAGGCTCGCTAGCAGGGAGCCCACGCATCAACCCAGGGCCTCTCGCGTGGCTACGCCAGACGCCGGAACCACCCAAACGGCCCCTGCGTTCCCCAGCCCAGGCCACGCAGGAGTCCCTCACGGGAGACGGGTTGGGCATTTCCGACACTCCCCTTCTGTAGCCAAACCCTGAGCGGGTCAGGGCGGGGCAGGGCTTGGGTGGGAGCGGCGACTAGCGGAGGTGCCACGGGACAGAAGCTGCTTGCACTGGGCCCTGAGCTGGTTTGGCTCTGACAGGAGCCCTGCCCGTTCTGTGTGAGGACTGCACACCTGCCAGGGCCAACCTCAGCTCCTTCGCCACTCACCCACCCACGCACTCACCCACGTGGCACCTGGGGTCACGCGTGCCGCTAGAAACACAGGCTCCTACCAGGCCCCGCCTGCTCCTCACTGATGCCTTTAGGCCCAAGGCAGAAGTGGTGCCCAGCTGCACCCAGGGCAGGAAGCGAGCTGCTCACCAGCCTCCTGCTCCCCTGCGCTCACTCAGAAAACCTTTCTTGAGCTGGAGCCAGTCTCAGGCAACTGACCCTGTGGGCCCCATCTGGACAGGAGGGAGGCCTGTCCTAGGAGAGCAGGGACAGCACAGTCCCCTCCCGTGGGTGCTCGGAAGAGAAGAGAGGACCCTGCAGAGAAAAGCAAACGTCCCTGTCACAGAGGCTGGACAGCTGGCTCTGTTAAGCCCTCTCCGGGGTTTTTCCAGCACACGCCAGGGGATCTCCAGAGATGGTATCGCTGAACCGCCCCGATCCGCTGCCAGAGGAGTCAAGAGCCCCGTGAGGGGTGCCGGGGGCCCTGCCCTGGCTGGCGAGGCCCACTAAGGAGCAAGAGCTCCCGGGACACAGCTGCCAGCCACGTGCCAACCTGAGGGTCCCATCGCAAGGGTGACTGTGGGAAACTGGCACCGATGCTCTTCCCGAAATCCACCCTGCTGGCCTTCCCGAGTGCAGCTGTGGGTCCTGGGTCCCCCTGTGTTCCGTCCACTCATGATGGACAGATGCTAGTACAGGATGAGCAGCTACGGAAAAGGCTCCCAGGCCAGGTGCAGTGGCTCACGCCTGTAATCCCAGCACTGTGGGAGGCCGAGGTGGGTGGATCACGAGGTCAGGAGTTCAAGACTAGCCTGCGCAAGATGGAGAAACCCTGTTTCTACTAAAAACACACAAAAAATTAGCTGGGCGTGGTGGCGGGCGCCTGTAATCCCAGCTACTTGGGAGGCTGAGGCAGGAGAATGGCCTGAATCCGGGAGGCGGAGGTTGCAGTGAGCCGAGACCGCGCCACTGCACTCCAGCCGGGGCGACAGAGCGAGACTCCGTCTCAAAAAAAAAAAAAATAGGCTCCCAGCCCGCGTTCCCCTAGAGGGAGGGAACTGCATTTAGGAGGAAGACTCCGATGGGAGGGCCCCAGGAAAGAGGAGCAAGAAGTGGTGGGAAGGAGGGAGGGCAGCACCAGCAGCCACCCCCAGGGACAGCGCCCAGCCAGGGCTGACTGCATCTCGGCCGTGGGTGCTGGCTCCGGCCAGACCTCGGCAGGGGGGTTATCATGTCCAGGGCCACTGAGGACAGCAGGGACAGGGCCTGCTGCGGCCAGCCAGAGGCTCTTGGGAGGAACGCTCACCTGCCACTCCCAGGTCCGGCCCACCTCAGGGCCTGGGCACACGTGAATCACCCAGTGCAGTGGCCCCGAGGACGCAGGTCAGGTCAGTCCGTGGTTCCCATCCTGGCTCCCTGTCTGAATAACCGGGGGGGGGGGGGGGCGTGCAGGGGCACTGTCACCAAGGAGTGTGCCCAGGCCAGGCCGAGGGACAGCAGGGTGAGGCCCCCGCAGAGCATGCCGAACTCTGACCCCTGACCCCAGGGACATGCCCTGGGCCGCTGCTGCTCCTGTAGGGCCTGCCGCCGGCCAAGCATCTGTGCTGCTCCCGTGAGCTGCATGTGCCCCCCGGGCCTCTGCTGTGGGCCAGGCTGTTTCAGGTGCTCGCGAATGGGAACCAGCAGGAGCCGTGACCACAGGGCTGACTCTCAGGGCGGCGCCTCAAGAGTGGCCGTGACTCATGACTGCCACAGAGCCAGGCTGCAGCCACGCCCGCCTCTGGGCTCCCTGGAGGGGCAGGGTGCGGAGGGCCCCGGGCTGTGTGGATCCATGCCTGACCCCCACAAGTCCAACTGTGCAGCTCCCCGCCCTCCCTGGGAGCCGATGCCCTAGTTTTAAACGGGGCGGTGGCCTAGATCCAGCCTCAGAGAATTGCAGAGGTGAGGCCGCCACTGCCCTGTGGGGACAAGTGGTTAATGAGCAGGGCCAACTGGCCGGTCCCTGTCCTGTATGCCACACACACACCCCGTGAGGGCAGCAAGGAGCATCCAGCCAGGGGACGTGCACGAGAAGGGCCAGGATGATCACACTGCCCGGGGCTCAGCACAGGGCTGAGTCCCGGAGGTGACCATTGCCGCCCCGCTCCATCTGCGGCCACTGAGGTCTGCTGGGGGTCTCTGGTGCTGGCCTTGACAGCCCACCCGTGGCAGGACAGGGTCTCGAGGTGCCTCTCGGTAGGTGGTGGGCTCAGTGGGGGTGACCCGTGGGGACGGAACGCATGCTCCTGAGGCTCCAGTGGATGCAGGCAAAGGCACCTCCCGGGGTCAGCGTCCCTACCTGGGGAGCTGGGAGCCCACATGGGAGCAGGGCTGGCACAGCGACCCCCAGCCTTGCGCGGGCGGCACCCACAGCTGTGTCCACTCCGCATACACTCCTCACTGTCTCGCTAACTAATCATGTACACGGCTGTACCCCCGAGCCCTCCCCTGCCCCGCAGGTGACACAGGCGTGTCCCACTCACACAGCACCTGCTCCTGGGCCCTACATCTCCGTCAATCTTTCACAGAGCCATCTTGCCACCATGGGAACCACAGCGACCCCAACAAGGATGCCCCGGTGTCACCCCTGCCCGAGCTGGGGGTGTGGGGGGCAGCAGATGGAAAGCGGGGGCCCCTGTGTCCAGGCAGCTGGTGGCCTGGCCTTGCCCCACGGCAACCCCACTGCGCCCTAAAACTGCACCCACCAGACCAGAGGCTGCTGGTCCAGGCAGGAAACAAGAGCCAGCCACTACCGGGACGAAGCTCAGTCGGTGCCCACAACCTGAAGACAGGCAACTCTGCCTTTGTCCCCACTGACGCTAAGGCCCCTGTGGAGGAGATGACCCCAAGGACAGGAAGCTCCTGCATGAGTCGGGTGGGAGGGCTGAGGACAGGGCTTCCCATCGTCCCTACAAGAAACAAGGCCAGGGCCCCGCCCTGGGGGAGGACGTGGACTCCGACCGCCCGCCCCAAATGACAACTGGCAGGACAGCATTCTCCAGAAACAGGTGCAGGCCGCTCCCCAGGGACCAGGCACCCTCCTGGCTGAGGATAGCGGTGGGGGCCGTGCACAGGCTCCTCACCAGCCCCAGCCCCAGCGCTGCCGTGGGGATGGGGAGCTCCATCTGGGGGCCGGGGCCACAGCACAGGGGAGGTCCCCAAAGGGACAAACACCCCTGTCGGGACCCCGGGCCGCCCTCACCGTCGCCTCCCACGACAGGACCACGGCCCAAACGGCTGGGAGAACGAGGCTCTTCAGGGCAGGCAGGGCTGCCGGCCTCCAGGGGTTCTGTGAATCAAGGGCTCCGAGAGGCCCCCCAGCCGTGGGCACTCCAACCCTGCTGCTCCACAAACAGTTCTGCAGCGCAAGCAAACCCATAAACGAGCCGCAGGGCTTGGGAACAAACTCACCTGAAGCTGCAGCAAGCTCCCAGGCCCTCTCTGTGCCGCGTCTGGGCTGCTGCCTAGAAAGGGAGGCATTTAATCAGGCACCTCAGCTTCCACCAGGAGGACTCTGACCCTGGAACACAGAGCCCCGCCTCCAGCCCTCTCTGCAGGAGCCAGAGTCCCGGGAAATCAGCCCCGGGAGACCCTTCGCCTTAGAAGCTGTCCGAGCTTCTGTCCTTGGGTGTCTGTCCGAGCGCCAAAGGCAGCCCGGGGAGCAGCAGGGGCTCAGCAGGCTCCTCACTACCCTGGTTTAAGGCCCTTGACCTGTCCAGTGCGGTCAACCTCCGGCCAGCCAGGACCGCAGACAGGGCCATTCAAGATCCTGTCCGGACCTCCCACGGCCCGACCCTGCTACAAGGAGCAGGCCGTGGGCAAGAGTCCATGAGCGGGGCTGCAGAGCAGCACCAGCCAGGGAGGGCGGCCGAGCTTCCCAGGCACTGCCAGGGAAAGGTGCCCAGCTTGGGCAGGCACAGGCACACAGCCAGGTGGCCACCTAGACTCCCCCGGACCCCAGCCCGAGTGCCACCCGGCCACTACAGCTGTCAGCAGGGCGGCCACTGCTTCGAGCCAGGCGGCTTTGCTTCTCTAAGGTCATGCTCTCCATGGCGGACCCACTGCGGTGGGCAGGATGCTCACGCTTCCCGCCCTGTCCTTCCTGGGCCCTGTGTAGGGCCCACCATGGACTCCTCACTCAGCCATCACCCTCTTTTTTGTTGGTTTTAAATTTTTTATTTTATTTTTTGAGATAGAGCCTCGCTCTGTCACCCAGGCTGGGGTGCAGTGGTGCAATCTCAGCTCACTGCAGCCTCCGCCTCCCAGGTTCAAGCTATTCTCCTGCCTCAGCCTCCCAAGTAGCTCGGATTACAGGCGCCCGCCACCGTGCCCAGCTAATTTTTGTATTTTTAGTAAAGACGAGGTTTCACCATGTTGGTCAGGCTGGTCTCGAACTCCAGACCTCAGGTGATCCACCCGCCTCGGCCTCCCCCAGTGCTGGGATTCCAGGCATGAGCCACCATGCCCGGCCCCTCACCCTCTTTTGTGATCAGCATGAGGATGGTGTGCAGGTGTGTCCAGTGGCACAGGCATCACCTGTTTTTTTTTTTTTTTTCTCTGACAGAGTCTCGCTCTGTTGCCCAGGCTGGAGTGCAGTGGTGTGATCTCGGCTCACTGCAAGCTCCACCTCCTGGGTTCACGCCATTCTCCTGCCTCAGCCTCCCGAGTAGCTGGGACTACAGGCGCCTGCCACCAGGCCCGGCTAATTTTTTTGTATTTTTAGCAGAGATGGAGTTTCACCGTGTTAGCCAGGATGGTCTCAATCTCCTGACCTCAGGTGATCCACCCGCCTTGACCTCCCAAAGTGCTGGGATTACAGGCGTGAGCCACAGCGGCTGGCTTTTTTTTTTTTTTTGAGACAGGGTATCACTCTGTCACCTAGGCTGGAGTGCAGTGGTGCCATCTCGACTCACTGCAACCTCTGCCTCCCGGGTTCAAGCAATTCTAGTGTCTCAGCCTCCCAAACATCTGGGATTACAGGCACACACCACCACGCCCAGCTAATTTTTGTATTTTTAGTAGAGATGGGGGTTTCGTCACGTTGGCCATGCTGGTCTCTACCTCCTGACCTCATGTGATTCACCCACCTTGGCCTTCCAAAGTGCTAGGATTACACGCATGAGCCACTGAGCCCAACCGAATTCTACTTTTTTTTCTTTTTTTTTTTTTTGAGACGGAGTATAGCTCTGTCGCCTAGGCTGGAGTGCAGTGGTGCCATCCCGGCTAACTGCAACCTCCGCCTCCCAGGTTCAAGCAATTCTACAGTCTCAGCCTCCTGAGTATCTGGGATTACAGGCACACACCACCACACCCAGCTAATTTTTTTATTTTTAGTAGAGATGGGGTTTCGCCATTTTGGTCAGGCTGGTCTCGAACTCCTGACCTCAGGCAACCCACCTGCCTCGGCCTCTGAAAGGGCTGGGATTACAGGTGTCAGCCACCGCACCCAGCCCCGACTTCTATTTTTAACAGGAAAAAAGGACCAGACAAGCACTCGTGGTTTTTGGCACTTCTCTACTTCTCTGCTTGCCATGTGGTGGCAGAAGCAGCCCTGGTCTGGGCAGCCCGGTGACCTCACTGGTGGCCAAGCAGAAGCCTCTGGGACACAGGGGGCACCTGTCACCCCAGAGAAGGGGACGGGGGCCTTGGGAGCCGTGTGGCCCTGGGCACCTGTCATCCCAGAGAAGGAGACGGAGGCCTTGGGAGCCGTGTGGCCCTGGGGGCACCTGTCACCCCAGAGAGGGAGACGGAGGCCTTGGGAGCCGTGTGGCCCTGGGGGCACCTGTCACCCCAGAGAAGGAGACGGGGGCCTTGGGAGCCGTGTGGCCCTAACCCAGAGGAGGCCTCGTGGCACCTCTTTCCCCATCAGCTCCAGCCTCTCTGCAGCCACCTTTTCAGGAGGGGCAGGAACTCCAGAAAGCTCCAAAACTTATTGCCTTTCTCATTACAGGGGACAGGGAGGTGGGGGGTAGGGAGTGGGGATCAGGCAGGGGCAGAAGGTGTAAGAGGTTCAACCTGCCTGGGGGACTTCACTTACAAAGGGCAGAGGCTGGGTGTGGTGGCGCCCACCTGTAGTCCCAGTATTTGGGAGGCTGAGGCAGGAAGATCACTTGAGCCCAGGAGTTTGAGGCTGCAGCGAGCTATGATTGCAACTGCACTCCAGCGTGGGCAACAGAGCACGACCCTGGCTCAAAAAAATAAAACTTAAAAAATGTTAAAATAAAGGGCAACTTTTTGAAGAGAAGTGAGGGGAAGGCCATGAGGAGGAACTCCCTCATTAGCGGAGCAAGCTCCTTCCACAGAGGAGCAGACGCTGCAGTCACTGTGACATTTAAAAAGCAGCGATGGCCCTGCGTCCTCCTGACATCCCGTCTAGGACCGCCAGGGAGGCGGGGATGGCAACCCTTGAAGCTTCCCTTTGACCTCAGGGAATCTGACAAATCGTTGTATCTGGAGGCCAGGATGGCGAGGCTGATGCCCATGACCCGACGGGACTCATGGGTCCACCCTGGTGCCCTGGATGAGTTCTGGGGAGGGCGGCCACACTGCTGGCTTCCCATGCAGCACTCAGGCAGGCCCCTCAGAGTGTGCAAAGCAACAGCCTGACGCAGCTCATCTTGGGGGGCCCACGGGGTCCCTGCCCTGGGCTAGGATGCCCCCATCCTCCCACAGACCCCATTCCGTGCACCCTGTGGGCCCAGCAGCAGCCCCTGTCCTAGTGGTACAATGTGGCTGTCCACAGACTCCACGCCCAGACACCTCCCTGGGCCACGCACCGGGAGGTCTCCACCCAGCTGTGTGTGACCCACATAGTGACAGGGTGTGGCTGAACGGGTCTAGGTCCAGCCCCAACCCACAGCCTCCCTGCAGCGAGACACACATGCAAAGATCACAGGCCAGCAAGCCTGTTCTCTCAGACTCAGAAACAGGCCGAGCTCAGGTGTGGCCGTGTCCACGCCACAGGGGCTGCTGTGCTACTTTCCTGGAGCACGCAGGAGTCCCCCTGGGCTGCCAGAACCCAGGTATTCAGAACTGCCTGTGGTGAGGGCCAACCCCAGGTGCTCACTGACCGCCTGCTCTGCGCACGGCTGCATAGCGCTAGACACTAGGCCTACCAAGAAACAGAAACGGACCCTGCCCTCGGCGCCACATCCAGCAGGGAGACAGGGCGGTCCCAAGTGTAAGTGCTGCAGGCAGATCCCACAGTGGGGAGCCAGGGACCAGCTACAGGGTCACATGAGAACCGCACAGACCTCAGCGTTCTCTCCAGCGTGGGGCATGAGAGGCCAGTGGCTCCACACAGCTGAGGCACAGCCTGGTGGTGAGAAAACCCACATCCACACCGAGTGGGTACGAGGGATGCGGAAGGGCTTTAGGCAGAGAACAAGTCCCACTGGGCTTCTGGGCACTCCTGCTGTGCCAGGGGTCAGAGGGCAGGACCAGAGGGACAGAGCAGGAAAACAGGAGAGCAAAGCGCACGAGGCAGCCCCCGGGTTGGGGGCCTCCTTCTTCTGTGTCTTATGAGGAAACCACCCAAGCCCACCCTCCGTGTCTCCTGTCATTTCAGCCTCACGGTCCAGGGCCGAGTGGCCACCCAGGACAGACACAGACCTGACAAGTCACCAGCCTTCCTGGGTTTCTGTCACTGTTTTTCAAAGACCCCAAGCTGTTTTGTTTAATGATGTCGTCCTCCTTCTCAGCACCTGTCCACGCCTGTTGCCATGAGTAGAGGCATCACACCGCGGGCCAGAGGGCTGGACCAGGGGCAACTCGGCCACCAACGGCCGAGTTCTTCACTGAGCGGCTCAGGCCCATGAACAACACCTGTGGTTCCGGAGGATTTTCCGGGCAGCAGAATCCTTCCCTCCAATTGCCTCGTGTGAACTGGTGGAACCAGCAGGAGGGAGAGACCAGGCGCTCAGCCTCCCTCGGCCCCTCCCCTGCCATGAACAGCTGTCTCCAGCTTCGGTTCCTCACCTGTGGCACTGGGGTTACCGGAGTGCTGCCCAAGGCCAGGGCAAGAAGCAAGTGAGGGGTGCCCGGAGAGAGAGCCAGCAGGGCTTGAGGCTGTCACACAGATGCAGCATTACAGGGGACCAGCCACTTCCTGCTCTCAGAGACCACGGTCTGTGGAGGCCCAGACAAGAGGCCCTGCGCAGTTATGCAGTTACTGAGCCTCGGGCTCTCCTGGGGACTCAGAGGTCACTGGCTCCTCTGCCAATCAAGGAGCTCTGGAGAGCCTCAGACACAGACAGAAGCAGGAAAAAGAGGGGTGCTCCTCCCGCAAGCAGAAGGACCTCGGAGGAGGCAAGGCACACCCAACCCAAGGCCAGGCCAAGCTGGTTTCCTGCAGGACCTGCCTCCCCCAGACAGGCCAGAAAAACAATTTCTCTTGCCCCACTTCACAGTTGAGAAGTCACTCAGAACCGGAAGGGAGAATCACCCCTATATCCTTGCCCAGCCCCAGACTCTGGAAACGCGGAGGCAATTACGGGGCACTCCCACACTGAACTGTGACTCACGTTTCCGCACCCCTCAGACCTGGGCAGAGGAAGAGATCCGGGTTTCCCGAAGGAGAAGCACACAACTCTTCAGCACCCAACGGAGTCCCAGTCTTCCCCACTGGCCCCACACACCCAGGCCTGGCCTCAGGTTCTGGGCCTCACCATTGCTTTCCGGGTCTTGTTACCTGCAGTCCGGTAACAAACTCCAGAGCAGTAAGGGGGCCCCGAGAGCTCGCCCGGCCAGGGCCAGCTGACCACACAAGAGTTCCCCCGGTCAGGACTAGAGGGGCCCCTTCTGCAGCCAGCGGGAGGACAGCAGATTTGCAACTTCCCAGCTGGTGCCGCAGCAGCCCCAGAGGAACACGGAAGAGAACACTGGCATGGCTGGCACAGACGGGGCTCCCGCCAGCCCCTCCACGCCAGGTGGCCGCCCCCAGGCCGTTCCCCAAGTGAGGGGAGTGATGCCCGCACCAAGCACAACATCCCTAAGGCGGCCAGGACCGCACGATGGGCCCGGATATAAGGGCACTCAAGGGCAGGCAGGGCCGAGGCCGCCTCCGGTGTGCGCGGCCCCCGGGGCTGGCCTCAAGTGACCCACATGGCCCAGGTCCCTGCCGACTTCCCGCCTTCCTCTGGGTTCCTCTGCGAAGCATCGCCCAGCCCTGGCCCCCACCAGCCTGGAGGCGCCAGCGGGCGGCGGGCTGACCCCACTCCGGGGGCCCTGCCGTCCCTGCCCTGGCTCGGAGCCCGGCGCGCCCGGCCCCCGAGGCCTCCTGCGCCCCGCCGAGCCCGCGCTCCCCGCCGCCCTCCGGGCCCGCGCTCCCCGCCCGGGGTCCCCGGCTGGGCGCCCGGCCGGGCCCGGCCGACGGGACTCACCTCCACAGCCCGGCGGCGCCGCCTCGTCCTCGCGGCCCGGGCAGCGCGGCCCCGGCCCCCGGGCCCGCTCGCCCCCGCCGGCCGATCCACAACTTCTGCCTCCGGAGAGCGGCGGGGCCCCTCTCGCCGCCGGCCGCGCTGCCCGGACGGCCTCCCGCTCCTCAGCCGCGGGGCGCCCCGACCCGGCTCCGGCCCCGGCCCCTGCCCGCGTCCGGCGCCCGCCTTACGCTGCCTTCGTAGCGTAGCGCCCGGCCCGGGCCCCGCGGCTACGGCGCGCCCGGGGCGCACGCGGCGCTGTGAATCGCGCGCCCGGACTACGGCTCCCACAGGGCTGCGCGGCGCCGACGGGGCGGAAGCTCGGGGCGGTGCCTGCGCGAGGCAGGCCGGGAGTTGTAGTCCTCGGGTGGCGCCCTCCCAGTCCGCCGACCGCCCGGGCCACTTCTCCTGCCCTCGCTGCTGGAGACGGCCGGGCCCGAGGCCTCGGTCCCCGGGAGGCGCCGCGCTCCAGGATTATCAGGGAGTGGGGCGGCCCGAGGAGGAGCTGGAACTACAACTCCCAGAGGGCCTTGCGAGGGGCACGGAGGGGCGGGGCCTGCAGCCGCGGCGTCTGCGCATCAGCGGCGTCACAGACGCGTGGGGCTCGCGGGGAGCCGGGCTGGGGCCGTCCGTGTCCCGCGGGGCTCTGGGCGGCCGCTCGACCGAGGACCCACGACTCCGCCCCGACCCCGCCGTGTTCGCGAGACCCGGAGACCCCTTCGCGCCTTCCAGGACCGCCCCTTTCGCGACGCTGCGTGCTGTGCTTGGTCCTGGCGGCCAAGAGCGGCGGTGGCAAGGGGACCGCCCTGGCCCGAGACGCGGCCTGGCCTCGCAGCGTCGCTTGGGCACAGCCTCTCTAGGCCCCTTCGTCCTCGGTCGCGGAGGGACGCCATTAAACGGCCACGCCGGGCTCAACTGGGACGCGGCCCACGGCGCCCAACCAGGGCCTGGGGGAGGGAAGCCGGGGCGACTCCTGGGTCCTTCCAGGACCCTTGCGCAGGCCTCATTCTCTCCCCGGAGGTCCCCTTCCCGCTGCCCTGAGGCCACTCTCCTGCCAGCAGCTGCTGGGCCGGCTCTCGGGAGAATGCCTTGGCGTCAAGCTTATCAGGCTGCAGGGCGGGACGCGAGTGCTGAGGGCAGCCAGACTCCCGCTCTTAGGTGCACTTGAGGAGCCTGAGAAGGCAGTGGCTCTGCGGGAGAGGGAGACACAGGAGCAGGGCTGGTCCGCCGAGATTCCGGAGAGACGGTTGTGGGCCGATTCTGTGGCGAGATTTACAAGTGGGAGGTTGGGTGACGATTGCTCCTGGGCCAGAAAATCTAAGCCAGTCTCAGCAAGACCTACAAGGCCAGGGCCAGTGCTCCTCAGAGGATATTCATGCTCCAGGAAAGCCAAGGATGGGCCTCCGTCATGCTGAGATGCCGCAGCAGGGACACCTGTGTCCCACGTGGAGCTCGGCTTCTAGCTGCAGTCAGTGCAGAAGCTGGCAGGAGGGGTTTATTTCTGTCCTCGGAAGCTTTTGGTAAGGACACTTCATTCCTGTGTCTTGGACACCTCCCCCTAGGTCTGCTGCCCCCTCTGTGGAGACAGGCAGGGCAGCTGGATGTGCCGTTTGTTCCCAGACTATATCCATGCCAAAGCATCCCAAGGGCAGGAAATGTGTCCCCGGGGGCCAGTGGGGGTCTGGGGGCACAGAGGGCTGCAGAGTGAGAGCTGGCTCTCCTCTCTGCAACTTGGACAAGGCTCTGGGACCCTGTCCTCCCCAGCTTCCTCACCTGCATGGCAGGATACTGGCCAAGTGTGGCTTTCGAACCACAGGAGAGGGTGCAGTCAAGGCCTCACTCAGGGACCGCAGGTTCTCTTCCCTTCCCAGTCCTTCCCTGGCACTGCCTAGGTGGCTCCCTGGCCAGGGGCCAGTGGTCTAGCCAGCAGGCCTTATAACCTCCCCACCAGAGAGGCAGCTGCAGTTGAACCTGTTGATCTGATGCTGAGGGCCCTGCCAGCTCACTGCAGAGTGGCCAGTTCTGGCCAGTTTTGCTAGGCCAGGCCCATTTGGGGTGAGGAGAGGGTGGGAGCACCCCAGCTCTCCCCAGTAGCCTGTCATGGTGAAGGAGGAAGCCCATTCACCCAGAAGAGGGCCTCAGGAGGCGTCTTCAAGGTGACTGAGGTTTCCCCGCACAAGGAGAGTGCTGGAGGGAATGGGTGCGATGAGAGAAATGAGTCACTCGTGCCTCCGTGAGGCCAGCCTGTGATTGTCTTGAAGATTCTGAGTCACAAGACATCAGGCACACAGGCGTGAATTGTAAATGACTGCACAGCAGAAGGTAAGTGACTCTGGATTATCCAGACCATTGACCGAGCCCTGCTCCGTGCCAGTGCTTCCTGGCCTGAGGACACGACTCTCACATCCAGACAGACCTGAGCAGCTAACGCAAGTGCGCAGAAGCTCGCCAAGTGCCCAGAAGAGCCAAGAGGCGAGCCATGAATCCCCCCTGGAGGAGAAGAGGATGGGGAGGGCCAAACAGAAAGAACTGAAACTGGAGGCATCTGTTCAGGCACCCAGAGAAAGCCTCACGCGCACAAAGCAGCAAACAGAACAAACCCCAGTGCCATCATGGAGCCCAGACTTGAGCACACAGGGACCCTGGCGTGGAGCACGAGGGTGCCAAGGCCCGCAGGTGGCTGACTTGTGTGCTCTGGTGCCATGCTCAGATTTGATGGGATGACCCTGCAATTGCCTGCTTTGTGAGCCACACAGGCCTGGGTCAAAAAGACGACGGACCACCAGCCTGGGCAACACACAAAGCGAAACCTGTCTCCACTTAAAAGATAATTAGGGTGTGGTGGTGTGTGCTTGTGGTCCCTGCTACTTGGGAGGCAGAGGCAGGAGCATCACTTGAGCCCGGGAGGTTGAGGCTGCAGTGAGCTGGGATGGCACATGGCGCTCCAGCCTGGGTGACTGAGTCCGTCTCAAAAAAAGAATGGGCGGCCGGACAGGTGAAAATAACAATGGACGGGGCCCTGGGAGAAGTTCCCGCCTTTCTCTGGGCCACCACCTCCAGGTTACTGGACTGCCAGCAGGTAGAGGGGCCAGGGTGCCATCCGGGGGGCCGCTGAGGGGGTCCAGACTTCCTATACCTGCCCTTCAGCAGAGGCAGGCTGGGGCGGTCCTCATGTGAGGGGCTCTGCACCCACATCCGGGGGGCCGCTGAGGGGGTCCAGCCTTCCTATACCTGCCCTTCAGCAGAGGCAGGATGGGGCGGTCCTCATGTGAGGGGCTCTGCACCCACGTCCGGGGCTCTTGTTCCAGGGCAGGGGCAGAGCCGCTCCTCTCTATCCTGCCGGGCAAGACTCCTTGGTGCTCTTCCATCGGGCAGAACTGACCAAGACTCAGAACATTCAATGTCAGGAGCCAGCTGGGGACAGGATCTGCCTTGGGAGACTTGGCAGGCCCAGTGACCATCCCACTGCACAGCTGGGGGTGGGGGCGACACTCCAGAGGGACACGTTCGGGCCTCCTGGGGGGTGCAGGCTTCTGGGCACGTCCACCAGGCATGCACACCGGCCACCCCACCCTGCTCTCGCTCACCCACAAGGTCTCTGGCAGCCCTTCCGGGAATGTTTCCATTTCATCCTGTGTCCTCCTGTCTCAAACTCCTTTGGGCTGGAGACCCCAGTGGGTCATCGAGGTGGGGCCAGCTGGACTGTGGACAGCCCCATGTTTAAAATCTAGCGTGGAAACTGAGGTGCTCCTAGACCACAGTGGGGTATCAGGAGGAGGAAGCTGCTCCCCTTCCCCTCCCTGGCTCTGGCCTGGCAGCGTGGAGTGAGTTCCCCTCCCCACCTCCAGCTTCTCCCTCTAGGCAGAGATGGGTCTTACTGGCACCACACAGACCCCTGGGTAGGTGGGAGAGCAGGTCTTTTTCCTGGGAGGAGGAACTTGGCCTTGGACACACCCACACCGCCCATGTCACTCCTCAGTTCTTTTTTTTTTTGAGACGGAGTCTCGCTCTGTTGCCCAGGCTGGAGTGCGGTGGCGTGATCGCTGCTCACTGCAAGCTCCACCTCCCAGGTTCACGCCATTCTCATGCCTCAGCCTCCCAAGTAGCTGGGACTACAGGTGCCGGCCACCACGCCCGGCTAATTTTTTTGTATTTTTAGTAGAGACGTGGTTTCACCATGTTAGCCAGGATGGTCTCGATTTCCTGACCTTGTGATCCGCCTGCCTGGGCCTCCCAAAGTGCTGGGATTACAGGCGTGAGCCACCGCGCCCGGCCTGTCACTCCTCAGTTCTAACTCATGAAGCAATCAGGGTTCTTGGGCCCTGTGACCTGGAACCATTCTGCTGCACCTGCACTGAGGGTTCAAGGACTCCTCACTGTAGGCCACGCCTGGTCCTCTTCTGGTCACCAGCCCGCAAGCAGCAGCTGGGCTGAGGGGACTGGCAGACCTGGGTCCTCAGCTTCCCTGGGCCTTGGTTTCTCCATCTCCATCTGCATCTGAGAGTGACAGGCAGGCGGGCATCTCGCGCGGGGGGCGGGAGAGCGAGAGCCGCAGATGCACAGTCCGCTTCCTGGATGCTGGACCAGGTGGTCCAGTTTTCAAGGCTTGTGTTTTTGGGGGACTCTTGATCAGATGGGACCACTCCCCGCAGGCCATTCTTTGTGGCTGCAGTGGCACTGAGCTCTCTCAGACTCCCTGGCTGCCCATGACCTCGGGAGCCCACTTCCGTCGGGACCTGCCTCCTCACCTTCCCGTGCCTGTGGTGCTGGTACTGTGTCTGCCCCCTCTTCTGGGGGATGTCCTCCCACCACCCTGCACATCACTGCCCTTTTAAATTCTTTCTGAAATGGGGTCTCGCTGTCGCCCAGGCTGGAGTGCAGCGGTGTGATCACAGCTCACTGTAACCTCCGTCTCCTGGACTCAAGCAATTCTCCCACCTCAGCCTCCCAAGGAACTGGGACTATAGGTGCGCACCACAATGCCTGGTTAATTTTTTATTTTTTAGAGATGGGGCCTTGCTATGTTGCCCAGGCTGGTCTTGAACTCCCGGGTTCAAGCGATCCTCCTGCCTTGGCCTCCCAAAGTGCTGAGATTATGGCGTGAGCCTCTGCGCCCTGCCCCCCACTCTTCTCTTAATCCCGGGGACGTTTTGACGGCTCTCCCGACATGGGACGTACGTCCCCAGAGGCGTGTGACCCAGAGCCCTGATGCCCACACAGCCCTGTGCTGCCCAATTTGCCCCGCCCCACCTGCCCCACCTTGATGCTGTCTCAGCAGCTCGTCAGGATCCAGAACCTGGCTGGAAAGCTGCCAGGCTCCACTGGGCCTGGAGGTGCAATCCTACGGCCTTGGAAGGGTCTTAGTCTGACCAAGCTGCAGAGCCAGGCAGGTCTGCTGGGTTCTGAGCTCAGACAACTGATGGCCTCGGACGCCTTGAGGGAAGCTGGGCCAGGCCCAGAAGACTCCCACCCCACCCTGTGGCCCCCCTGGAGGAAGAAGCCGGCCTCTGCGTGTGCAGTAACAGCTTTAATCTGTGGTGGCCCCTGCCCTCCTGCATCCAGGCAGGAAGAGCCGTTTCTCGGGGAATTAAAGCAGGAGCGTTTCCCACACTGTCTCCTGGGAGTCCATGCTTACAGTGACAGCACTGCTGAGTGGTGCCATGTCACCAGGGCTGGGCCTGGGCACAGAGAGGCAGGGTGCCAGTCTTTATATATTATACATATATATATATATATATATATATATATTTCATGTGTATACACAGTTTTCTCTTGAAAGTATTAAAAAATTGATCAACCTTCAATCTATAAAAAATACCTACTCTACATGATAGAAAAATCTCTCCTCCAAGTTTACACTGATTTACACCCAAGGCTTTCCCCAAATGTACAATAGGAGGCGACCTCTTACATCCTAGCGTGGAAGGCGGCGGATGTGGGGCCACACGTACACGCGCGCGCACACACACGCAGCGGGTGGCCAGTCTTGGTGATGGGGTCTGGGCCCACCCGGGAATGCTGGGGGTTGGGGCAGGCCCGCGGTCCTGCGGGGTGACACCGCTGTGCCTGGGGTGCAGACCCCGAGAAGCACAGGCCCCCTCCTGCTCTGCTGTGAGTCTTCCCTGCCCTCTCCCTCCTGCAACATGCACCCTCGGGGAAGAACCACGATTTCTAAGTGAGACACACCCAGAAGAAAACAGGGTTCCCGATGTTTGGATTCTGGCCTGGGAAGTGCGTGGGGAGGGTGTGGCCTTTAGGAGGCCGGGCCAGGCCGCACCTGTGGAGAAGCAGCACCTGGGAGCCAGAGGGGCCTGTGGCATCCACCCTGCCCAGGGAGAGAGCGCCACACAGCGGTCATCTCAGGTCCTGATGTCGGAGTGGAGGCCCCAGAGGCTCCTGCCCGGCCCCCATAGGTGGTCAGAGCCCCCAGGGGTTACTGCAGCGAGGACTGGGCCGTGGGAACAGCCACATGGCCTGGAGGCCCCAGAGCTGGACTGAGGTGACCACATCTGGCTGGGCAATGGCCCGAGCAGCGTAGGGAGAGCTGGGGAACGCACCAGCCTTGCCCACCCGTCCTTCCCCCACCACCATGTCCGAGGTGAGGGTCTGGGAGCCCGTCAGCCATCAGGAGCGGCTCAACATGGGTGACACGGCACCAGCGTACTTATGTGGGTGGCTTAGGCAGCAGCACCCCTGGAGGGACCTGTTTTCTTCCTTTCTTCCCAACAGGGCTGCACGTGGGAAGAGGGACCACCACAAGGAGGCCACAGCAGGGCTCACCCCACACCGCTGCACAGAGAGGCTCTCCAGCCCATCCTGCTGAACTGAAGTGTACGCGTTCATGGCCAGCTTGACTCAGGGCTGGGAAGCTCTGGGCCCCCGGAAGGTCAGCGCTGATGGACGGCCCTGCCACAACCCTCATCCTCTGTGGACCCCGGGCCCTGGGACTTCCCTTTCTCCCTCTCCTCTCCACCACCCTCTGCCCCTTTGGCAGCCCCGGTCTTTGGCGGCCCCAGCTCAGCTGCACGAGGGTTCCCTGCATGCTCTGGGCACTGTCGGCTGTGGGACCTGCTGGTCTTGGCTCCTCATGGTCTGACGGAACCACTCCAGGGTGTTGGAGTCCCGAATCCAGCTCAGGCTGGACCTTCCTGCCTCTACTTGACCTCCAGGATGGACGGGTTGGTCTCCATGATGGCCACGATGATCCTGTCGATGTAGTCCTGCAGGCGGAAGTTGATCTCCTCCTGCTTCTGAATCGCCTCCATGAGCTGTAGGGCAAGCAGGTGGTCAGAGCTGAGGCGCATGGGCCACAGGCCACAGCGCATAAACCACAGCGCACAGACAGTGCAGACTGTGGACCCCAGGCCACACCGTGCAGACACGGGATGTGTTACCTCATCTCGGGAGACGGAGCTGATCTCTGCAGCCAGGGACTCAGAGAAGGCTGTGGAGAAGAGGCTCTTGGCGCCCTGGATGCTGAGGGTAATGATCTGCCCGTTCAGCTCCTCGTTCTGCTCCTTCAGGTTGCGGTTGTCCTGAAGGCACAGCAACATCACTACTGGGCTGTGGCCCCTGCTGGTGGCTGAGCAGGGACAAGGACTGCCCGGGGAAAAAGGCCTCCAGCTCAGATGCTGACCCTCCACGGCCCCCCCTTCCCAACCAGTCTTGTGGAAGCTTCTGCAGGAGTGTGAGGGAGGGAGGCCCAGGCCTGCCCACCTGCTTCAGCCTGCGGACCTCCTGCTCCAGCTCGCTCTCCCGGGCGCGGCTGTGGTACTCCTGCAGGCCCATGCTGCTGCTGCGGCCCCGCCGCTGCTCGGCCTCCAGCTTGAGGAGCTGCAGGTGCTCCAGCTGCTTTCGGAGGTCCTCGATCAGCTGCAGGGCAACCGTGCAGTGAGCCGGGGGGCCTGGGCTCCCAGGGGCCACCGTCAGCCATCACTTGGCTGTAGAACCTCAGGGTTGATCTGGCCGTCTCTCGGGAGGACGACACACACCAGCGGCTATGCCCAAAGCAGCACAGCCAAGAGCTAGCGTCTCAGGAAACAAAGGCTCCCCGTGGGGCAGGCTGGGCGCAGGACTGGGCGTGGGGCAGGGTGGGTGCTCACCTCCTGGGTGGCCTCCTTGTCCCTCTGGAACTGGTGCCTCTCGTGACTCAGCCTGTCCCCCATTCTCCTCTTGTTCTCCTGCTCTTCACTGAGCCGCAGCGTCAGCGACTCTATCTCATCCAACAGCTTCTGCTTCTCCTGCAGGGGTGGACACCTGCCCTGGATGCGGGTCACGCACCTACCTGTGCATGCAGCTTGCCCCGGCCGTCTGTCCCTCCAATCTCTGAGTCTCCCAACAGCAACGCGGTGGCGCCCGTGCTTGGAGCGCGACAGGGCTGGGTCTGAGCCTTCCTGCCTCTCAGTGGAGGTCAAGGCCACCTGCTTCTGGGTAGAGGCGCACACGCAGGCCACGAGGGCCGTTTCTCACGAGGGGCAGGAAGGACCTTTGTGTGGACAGGACCTGACTCAGTGGCTGTGGGCACCTCCAGCCGGGCTCCTCTGGTTCATGGGAGTCAGGGCCCAAGTGCTCTGAGAATATCCTTCCTGGGAGCTTCCCAGAGCACACCTGGTGAGGTGGGGGCAGGGAGGTCTCGCAGTGACAAGCTGGGGTGTGGGAGCCCCATGTGTAGCCTCTGCCTCCACGTCGGCAGTGGTTGGGGCATAAGTGGCTGGCTGATGCCTTCCCCTTGGAGGACAATTCCCAGATTCAGAGCCCTGGGTCCATCTAGGAGTGAGCCTCTGGGCCCTGCTCCTGTGGGTGGAGCACGGTCCAGTGTCTTCCAGCGGCCTGGGCCCTGAGCTGGCCCCGTTCCCTCACACACAGCACAGTATCCCGCTCAGCACAGAGCTCAGGGCTACCTCAGCTGCCCCACAGGCAGGGCATGGGCTGGCCCCACTGGCCACAGCTCCAGGCTGTTGGCAGCTCACCTCCTCCAGACGCTCAATGTTGGCCTTCAGACAGGGCGTGCAGGACCGGAGTTCACTGTTCTCCTCGTCCAGTTGCTGTAGCCTGGGACACAAGAACAAAGCTGAAACTCACTCCAGGAAGCTCGCCTCTACAGGGCCAGTGTGCCCTGTGTCTCAGGGAAACCCTGCTGGGGCCGCCCTGTGACCAACAGACGCCCCCAAACGACCAGGGCCAATCCTTATGTGCCCACCCATGTGCTCCAGGGCACAGCTTTTCCGTAATCCTTGAAGGTTTTAGTATTATTTTTTTATTTTTTTCTTGAGGCAGAGTCGCACTCTGTCACCAGGCTGGAGTGCAGTGGTGTGATCTCAGCTCACTGCAAGCTCCATCTCCCGGGGTTCAAGCGATTCTCCTGCCTCAGCCTCCTGAGTAGCTGGGATTACAGGCGCCTGCCACCACGCCCGGCTAATTTTTGTAATTTCAGTAGAGAGGGGGTTTCGCCATGTTGGCCAGGCTGGTCTCGAACTCCTGACCTCATGATCCGCTTGCCTCAGCCTCCCAAAGTGCTGTGATTACAGGCGCGAGCCACCCCGCCGGCCATCCACGGTGGTTTTTTTAATATACTTTGGGTTTTGGAATAATTTTAGGTTTACAGAAAAGTTGAAGGCGAGTACAGTGGCTTACGCCTGTAATCCCAACACTTTGGGAGGCCAATGCGGGAGGATTGCTTGGGCCCAGGAGTTTGAGACCAGCCTGGGCAATATAGTGAGACCCCCATCTCTATAAAAAAATACAAAAATTAGCCGAGCATAGTGGCACATGCCTGTAGCTCCAGCTACTTGAGGGGCTGAGGTAGGAGGATCACTTGATCCTGGAAGTACAAGGCTGCAGTGAGCTGTGATCCCGCCACTGCGCTCCAGCCTAGTGACAAAGCAAGATCCTGTATCTATTTATTTACTTATTTTGAGACAGTCTCACTCTGTTGCCCAGGCTGGAGTGCAGTGGCACCATCTCGGCTCACTGCAAGCTTCGCCTTCCGGGTTCACGCCATTCTCCTGCCTCAGCCTCCCGAGTAGCTGGGACTACAGGCGACTGCCACCACACCCGGCTAATTTTTTCTATTTTTAGTAGAGACGGGGTTTCACTGTGTTAGCCAGGATGGTCTCAATTTCCTGACCTGGTGATCCACCTGCCTCGGCCTCCCAAAGTGCTGGGATTACAGGCGTGAGCCACCGCGCCCGGCCAAGATCCTGTATCAAAAAGAAAAAAAGAAGTAGCAGACACAGTGTAGTCCCCGTGGGCCCTGCACTGGCCTCCCTTGGTGTGGTCACTGTTCTTCACTGTGGTGTTATGTGTCACAGTCACAGAGCCACATTGGGACACTCTGCAGACCACACTAACTGAAGACTGTGGCTTTCCCATGCGTGCCCTTTCTGTTCTGGGACCCCATCCAGCAACCACACTGCATTTGTTTGGTTTTTTGAGAGAGGGTCTCGCTCTGTTACCCAGAGTGCACTGGTGGAATCTCAGCTCACTGCAGCCCCGACCTCCCGGGCTCAGGAGATCCTCCTGCCTCAGCCTCCCAAGTAGCTGGGAGTACACGTGTGCCCCACCACACGTGGCTAATTTTTAAATTTTTTGCAGAGACAAGGTCTTGCTGTGTTGCCTGAGCTGGTCTCCAACTCTGAGCTTAAAGGTTCCAACAGCCTCAGCCTCCCAAAGAGCTGGGATTACAGGTGTGAGCCACCGTGCCCAGCCCACACTGCATTTTGTCTCCTCCGTCCCCTGGTCTGTGAGTCTCCCAGACTTTCCTGTGTTTTCCGACCTTGACGGTGTCGAGCAGGCCTGTCATGGTGTCTGTAGAGCGTCCCCCACGTTGGGTCCGTCTGGTGTTTTCTCGCAATTAGACTGGGTGATGGGTTTTGGGAAGATGCCCACAGAGGTGCGGGGCCCTTCCCGTCACACCGTATCAGGGTCCTGACGTCCGCACGGCTTTCTGATCACCTGGCCAAGGTCTGCCTGCCAGGTGTGCACTCTGACAGGTCCCTGCTTTCCCGCCCGCTCTGTCCTCTGGAAGCCGCTCACTGGGTCCAGCCCCCGCCTCCTGGAGGGAGTGTCTGCGGACATTATGTGGAATTCCTCTGTGAGGAAGATTTGTGTCTTCTCTATTTATTTATTTTATTTTATTTTTGAGATGGAGTTTTGCTCTTGTCGCCCAAGCTGGAGTGCAACCTCTGCCTCCCAGGTTCAAGTGATTCTCCTGCCTCAGCCTCCCGAATAGCTGGGATTACGGGCGGCCGCCACCGCGCCTGGCTAATTTTTGTATTTTCAGTAGAGACAGGGTTTCACCATGTTGGCCAGGCTGGTCTGGAACTCCTGACCTCAGATGATCCACCTGCCTCGGCCTCCCAAAGTGCTGGGGTTACAGGCGTGAGCCACCGCGCCCGGCCCTCTTTTCTGTTCGTTGATGATAATTTATCTGTGTCATATGGACTCACGCACTTTATGCTTTGGATTGTAATCCAAGGCTGTCACTATGAGTTTGTTAAACTGTTCCAGCTTTGGCGTCTGGCAACTCCTTCAGCTGGCCCATGTCCCTCTGAGATAACCTCAGTGTCTGTGCTCATGGGGGGTTTTTAGTGTAAGCACCTCATTTTCAGATACTACACATTGCTGCAGGCTTAGCCTGTCCCAGCCTCAGAACTGGCCATTTCTCCAAGGAACCCTGGATCTTCTCCATAATCCAGTTGTCCTCACCATCCCGTTACCCTGCCGTCCCTTCTAATTCAATCCAACCTGCACCAACACCCAGAATTTGGTGTAAGTGGAAACCCAGGGGCAGCACAGGGCTGGGCGGGAAGGGCTTAAGGTGTCCTCTACCCAGGAGGGGACTTGCTCTTGCTTTGCAAACTGATGATTGAGACCAGGGGCAAAGCAGATGCAACCCCTTCCAAAGAGCACCGGCCGGCCTCTGCACTGCCGGGGAGGCCACGGGGTGCCCGGGACAGGCACGCTCCCAGGACTTGTCTGGGGCTGGTCAGACCCCTGGCCTCAGGTGTTCGTCAGGAGGACCCGGGCGCTCGGTGGTGCCACTCTGGTGTGTGCTGGCGCCCTGCAGTCCCGATTCCTCCTCTAGGGTGGGGATGGGTGTGATCCAGCTGTATGTGGGTGGGGACCCTCCTGTGTGAGCCTCGCCTTTATCCAACTTCCACGGTTCCTGGTGCTACCCACTTCTGAGCCTTCATGTACCAAGATGCAAACCCCGGTCCGTGTCGGCCGTGTGGCTGTTCCGAGATGCAAACCCCAACACGTGTCGGCCGTGTGGCTGCTCCGAGATGCAAACACCGGTGCGTGTCGCCCGTGTGGCTGCTCCGAGATGCAAACACCGGTGTGTGTCGCCCGTGTGGCTGCTCCGAGATGCGAACCCCGGTCCGTGTCAGCCGTGTGGCTGCTCCGAGATGCAAACACCGGTCCGTGTCGCCCGTGTGGCTGCTCCAAGATGCAAACACCGGTGCGTGTCGCCCGTGTGGCTGCTCCGAGATGCGAACCCCGGTCCGTGTCAGCCATGTGGCTGCTCCGAGATGCAAACACCGGTGTAGCTGCTGGCGCAGGGTGTTGTTTGCGTTAGGAGTGTGTGCAGCTGTGCTTTCTGGGCTGCACCTTTGCCATCTGCCTTTCCTGTTGTTTTGCTGAGTGGAGCATACTAAGTTCCACTCTCCGCCTCTAACCCTGGAGTCCAGACGGCTCTACCCACAGCTATTTTCTCCTTTCAAAGTAACACTTGCATGTTTTGTTCATAATTATGAAAGCAAATTATGTTTTAATTCTATTGAATTTCAAAACTACAGATAAGCAAAGAGAAGAAAATAAAGAGCCGCACAGCTTCACACACAGCAGCACTGCCTTCCCGAGGCCTGACCCCTCTTTCTTTCCTCCTTGCCCCAGCCTCTCGCTGTCCATCAGACACACTCGGCTCTGCCCAGTGCTGGGGTCAGTCTTTCTGACTTCTCTCCTTTCATTATCAGGCTCAGGGGAGTCTACTCACATTTTCTGGAAGGACGAGCTATGCTACGTGGCACAAGCGAAGGCTTCCCTGGGCTTCCTTGGCTCACGTGCTGCTAGAAAGCACCACACACCAGGGCCACGTTCACCCAGTTCACTCTGTGCCTGATGATGGGCCATGTACCCCAACGCCGGGGGTTCGGCAGGTGCCACAAGCTGCAAATCAGGCCCCGGTCTCTGTGGACATGCCACTGTGGCCCCATCAGCCTTCACTCCAGCTCTCTGCAGCCTGCCAGGGGCTCCCATACTTTCTGGAAGCCCCTGGGGGCCCCACTCCCAGAGGTACCTGGCCTTTCCTAGAACCTCTCCCGGGCCCTGTGTCCTGAGATTCAGATCTCTGCCTGTGACCTTCGTACAGCCCCATTCTGCTGATGACACATATTCTCCTTTCCCGGTCCCTAAACAAGGATGTCCAAAGCTCCAGCCTCTCCACTCCTCCATCTTCTCTATGCCCTTTCAGCTTTAACTCTCATCTCTACTGAGGCTCCACTCCTGAAATCCAGCTGTTTTCTAGGCACTGCAACTGCATAGCCACCCGCCCCTGCTGTTCCCAGGAGGTTCCGACGCAGGTGCTGGGAGTCCTGCCTCCAGATCCTCTGCTCCTGAGGACCCCGGACTGAGACAGTGTCTTTGCACTGACCAGGGTCTTCCTGTACACCAGATGGGCAGAGGCCAGGCTGGGGAAGTCCCCAAGATGCCAGAGGCCTCGTGCTGGGCTGACCGCAGGTTGCTGACCTGGGGCTGCAGGGGCCTCTGACGGCCTGAGCAGCCCTGAGAACCACAAGGTTCCTGGTGGCCACTCCAGGAAGCTGCAGGAGGCCCAGAACACGGTGGCACTGACCCCAAGCGCTTAGGGTGGGCAGGCGGCTTGCTCACAAGAGGCAGTGACACTGGGCCCTGCTTGCTCCCTGAGGGCCTCGTGAGACCCCTATCTTGTGCCCCTCCACACCAGAGCACACAGAGGCGGCAGGATGTCCACACGGCTGTGCCCCAACCTCAGCCCCAGCGGAAAGGTCCCATGGGAGGTGCTCCCTGGCGCTCACAGACGAGAAACGTACTTTAATTTTGAGCCCACTCAACTGCACTGTGCCAAGGCCCGGGGAAAACACTGTCCTGGCTGCCCTGACCTTGCTCCCCAGAAGACGGCGCCCCACTGCAATGGCAGGCACGGAGGCCTCCCTGTGTGGGGCGTCCCGCACAGCTCTCTCAGTGCAGGCCCCTTCCTGCCACCAGTTTTGAAAATGCCTAGGAGCTCTTCTTAGATAAGGCAAGTATCTTAGCTTTAAGAGCTGGAAGGAACACAAGCAAAAGAACCTGAAATCCTCTTATGAATATTTAAAACTACTGTATTTCAAAATCTAAAAGTAGTACATGCTCAGTTTAAAAAAGCCACGTGAGGTGGCTCATGCCCATAATCCCAGCACTTTAAGAGGCTGAGGTGCTTCTGCTGAGAGTATGGAGAGGAAAAACAACAACAACAAAAAATCCCAACAACAACAACAAAAAGAGGCCAAGGTGGGAGAATCACTTAAAGCTAAGAGCTCAAGACCAGCCTGGGCAACACAGCAAGACCTCGTCTCTACCAAAAAAGAAAAGTTAGCCAGGTATGATAGAGCACACTTGGAGCCCCAGCAACTCAGGGGCTGAGGCAGGAGGATTGCTTGAGCCCGGGAGTTCAAGGCTGCAGTGAGCCATGACAGGGCCACTGCACTCCAGCCAGGGGCACAGAGCAAGACCCCATCTCAAAACAGACAAACAAACAAACAAACAACTGTATAAAACAACTTCCTCCACCCTCACTACCCAGACACACAAGAAGGATAGAGAACTCTAGAGTCCTCTGATTATAGATATTTTAAGTTACCTGATGCTTTTAACTTTTACAGAAAATCAATAACCGTCCCTTGCAAATGTATTTCTAAACACACACCAGGAATCCACAGCATGAGCTCCCAGATGGAGAACCAAGGGAGGCACCATGCTGCTTTAATGCTTGTGCCTCGGCGGGCACAGTGGCTCACGCTGGTAATCCCAGCGCTTTGGGAGGCCGAGGTGGGAGGAATGCTTGAGCCCAGGAGTTCAAGACCAGCCTGGGCCACACAGCAAGAACCCCTGTCTCTATTTAAAATAATGATTTTTTGGCTGGGTGCAGTGGCTCACACCTCTAATCCCAGCACTTTGGGAGGCTGAGGCGGGTGGATTACCTGAGGTCAGGAGTTCAAGACTATCCTGGCCAACATGGTGAAACCCGTCTCTGCTAAAAATACAAAAAATAGCTGGGTGCAGTGGTGTGAGCCTCTAGCCCCAGCTACCAGGGAGGCTGAGGCAACAGAATTGCTTGAACGCAGGAGACAGAGGTTGTGGTGAGCCAAGATCGCCCCACTGCACTCTAGCCTGGGCGACAGGGTGACACTTGGTCTCAAAAAAAAAAAAAAAAAAAAAAGGCCGGGCGCGATGGCTCATGCCTGTAACCCCAGCACTTTGGGAGGCCGAGGCAGGTGGATCACGAGGTCAGGAGATCAAGACCATCCTGGCTAACACGGTGAAACCCCGTCTCTACTAAAATTACAAAAAATTAGCCGGGCGTGGTGGCAGGCACCTGTAGTCCCAGCTACTCGGGAGGCTGAGGCGGGAGAATGGCGTGAACCCGGGAGGCAGAGCTTGCAGTGAGCCGAGATCGCGCCACTGCACTCCAGCCTGGGCGACAGAGCAAGACTCCATCTCAAACCCACCCACCCCCACCCAAAAAAAAAAGATTGGTATTTTAAAAAGACTGGATACGTTGGTTAGACATGGATTTACAGAAACCAGCACCCGCACAGCGTCAGGGTCAGTCTTTGAACCGATCCCTTGTGGTCTTTGGGAGAGTTTCAAAGTCTTCTCCACATAGCTTTGCCCCTTTTTCTAAACTTTCAGGTTATTCCTAGCCACTGCCGGTTCTGGGGTGGGCGGGCTGTCGGAACCTCTCCTGCCTGGCCTGCAGTTTCTGGGGTGGGTGGGCTGTCAGGAACCTCTCCTACCTGGCCTGCAGGTTCTGGGGTGGGCGGGCCGTCGGGGAACTTCTCCTACCTGGCCTGCAGGTTCTGGGGTGGGCGGGCCATCAGGGAACTACTCCTACCTGGCCTGCAGGTTCTGGGGTTGGCGGGCCGTCAGGAACCTCTCCTACCTGGCCTGCAGTTTCTGGGGTGGGCGGGCCGTCAGGAACCTCTCCTGCCTGGCCTGCAGTTTCTGGGGTGGGCGGTCTGTCAAGAACCTCTCCTACCTGGCCTGCAGTTTCTGGGGTGGGCGGGCTGTCGGGAACCTCTCCTGCCTGGCCTGCAGTTTCTGGGGTGGGCGGGCCGTCGGGAACCTCTCCTACCTGGCCTGCAGGTTCTGGGGTTGGCGGGCCGTCGGGGAACTTCTCCTACCTGGCCTGCAGGTTCTGGGGTTGGCGGGCCGTCGGGGAACTTCTCCTACCTGGCCTGCAGGTTCTGGGGTTGGCGGGCCGTCGGGGAACTTCTCCTACCTAGCCGGCAGGTTCTGGGGTTGGCGGACTGTCGGGGAACTTCTCCTACCTGGCCTGCAGGTTCTGGGGTTGGCGGGCTGTCGGGAACCTCTCCTACCTGGCCTGCAGTTTCTGGGGTGGGCGGGCCGTCAGGAACCTCTCCTGCCTGGCCTGCAGTTTCTGGGGTGGGCGGGCTGTCAAGAACCTCTCCTACCTGGCCTGCAGTTTCTGGGGTGGGCAGGCTGTCGGGAACCTCTCCTGCCTGGCCTGCAGTTTCTGGGGTGGGCGGGCCGTCGGGAACCTCTCCTACCTGGCCTGCAGGTTCTGGGGTTGGCGGGCCGTCGGGGAACTTCTCCTACCTGGCCTGCAGGTTCTGGGGTTGGCGGGCCGTCGGGGAACTTCTCCTACCTGGCCTGCAGGTTCTGGGGTTGGCGGGCCGTCGGGGAACTTCTCCTACCTGGCCGGCAGGTTCTGGGGTTGGCGGACTTTCGGGGAACTTCTCCTACCTGGCCTGCAGGTTCTGGGGTTGGCGGACTTTCGGGGAACTTCTCCTACCTGGCCTGCAGGTTCTGGGGTTGGCGGGCTGTCGGGAACCTCGCCTACCTGGCCTGCAGTTTCTGGGGCTGGCGGGCTGTTGGGGACCGTCTCCTACCTGGCCTGCAGGTTCTGGGGTGGATGGGCTGTTGGGAACCGCCTACCTGGTCTGCAGGTTCTCGATCTCAATGCTCTTCTCCCTCTCCATCTTGCACAGGAGCTCCTTCTGACGCCGGGTCTCTTCCAGGACCATCTCGCAGGCTCTCAGCTCCTGCTCCTTCAGCTGCTCCTCCAGGGCGTTTGCTCTTGAAAGGCAAAGGGAGGAGCTGAGCTGTCTCCAGGCAGGGTGTGCAGTGGCTCCACCCATGCCCAGAAGCTGCCTCAGGACCTCCAGAGAACCTGCCTCCACTCGGGAGTAGGGCACCGAGAAGGGCATCCCCGAGCTCTGGTCAAGGCAGTTCTGAAGCAGCGAATACACCCCCAGATGGCCTCGCCTCCCACACTAAAGGCACCTGGGGTGGCCGGAGCAGTGTCCACTGCACCTAGGCCCAGCTGATACCCACAGGCACTGCCCGCTTGTGGCCTGTGGACCGCAGCACTCAGAGGGCCTGAGCCCGCCAGGTAACTTCTCCTGGTGCACTCTGTGTTCATGCAGCTGCTCCACCTGCAGCCACTACACACAACGCGTGCGCTCAGAGCCCAGAGGCACGGAGCCTCGGGACGGGGCGTGGAGGTGCCAGGGCCACTACACACAACGCGTGCGCTCAGAGCCCAGAGGCACGGGGACTCGGGACGGGGCGTGGAGGTGCCAGGGCCACTACACACAACGAGTGCGCTCAGAGCCCAGAGGCACGGGGACTCGGGACGGGGCGTGGAGGTGCCAGGGCCACTACACACAACGCGTGCGCTCAGAGCCCAGAGGCACGGGGCCTCGGGACGGGGCGTGGAGGTGCCAGGGCCCAAGGGCCACAGCATTTCCAGGAAGTGAGTGTCTGATGAGCACGTGGTCCGCGGCAGCTGAACACCAGAGAACTGAGTGTGCTGGCGGAGTCTGCCTTCAGCTGCAGTACAGTCAGTTCATGGCACATCACCCAAAGGTGCTCACGAGGCTTCCTGAGATGCCAGGTCCACATGGGAGCCAGGACGAGTCTGGCTCTGGCAGCTGGGCACATCCGGGCCCCAGAGGCTGTGAGGGGCCACAAGTGGGGGGGGGGCCCACTCTGCTCCCAGTCCCCTCCAGGCTGGGGAAGTGGGTATAGAGACCAGTCCCATCCAGGTCACCTCAGAGCAGAGGCAGGGCAGGTGTCAGCTAGACCACAGGGGAAAGGGAATATTCCCACAGGGCAGGGAGACCCTGGCCTTCCTGAGATCTTCACAACCATCCGCAGGAGACAGGACTGAACCATCCCAAAGAGAAGGGCACAGGCCCTGCCCACTGACACAGCACAGCCCACGCCCTCTGGCCCTGCCTCGCACAGAGCCTCTCATCCTTGTGGTGCCTCACACGCAGGAGTGAACAGATGGCCAAAGATCACCAGACACAACAGGAAAGCTTTCAACAGGAAGTGGCCAAAGCAAACACCAAGTGAGGACCCAGGGAGACACATGATGCAGCAGACAGCAGGGAAAGGTCCCCGAGCCAGCGGCCTCCGCGAGCAGAGAGCCAAAGCTGCAGCGTCAGGGCAGCCTGCTGCAGAAGAGACAAACAACAAGGAACAGCTCCCAGGAACTGAAAGCGTGGGAAGGACAATTTAAAAGTCCGATTGAGATGCCGGGCTCACGCCTGTAATCCCAGCACTCTGGGAGGCAGAGGCGGGCAGATCACCTGAGATCAGGAGTTCGAGACCAGCCTGACCAATATGGTGAAACCCTGAATCTACTAAAAATACAAAAATTAGCCGGATGTGGTGGCAGGTGCCTGTAGTCCCAGCTACTCGGGAGGCTGAAGCACGAGAATCATTTGAACCCAGGAGGCAGAGGTTGCACTGAGCAGAGATCACACCACTGCACTACAGCCTGGGCAACAGAGTGAGACTCTGTCTCAAAAAAAAAAAAAAGATCTGATCAAGAGTTGAAGGAGAAAACTGAGAATATTACATAGAAAAAAAGAACAGAAAGATAAAATTAGAGACGAGGAAAGTTTAAAAAAGGAGAGGAAACATCCAGAAGGCCCACTGTGTGACTAGCAGATGTTCAGACAGATGAGAGGGAGAGGCCGCATGGTGAAATAACTTCAGAAGTCTTCCCACAGCGAAAGGACGCGTTTTCCAGATTTAAAGGCTGAAAACCTAGGCCAGGCGCGGTGGCTCATGCCTGTAATCCCAGCACTTTGGGAGGCCGAGGCAGATGGATCACTTGAGGTCAGGAGTTCAACACCGGCCTGGCCAACATGGTGAAACCCCGTCTCTACTAAAAATACAAAAATCAGCCGGGCACAGTGGCGCATGCCTGTAATCCCAGCTACTTGGGAGGCTGAGGCAGGAGAATCACTTGAACCCGGGAGGCGGAGGTTGCCGTGAGCGGAGATTGTGCCATTGCACTCCAGCCTGGGTGACACAGCAAGGCTCTGTCTCAAAAAACAAAACAAAACAAAACAAAACGAAATAAAGGCTGAAAACCAGGTGCACAGCACGGCAAATAATACAAGATCCTCCTCCAAGTATGTAGGGTGGGAAACAGAAGTTACAGAGAACATCAAGGCCCTGCGGCACCAGAGGTTCCTCAGTCACAGCACCGGGTCAGAGGTCTTCACATTCTCAGGGAATTCGATCTCTGACCTAGAATTTTATGCCCAGCTACACTATGGACTGGAGCAGGGTGGGAGGAAAAAGCACTTCCACACAAGCAGTTCTCAGAGCATCTGGCTCCTGTGCTCCCTTTTCCAGGCAACTATCAGTGACATACTCAGAAAATGAGTTGGCAAAACAGAAGAAAACGTGGGACCCAGAAAATAAGGAATCAAACACAGGAGAAAGCACTCGGAATTCCTAGGATGGCAGCTGTACGGCACAGCTAGAGAGCAAATGGCTCAGAACGGGCAGATGATACTGAAAACGGGAAACGTACTCTTAGGATGGCAGCTGTATGGTAGGGCTAGAGAGCAAATGGCTCAGAACGGGCAGATGATACTGAAAACGGGAAACGTACTCTTAGGATGGCAGCTGTATGGTAGGGCTAGAGAGCAAATGGCTCAGAACGGGCAGATGATACTGAAAACGGGAAACGTGTTGTTTAGGACGTTGGAGGTGAGCACCACAGGGAACAGCCACAGGAACTGAATGTGGCCGGGGCTGCACTGCAGACGGTCAGTGGGTGGTGCCAGGCGGCAGTGTGGACTTCACACCACACACACGGAAAACAGATGAACATACTCCAGACTCAAATGAAACCTCCACAGTCAACTCGACAAAGGCATCTAGGCTGGACATGGTGGCTCACGCCTCTGATTTCAGCACTTTGGGGGGCCAAGGTGGGAGGATCGCTTGAGGCCAGGCGTTTGAGACCAGCATGGGCAACATGGCAAGACCTCATCTCTATAAAAAAATTAAAAACTAGGCCGGGCACGGTGGCTCACGCCTGTAATCCCAGCATTTTGGGAGGCTGAGGCAGGCAGATCACAAGGTCAGGAGTTCAAGACCAGCCTGGTCAATATGGTGAAACCCCGTCTCTACTAAAAATACAAAAATTAGCCCAGCGTGGTGGTGCATGCCTGCAAGTCCCAGCTACTCAGGAGGCTGAGGCAGAAGAATCGCTTGAACCTGGGATGCGGAGGTTGCGGTGAGCCAAGATTGCGCCACTGCACTCCAGCCTGGAGACAGAGAGAGACCCCGTCTCAAAAAAAAAAAAAAAAAAGCTGGGTGTGGTGGTGCACACCTGTAGTCCCAGCTACATCGAAGGCTGAGGGAGGCGGGTCGCTTGAGCCTGGGAGGTGGAGGCTGTAGTCAGCACTCAGCCTGAGCAACAGAGCGAGGCCCTGTCTCTCAAAAAACAAAACAAAACAAGTGCATCTGGCAGCCCCCCGGATTCTCCTTGACAAGGAGGAGACAGTGGTCTTTGGTGGCACTGCTTATGTGTAGCGCACTACGGGAGTCCAGCCCCTTCACCAGCATGCCTGGCCCCTCTCCACTCTGCAGCAGGGGCTGGTAGCAGGCCCTCTTCTGCTGAGAATCCTGGAGAACGGGCAGCCGCCAAGCCCAGGGTCTTCACTCCACAAGAGCACATGCTTTGCTTTGTTAGAATTAAAATGATGTGCAAGTTATGCCCACAATCCCATGAGGCATTCCAATTCTCAGCGCTCACAGGGCAGATGGTCACAAATGTTAGTACCGTGAGGGTGAGGGCTTGGGGGCTTTGGGGATGCTGACCACAAATGCCCTGCTGCCAACACACGTGTGTGCAGGCTGCTCAGAGCCCTGAATCTACCTGCTCAGTGGTGATGAAGACACTGAAGCTTCAAGGGACAGGGCCCTTGGCCGAGCTGAGAATATGTGGAAGAGCCGGGATGTGCCCGCGCAGCTGGGCAGGGACAGAAGCTCACAGGAAGAACCTCTTCTGCAGATCCCACAGGTGCCTCATAGGCCTCCTGGCTGCCTCCTCTGCCCACAAGAGGCTGCCGGTGCCCAGCTACAGGTGTCATAGCCTGGGTAGCTGACTCCTGGGACAAGCTCATCTTACTTTGCACCGGAAACAGTCCTGCAAATCGGCTATGAGACAACATGGCGTGCCTCGTGTGAAAAACACCGAGAATTACACGGTATTCTAAGAAAAGTCTGCAAACCAGAGTGAGGCAAGCAGCTCCCACTCTTTCTCTGCAAACACGGCGTCACACTTCGCTTCCTCCCCAGCACTCCTGCCCACAGCGATGAGACTGCGCGTCCTGTCGCGTACTCAGCAGTCACTGCTCATTTCGCTTTCTGCTGCTGAGCGACTTCTCTAACCTGCATTCTTCCAGGACGGGCAAACCCCGTATGGACCAGAGTGGTGGGAGAGCTGCACCTCCAGGCCTGCTGGTGAGGCTGAGCACTGCGTGGGTTCGCAGTCAGTTCCTCCTCTGTGTGGGTCAGGTCTCAGCGCTCCCGAGAGGGAGGCAGTGCCCTCCTCTGGCCCTCTGTGTGTCTAGGGTTCCATGAGAGCACCAGTCAGAGCCTCGGGTCGCCTGCCTGCAGCCCACTGGGTAGGCTCAGATGACCACCTGGCACCACCCCCTCAGCCGGCTTCCAACGGGGATGGACGGGTGGCCAAGCCCCTGCTGTGTGAGGTAAAGAGAAGTAAATGGGGGCTGACAGGCGGGCACAGGAGGCGCCACGCAGAGGCCCGGGTCTCCTGGCCCAGGCTCACCTGTGCACCAGCTGCAGGTTCTCCTGCCTCAGGCGGCTGTGTTGCTCACCGGTGGCTGCCGTGTCCTTTTCCAGCTCCAGCACACGCCTTTCCAGGAAGACAACCTTGGCAATGAGACCAGGCTTCAGGGTCAGGCAGCCAGAAGCAGAAGGGCCTGCACCCCCAAGGGAACAACCTGGGAGGCCGCCTGGGGATTTTCTCAGCACAGAATCAGATCCACCTAGCTAGGCTGGTGTTGGATCCAACTTGTCCCATAAACCCACAAAGGTGCAGCTCCTAATGGGGCCGGGGTCTTGGGGAGCACTGTCATTCGACCCACAAATGCACACAGTGCCGCAGCTCTGAGGGCTCGGGGCCCAGGGGTGCCTTTGGACTGGCTGGCTGGTGGGCAGCAAGACTCAGCCCCCCAACACACAGTTGGGTCTCTGCTCAGCCAGATGCAGCTCACAGAGGCAGCCCAGGTGCCCATGGATGCAAGGGACAGACAGATCCATGTCTCGGTCCCTCCCTCAGAGAGTTCACACCAAGATGAGAATCAGACACCTGCGGAGGTAGGAGAAGGAGTGAAGGGAGCAGAGGAGGACTTGGCCTGGGTCAGCAGACTTGAGATGCTAGAGAAGTTGTAGGGAGGAGGTGGTGGGGATGCAAGAGGAGGTGAAGTACAGGAGGAGGTGAGGAGGTACAGGAGGAGGTGAGAGAGTACAGGAGGAGATGGGGGTATAGGAGGAGGTGGGGGAGCAGGAGGAGGTGAGGGGGTACAGGAGGTGAGGGGTGCAGGAGGAGGTAAGGGGGTACAGGAGATGAGGGGGTACAGGAGGTGAGGGGGGTACAGGAGGAGATGGGGGTGCAGGAGGAGGTGAGGAGGGTGCAGGAAGAGGTGAGGGGGTATAGGAGGAGGTGAGGGGGTATAGGAGGAGGTGAGGCGGTACAGGAGGAGGTGAGGGGGTACAGGAGGTAAGGGGGGTGCAGGAGGAGGTGAGGGGGTACAGGAGGAAGTGAAGGGTACAGGAAGAGGTGAGGGGGGTACAGGAGGAGGTGAGGGGGTACAGGAGGTGAGGGGTGCACAAGGAGGTGAGGGGGTACAGGAGGAGATGGGAGTGCAGGAGGAGGTGAGGGGGTACAGGAAGAGGTGAGGGGGGTACAGGAGGAGGTGAGGGGGTACAGGAGGTGAGGGGTGCACAAGGAGGTGAGGGGGTACAGGAGGAGATGGGAGTGCAGGAAGAGGTGAGGGGGGTACAGGAGGAGGTGAGGGGGTACAGGAGGTGAGGGGTGCACAAGGAGGTAAGGGGGTACAGGAGGAGATGGGAGTGCAGGAGGAGGTGAGGGGGTACAGGAGGAGGTGAGGGGGGTACAGGAGGAGGTGAGGGGGTACAGGAGGAGGTGAGGGGGTACAGGAGGAGGTGAGGGGGTACAGGAGGTGAGGGGGTGCACAAGGAGGTGAGGGGGTACAGGAGGAGATGGGAGTGCAAGAGGAGGTGAGGGGGTACAGGAGGAGGTGGGGGGGTACAGGAGGAGGTGAGGGGGTACAGGAGGTGAGGGGGTACACAAGGAGGTGAGGGGGTACAGGAGGAGGTGAGGGGGTACAGGAGGTAGTGAGGGGGTACAGGAGGTAGTGAGGGGGTACAGGAGGTGGTGAGGGGGTACAGGAGGTGGTGAGGGGGTACAGGAGGAGATGAGGGGTACAGGAGGAATTGAGGGGGTACAGGAGTAAGTGAAGGGGTCACAGAAGGTGAGGGGGTGCAGAAGGTGAGACGGAGTCTCCCTCTGTCGCCCAGGCTGGAGTGCAGTCGTGCAATCTCGGCTCACTGCAACCTCCACCTCCCAGGTTCAAGTGATTCTCCTGCCTCAGCCTCCCAAATAGCTGGGATTACAGTTGCCCGCCACCATGCGTGGCTAACTTTTGTATTTTTAGTAGAGACGGGTTTTCACTATGTTGGCCAGGCTGATCTCAAACTCCTGACCTCAAGTGATCTGCCCGCCTAGGCCTCCTAATGTGCTGGGATTCCAGGCGTGAGCCACCACATCTGGCTGAAAAGCGGGTCTTGACCACGGCAAGGCTGCCTTGCCCTGGCTGCTGTCACCCATTCCATTCAAGGCCCCAGGAGAAGCCCGTTCCTCAGGCTGTTGGCTCTGCAGTAACTGCAGGGCCAGCCCTTTTCTCCCAAATCATGGGTGCCCCAGGTCGCGTCTCCATGGGCCTGGTGGACTGAATGTCTGGGTGTCCCCCAGCCCGACTCAGACACAGTGGGGGTGGGATACCCGAGGGTGCTCACTCACTGCCCAGTCCACTCCTCCCAGCTGGCCCTTCGTGCACAACAGGAAGACTCCTTTTTCTCACATGGCCACGAGACCCCTTGGGGAAACCTGCCAAAGAGCATCGGGGCTGGATGGACAGTCTGGGGAGCCCTGGAGGACATGGGGTCACCTCCGGCTGTGCTGTCCCCACCTCCCGGGGTGTCTGCAGCGGCCCTTAGGCGTGGCTGTGTTCTAAATCCCCTACTTGCCACCTACCCAGCCCTCCAGGGCCTACCTTGTCAGCAATGTCCTCCTCTGGGCCCTCCATGAGCTCGGGGGAAGGGTCCTCCAGGGCCTCCATGGTCAGGGCCCCTGACTGGTGCAGGTACCTACAGAAAAGGCACAACAACAGAGGGAAGAAAGGGAAAAACCACAGGACATGCTCCGTCAGCACAAGCACTCCCAAGTCAATCTGAAAAGCAGGCAGCAGCATTGCAGGGGACAGGTCCTCCCCTGATCTGGGTGGTGGTCTTCTCCCACTTAAAGCACTATATACAGGGGGAGGTCCCAGGCTGGACATCTTTACCAGGGGCTGGGAGAAAGCAGGCCGTGCTCTGTGGTCTCAGAGTCTTCCTGGCGCTCTTTGGAACCTGACAGAACATGACCTCAGTCCCAGCCAGCGAGTGGCAGAGAGGACTTTGTACTTGGCTGCAATAAAACATGCCCTTCTTCGCAGAGACACGAACAATCTCGTCTCTACCAGAGGCCTGTGAGACATCAGCTCAGGACCTTGACCTGCAGACACCTCCCCTGTGCACATTCTTGATCTCAGACTTTCACAGGTGCTTTCTGTGGCAGGAAGAGTGAGGGTCCCAGGAAAGGTGTGGATCCCAGAAGTCTCACTCAGTGTCACCCTCACGGACACACTGGGAAACTGGTCCGACCGAGTCCAGGAAGACAGCAGACACACGTGTCCTCTGTGGCACCAGCTCCTGTGGACACGCCCCCAGCACCGCAGGCCATGCCAGTTACTACCCGGGCCAGGCTCGGGGACACAGCCTCATGGTCCTGAGTAGACGCAAAGGCCCATAGGCTGCGGCCTTGGGGCAGGAGCTTCTCCAGGGAGTGTGAACTTAGGCGCGCAGTAAGCGCGTGCTTGTGGTCACCACGTGGTCAGATTCGCTGTGGTGAATCTGTACCAACCCAAACTTGCCGGGAGTACAGAAAACTCTCAGAGCACTCGCACAGAAGAGCCAACAGCAAAGGTGCGTGTTCAGTTCTTTATACATCCTGGGAACCTCAGTACCAAGCCAGGCTCCAGGCTGACAGCCTGATGCTCAGAACTGCGTGACCGTTAAAAAGCACTGGCCCTCTCCGAGCTTCCTTGCCTATGAAATGGGGGGACCCTCTCCCAGCCTCCTTGCCTATGAAATGGGGGGACCCTCTCCCAGCCTCCTTGCCTATGAAATGGGGGGACACTCTCCCAGACTCCTTGCCTATAAAATGGGGGGACCATCTCCCAGCTTCCTTGCCTATGAAATGGGGGATCCTCTCCGAACTTCCTTGTCTGTGAAATGGGGGGACCCTCTCTGAACTTCCTTGCCTGTGAAATGGGGGGACCCTCTCCCAGCTTCCTTGCCTATGAAATGGGGGACCTTCTCCGAACTTGTCTGTGAAATGGGGGGACCCTCTCCCAGCTTCCCTGCCTATGAAATGGGGGGAGCCTCTCTGAACTTGTCTGTGAAATGGGGGGACCCTCTCCCAGCTTCCTTGCCTGTGAAATGGGGGGACCCTCTCCCAGCTTCCTTGCCTATGAAATGGGGGACCCTCTCCCAGCTTCCTTGCCTGTGAAATGGGGGACCCTCTCCGAGCTTCCTTGCCTATGAAATGGGGGGACCCTCTCCCAGCTTCCTTGCCTATGAAATGGGGGGATCCTCTCCGAGCTTCCTTGCCTATGAAATGGGGGGACCCTCTCCCAGCTTCCTTGCCTATGAAATGGGAGACCCTCTCCGAGCTTCCTTGCCTATGAAATGGGGGGACCCTCTCCGAGTTTCCTTGCCTATGAAATGGGGGGACCCTCTCCCAGCTTCCTTGCCTATGAAATGGGGGTCTAGAGGCAACTGAGGTTTAACCAAGGTCATGCATACAAACAGCTTGGCTAGGGACGTAGCAGAGTAAGAATTCCATAAAATGTTAATATTTTTCCACTGAAAATGTCTACCAAGTGTATGAAGTTCGATTTGCTTCTCAGTACGGACTGGGCTTGAACATTTCCATCTTTTTCCCCATAAACGCTCTGAGGAGACAAGCCCTGTGAACGTGCACCAGCTGGAACACACCGGTGCCCTTCTGGGGCTCTGGGGATTTCATCAGATTCTCAAAAGCTGCTGCTGATACAGATCATGTTCTTGGCCAGTCGCTGCTCTTAAACGCCCATGACCTTGCCCCCAAACATGAGCCACTCCAGGCATGAAGCTGCAACCCAGAGCCCATCCTGAGAGGCCACGACCTGTCAGCACTTCTGAGCTGTCCTAGAGGCGTAGGCACTTCTGGGGCTGACTCGGGGACACAGCCATCCCCAGGCACCCAGCGTGCAGCCACCACACGTGGCCACCAACGTGAGGCAGAGGGTCCTCAGCATGGGTCATGCGGCTGCTTATTTATTTACTTATTTAATTTTTTTTTTTTTTTTTTTTTTTTTTTTTGCGACAGAGTCTTGCACTGTCACCTGGGCTGGAGTGCAGTGGTGCAATCTCAGCTCACTGCAACCTCTGCCTTCCGGGTTCAAGCCATTCTCCTGCCTCAGCCTCCCAGGTAGCTGGGATTACAGGCACCTGCCACCATGCCCAGCTAACTTTTTGTATTGTTTTTTTTAGTAGAGATGGGGTTTCACTATGTTGGCCAGGCTGGTCTCAAACTCCTGACCTCGTGATCTGTGCGCCTCGGCCCCCCAAAGTGCTGGGAGTACAGGCGTGAACCACCGCGTCCGGCTGGGGCTGCTTATTTAAATCCCCTAGAAAGAGGGATTCTCCAGCTACACCACACCCTCACTTGGAAGGACCCTCCTCCCAGAGAGGGAGCTGTGGAAAAAGCCTGACCTGCCCCACAGGGCAGTAGGTCGAGCCTGGCTGGTGAGCAAGGAGGTACGGGGATCCCTGAGGCCTCCCACCCAGGGCCCAGGGAGCCTGCCTGCTGTGAGCACTTCCTCCAGTCCTGATGGACTCGGCTCTGCCCGGAGCCCCCGGTCTCTGCACACACAGCTGACTGGAGAAAGCCACTTCCATCTCATGGACAGGGACAGAACAAGGCTGAGGGAGGTGAGCAATGCAGCCAGGCCCGGGGGCTACAATGGCTGCTGGCAAAACCCACCATCTCAGCAATAGTTCAGCGCGAAGGGCTGAGAACTGTGAGAAGCGAATCGCGACGTTTATTTTGCTCTTCCTTAGCCTCTTGTGGCAGATTTGGGGCAAAACAACAGATTAAATCTTGTGTACATATATTTACATGTGGATAGACACACTGCAGAAGAGGTCTCTGTTTTGTAAACTCTAACGACAGATAACTGCAGATGGAGCTTTTTTTTTTTTTTTTTTTTTTGAGACAGTCTTGCTCTGTCGCCCAGGCTAGAGTGCAGTGGCGTGATCTGGGCTCACTGTAACCTCTGCCTTCTGGGTTCAAGCAGTTCTCCTACCTCAGGCTCCTGAGTAGCTGGGATTACAGGCATGTGTGCCACCATGCCTAACTAATTTTTGTATTTTTAGTAGAGACGGGGTTTCACCATGTTGGTCAGGCTGTTCTTGAACTCCTGACCTCGTGATCCACCCACCTTGGCTTCCCAATGTGCTGGGATTACAGGCGTGAGCCACTGCGTCCGGCTCAGATTGGGCTTTTTTTATGCCAAAGGGTACCCGTGAAGGAAACATTAAATTTTAAAGGGTGTTTCTGACACAAGGCTGTGACAGCCAACTGCAGGCTGCGCCCCATCCTAGGCACGGGAGGCCTCAAGCAGATGCCTTAGCTGGCCTTGACCGGTCTTTCATGTCACCAGCTGCAGCCTGTCTGGAGTAAAAGACTTGATGAAGCGGGGAGGAAGGTGATGCTGAAGTGGTAACAGAAGTGTAGCTGGGGATGCACGTCACGTTCCTAAGAGCTCAATGCTTCTCTTTTTCTTTCTTTTTTTGAGATGGAGTCTCGCTCTTGTTGCCCAGGCTGGAGTACAATGGCACAATCTCGGCTCACTCCAAGCTCCGCCTCCAGGGTTCAGGTGATTCTCCTGCCTCAGTCTCCTGAGTAGCTGGGATTACAGGCACCTGCTAACACACCTGGCTAATCTTGTATTTTTTTAGTAGAGATGGGGTTTCTCCATTTTGGCCAGGCTGGTCTTGAACTCCCAACCTCAGGTGATCCACCCACCTCAGCCTCCCAAAGTGCTGGGATTACAGGCGTGACCTACTACGCCCGGCCAGCTCAATGCTTTTCTGAAAGGGGTGAGCAAGAAGACAGTTAGAAAAAGATGCATGATGACGTTCACCTCTGCTTCCTCTAGCCCCTAGCCCCTAGCCCCTAAAATGACAGAAAATGGAAAACAAGTGGGACGCGGTGGCTCCTGCCTGTAATTCCAACATTCTGGGAGACCGAGGTGGGAGGACTGCTAGAGCCCAGGAGTTCAAGACCAGTCTGGGCCTGTCTCTACAAAAAATTAAAAAATCATCTGGGTATGGTGGCATGCGCCTGTGGTCTCAGCTGCTCGGGAGGCTGAGGAGGGAGGATCATTTGAGCTTGGGAGGTCTGGGAAGTGAAAACTATTGAGAGCTGTGATGATGTCACTTCACAGAGCAAGACAGAGCAAGACTGTCTCAAAAAGAAAAGAAAGCCAAGAAAAGAGAAGAGAAACAAAAAGAAAAAAGTTTTCATCCATGGCCAGGTGTGACGGCTCATGCCTGTGATCCCAGTACTTTGGGAGGCCAAGGTGGGAGGATCCCTTCAGCCCAGGAGCTCAAGATCAGTCTGGGCAACGTAGTGAAACTCCATCTCTATTAAAAATTAAAAGACTAGCCAGGCATTGGCAATGCGCACCTGTAGTCCCAGGTCCTCAGGAGGAGGAGGTGGGAGGATGGAGTGAGCCTGAGAGGTCCAGGCTGCAGTGAGCTGTGATTGCACCACGGTACTTCAGCCCAGGTGACAGAGCAAGACAATGTCTCAAAATAAAAGAAAATGGAAAACAAAAGGTTTCTGTTCTTGGCTGGGTGTGGTGGCTTACCTCTGTAATCCGAGAATTTTGGGAGGCTGAGGTGGAAAGATTACTTAAGCCCAGGGAGTCTGGGGCTGTTGTGAGCTATGCTTGCACCTATGAATTGCCACTCACTGCACTACAGCCTGGGCAACGCAGCTAGACCTTGCCTATTTTCCTTTTTTTTTTTTAATTTTTAATTTTTAATTTTTTTTTTTTTTTTGTAGAGACAGGGTTTCACTAAGTTGCTCAGGCTGGTCCCAAAGAAACCGAGTCAGAAAGGTTAAACTTCATGGTAACAACTTTAGCTCTAGAAGATAAGCAATGCCGTCAAAAATCTTACAGGAAAATGATCCCACTCTCACAGTACAAACCAACCCAAGCTCAAGTTTATCTCCTGAGCACCTCTTTTCTCAAGAAGCTACAGGAAGATACGCTGGACAAAAACCAGAGAAAACAAATGAGAAGGAAGACGGGGCCAGGGAGCTAGAGGATCCAACCCCCGAAACAAAGGAACCCACCAGTGTGGGGAGACCTGTCCAGGACCACAGCCACGAGGCCTGGAGAACGCCCGGCACAACAGGGCAGAGAGGAGGCTCCAGAGGGGATGCTCCAGAGGAAGCTGGAGAGGCGTCTCCCAGCCCTGCCAGATGCCGGGCCACGAAGCAGGACGGGGACTAGGAAGGCAAAGCAGATAAAGACACAAAGGCAGACTCTGACGGCAGCAGAGGCCACCCGGCAGCCACACTGAGTGGCTCCCTGGGAAGGGCCTTAACCCTGCATGTTTATTTCGGTAAGAACTGGCAGGGGAGGAAGATAAAAGTGTATGTTGCCATCTTTCACAGCAGGAAGCCAACAGATCTATACGAAGCTGGAAAATGAAGAAATGGTCTTTAGGAATTGGAGTCAGACCCATCCCTCACCTTCGACTCACCTTGGGGAGCTGCCCAGACCCGGCTCTGAGAAGCCAGGCTCCTCACTGGGTCTCGCTACCTCAGAGCTAACATAGAGCAGACATCTGGGGATGGCGGCCCCTTCCAGACCTTAGTGAACACACAAGAGGCCCAGCACCAAAAGCTCTGACACGTACCCTCCCTGGTCACAAATCCAGGTCCAAATTCACAGCCCTGGAAACCCCTTTCCCAACACTCCTTCAGGATACCTTCAGCCCCAAACCATGTAAAGTAACTTGCAAGAGTTTAAAAAATACCTTGGAAAAGAACATTTTAAAATGTTTTTTAAAAAACTATGATTAATTATCCACTTCAGAACGTTTTTCAGCAGGAACCAGAGACCCACCTACCTTGCCACCTTCTTGCTGGAGAGCCGCTTTGTCGGACTGTGCAGAAAACAAAATAAACAGGAAAATTGTTAGAACAGACAGAGAGGAGCAGGAGGAAGCAGGAAACTCAGGCTGTGGAGATACGAGGTGGGCGGCCTTTCAGCAATGCTCCCGGCATGCAGGGCCCCCCAGGCAAGTCCATGCACAAATGCTCACTCAGCAAAACAGCAAGGACACGGCAGTGCTGGGGTGAGGCCGCATACGTCTCGTTACTCCAGCCCCCAAAGAGGCTTCCAGATGCAGCCACCCCAGACCACGACTGAGAGGCCAGCGCCACACCTGGTCCCACCCGCTGGCTGCACTGTCCCAATGCTTCTGAAGCCAAATTACCCCCAAACGCTTGGCCTTCGGAGGCCCCCAAGTGAAAAGTGACCCAGGCCCCGCTGTGACAGGAGAGTTTGCCGCTGGCTTCGACTCAGGCACTGATGCATCATGCTCAGAACGCCTGCCTAGGCATCAGTTTGGAAACCTTTCCCGTTGCCATTTCAGGGCAGTAAATATAGCCAATTATACATCAGCTGTCTGATTTAACCATCTGCAGTGGCACATGGGCCAAACTTACCTTCTCCCTCATTTCTGAGGTCCAAAGTTGTATTTTACAGTCTAGCTGCTGAACTATTAGCCTCAGCCTGCAGGAAGACACCCTCACCCCTGGGGCCTGGGAACCATCACGGTCCTGGAACTCACAAAGCCACGTCTCTCTTCAGCTTACCTGTCTCAAAAACACCTCTGATTTTCTTTCCAGGGTCAGGCAGAAAAGTCTACTGGAGGGGCCGGGCGTGGTGGCTCATGCCTACAATCTGAGCACTTTGGGAGGCTGAGGCGGGTGGATCTCCAGAGGTCGGGAGTTCGAGACCAGCCTGGCCAACGTGGAGAAACCCTGTCTCTACTAAAAATTCAAAAATAACCGGGAATGGTGGCGCATGCCTGTAATCCCAGCTACTCGGGAGGCTGGGACAGGAGACTCGCTTGAACCCGGGAGGCAGAGGTTGCAGTCAGCCGAGATCACGCCACTGCACTCCAGCCTGGGCAACAAAGAGTGAAACTCTGTCTCAAAGAAAAAAAGAAATCTACTGGAGGAGAATCAGCTGCTGTGCCAGGTATTAACGTAGAGCCCCTCAGCTCTAAGTCCATCCTTTTTACTTGCCCTGTAGAAACAGAGCTGGGCCCTTAGCAGGCTCTTCCTCCACAATGCTGCGTGTCATCAGCAGAGGGAGCCGAGGAGTGAACACAGCAGGAAGAGGTTTGCCTCCTGGTTCTGACCACTCTCTGCAGGGCCCTCCGACACCTGCAGTCTCCCCAGTACCTACTCCAGGGAGCATCCTGCCCACTGTAGCCAGAGCCAGGGGCTTCCCCGACCCCATTCGGGTAGCTGTTCTCTAGGGGTGCCTCTGCCAAGTGTCCTGCAACAGAATAGCTTTCCTGGCAGCCAGGAGGCAGGTTCCCCACAAGCCCTGACAGCACGGTGGTGTCCCCACCACGCCGTTTGCAGCTGGTGCAGACCTCAGCCCTGGGTGGCAGTGACTGTAGCTGGGGGGCTCTGCCCCGGCCCTGGGTGGCGGCTGCTCCTGTGCCTGCTGTCCCTACACTCTGCAGAGTTCTTTTTACTCATCCCAACCAGTGCCTCATTACTCCCATAGCCTGTGACATTCTTTTCCTTTCCCTAATGATTTTTTAAATTTTTTGTTTGTTTGTTTGCATTATCTTTTCTTAGAGGCAAGGTATGACTCTGTGGCCCAGGCTGAAGTGCAGTGGTGCAACCACAGCTCGCTGCAGCCTCGACCTCCCCGGCTCATGTGATCCTCCCACCTCTGCAGCCTCGACCTCCCCGGCTCATGTGATCCTCCCACCTCAGCAGCCTCGACCTCCCCGGCTCATGTGATCCTCCCACCTCAGCAGCCTCGACCTCCCCGGCTCATGTGATCCTCCCACCTCTGCAGCCTCGACCTCCCCGGCTCATGTGATCCTCCCACCTCTGCAGCCTCGACCTCCCAGGCTCATGTGATCCTCCCACCTCTGCAGCCTCGACCTCCCCGGCTCATGTGATCCTCCCACCTCAGCCTCCCAAAGCACTGCGATTTCAGCCCACACTCAGCCCATTCTTTGTAGTATTAAACTGTCCCTGTTCAAATTACTGTGTGGCTCTCCTTTCTCGACTGGAGACTAATAATGTATATTTTAATACAGGTTTTTTTTTTTAAGATGGAGTCTCACTGTGTCACCCAGGCTGGAGTGCAGTGGCATGATCTCGGCTCACTGCAAGTTCCACCTCCCGGGTTCACGCCATTCTCCGGCCTCAGCCTCCCGAGTAGCTGGGACTACAGGCGCCCGCCACCACGCCCGGCTAATTTTTTATATTTTTAGTAGAGATGGGGTTTCACCGTGTTAGCCAGGATGGTCTCGATCTCCTGACCTCGTGATCTGCCCACCTCAGCCTCGCAAAGTGCTGGGATTACGGGCATGAGCCACCGCACCCAGCCTTAATACAAATTTAATTTTATCTTATTATTGTTGAGACTCCCTAGAACTAATAGGACAGGACAGACTCATCGTTCAGTTTACCTACTGACCTTTCAGGGCCTGGACTGGCAGCCCAGCAACAGGATTTATAATTGAAAATACACCTCCAGGTGGCCAGGTGCGGTGGCTCACACCTGTAATCCCAGCACTTTGGGAGGCCGAGGCGGGCGGATCACGAGGTCCGGAGATTGAGACATGGTGAAACCCTGTGTCTACTAAAAATACAAAAGTTAGCCAGGTGTGGTGATGGGCGCCTGTAGTCCCAGCTACTCGGGAGGCTGAGGCAGGAGAATGGAGTGAACCCGGGAGGCAGAGGTTGCAGTGAGCCGAGATCGCACCACCGCACTCCAGCCTGGGTGACAGATCGAGACTCTGTCTCAAAAAAGAAAAAGATAATATACCTCCAGGCAGGCTGGGTGCAGTGGCTCAGCCTGTAATCCCAGCACTTTGGGGGGTCAAGGCGGGCGGATCACGAGGTCCGGAGATTGAGACATGGTGAAACCCCGTGTCTACTAAAAATACAAAAGTTAGCCAGGTGTGGTGATGGGCGCCTGTAGTCCCAGCTACTCGGGAGGCTGAGGCAGGAGAATGGAGTGAACCCGGGAGGCAGAGGTTGCAGTGAGCCGAGATCGCACCACTGCACTCCGGCCTGGGTCACAAAGCGAGACTCTGTCTCAAAAAAAAGAAAAAAGAAAATATACCTCCAGGTAAGGCACACTTCTTAGTTCCTACAAAATGAAATGTATTTAGAGGCTGCAGGGTACCTGGAAAATGCAACAGCTATTGGCCTGTTCTGAGGCGACTGGACATCGTATCTGACATCAAAGCTTCCAGAGGTGGTCTGGACTAAGTCACCTGTTGCCACCCACAAAGCATGACCAAATAAGCTTACTTTCAGGCAAGTCCATGGAAACTAAAACGCAAGATTCAGATCTCCTCCACTAAGGGTTATGGGGAGGATGTTCTGACTGGCAGTTGTGTGTCCTGATTGTGTTGAATTGAATAGCATATTAACCACTTGGTAGAGTCTTTTTTTTTTTTTTTTTTTTGGAGTCAGAGTTTGGCTCTGTTGCCCAGGCTGGAGTGCAGTGGCAGGATGTTGGCTCACCACAGCCTCCACCTCCTGGGTTCAAGTGAACCTCCCATCTCAGCCTCCCAAGTAGCTGGAACTACAGGCATGTGCCACCATGCCTGGCTAATTTTTATGTTTTTAGTAGAGACAGGGTTTCGCCATGTTGGCCAGGCTGGTCTCAAACTCCTGGCCTCAAGTGATCTGCCTGCCTCCTCAGCCTCCCAAAATGCTGAGATTACAGGCGTGAGTCACTGCGCCTGGCCCGCTTCATAGAGTCTTAGGAAAAGGGGTAGCAGAACCTGGACGTGAGGCTCCACAGGACTTGCTAGTTGTACTTAGCTACATCCTAGTCCCTTCTCTGCCCCCACAAAGCCCAGCAGAGGCGACCATGGCCATCTTGGAGCTAGTTCTCAATGTGGGAAAAAATCAGTTCTATGTCAAAAATCTTCAGAAAATGAGAGACGAGACCTGAGTCTTCAGGCTTACTTTCATGTACGGAGATGACATGCTTGCACTCAACTTATCGGTGAGTGGGAGGGCAAGTCTCTGCGTGGGAAGAACAAATGGCCCCTCCCCAAGCAGGCTGAGCCATCGTCGCCGGGCCTTGAACCCCTAGCTGAACACACACGCAGGCAGAAACTGATTTCCCCTAAAACAGAGGTTAGCGGATCTTTGGAATCCAAGATTCTGGACGGCCTCGGGTCTCCCGGGAGGGCCCTGGGCGGCCTCGGGTCTCCCGGGAGGGCCCTGGGCGGCCTCGGGTCTCCCCGGGAAGGGCCCTGGGCGGCCTCGGGTCTCCCGGGGAGGGCCCTGGGCGGCCTCGGGTCTCCCGGGGAGGGCTCTGGGCGGCCTCGGGTCTCCCGGGAAGACCCTCTTCAAAGAGCACTTCTGCTTTCTCACCAGTGCTGCCAAGACCCCCGATGCTCCAGAATGGCCATCAGTGCCGGGCCCCACCCCCATCCTCTCCACCTGAATGGGCACTGGCTGGGGGCCCTGTGCTTCACAGCATTTCACAGAACATAAGAAGAGTTAAGTGCCCTGGAAATGGAACTAGAGGCAGGACAGAAGCCTCAATAAGGCCGTGGGCAGTGAGCGCCCGCCAGCAAGGATGTGCCTCGGCAGAAGCCCCCTGGGGCAGGGACAGGGCAGGCTCAAGACAGGTAAGCAGTTTCACAGATACCTCTAAACATGCTAGAACCGTCAGGATAACTCACCTTTCTGCCACCTTTACAAACCCTCCCCACAGGCCAGGTCCCGTTCTTCAGGAAGCCGTCCCAGATTGCCAGCATGAGCCTGTATGCTCACTCACCTCTTCTGCTAGGCTAGGGCTGCTGTGGAAAGCTCCAAAGTGGCCCGTTTCTTCACCAGACCCTTCTGGAGAGCTGCCCACCCAGGGGCTTCACCGCAAGCGAAATCAACACGATGCCCAACGGGCACGTCAATATGTGCAAAGCACTCAAAACCGTCTTCTGTAACTGGGAGTTAGACATGAGGGCCAGCCACAAGAGCTCCCCTGCTGAGACACAGTGAGCTCCCTCACACGCTCACTGTGAGTATTCAAAACTCCATTTAAACTGACAATCCTGAAAGCTGTTTACATATCTGTTCTTAAAGACTAAATCTTTAACTTTCCCAATTCTGTCTCATGAGCTCAATGAAAGAAATCTTTTAGTAAAATGCAGAAAGTATCCTCTTTCACACACAGGACAGACAGCACAGCTTGCAAAGACCGATCACTTCCTCCCACCAAGACAAGCACTGGCCTGGGCTGCGCATGCAGGGGAGGAGGCAGGGCCCTGGTGGCCCCACAGCGTGCAGGGTGGGAGGCGGGGCCCCAGGGAGAGTCCCGCTGCCTGAGAGGCTCCTGGTCGCCTCGGGGCAGGCCCTCAAGGGGGCTGTGGGTATCCGGAGTCCCCCACACCCTGGGAACAGACAGCAAGGCCAGGCGCTGGTCAGTTACCTATTCATTTCAAGATCACTCAGGCGGGCAGAAAGATCCTCAAGGCGGTTGATTTGTTTGTGGCACTGGCTACAGTAAAACTCAAACGCCTCATCAGTGAGGATGCTGTGCAGCTTTGCGGCAAGAGGGTCAGTGCTAGAGAGACAGAAGCATCCGTTCAGGAGAGGATGAGGACCCGTGTGGTCATCTGTGACTCCGCACGAGGGGCCGAGGGGAACAGGACAGGACATGGTGTGGAACAAAAGCACGTGGAGAGAGAATGAGCTGTGCAATGTTCTGGCTCTTGCCTTTAGACCGCAGTGAGCCCACATCCCTCAGCTGCCTCCAGGAGCCCAGGACAGGCACCAGCTCGAGCCTCAGGGGGCCCTGCACACACCTGCTCCTCTGGGTCGGGTGCCCAGAAGAAAGCAGGGGCAGCCTGAGAGCCTCCTTGCAAAGCAAAAGCCCTTCTTTAACAAGAAGGTAAAAAACCATACTGCTTTCTCTTTTGCCAAAAACACATCAATGTGATAGCGAACCATGTCTCCGGGTAAACTTGTACTTACTGTACTATATTTATGATTACTCCAAAAACCACCTCTAGCAAAAACTATGCATGAATGATAAATCTACAATAGTTTTGTGATTTTTTAAGATGTGCGTTAAAGCCGGGCATGGTGGCTCCTGCTTCTAATTCCAGCACTTTGGGTGGATCGCTTGAGCTCAGGCGTTTGAGACCAGCCTGGGCAACATGGTGAACCCGTCTCTACAAAAAATACAAAATTAGCCCGGCGTAGTAGCTCATACCTGTAGTCCCAGCTACTCAGGAAGCTGAGGGAGGTGGAGGCTGCAGTGAGCCATGATTGCACCACTCCAGCCTGGGCAATAAAGTGAGATCCTGTCTCAAAAAACCCCCAAAAAGACCGACCTGTCGAAACTCAGTGTTAGATTTTGTGGTGGTGCTAGCTAACCTCCCTGTGACTTCACCTCCAAGGGCTTCTGGGCCACTGGCAGGGGTGCTGCGTCTGCGACGCGAAGGCAAAGGAGCAAAGGCAGCCTCATCGCGGGCGCTGGGACCCACATGCTGTGGGAAACCATTTGGAAGCTCAAGTAAAGAAAGGTGAAAAGTGAAACATACAATGTAGCATAGACATTACACTTCAAACAGGTAACAATGAAAACACTGAACAGGAGACAGGGACAAACTAAACACGTAGGAAGAGGTGATTACCAAGCACAGAGACCCAAGTTTAGAAACGCCCCAGTCCTCTGGCCCTTGTCTTGACACCACCACGCGCTGGGAGAGGAAAGTGCCTAAGACAAGCACACTGCCTCTGAGGACCGTCTGTGATGCCTCACTCATGCACAGCTCTCCCAGGACGCTCGCCGGGACCAGAGCACACAGGATATCCGTGCAGGGTCCCCACACCCAGGGCTGACGGGCGGCTTCAAGGAGGGCACATGGGAAACAAAAGGAGGGGGACCCTATGGGCAGACGAGCTGCTCAGCCCCTCCTGCACCGCCCTCCACCCAGGTTCCCTGGGCCTCAGTAACAGCGGGCGGGCAGCAGGCAAGGGAAGACTCTTGTGGCTGCTTAAAGAGGCTCGGCCTTGACTGCTGGCAAAGATGGACGACAACCTAGTAGCAAAGGGGAGAAGGGATTGAAGTAACAACCCCATCGGCCAGCCCAGGGTCTCCCTGAAGTCAGGAGCGTCCTAGAGGGACTGACTCCCACGTGGGAGCCCCTAGCCCTCAGAAGTACGTACCCAGACCCCCATGTTCGGATCCAAGCCAAGAGGACTCTGGACTCCCTAGAGTGACTCTGGACATTTGTGAGTGGGCATCTCGCCCACTGCGTGTTGTGCTTCTATTTATTCAGAGTCACAGCTTTCCAGTTTGGGGATGTCAGATATTTATAAGGAAATGAATCTGAAGACTCACTTATGATCATGAGGCCTCCCTCAAAAGCCTGCACAGACCACCATGTGATCCACGGCCCACAGCAAAGGAGCCCGCAAGCCAAGTGTGCAAACACAGCTCTGTGCCACAGGATTTTGCTGAAGCCTCAGAAATGTAGAGTGATCTGGGGATGTGGCTGGAGAAGAGGGACTTCTCCCAACTTTCATAAATCCAGGTATAAATTTAAAATGTTTGAATATGGTTTACTTAATCACATGACGTCAAGGAAAGCAAGTTCTCTCACCAATGCACGAACCAAAAAGGGAAACTTCCCACTACTAACCACGGGAAGAAGAGGGAGGAGGGTGTGCTGGAACAAGGCGTCATTACCTGGGCGTGAGGAAAGCGGGGTCACTGCAGCCCAGCTGCCCGTTGCATAGGGTCTCTGGGGACAGCTCCGCCTCACTGCCTTCACCGTAGTCCTCAAAGTGCTCCTCGCCCCCGATCACCGTGATGACAGACTGGCCATGGGGGTGAGGCCTGCAAAGTAAAACAGAAATGATGTCTTCTGACTGAAGGCCAGGGCACCCCCGAGCTGAGGGTGTGGAAGGTGCTTTCCATAGGGTGTGCTACAAGCCACACGTGAGTCCTGGGAGCCACGTTTAAAAAAAAAAAAAAAGTGGGCTGGATGCGGTGGCTCACACATGTAATCCCAGCACTTTGGGAGGCCAAGGCGAGCAGATGGCTTGAGCTCAGGAGTTTGAGACCAGCCTGGGCAACAGGGGGAGGCCTCAACTGCAAAAAACATTTTTAAATCACCCAGGCATGGATGCGCACGACTGTAGTCCCAGGTACTCGGGAGGCTGAAGTGGGAAGATCGCTTGAGCCTGGGAGGCCAAGGCTGCAGTGAGCAGTGATGATGCCACTACACTCCAGCCTGGGTGACAGAGCAAGGCCCTGTCTCAAAAAAAAAAAATAAATAAATAAATCTGTTTCTTTACCTTTTTTTTTGAGACAGAGTCTGGCTCTATCGCCCAGGCTGGAGTGCAGTCGTGCAATATCGGCTCACTGCCAGCTCCGCCTCCCGGGTTCACGTCATTCTCCTGCCTCCACCTCCCGAGTAGCTGGGACTACAGGCGCCCGCCACCACGCCCGGCTAATTTTTTGTATTTTTAGTAGAGACGGGGTTTCACCGTGTTAGCCAGGATGGTCTCGATCTCCTGACCTCGTGATCCACCCACCTCGGCCTCCCAAAGTGTTGGGATTACAGGCGTGAGCCACCACGCCTGGCCCGAATATATTTTAACAAAAAATTTTACTTAGCCCAACACGCAGTCATTTCAAAACCTCCAGCCTCTTCACACTCCTCACTCGTGTGCCCTCCCACGTCACAAGTTCCGCAGCCCCACACAGGACAGCACAGGTCGACACAAAGCAGCATCTGGGTTCAAGCACCTCTGCCTCTTCCCTAGGGAGCTGCTGTCCTCACACAACCACTGGGGGGCGCCGTTCAAACTCTACTTTAAGCTAAAACGTAACAGCAGCTGCGACAGGGAAAGGAAGGGGCTTCCAAATACCCACCCTCCTTCTGAAGGGAGTGACTCCTCCACAGCCAAGTTCTGGAAAACACAGCGGCCGGGGGCCATGTGAAACAGCTGTGCCTTCAGCGGCTCCTGTGCCCTAGCGGTCCCCACTCCCACCCTCCCGCAGGAGTCCTCGGGAGAACCTTCTGTGCAGGCCCGGCGCTGCTCCACTCCAGGAAAGAAAGGGGCCTGGCAGAGTGAGGCGACTCCTCGTGCCCAGGAGAAGGGGGCAGAGTCAGGAGGACCGCGCGCTCTGCTCCGCCCGGACCCACTGTGCTCAGCCGTGAGGAGTTCCAATTTCACACCCGCAGAAATGCCCACCACGCACCACTGCTGGGACAGCTCAGGATGAATCCCATGGCCTCAAACACGCAGGCTTAAACCAGGGCCGGGGGCGGTGGCTCACACCTGTAATCCCAGCACTTTGGGAGGCCGAGGCGGGCAGATCAGGAGATCGAGACCATCCTGGCTAACACGGTGAAACCCTGTCTCTACTAAAAATACAAAAAATTACCTGGGGGTGGTGGCGGGTGCCTGTAGTCCCAGCTACTCGGGAGGCTGAGACAGGAGAATGGTGTGAACCTGGGAGGCGGAGATGGCAGTGAGCCGAGATCGCGCCACTGCACTCCAGCCTGGGCGACAGAGCCAGATTCCGTCTCAAAAAAAAAAAAAAAAAGAAACCAAAACCAGGAGGCCTGTGCCACTTCATGGCCTCCCAATAGGGTCTTCAACTTGGCGCTGCCTGTCTGCATCAGCCCCTTCCTTCCTACACAGTGACAGGGAGGTGTGGCTCCCTTCCACAGCCGCCATCTAAAATTAGGCTACGTTACAGGAAGACCTTATTTTCTGTTTCTTATGATTGGGTGCTTGTTTTACCAACAGGCTCAGATACTGTGACAGAAAACTGCCCTCTGAGGGGAGGAGAATCAGCGAGAGGAAAACACACACTGGTCCATCGGCCAGCAGGCCCTTCCCCGCCTCCCCGGGCCACCATGGTGAAACCTGCTACTCCCTCAGAAGCAATGACGAGGGGCTCAGCACCCCTCACCACCCCATCTCCTCCTCTCCTCAGGACACTTCTTCCTGATGCTTGACGGGAACAGAGAAGGCCCACATGCAACGTCACACTGAGGACCAAGAGGCCCAGGCCACACGGCAGAGACTGTATGAACCGGACGGTCTGCACCCAGACGCCCAACGTGCTTTCCACGGTCCACAGAAGATGAGCCGCGCTAGCTAGCAGTTAGATCCAGCCACAAATGAGCTGTTCAAAATGTGTGTCCCCCAAAAGAGTTATACTTTTGTTTTCATTTTTGAGATAGAGTCTCGCTCTGTCGCCCAGGCTGAAATGCAGTGGTGCCATCTCGGCTCACTGCAAACTCTGCCTCTCTGGGTTCAAGCGATTCTCCTGCCTCAGCCTCCCGAGTAGCTGGGATTACAGGTGCGTGCCACCAGGCCCAGCTAGTTTTTGTATTTTTAGTAGAGACGGGGTTTTACCAAGTTGGCCAGGCTGGTCTCAAACTCCTGACCTCATGATCCACCTGCCTCGGCCCCCCAAAGGGCTGGAATTACAGGCATGCCCCACCAAGAGTTATACTGCTTAAAAACTAGTGAGAAAATACTCGCCTGTAATCCCAGCATTTTGGGAGGCCAAGGAGGGCAGATCACTTGAGGCTGGCAGTTTGAGGTCAACCTGGCCAATATGGCGAAACCCTATCTCTACCAAAAATACAAAAAAATTAGCCAGGCATGGTGGCGGGCGCCAGTAGTCCCAGCTAATCAGGAGGCTAAGGCAAGAGAATCACTTGAATCTGGGAGGCAGAGACTGCAGTGACCCAAGATTGTGCCACTGCACTGCAGCCTGGGTGACACAGCAAGACTGTCTCAAAACAAAGCAAAACAAAATAAAAAAATTATGTAGCGATCACAGATCTGAATATGAAGGTAAAACAATAACACTTTTAAAAGAAAGCGTAAGTAAACATCATAGTGACTGTGTAGTAAGCAAAGATTTATCAAGTGGGACACAAAAGTGCTAATAAACATAAAAGAAAAATGGATAAGCTCAACTATAGCAAAATTAAAAACATCTGTTCTGGCCAGGGGCTGTGGCTCATGCCTGTAATCCCAGCACTTTGGGAGGCCAACGTGGGTGGATCACAAGGTCAGGAGTTCGAGACCAGCCTGGGCAAGATGGTGAAACACTGTCTCTACTAAAACTACAAAAATTAGCTGGGCGCCATGGCAGGTGCCTGTAATCCCAGCTACCTGGGAGGCTGAGGCAGGAGAATCACTTGAGCCTGGGAGGCAGAGGTTGCAGTCAGCCAAGATGGCGCCACTGCACTCCAGCCTGGGCGACAGAGCTAGACTCCATCTTGACAAAAAAACAGAAACAAAAATCTGTTCCTCAAAAGGTGAAAAGGAGACCCACAGAGCAGCAAAAAGGATCTGTGATACCCACACCCCATAAGGGACTCATATCGAAAGGACTCCTATAATCAGTGAGAAAAAGACAGAGGACCCAACAGACCAGGGGCAGGCCAAGTCCTGCCAATCCTGCGCAGCCTGTTTCTGAAAATTGTTTCACTGGGACACAGCCACGCTCACTGACCCACGTGCCTTTGGCTGCTTCTGCAGCACAACAGCCGGGCTGAGCAGTTGCCACGGGGGCTGCGTGGCCTGCAACTCTTCTAGAGAAAAAGTCTGCAGACCCCTCCCGCAAGCAGTGAGCAGGCAGAGGAGCTCCCACCCTGACAAAAGGTGCATGCCTTATTAGTCACCCGGGAAGCGCAAGTAAAAAGCATGTGGCAGGGTCTCTGCATGCCCCCCACAAGGTGAGCAGGAGAGCAGACATGGCCACATGCTGCTGAGGTCAGGGAGCCCAGGAGCCACAGATGCCGGAGGCTGGTGACCCTGCAGCCCCTGCAGGAACTTGCAAGGCTGAAGGGACGTGCTCCCGATGACCATCCTGCTTAGGGCCGTACCATGCTCCCAAAGACATGGAATCCCTACAGCAGTTTCACCCTCAAAGCCAACGACAGTGAACTACCCGCTGCCGCCGACAGGAGAGTCAACTCTAGAGTCGCAGCACGCTCTCGCAATAGAATCATAAAAGTCAACAGTTTACAGCAATGCACAAAAATAGGGCTGAATACGGCCAGACGCGGTGGCTCACACCTCTCATCCCAGCACTTCGGGAGGCCGAGGCGGGCGGATCGCCTGAGGCCAGGGGTTGGAGACCAGCCTGACCAACATGGTGAAACCCCGTCTCTACTAAAAAATACAAATATTAGCCGGGCGTGGTGGCGGGCGCCTGTAATCCCAGCTACCCGGGAGGCTGAGGCAGGAGAATCGCTGGAACCTGGGAGGCGGAGGCTGCAGTGAGCTGAGATCGCACCACTGCACTCCAGCCTGGGCGACAGAGCGAGACTCCGTCTCAAAAAAAAAAAAATGGCTAAATCCACAAGCGCAACAGCAAGTGGAAGAAGCCAGGCACAGGAAGGACCTCCCTGTGTGGGGGAACTTAAGGAAGATGCAGGGCCGGTGGAGAGCTGGCTGCTGTCAGGGGCCTGGGAGGACCCTGGGTGCGGGAGTGTTTTGTTCTTGCCTGAGAAAAGGGCCGTGGGAATGGTCAGTTTGAAAAACCTGCTGGCTGTGCACTTACAACATGGGCACTTACTTGTGGGTATATTATGTTGGCAAAAAGACTTAAGCTCTGTAAAATATTTGAAGAGGTTTATTCTGAGCCAGATAAGAGTGACTAACAGCCCGTGATGCCGCCCCAGGAAGCCCTGAGAGCATGTGCCCAAGGGCCGGGTTTATGCATCTTGGGGAGACAGAAGACATCAACCCTACATGCAAGATGCTGCTTCAGTCAGGAAACATGGGACGGCTCTAAGCGGGGGACGGGCGGGCTTCCAGGTCAAAGCAGATGCGAAGATCTTCTGACTGGCAGTTGTTTGTTTGAAAGAGTTATTATCTAAAGACTTGGAATCAATAGAAAGGAATGCCTCGGCTTAAGATAAGGGGCTGTGGAGACCAAGGCTTTATCAAGCAGATGAGGCCTCCAGGCAGCAGGCAGCAGACCTCACAAGGTGCCAGACTCCGAGTTAATTCCCTCCTGCACCAGGGAAAAGACCTGGGAAGGGAGGAGATTCTCTACAGGGTGCAGACTTTCCCCACAAGACACAGTCCTGTAGAGCCATTCTGAAAAATGTCAAAGAAATCTATTTTGGGGTAAAATACTCGGATTTCTTTCAGGGCCTGCCACCTGTCATGTGATGCTACACTAGAGTCAGGCTGGAATGTGGTGTGCTGTCGCTGCTATAAAAAGTCCGCCTTTGTCAGAGTCTGTTTAATGTGAATGCTGGTCAGCTGGGCCTCAGTTCCAAAGGGAGGGGCCCAATGAGGCCTGCCTGACCTCCCTAACCATGGCCTGAACTACATTTTCAGGTTGACTGAGCAACGCCTGAGGCTGAGAGAGGGGGTCCATCAGTTGGCTGAAGGCTGAGAATTTAATTTTTGCTTCACAATTACACTTCAGCGTGCTGAGCGGACTTTCCAGTAGCAGGGGCAACACGGAAAGCAGGTCCACGTGAGCCACTGGACACCTCCTTCATCTGACCTTCTCCCAGACTCTGCCCGTCCCTCTACTCCGGCCCCAACTAGCTCGAAATACGGGGGCTACAGAAATCCTGAGGGTGGGGGACAGGTGGGGAGAGAACATGGCCTCCTCAGGGGTGCTGCAAAGGTGAACGGGTTCCAAAACCCTGCCGAGACATTCACTTCTATAATTTCTATCTCTACAGCTAAAGATGTTGAGCAACATTTGAAACCACAGTCGTCCTGACAGGAAAGTCAGCTGGAACAGGGAGACTGCTCGGGCAAGGCGGGCAGGACGGTGTGGGCTCATCCCAGGAAGGTCAGGAGCTACTGCAGGGCCAAGCCCCACCCCCACATAATGGATGCTAACCAGCACGCACTCCTCCAAGACCCCAGTCTGCCCATCAGACACCTCCACAGGGTGCCACATCCCAAGGCCTCTCCAGGAGGCCCGTGGCGGGGTACAGACCTGCCTGGGAGCAGCAGCAGGGCACCATGGTCGGGCTCCTCCATGGCGTCCAGGCACTCAGAGGGCACGGCCGAGCCGCCGGCACTGTCTGCGTCCCCTTCAGGTTGCAGCTCAGGGTGCACCAGGGTGCTGGTGTCCTCGTCCGTGAAGGTCTCACACTCACTGTAGGTGCTCTCGGAGCCCATGTACGCGCTGTCCGTCACCTCGTTGGCCTAGGAGAGAGTGCGCCAGCAGTCAGCGGGCACAAGCTGGGAGGGGAACTGCGAACGCCCCACACCTCACTGCTGCAAGGCCCTGGAGAGGGCAGTGTGGAGGGAGGGGTCTGACGCCTGAAGTCCCAACTGTCTCTAAGCAGAGACATTACTTATAAAACACAATTCAGGCTGGGCGCGGTGACTCACGCCTGTAATCCCAGTACTTTCGGAGGCCTCGGTGGGTGGATCGCTTGAACCCAGGAGCTCAAGACCAGCCTGGCCAACAAAGTGAAATTTGTCTCTACCAAAAATACAAAACTTACCTAGATGTGGTGGCACCTGCCTGTAGGTCCCAGCTACTCAAGAGACTGACGGAGGAGCTTGCCCAGGTGCGGTGGCACCTGCCTGCAGGTCCCAGCTACTCAAGAGACTGATGGAGGAGCTTGCCCAGGTGCGGTGGCACCTGCCTGCAGGTCCCAGCTACTCAAGAGACTGACGGAGGAGCTTGCCCAGGTGCGGTGGCACCTGCCTGCAGGTCCCAGCTACTCAAGAGACTGACGGAGGAGCTTGCCCAGGTGCGGTGGCACCTGCCTGCAGGTCCCAGCTACTCAAGAGACTGACGGAGGAGCTTGCCCAGGTGCGGTGGCACCGGCCTGCAGGTCCCAGCTACTCAAGAGACTGACGGAGGAGCTTGCCCAGGTGTGGTGGCACCTGCCTGTAGGTCCCAGCTACTCAAGAGACTGACGGAGGAGCTTGCCCAGGTGTGGTGGCACCTGCCTGTAGGTCCCAGCTACTCAAGAGACTGACGGAGGAGCTTGCCCAGGTGTGGTGGCACCTGCCTGTAGGTCCCAGCTACTCAAGAGACTGACGGAGGAGCTTGCCCAGGTGTGGTGGCACCTGCCTGTAGGTCCCAGCTACTCAAGAGACTGACGGAGGAGCTTGCCCAGGTGTGGTGGCACCTGCCTGTAGGTCCCAGCTACTCAAGAGACTGACGGAGGAGCTTGCTTTTTGTTTTTTGGGGGTTTTTTTTTGAGACAGGGTCTCACTCTTATCGCCCAGACTGGAACGCAGTGGCATGATCTCAGCTCACTGCAACCTACGTGGCCTGTGTTCAAGTGATTCTCCTGCCTCAGCCTCCTGAGTAGCTGGGAAGACAAGCATGTACCATCATGCCTAGCTAAGTTTTGTATTTCTAGTAGAGACGGGGTTTCACCATGTTGGCCAGGCTGGTCTCAAACTCCTTACCTCAGGTGATCCACCCACCTCAGCCTTCCAAAGTGCTGGGATTACAAGAGTGAGCCACAGCGCCAGCCAGGAGGACCATTTGAGCCCAAAAGGTCGAGGCTGCAGTGAGATGTGATCACACCACTGTGCTCCAACCTGAGTGATAAAGACCCATCTCAAAAAAATTAATTAATTAAAAATAAATATAACAGCTGGCCGCAATGGCTCACGACTGTAATCCCAGCACTTTGGGAGGCCGAGGCAGAAGGATCACCTGAGGTTGGGAGTTCGAGACCAGCCTGACCAATATGGAAAAACCCCGTCTCTACTGAAAATACAAAATTAGCCGGGTGTGGTGGCGAACTCCTGTATCCCAGCTACTCAGGAGGCTGAGGCAGGCAAATTGCTTGAACCAGGGAGGTGGATGTTGTGGTGAGCTGAGATCACTCCATTGCACTCGAGCCTGGGCAACAAGAGCAAAACTCTGTCTGAAAAAAAAAAAATTAAAATAAATAAATACAGGCCGGGCGCAGTGGCTCACGCCTGTAATCCCAGCACTTTGGGAAGCCAAGGCAGGCAGATCACAAGGTCAGGAGTTCGAGACCAGTCTGGCCAAAATGGTGAAACCCTGTCCCTACTAAAAATACAAAAATTAGCCAGGTGTGGTGGCGGGCACCTGTAGTCCCAGCTACTCGGGAGACTGAGGCAGAAGAATCGCTTGAACCCGGGAGGTGGAGGTTGCAGTGAATTGAGATCACGCCACTGCACTCCAGCCTGGGCGACAGAGCAAGACTCCGTCTCAAAAATAAATAAATAAATAAATATAATTAGCCAAGTGTGGTGGCACATGCCTGTAATCCCAACTACTCAGGAGGCTGAAGCAGGAGAATGGCTTGAACCTGGGACGCAGATTTTGCAGTGAGCTGATATCATGCCATTAAGCTCCAGCTTGGGCGACAGAGTGAGCCTCTATTTCAAAAATGAAAATAAAATGAATAAAACACAATTCAACTTTTTTTTTTTTTTTTTTTTGGAGAAGGAGTTTTACTCTTCCTGCCCAGGCTGGAGTGCAGTGGTGCAATCTCCAGTCACTGCAACCTACACCTCCCGGGTTCAAAAGATTCTCCTGCCTCAGGCTCCTGAGTAGCTGGGATTATAGATGCGTGCCACCACGCCACTAATTTTTGGGTTTTTAGTAGAGATGGGGTTTCACCACGTTGGCCAGGCCAGTCTCGAACTCCTAACCTCAGGTGATCCACCTGCCTCGGCCTCCCAAAGTGCTGGGATTACAGGCGTGAGCCACCGTGCCTGGCTGAATTCAACTTTTTTTTAAATGAAAAATAGGTACATGTCTGAGAGCAGAAAACAAGGTACTCTGAGTAATTTTTGTTGTTGTTGTTTGAGACAGTGTCTCTCTTTGAGACCCAGGCTGGAGTGCAATGGTGTAATCTCAGCTCACTGCAGCCTTGATCTCCTGGGCTCAAGTGATCCTCCCACCTCAGCCTCCTGAGTAGCTGAGACCACAGGTAAAAGCCACCATGCCTAATTTTTTGAAATTTTGTAGAAATGGAGTTTTGCCTTGTTTTCCAGGCTGTCTTGAACTCCTGTGCTCAAGTGATCCACCAGCCTTGGCCTCTCAAAGTGCTAGAACTATGGGTGTGAGCTACTGAGCCTGGCAGAGTAATTTCTTTTTTATTTTAATAAAATAGAGACAGGATCTAGCTGTAGCTGGGAACTACAGGTGCCACCACACCTGGCTCAGTTGTTTGTTTGTTTGTTGATTTATTTATTTTGAATCAGGGTCTCACTCTGTTGCCCAGGCTGGTCATCCACTCCGCACCTCAAGTGATCCTCCACACTGCTCAGATTACAGGTGTGAGCCATCGCAACCAATTGTTTTTACTGTTTTTACTGCTGTGTTTTTTTTGAGATAGAGTCTCACTGTGACACCCAGGTTGGAGTGCAGTCGTGCGGTCTTGGCTCACTGCAGCTTCAAACTCCTGGGCTCAAGCAATCCTCCTACCTCAGCCTCCTGAGTAGCTGGGACTATAGGTGTGAGCCACCACACCTCGCTGATTTTGTATTTTTTTGTAGAGATGGGGTTTTGCCATGTTGCTCAGGCTAGTCCCAAACTCCTGAGCTCAAGTGATCTGCCTGCCTTAGCCTCCCGAAGTGCTGGGATTATAGGCATAAGCCACCACACCCAACTTGTTTTTACTCTTAAGTATCTAGCATCTAGCATAGGACCAGGTATAGGTAGATAGTAAATATTTGTGGATCATACAAATGAACACAAAACTAAAGAACTATTAAACAGAACTTTTTTTTTCTTTTTCTAATTGTTCTTGTTTTTTGAGACAGGGTCTCACTCTGTCACCCAGGCTGGAGTGCAGTGGCACCATCTCAGCTCACTGCAACCTCTGCCTCCGGATTCAAGTGATTCTTGTGTCTCAGCCACCAAAGTAGCTGGGATTACAGGCATGCACCACTGTGCCCAGCTAATTTTTGTATTTTTTGTAGAGACGAGGTTTTGCTATGTTGCCCAGGCTGGTCTTGAACTCCTGGCCTCAAGAGATCTGCCCACCTCAGCCTCCCAAAGTGCTGGGATTATAGGCGTGAGCCACCGTGCCCAGCCAACATTTTCAATTTATAATTTCAACCTTAATGAAAATGAAATTGCTGGTTAGGAAAAGTGGCCAACATTTCATGCTCAGAAGACTCTGAGGTTAACAATTTGCAAATAAACAAGATCTCAGAAAAGCTGCAGTCCCAGCAGAAAAAGATGCCCTTTGCACTCTAGTTCTAGTATCGTAAGAAGCAGACAAAGTGGCTGGGCGCCGTGGTTAATGCCTGTAATCCCAGCACTTTGGAAGGCCGAGGCGGGTGGATCACAAGGTCAGGAGTTCGAGACCAGCCTAGCCAATATGGTGAAACCCCATCTCTACTGAAAATACAAAAATTAGCCAGGCGTGGTGGCACGTGCCTGCAGTCCCAGCTACTCGGGGGGCTGAGACAGGAGAATCGCTTGAACCCAGGAGGCAGAGGCTGCAGTGAGCCAAGATCATGCCACTGCACTCCAGCCTGGCAACAGAGCAAGACTCCATCTCAAAAAAAAAAAAAAAAGAAGTAGACAGTGTGCTAAGACCTGCGAGGGCTACCAGAGGGTCCCACCCCAGGCTGCACCCACCTGAGCCTCACTGGAAGAGACGTGAAGGGCCAGGCCGAGCTGCCAGGAGCCTGGCGCACTTGCGGGAGGCCGCAGTTCCATCTTTGGCCCCTTTATTAAAAGCCGTGTGACCTCAGACGTGTGACTCAACCACCTGGAGCCCTGCCGCAAACGGGGGTTATAAATTCTCGTCTCACAAGGTGGCCACCTCATGGAACCAAGAAAGACAACCCAGGAAGGTGCTTTTCAAAGCACAGAAACAAGGACTGCAGGGTGCGAGTGTCACTGGTGGGTGGGAAATCCCTGCCAGCTGCTTCTAAAGCCACAAGGGAACAGGGAGTGCTGTGAAGTGTACCTACTCTGGGTGTCCAATTATAATCTCCCCTACAATCTAAGGAAGTAATTCATAAAAACTAAGTCATTCCTCAAGAGCATCCACTGTAACATCCAGAACCAGGAGAGCACTGTAAGAAACCCCAGCTCTCGTGCTACTCACCGTCCCTGGGCAGCTCCCACTCCTGCAGGACGGCAGGGCCCAGGGCCCACTCAGGACAGGGCTGGCCTGTGCTGGGCCTGCGGGACGCCAGGCAGGAAAAGGCGGGAGTGGCCAGGAAAGCAGGCAGGCCCAGGATGTCTGTCAGAGGCTGGGCCTGTGGGGAAGGCATGACGGGGCAGGATGCGAAGCCCAGCGCACAGGTCCGAGACGGTTTGAGGGCAGTTGCCAGCTACCCCAACAGGATTGCACACTCACAGGGGCCACACTGCCCCAGAGTCATCAGTGACAAAGACTCACCCCAGGGGCACCAGGAAGACCCGCTGCTGACTCTAAAAAGTGTGGTTATTACAACATCAGGTTCAGTGGTTCAGTACGTAGCCTAAAATTTCTTTTTTCTTTTTTTTGATAGAGTCTCGCTCTTGTCGCCGAGGCTGGAGTGCAGTGGCGCCATCTTGGCTCACTGCAACCTCTGCCTCCCAGGTCCAAGCGATTCTCCTGCCTCAGCCTCCCAAGTAGCAGGGATTACAGGCGCCTGCCACAATGCCTGACTAATTTTTTTTTTTTTTTTTTTGAGACGGAGTCTTGCTCTGTCACCCAGGCTGGAGTGCAATGGTGTGACCTCAGCTCACTGCAGCCTCTACCTCCCAGGTTCAAGTGATTCTGCCTCAGCCTCCTGAGTAGCTGAGATTACAGGCACACGCCACCACACCCAACTAATTTTTGTATTTTTAGTAGAGACAGGGTTTCACCGTGTTGGTCAGGCTGGTCTCGAACTCCTGACCTTGTGATCTGCCCACCTTGGCCTCCCAAAGTGCTGGGATTACAGGCCTGAGCCACCATGCCCAGCCTAAAATTTTTTCTTTCTTTTTTTTTTTTTTTTGAGACAGAGTCTTGCTCTGTCGCCCAGGCTGGAGTGCAGTGGCGCAATCTCGGCTCACTGCAAACTCCACCTCCCGGGTTCAAGCAATTCTCCTGCCTCAGCCTCCCAAAGTGCTGGGATTACAGACATGAGCCACCGCACCTGACCTTGGACCAGCTTTTAAAAAGTCAATGGACTGGTACTTCTGACAGATGCCCGATGCCCTTCCCTGGCCAGTGTGGACCCTAAGTCCCCAACAGAAAGCATGATGTTTCTAAGAACAAACCCACACCTTCTCTCAAACAGCTCATGGAGCCCTGAGCAGAGCATCTGTCCTACGAAGGGAGGGAGGTCCGGGCAGTGGGGCCTGCTTATTTCACCAAGTTCCTGTTAGACCTGTAGCTGAGGATGGTGCCCCTGCAGGCAAAAGCCAGTGCCGCCTTAGAGCCACCTGTGCCTCCTCAGAGCTTAGACAGGATGGTTTGGGATGGAAAGAATTCTCCACGGACACAGGAACAATGAGGCAGATTCTACACAAACTCAGACTCCCTGTAAGCTGGATGCCAGGGCACCCTGCCAAGCCTGGAACTCACACGCTCCGCTCTGGACCCACCTTCACCTTCTCATTTCTAAAGTAAGCCTGAGGGCCAGACGCAGTGGCTCACTGTAATCCCAGCACTTTGGGAGGCCAAGGTGGGTGAATCACTTGAGGCCAGGAGTTCGAGACCAGCCTGGCCAATATGGTGAAACCCTGTTTCTCCTAAAAATACAAAAATTAGCTGGGTGTGGTGGCGGGCGCCTGTAATCCCAGCTACTCAGGAGGCTGAGGCATGGAATCACTTGAATCTGGGAGGTGGAGGTTGCAGTGAGCCAAGATCGCACCACTGCACTCCAGCCTGGGTGACAGAGTGAGACTCCATCTCAAAAAACAATTTAAAAAATAAAAAATAAAGTAAGCCGGGCCTCCCTGCCATTGCAGAGTGGCTCCGTGCACTGTAGATCCCACAGAGATGAACAGTTCCACTCCTCAGCGGCTTCGGTGACTGCACCCACCCCTTTATTTGCTCTGGGGTTGTGGACGTCCACTTCCATGCCATCGCCATCGATACTCAGAGCCCCTGGCCGGCTGGATGCCCTGGGGGTTCCAGACAGCTCATGAGGCTCACAGGAGCCACCCCACCTGCTCACTTCCCAATTCAGCCCTGCGGGTTGGTTTCTGCAGTTCAAGGCCTCCCTACATGGAGTTTTCCAGGGCAGCCATCACCTGCCTTTCCAGAGACAAAAATGTACCTCAGAGCACGGTGCCTGCTCACTCCCGGCCTCCTGGATAAAATGCAGTAACAGCTCACACCGGCCCCGGCAGTTTATTTTATTTGCCAGCCAGCCAGGACCTGGCCTTGCCCAGAAGCCATCAAGTCTATGCTACCAACTTTTTAACATTTTTACAAATTACCAATGTTAAGATGAACTCGCTTGAAAATCAAAGTGCATCTTGGAAAACGTCGCTATGTTGAAACGTTACATTCACTAATTAACAAGTCCCCTAAATCACCAGCGGACAGAGAAAAAGCCCGTTCAGGGCCATCAGTAACTCAAGTGGGGCCAACACTGTCCCCGTCACAGTTCCTTCTTCCCTGAGCCTCTCTCCACCACAGAAATAGGAATACTGGGCACAGTGCACACTACTGCCTCCTCTTACCCTCAGATGCTGGCCCGGGTGGCCTCACAGGCTGGGCCTGGCTCTGTACACACCTTCAGGAAGGGCATGCTGTTGGAGACCGGCTCCCCATCGTGTCTCCGTCCCAACCGGGTCACTGGCTTTTCTCAAACAACAATGTCACCTTCCTACTTGCTTGTCATGCTGGGGTTTCTGCAAAGCCTGTGCGCTCACCTGGAGGCACATCACCACCTAGGAGAAAGTTTAACCTGCTCCCAGACACGCTCTAATAAACCTCCTGCTGGTGTTGCCCAGGGAGGGGAAGGCAAAGTTCAGGAAGTGTCCTTGCTGGTTTAAAAAACGGTTAGTCAGTCAGGGCTGAAAACAGAGTGGCTTTTGTTTTTGGCTTCCTAAGCTGATAATGGTTTGCACAAAAGACACATTTCACTATCATTTCACTAAGGCAGCTCTTTGCTCCAGACATCGCCAGTAGTGGGAGAAGGAGGGAGGACGGGAGAGAGCGCGGCCCGACGATTCTGTGAGATGCGCCTTACACTCCCTGACTTTCCCTTCGCTCTTCCAGAAACCCGACAAACAGCCCCACCACCCCCTGGGCTCCACCTGCTCAGATCCTCAGACATCACCATGCCCAGGAACTCAGCGGCGCCACAGTCCATCCCCTTCTACTCTCCCCACTTACTCAGACACCATAGCAGCAACTTTCCCGTTATAAGCTGCCTGCTGAAAGGATCCCTGGGAAAACAGTGCGAGCCAGCAGACCCACTAGCTCGGCCATGACTAACTGCACATTTTACCCGACCACCCCGGTGTGAGCACTGCGATGCTCCCAGTAAAGAGAAATGGGTCTGACTGGAACCATTCAGAATATCAATCAATCAACCAATCAACCAATCAATCAAAGGTTTATTTACCTGAAGACTACCAGTGGAGGGTCCCCGAATAGGGTATCTGGATGGAACACATACTCCCTACTCATATCTTTATTAGACTTTTTTTTTTTAAGATGACATGATGTGCAAGCTGTTTTTTAAAAGAGCAAATTTTCCATAAGTTTCACAGTATCGAACTCCACTTTGTGGAAAATTACATCCCACCCTTAAAAAGCAAAGCAAGACATGGAGGAGAGGTAACTGCGTATTCACTAAGGGAAAGAGGCGCATCTGAAAAGGCTGCATGCCAGATGGTTCTAGCTCCGTGGCGTTCTGGAAGAGGCAGAGCTGTGGAGACACGGAGGATCGGTGGTTGTGGGGGCTGGTGTGAGGGATGAGCCGGCACTGAATCGACTCTGTGACACTATAATCGTGGACCTGTCAAAACACGGAATACACACCACCAAGAGTGAACCCTCAACTACGGACTTTGGCTAATACTAACATATCAGGCTGGGTGCGGTGGCTCACGCCTGTAATACCAGCACTTTAGGAGGCCAAGACGGGTGGATCGCTTGAACTCAGGAGTTTGAGAGCAGCCTAGGCAACACGGTGAAACCCCATCTCTACAAAAAAAAAATACAAAAAATCAGCTGGGCGTGGTGGTTACTGAGTGTGGTCCCAGCCACTGGAAAGGCTGAGAAAGAAGAACACTTGAGCGCAGGAGGCGAAGGTTGTGGTGAGCCAAGATCGAGACTGTACCACCACACTCCAGCCTGAGTAATAGAGCAGACCGTCTCAAACAAAACAAAACAAATAATCATGTAACGTGATCCCGGAATGCTCTACACTATGTTCCATTTTCTGTAAACCTAAAATTGCTCTAAAACATGAAGCATATTCATTTTTTTAAGTCAAAAAACTTTCTTCCATTCTAAAAAAGAAATCAGGATCTAAAAATATGAGAAGGATTAGCTCTGACATGTCAGGTTCCCACCCTTCTGAAGTGACAAGCGTGAGGCTCGGCCACACCCTTCAGACCACGTGGGCCTTTAAGGATAAAATGCACTGGTGCCTTTGGTGCCTCGAGTAACGTCACTCAAGGTTTCCCTGCCCAGGGCTGCCATAACGAACTAGCACAGACCACGGGGCGTGAAGAAACACCAGTTTATCCTCTCAGTTCTGGAGGCCCGAAGTCCAAAGCCAAGGTGTGAGCAGGGCTGGCTCCTGCCTAAGGCTCTCGGAGAGGATGCATCTTTGCCTCTGCTGGCTTCTGGGAGCCCCAGGAGTTCCCTGGCTCTGGTCAGTCTCTGCCCTGTCTTCCTATGGTCTTCCCCCTGTGTGTCTCTCCCGTCTTCCAGGGACACCTGTCACTGGATTTAGGGCCCAAACCAGCATGATATCACCTTGAGATCCTTAATGAACTACATCCGCAAAGACCCTTTTTCCAAATAAGGCCACATCCACAGCTGCTGGGTGGACATATCTTTTGAGAGGCCACTCTTCAGCCACTGCACCATACATAGGATATAAACAATCAACAATGCCCTAACAAACATGAGAGGGGAACAAAAAGACGGATACACGTGAGAAAGAGTGCACAGGCACATGAACGCCCAGGAACACACAGTTCCCCGGACGTTGCAGACCAAGGGCTCTGGGTTACCCTGCAGAGCCTTGGGCATCTCCTCGTGAAGAAGCCGGGTCCTTCTCAGGGCACAGGAGCCACCGTCTGTAGTCCTGGGGTCTCCCAGCACGTTCTGCACACTGCAGCCATGCGAGAGGGTCCAACTCCCACCACACGCCCTCTTAGCCAGCACCTCACTGCTGCCTCACGTGCAGAAAGAGCACACCAAGGCCAAACATGGGACCCACGGTGGGCGCCCTGGCCCCAGAAGCTGCAGCCCAGCTGATAACTGGGACACCGCCGTAAGGCAGAACCACCCCCAGGGTCTGTGTGGGCAGAAGTTAAGCTGCCCACCCAAGGGTGAGGGTGACTAATCCCTGGGGCAGCTTCTCGGAACAGGGAACTGAGTATAATACCATGGCTCCCACGGTACAGTGGCGTCCAAAAGCAACTCAAAAACTACCCTGTGCCAGCCTCAGCTTTCGAGGAGTCAGGGCTCAGAGGACTGACATGAGAAGCCCAGGCCCTACCGGCCAGCAGCTCAGCCCCACTTCTGGTACCCTTGCTCGGCAGCAGGCTGACCAGGACTGGCGGCTGCCACCTCCACCTTCCCGGCGGCCCCCAAGGGCTCAAGTTCAACTTCATGCATTTTCTGCTGCAGCCACGTGGCTCTCCTGGAATCTAACCCTCCAGACCGGCGGACATGGTTACGCTCTGTCGACCACGGCTGTGCTCGAAGACCCTCTCCCCAGCTATGTTGAGAACAAGGGACCCACAGTGACAGGAGACACAGGAGACGCCACGTCACCATGACAACCCTGGCTGCATCTGGGAGCAGGGTGGAGGACAGCCAAGCAGGGGCAGGCATTAGTCAGGCATCCCCAAACACAGAAAATCATTTGCAAGTTGACAAAAGGAATCCTCCCAAGCCCTCTGCTCCGCCTGTGCCTGCCAGCCTGGCAGCGGGTGGTCATGACATCACTGCCCACCCCACTTCTGCTGGCGACAGGCCCTGGGGGAGGATTCCTGCCCAGGCTGACAGGGCGTGTGGGACAGACAACTGTGGGCCTCCCGTCACAGCCACAGAGCCCCACGGTGCACACAGGGCGGGAGGCCCTTCCTTCACGCCAGCTTCTACGGAAGACAGCCCGGAGGCAGGAGGCACGAGCTGTAGGGCATAAAGGAAGAGGTGGATGCCAGACTTCCCCCAAGCTCCTGGGTGAAAACCACTTGCCTCATAGGTGACGAAGTCATCGAACTCGTCCGGGCAGGCCAGGGGCTCCTCATCTTGGGCAGAAGCGACACCACCGTAGCACTGGCCATCAGGATCTGCAGGGAGAAGACCTCGTGCTCAACAGGCCACCCATAGCCACCCAGTGACGGGACCCCTGGCGGCCTCGGGACTCCCTGGGAAGGAGGCCCCCAGGGACAGATGTGTGGGAGTTGGGGGCCCTGGGGGGGGTCAAGACAAGCAAGGGAGTGAGCATGAGAAATCCAGGGAGAGAAAACAGCCTTGCCAACGGGTCAGAGATGCGTTGCCCACAGGAACAAGGCTTCTGGAGAGAATTCTGAGGAGGAGATGCAGAGGTAGGAGATAAACTTTTTATTTCTTAAAAGAAGCAGACAGCACTGCAAAAAAAAAAAGAGCAAGACATTGAGCTCCATAAAACTGTCCATGGCCTTTAAAAAGTGTTAGGTACCAATCAGATTTAAACCTTTAAAAACATTTACATGAGAAGGTGTAGGTATGATGAAATAATACAAAAACAACATCTTTTCCTGGGTGCTGGGTTCACGCGCAGTTTTCATTTTATTTTCTTTTTTTGCTTATCTTCTATAATCAATGTTCTATGAGAAAAACTTTAAAGGAAAAGCTATCTTCTCATGAGAGACAGGCTATAATTCTTACGTCAGCTACAGTCATCACTTTGCAAACACAACCAATCCCGCAGCACCTGCCTCTCCTCCTGTAGGAAAAGGCACTGGCTTCCAGCGTCTCAGTGATATTCACAGGTCAAAGCACCTTCCAGGGCCTGTGAGTGACAGAAGACACTTAGGTGTCTTCACACTGTCTCACTATTAATTCAACTACTTGCCTAAAATAGACCAGCTACTTATAAAATAGCATTACTTAATACCTTTAACACAATCTATTCTAATGTCAATCACTTATTTTAAAAGTGAAGGTTGGGGCCAGGCACGGTGGCCTATGCCTGTAATCCCAGCACTTTGGGAGGCTGAGGCAGGTGGATTGCTTCAGCCCAGGTGATTGAGACCAGCCTGGGCAACATGGTGAAACCCCATCTCCACAAAAATACAAAAATTAGGTCGGGTGCAGTGGCTCACACTCGTAATCCCAGCACTTTGGCAGGCTGAGGCAGGAGGATCATTTGAGGTCAGGAGTTCAAGACCAGCCTGACCAACATGGTGAAACCCCATCTCTACTAAAAATAGTAAAAATTAGCTGGGCATAGTGGCGAACACCTGTAATTTCAGCTAATTGGGAGGCTGAGGCAGGAGAATCACTTGAACCTGGGAGGCGGATGTTTCAGGGAGCCGAAATCACACCACTCTGCACTCCAGCCTGGGCGACAGAGCAAGACTCCATCTCAAAAAAAAAAGAAAGAAAGAAAAGAAAAGAAAAAAATCAGCTGGACATTGTGGGACACACCTGTAGTCTTAGCTACTCTGAAGGCTTGAGCCAGGGAGGCAGAGGATGCAGTTGGCCAAGACTGCACCACTACATTCCAGCCTGAGTGACAGAGCAAGACCCTGTCTCGAAGAAAAAAGAAAAGTGGAGACCAGGCATGGTGGCTCACACCTGTAATCCCAGCACTTTGGAAGACTGACACTAGAGGATTGCTTAAGTCCAGGAGTTCAAGACTGGCCTGGGCAATATAGCAAAGATCCTATGTCTACAAAAAATAAAGATAAGGCCGGGTGTGGTGGCTCACGCCTGTAATCCTAGCACTTTGGGAGGCCGAGGCGGGCGGATCACTTAAGGTCAGGAGTTCTAGACCATCCCAGCCAACACAGTGAAACCCCATCTCCACAAAAACAATTAGCCAGGTGTGGTGGGGGCATGCCTGTAGTCCCATCTACTCGGGAGGCTGAGGCACAAGAATCACTTGAGCCTGGGAGGTGGAGGCTGCAGTGAGCTGAGATCATGCCACTATACTCCAACCTGGGTGACAAAGTGAGTCCCTGTCTCATAAATACATAAATAATACATTTAAAATAATAAAAAATAGGCCGGGCATGGTGGCTCACGCCTACAATCCCAGCACTTTGGGAGGCTGAGGTGGGCAGATCACGAGTTCAGGAGTTCGAGACCATAGTGGCCAACATGGTGAAAACCCGTCTGTACTAAAAATACAAAAATTAGCTGGGCATGGTGGTATGTGCCTGTAATCCCAGCTACTTGGGAGGGAGGCTGAGGCAGGAGAATAGCTTGAACCGGGACCCGGGAGGCAGAGGTTGCAGTGAACCAAGATCGCGCCACTGCACTCCAGCCTGGGCTACAGCGAGAGTCTGTCTCAAAATAATAATAATAATAATAATAAATTAAAAATTAAATTACATTTTAAAATGCTAACAGTCTTGCCTGCGCTTATAAACACTGAAACACAGAACTAAAAACTTTCAATATACAGCGAAGCATTTTGGACACAGCGCATGACAGCTCAGGTTCTGACAGTGGGCAAACAATCTGAGGGTCTTGCCCCAGAGGGCGGAGCAGGGGATATGAACACAGATGGCATTTTTATATTCTTGGTAGGACCTAAATACCATTCTCATATTAGTTTTCCTTATAAAAACTAAAACAATTTTCAATTAATTAGGAATTTTTCACGTGCGTTTCCCTTATTCTTCCAAAGCGTGAGGGTGTGTGAGACACAGCAATGGCCTATTTGGAACAATCCCTCTCTATCTCATTCTATTCCTGAAACAAGGCCTGTGGCTGTGACAGGAAAGCCTCCTTGTGCTTCCCAGCAAACTAGGCCAGCACATCCTGCTGGTCACTCCTCGACGCAGACAGGGCTGACAGACAACACAGGCTGCTGCAGCCACGATGGAGCTAACACCTGAAGTGAACTTTGGCTGAAGTGCGGTTTGGATGATCACATTTTCCTTTCTTCTAAATGCTATGAAATAATTCCAAAATCATCTTCGACTTCGTTTTATTCTAGTTTCACTCTCCTTCCGAACGAAACATAAATCATGACATCAAATTACTCAAAAGTAAAGCAGACCCCGCAGCCCCAGAGGCCATGTGTCCAATGCCATGGCAGCACCGCCTCCCTGACGCCCCAGGACCTCCTCCTCCCTGACGCCCCTGCACCTCCTCCCTGACTTCCCTGCACCTCCTCCCTGACGCCCCAGCACCTCCTCCCTGACGCCCCAGCACCTCCTCCCTGACTTCCCTGCACCTCCTCCCTGACGCCCCTGCACCTCCTCCCTGAGGCCCCTGCACCTCCTCCCTGAGGCCCCTGCACCTCCTCCCTGAGGCCCCAGCACCTCCTCCCTGACGCCCCTGCACCTCCTCCCTCACTTCCCTGCACCTCCTCCAACGCCCCTGCACCTCCTCCCTGACTTCCCTGCACCTCCTCCAACGCCCCTGCACCTCCTCCCTGAGGCCCCAGCACCTCCTCCCTGACGCCCCAGCACCTCCTCCCTGACGCCCCTGCACCTCCTCCCTGACGCCCCTGCACCTCCTCCCTGAGGCCCCTGCACCTCCTCCCTGACGTCCCAGCACCTCCTCCCTGAGGCCCCAGCACCTCCTCCCTGAGGCCCCTGCACCTCCTCCCTGACGTCCCAGCACCTCCTCCCTGAGGCCCCAGCACCTCCTCCCTGACGCCCCTGCACCTCCTCCCTGAGGCCCCTGCACCTCCTCCCTGAGGCCCCAGCACCTCCTCCCTGACGCCCCTGCACCTCCTCCCTGACGCCCCTGCACCTCCTCCCTGAGGCCCCAGCACCTCCTCCCTGAGGCCCCAGCACCTCCTCCCTGACGCCCCAGCACCTCCTCCCTGAGGCCCCAGCACCTCCTCCCTGACGTCCCAGCACCTCCTCCCTGAGGCCCCTGCACCTCCTCCCTGACGCCCCCGCACCTCCTCCCTGACGCCCCTGCACCTCCTCCCTGACGTCCCAGCACCTCCTCCCTGAGGCCCCTGCACCTCCTCCCTGACGTCCCAGCACCTCCTCCCTGAGGCTACTGCACCTCCTCCCTGACGCCCACTCCACTCTGCAGTCAGCTCTGCAGTCAGCTCAGTGTCCCACCCCTCACACCAGCTCTCAGGGATGCCCCACCATCCTCTTCAGGAGCCTGGAGCTGGAGACAGAATTGTGAGGCCTGCCTCTCACCTGCTCCTTCTGACCCTGCCTCCCTGTGGCCTCCAAACATGCCAGGTGCAGCCCTGCTGGGATGCTGCCTTCCCATCCCAGACGTTCTCAGGGAGGCCTCCCCACTCCTCTGCCTCCCTAGCTCCTGCCTTACTTTGTGGTCTGTCTCCCACTAGAAAGCCAGCTCCCAAGGGCAGGGGTTCTGCACTGCCGTTTCGTGCTACGTCCCAGAGCCTGGAACAGGCTGGTTCGACAGCACTCACGGGCCCGTTGCCCCATGTGTCCCCATCCATGGTCCTCACAGGTGCCAGCCGTGCTCTCCCTCGGCTGCAGCCACCTCCACCAGCCTGGCTCAAGCTCTAATGCAGTGAGATAGGAGAGCCCTGGCCGGCTCACGATGACTAGCTCACCGCCCTCTCAAGCAGACAGGCGCAGGAGCCCTCCCAGGCCCATCTGTCAGCTGCTGGGAAGGAGAACGGGGTGCCCCAGCTGCTGTGGGATTGGCCCAGGTGACAGCAAAGAGAGAAGGGGACGGTGTCTGGGAGAAGGCCCCAGCTTGGCGTGTCAGGTGGCTGGGCAACCACTAAGAAACATCTGGAGATGGGCTGTCCTTGGACGATCACTCTCTCACCCCTTCAGTCACTAAGCCAAGACACCGGCAACCACAGGCAGCCACAGTCCACAGCTGGCAGCCCCCAGGCTTCCCAGACAGAGCATCGGGCTCCTCCGAGGGCAGCAGGCCAGGCTAGAGGCTTCATTTTGCTTGGTGGGCATCTCCCACACCCTGACTCCTGAGCTGAGAGTGGGCACCTTCCAAGCCAAGGCCTCCCAGGAACCCCTAGAGCTGAGCTTGCCCCATTTCACGTTAGCCATGGTCCACAGGAACAAACCAACCCCTACCCTGACGACAGAATCGTGGACCCAGGTGGCTCCCTCCTGCCCATGTCATGGTACCCGGGGCCACTGCTGTTCCCAGCCTTGACCCTGCAGAGGGATCTGAGCACTTCACCTGTCCAAACCTACAAAAGACCCGTCTTAACTCTCCATGACAGGCTGTGTCCCTGACTCCCGAGGGAACACATCTCCAGCCCAAATCTCCTGCAGGCTGCCCTCAGTCACAGGCCCAGGAACACGCTCTGCCAGCCACATTGTGCAGAGCAAGTTTACCCTATGACAAGCCGAGACCAGCACAGCCAGTGACTGGCCAGGGCCCTGAGTGCTCTGAGTCTTTGTGGCACCGAGGAAATGGGTTGTAACATTTATAACAAGACCAGCAGTCACAACAAAGAATTCCTGGTTTTATTCAAAATGCGTGGAGTTACAGTCCTGTTCCCTGTGATTTCATACACGTGCCTGTCACTAGAAAATGAACCACTGCTGGCCGGGCGCGGTGGCTCACGTCTGTAATCCCAGCACTTTGGGAGGCCGAGGTGGGTGGATCACCTGAGGTCAGGAGTTCACGACCAGCCTGGCCAACATGGCAAAACCCCATCTCTAACACAAAAAATTGGCCAGGTGTGGCAGCGCGAGCCTGTGGTCTCAGCTACTCGGGAGGCTGAGGCAGGAGAATCGCTTGAACCTGGGAGACGCAAGTTGCAGTGAGCCGAGATCACACCACTGCACTCTAGCCTGGCCGACAGAGCGAGACTCCATCTCAAAAGAAAAAGGAGCCAGTGCTGAGAGGCCGTGGCTACTGACAGGCCGCCCACACTCCCCTCTAAGCTCGCATCTACTTCCCTCTGTTTTGCCAAACAGTCCCCATGAGATGCCCTGCCACACTGCACCCTGCCCCATTTTCCCTCCTCCAATCTTCCAAAATGGTTACATCGCCATCTTCAGTTACATCAATATTCAATTTAACTATTATGGCTATGTAAAATATGGCTTGTTACTGGACCAAGAAGTACAGGCTGTCTTATTCCACTTCTTGTTTTTCATGGAAGTGGTAACTGCCTCCTGGGGTCTTGTGCTTGGCCTCCATGCACCCATCTCAGCCCCAAACACTGAGGCCTCTCCGATGACAACCAGTTCTGGGGGTCCCCGGGCTCCCTCACCATCAACCTAGAAGCCTGCATCCAGTAATTCTTGACTTAAGAGTGAAGACGAAACACAGCTATACAAAACAAAAACGACACAGCTACCAGCTTCATGAGCGGCTTTTCTCCTCCCTGCGACTGAGACCAAGCTAACGTGAGTCTCCAGCTCGCACCTCCATGAACTCAGGGGACCAATGATTAGAAAAGAAGCATCCTCTCAGGCGTACCCATCACATGCATAAAAACCACCCAGCCGGCCCAGCAAGTACCAAAGCATCAGTGTCATAAAGATCGCATTCTCTATTACACACAAAATTCTGTTTGGAATTAATGGCAAGTTTTTTTTGTTTTGTTTGTTTTTGAGACAGGGTCTGTCACCAGGCTGGAGTGCATGGAGTGCAGTGGCACAAACACAGCTCACTGCAGCCTCCACCTCCTGGGATGCTCCCACCTCAACCTCCCAAGTAGCTGGGACTACAGGCATACGCCACAATGCTCAACTACTTTATTTTTTTGCACAGCCAAGGTCTCACTATGTTGCCCAGGCTGGTCTCACCCTCCTGGGATCAACTGATCCTCTCACCTCAGTCTCCCAAAGTGCTGGGATTACAGGTATGAGCCACTGTGCCTGGCCCATAATGGATTTTTCAAACTAAGAGGAAAAAATTTACACCTAGAATCTCCCCAGAGCTAACCGGTGAATCAGTTAGAGAACAAACTCATCCCGAGGGTCATGGGCACAGCTGCCATGTCCCAGGAGTAACCTGAGGAGAACCAGACTTTCCAGAAGGCCTGGAGGGAGGACCTGCAGCACGCCATGCAGCAAGCCTCAAGGCACAGTATGTGAGACGCCAAAATTCTCACAAAGCCGCTACTGAAAGCTTTGTACAGAAGGACAAACGTTAAATAAATGTATAAAGTACACACCTATCCTCTTAAGATGTTACTTAAGGGTTGCAGCTTATCAGTTAGACTGAGACACGGCCCCATCAGCCTCAACCTGCTGGTGCTCAGCCTGCAGACTCTGAGGCCTCCTGACTGTCCTCTTCCTCCCCCTTCTCCTGCCAATGCTGCCTCCTGAGGGTCTGTGGCCACCCACTCTGCCCATTGCTCTGCAGGCCCCCTTGACCCAGAGCTTGCCTGCACGCTCCTCTCAGCCTGCAGAGCCTGCAGTATCTCTCCATCCTCGTCCTGGGCCCCTCGCCCCACCTCAGGACTGCTTCCTCACCTGGGCCAGATGGTCTTTACCTGGTTGTCAGGGTGTCCTTTCTCCCCTCCACCCCTCCTCAGAGAGGGCTGCCTGCCTAGTTCCCATCTCACCCCCGGCCTGCTACGCTGACAGCAGCAGCACCTCACCCATTTGTCCTGCCGCAGCCCGCTGGCCTTGCTCTGGTGCTGGTTCACCACAGAGGCCCCGGGGCCAAGCCCAGCGCAGAGGCCGTGCTGGTCCCACAACATGTTCATGGGTGGAAGAACAGACAGTCAAATAAAGAGTAACAAATGGGGAACAGGCCGGGCGCAGTGGCTCATGTCTGTAACCCCAGCACTTTGGGAGGCCAAGGTGGGTGGATCACCTGAGGTCAGGAGTTCGAGACCAGCCTGGCCAAAACGGAGAAACCCTGTCTCTACTAAAAATACAAAATTAGCTGGGCGCAATGGCACATGCCTGTAATCCCAGGTACTCGGGAGGCTGAGGCAGGAGAATCGCTTGAACCCGAGAGGCGGAGGTTGCAGTGAGACGAAATCATGCCATTGCACTTCAGCTTGGGCAACAAGAGCAAAACTCTGTCTCAAAAAAAAAAAAAAAAAAAAAAAAACCGGGGAACAACACACAGCACGTTTCCCCAGAGCCATCTAAAGACTTGGCATCTGAGAAAACCCTTAGAGACACTGTCAGGCAATAATTCTGTGGAGGAGACAGACAAGACCTGAGGTCGAGGTCCAAGGGCATCCGTCTCCCTCACTGCACCTGCTGACTCTGAGGGCCCCAGCCAAGGTCTACTTATCCTGCACGTGCATGAAGGAGGGAAAGGACCCGCCACCGTCACCCCTACACCGCCTGGCCAAACATGAGGAAGTGAGATGGCCTGTTCAGAGCTTCAGAACTTGACGTAAGACGGACAGTGTATAGTATGGGGACTGGTGAGAGTGTGAAAAGGCACGGCCACTGTGAAGAACCGAGTTTACCCCAGCACATGACCCACTCCTAGATACAGGCCCCAAGGACTTGAAGACACGCATCCACACAAAGAGTTGTACACAAACGTGCCCATCACCAGGAGAATGAAGAAACGAAATACGGCACAAGCACGCAACGGATCGTGCTGGGAAAGGGATGGTGCTGGGGAAGACATTGTGCTGGGGAAGACATTGTGCTGAGGAAGGGATGGTGCTGGGGAAGGGATGGTGCTGGGGAAGGGATCGTGCTGGGGAAGGGACGGTGCTGGGGAAGGGATGGTGCTGGGGAAGGGACGGTGCTGGGGAAGGGATGGTGCGGTGCTGGGGAAGGGATGGTGCTGGGGAAGGGACTGGGGAAGGGACGGTGCCGGGGGACTGGGGAAGGGACGGTGCCGGGGAAGGGACGGTGCTGCGGAAGGGATGGTGCTGGGGAAGGGATGGTGCTGGGGAAGGGATCGTGCTGGGGAAGGGATCGTGCTGAGGAAAGAAGCCAAGTGAGAGCACGCGAACCCTCAAGACAGGTGAAACTGGCCAGGCACGGTGGTTCATGCCTGTAATCCCAGCACCTCAGCCTTGGGAGGCTGAGGCAGGCGGATCACCTGAGGTCAGGAGTTCAAGACCAGCCCCGCCAACATGGTGAAACCCCGTCTCTACTAAAAATACAAAAATTTTTATATGTTTTGTATTTTTAGTAGAGGTGAGCATGGTGGTGGGTGCCTATAATCCCAGCTCAGGCAGGAGAATCGCTTGAACCCGGAAGGTGGAGGTTGCAGTAAGCCGAGATCGGGCCATTGCACTCCAGCCTGGGTGACAAGAGTGAAACTCAGTCTCAAAGAAAAAAAAGAGAGATAGGCAAAACTAATCCATGGTGACAGAAATCAGCAATGGTGCCAGCAGGAGGGAAGGCACTGCCTGAGGGCGAGGGGTATGCGGCACCCACATGGGGACAGTGATGTGCGTGACAGGCTCCGCACTGCCAGGCACAGGACTCTGTCGGAGCTCACAGAGGAGCAGGTGTGAGCTGTACATTTCACTGCAGGTAAATTTTTACTCAAAGGAAGACTGGAAACAAACACTGAGCTCTAGGGAACGATGGTGGTACGGGCTGCAGTGTTCAGGGCGGTGTGCGCGGAAGCATGCTGATTACAAACACATCCCATTCAAGAGGGGCTGGGGGACAGACTGGAGATGGACAGAGACGTGGGGAGAGAGTGCGACGAAGTGCTGCCTGCAGAGCACGGGTGATGAACACCCACTTGGGTGGCCATGGAATCATTCTTTCAATATTTTGAAAATTCTCAAATTGTCATCATGAAATCTTTGAGGAAGGGGGCAGTTGCTTTCTAGCATTATGGAAAAGTAGTTAACGCAGCAAATTCTGGAAAACAGGGTATGTGAGGAGAAGGTAACAAGAAAGGAAAGAGACCACCTGGAAACCTGGGGTATGTTGGGGGCTTCAAGGAGAAGGAAAGATGTTAGAGTCAGCACGAGGAGCCTGGTGATGTGCAGGTGGCTGAGAGGGTGGCTGAGGAACGGGAGAGGAGGTGGGAGCTCATGGCGGGGATGACTGACCTCCGTTTCTGATGGCTGTGATCCCTTGGTAGAAGTCTTCAAAGCTGATCACGCCGAGCCCACTGGGATCCAAGTACTTAGTTAAGTCCTTCACCTGTAATTGCCAAATGAGACTAGGTTACCCTAAGCCTTTACAGCAGGGGTCCCCAACCCTGGACCTCGGACTGGGAGAGATCTGGTGTGTGGCCTGCTGGGAACGGGGAAGCACAGCAGGAGGTGAGGGAGCATTACCGCCTGAGCTCCCCTCCTGTCAGATCAGCAGGAGCATCAGGTTCTTCTCACAGGAGCGCAAAGCCTACTGTGTGCTCCGCATGCGAGGGGTCCAGGTTGCGCGCTCCTTATGAGACTCTAACGCCGGATGATCTGAACAGTATCATCCTGAAACCACCCCAACGCCCTGCCCGTCTGTGGAAAGGCGTCTTCTATGAAACCAATCCCTGGTGCCAAGAAGGCTGCGGGCCGCTTTAGGGAATCGGGATTAGGCTGTATCGCGAGCTTGGCTTTTTCACCACATGCAAAGAAGCCGCCAACAGGGGCGGTGCTGACAGTGACAGCCTCTGACTCCTCACGTGCAGGAGGCAGCACGGCCTCCATGGGCCACTGCAGACGGTCACAGCCACAGGACAGGCAGCACCCTGTAAATGGGCTGCCAGCAGCACCTGGCGTGATGAACCACAGGAGTAGGACCCTGGCCACTGAACGCCAGCAGCCAGGGTCTTACGTGGGGAGATCAGTTCTGAAGTTTTAGGTATTGTTCCGGCAAGGATCCAGCATGCCAACATAGATATGTTACATAGATAACATAGATAAGCACACACCGCCCATTCAGAAATGCCTTCCTGGCTCTGCAGAGTCCTTGGTAGCGAATAACTCAGGGAAAAAGACCCTTGATATCAAAAATCATAAACGCTAAGTAGGGTGACTCACACATGGACGTAACACAAAATGAAACTCTTCAGAAAGAATGCAGGTTTATTCTGCCAAGTGTAAATTGGATTTCATAAAAATTTAAAAATTTTCAGGGGATGGGGTGGGAGGGGGGAGAGTATTACAGAAAATACCTGGGCTTAATACTCAGCTGATGGGCTGACAGGTGCAGCAAATCACCATGGCACACGTTTGCCTATGTAACAAACCTGTACATCCTACACATGTACCCCAAAACTTAAAAATAAAAATTTAAAACTTTCATACTCAAAAGACATTAATAAAAGCAAAAAAATGACACTGACTGGGAGAAAGTATTTGCAAATCATATATCTGTTAAATGACTTGTGTCCAGAATATATAAGGAAATCTTATAATTAAGAAGACAACTCAGGCCAGGTGCGGTGGCTCACACCTGTAATCCCCAGCACTGTGAGAAACCGAGGTGAGTGGATCACCTGAGGCTGGGAGTTCCAGATCATCCTGACCAACGTGGAGAAACCCCATCTCTACTAAAAATACAAAATCAGCCAGGCGTGGTGGCGCATGCCTGTAATCCCAGCTACTCAGGAGGCTGAGACAGGTAAATTGCTTAAACCCGGAAGGCAGAAGTTGCCGTGAGCAGAGATTGCGCCATTGCACTCCAGCCTAGGTGATTGAATGAGACTCTGTCTCAAAAAAAAAAAAAAAAAAAAGACAACTCAATTTTTTTTTAAGTGGGCAAAAAACTTAAATAGAAATTTCATCAGAAAATATGTGTGAATGGTTGATAACCACATGAAAAAATGCTCAATTAGTCCTTAAAGAAATGCAAATTAAATTAAAACCACATTGCAGCCAGGTGCCTTGTGGCTCACGCCTGTATTCCCAGCACTTTGAGAGGCTGAGATGGGATCACCGAAGGTCAGGGGTTCCAGACCAGCCTGGCCAACATGGCAAAACCCCATCTCTACTAAAAATACAAAAATTAACCAGGTGTGGTGGCGCTCGCCTGTAATCCCAGCTACTCAGGAGGCTGAAGCTGGAGAATCGCTTGAACCCGGGAGGCGGAGGTTGCAGTGAGCCAAGATTGTGCCACTGCACTCCAGCCTGGGCTACAAAATGAGAATTTGTCTGCTAAAAAAAAAAAAAAAAAAAAAGTTTGAAGCTGGGTGTGGTGGTTCACGCCTATAATCCCAGCACTTTGGGAGGCTGAAGCAGGCGGATCACCTGAGGTCCGGAGTTCGAGACCAGCCTCACCAACGTGGAGAAACCCCATCTCTACTAAAAATACAAAATTAGCTGGGCGTGGTGGTGGGAACCTGTAACCCCAGCTACTCGGGAGGCTGAGGCGGGAGAATTGCTTGAATCCGGGAGGTGGAGGTTGTAGTGAGCTGAGATCGTGCCACTGCACTCCAGCCTGGGCAAAAACAGCGAAACTCTGTCTCAAAAAAAAAAAAAAAAAAAGTTTGAACACTGATAAATATTTGATGATATTAAGGAACTGTTCATTTTTGTAGGTGTGATGACATTTTCATAATTTTTTAAAGAGCACTGCTTTTTAGACACATGTACTGAAATACTTAGAAATACCTCTAGAATCTGGGGTGAGGCACAGATGTCACCAGAGGCATGCCTGCACGTTGCTGTGACTGGGGATGGGTACCAGTGCACCATTTCACTACTCTCCACTTTCATATGGGTTTGAACTCTTCCATAATGAAAACTTCAAGAACAGCAAAAGAGAAAAAGAGAGCAAAGAAGAAAGAAGTGTGGGCCAGGGAGAAAGGAAAAAGGAGGCAGCATTCAGCCACAGAGGGGGCAGACTCCTGAAGAAAGCCCCTCTTGGGTGGCGGGCTGGACTGTGAAAATGCTCAGGGACAGGGAGAGGCAACAGGCTGGCAGGAGCCCTGGCTGTAGCCACATCCATTAACTGACAAAACCCTAGGGCCTCAGGCAGGTTACGGCAGATGAGCATCGGTGAACCCGAGGAAGGCCCCCCAGGCCCTGTGGGCATCGGTGAACCCGAGGAAGGCCCCCCAGGCCCTGTGGGCATCGGTGAACCCGAGGAAGGCCCCCCAGGCCCTGTGGGCATCGGTGAACCCGAGGAAGGCCCCCCAGGCCCTGTGGGCATCGGTGAACCCGAGGAAGGCCCCCCAGGCCCTGTGGGCATCGGTGAACCCGAGGAAGGCCCCCTAGGCCCTGTGGTGAAGTCCAGATGCCGGGGCTGCTACCAAGCAGCAAGCACAGAACCCTCAAGGGCAGCCCTGCTGGAGATGCCAGGACACAGCTGCTCTGTTTCAGGAAAAGGATGGGGGGTGTAGCACGTGGTCAGCAAGGCTATAGCATCGCCCAGGAGGCAATCCAGAGAGCCCGAAGCACACAGGGCACCAGAGCAAGGCCCGGGCCCCCGTGGCTGGCCCTCTCGCCACTGTCAGCCAACATGCCTCATAAAGTCAGGCTCAAACAGGGCCAGCCCCAGCTAAGGGACCCCACAGTGTGGAATTCCTGAGCCAGAGACTGAGTTTCCGCTTCCCCTTCACAACGGAAGAGGCCGGGGCCATCGCCCCAATCCTAGGGCTCTGTGTGCTAGCGTGACTCTAGCCTCGGAAGTCCATCATCAACCAACTTCCTGGAGACAACTGGAGTTTATAAAACATCTCCCCACTTATCTCACAAAAGTCCTCATTCCTAAGCTCATTCCTAAGAATGTGAGAGTCTTGCTGGGTACCTGAGAGTTACCTAATCCGGAGTCCAGACTGGCCAATCTGTCCTGAAGATTCCTAAGAATTTCCACACTGAAGCTACTAATTGAACACAAAGTACCAAGTTGTTTATTCTGAAACATTAACCAAATATTTTTTAAACAAATCATTAACTAGAATAGGCCCCTTTTACATGTTACCATGTTAGAATGAACAAGAGTGAATCAAAGTATACATTTTTAAAACTCCATTTTAATTATATTTTCTTTATAATCTGTAGAACAGATGGATTTCATGTAATTGATGATTTGGGGATAGTTCTAATTCTCCAAGTCCAAAATACTCAATTCAGAGGCTTTCAAAAAAAAAAAAAAAGGTGAAACTGTGAAAAATGAGACAGCCTGCCCTTCCCTGCAAAATCCAGTAGTGGCAGAAAACCGAGCCAAGAGACATAAACCAGAGTGGCCAAAGCCAGCCAGCACCGCTCCAGCAGACGGACAATAAGTTACAGAAACACCATGGTGGAGAATCCACTCAGTCACTGGCTCCAGGGTGACTGCAGTATGAAAAACTTACTGACAAATTGCATTGTTCCTACTATGGATGTAGAAACATGATCCACTAATCTGAAAGAAAGGAAAGCAGAACAAGTTCTCCCACCACAGTCAACTAGGATCCCAGAGACTCCTCCCAGGATTCTCGAATAACACACTGTATTATGGCTTCACAGCAAAGCACCTTTCAGAACGAGAAACCGCCTTTCTGCATCTTGTTGTTACTATCATACTTGAATTATACTGTTTTCAACAAAGCTTATCTTATCAGAAACCACAGCAATAATAAGCAAAATGTTCCTAGGAGTTCCCGAAGCTATCTGTAAACTTCACACTAGATCAGCACATGGGCCAGCGTGGGCAGGGAGAGAGGCGGCTCTGGAAGCCTGGCTATACAGTATCTCCCAATGGCACTGAAGCCTGCGGCTCACCTGCCGATGGCACGGACACTTCTTTCTAAAAGCAGACGCGAAGCAGCTAAACATATACACAAAGGGCTTTCCCTGCTGTTCCCAACAAGTGCTCGTTTTGTTTTGATTTGTTGTTGTTTTTTTGTTGGTTTTTTTGTTTGTTGTTGAGATGGAGTCTCACTCCGTCGCCCAGGATGGAGTGCAGTGGTGCGGCCTCAGCTCACTACAACCTCCGCCTTCTGGTTTGGATGATTCTCCTGCCTCAGCCTCCCAAGTAGTTGCGATTACAGCTACCTTCCACCATGCCCAATCAATTTTTTAGTATTTTTAGTAGAGACAGGGTTTCACCATGTTGGGCAGGCTGGTCTTGAACTCCTGACCCCAAGTGATCTGCCCACCTCGGCCTCCCAAATTGCTGGGATTACAGGCATGAGCCACCGTGCCCAGCCTTGTTTTTCTTTTTCTTTTTCTTTTTTTTTTTTTGAGACAGGGTCTCACTCTGTCACTCAGGCTAGGGTGCAGTGGCACAATCTCAACTCACTGCAACCTCTGCCTCCCAGGTTCAAGCGATTCTCCCACCTCAGCCTCCCAAGTAGCTGTGTGTGCCGCCACACCCGGCTCATTTTTGTATTTTTGGTAGAGACAATGTTTTGCCATGTTGCCCAGGCTGGTCTCGAACTCCTGACTTCAAGTGATCCGCCCACCTTGGCCTCCCAAAGTGCTGGAATTACAGGTGTGAGCCACTCAGCCCACCTTACAGATGGGGTTTCACCATGTTGGCCAGGCTGGTCTTGAACTCCTGACCTCAGGTGATCCATCCGCCTTGGCCTCCCAAAGTGCTGGGGTTACAGGTGTGAGCGAGCCACCGTGCCCGGCCTTAATTCTTGATACTAATATCTGTTGTCCTGCACTTGAGTGGGAATCTTTCTGGTTGGTTCATTTTAACAGAGATAACTGAAGTACTCTTAGAAATGAAAGGATGTTCAATAAAATATTTGAGATGCACTTAGTATAAAGCCTGAACCAAACTAAGGCCAGGCATAATGGCTCACACCTGGCTTTCCAGCATTTTGAAATGCCAAGGCGGATGGATCACTTGAGCCCAAGAGTTCCAGACTAGCCTGGGCAACATGGTGAAACCTCATCTCTACAAAAAATTCCAAAAAATTCGTCGGTCCACGTGCCAGTAGTTCCAGCTACTTGGAAGGCTGAGGTGGGAGGATTGCCTGAGCCTGGGAGGTTGAGGCTGCAGCGAGCCATGATTGCGTCACTGCATTCCACGTGGGCGACAGAGTGAGACCCTATCTCCCAAAAAACAACAACAACAACAAAAACAGTGACAGGGAGCACCTGCTCCAGTCATATCCGATCACCCACCCAAGAATGGACTGACCACTGCTGAGTGCTTGTGAGAGTGTGCGCGGTTCTCAATTCTTTTTTTTTTTTTTTTGAGACAGAGTCGCCTCTGTTACCCAGGCTGGAGTGCAGTGGTGTGATCTCAGCTCACTGCAGCCTCCACCTCCCGGGTTCAAGCAATTCTCCTGCCTCAGCCTCCTTTGTAGATGGCATGACAGGCACGTGCCACCACGCCCGGCTGATTTTTGTAGTAGAGACGGGGTTTCGCCATGTTGGCCAGGCTGGTCTTGAACTCCTGACCTCAGGTGATCCGCCCACCTTGGCCTCCCAAAGTGCTGGGATTACCGGCGTGAGCCATGGCGCCTGGCTGCGCAGTTCTCAATTCTTTGATCTGAGTGGTGATTTTTACATATCACTGTATAGAGAACAGACAAGAAAGCTTATTCTTCAATCTGGTGCATGTGGCCAAGAAAAAAAAAAAAAAGAAAGAAAGCCTAGTTTTTTTGTTTTTTTTTTTGAGACGGAGTTTCGCTCTGTCACCCAGGCTGGAGTGCAGTAGTGCAATCTCGGCTCACTGCAACCTCCACCTCCCGGGTTCAAGCAATTCTCGTGCCTCAGCCTCCCAAGTAACTGGGATTACAGGCACGTACCACCACGCCTCGCTAACTTTTGAATTTTTAGTAGAGACGTCGTTTTGCCATGTTAGCCAAGCTGGTCTGGAACTCCTGACCTCAGGTGATCTGCCTACTGCCTCAGCCTTCCAAAGTACTGGGATTACAGGTGTGAGCCACTGCGCCCGGCCAAGAAAGCCTGTTCTTATACGCTTGAATGAGAAAGAGCCTGTATGTGACACTTTCTAAACCTGCAGGAAAGTTGGCTTCTGTTCCAAATCACATTAGCCTCAGGGACCTTGGACAAGGAGTTCCAGAGACAGGGGTGTTTTCATGGTTGGTTTTGTGGGTTTTTTTGGTTTTTGCTTTTGGGGTTTTTTGGTTTTGGTTTTGAGGAGGTATACAATATGAGATGAGGTCTACAACATGTTTCCCACGCTAGATGTGAACGACTAGACTCGGCCAATCCTCTTGCCTCAGCCTCCTGAGTAGCTGGGACTAGAGGTGAGTGTCACCAAACCCAGCTAATTTTTGTATTTTTTGTAGGGAGGCGATCTCGCTATGTTGCTCAGGCTGGTCTCAAACTCCTGGACTCCAGCAATCCTCCAACTGACCTCCAGAGTAGCTGGAACTACAGGGATGAGCCACTGTGCCTGGCTAGAGACAGTTTTTAATTCCCATTTAGTCAGCTTTGCACCAACTACTATAGCAAGCAACTTTATAGGGGGTTATGCTTGGCAGTTGATGCTTAACGACCCTGCTCAGAGTTGGCTCTAGATGAGGGGAGGCCTTTGCTTTTAACTGGGTGTGTGAGCAAGGAACAAAGACCCGCCTACTGGATGCTTCAACCACCTGGAATGATGAGGTCCTACTGGGAAAATGAAGGCATTTGAGTACATCTCATGTCTCTTTTCTTGGCAACTTAAAAGCTACGGTGTGTTTATCTCTAAATTGAAATTTGGAAGAAAGACAGGTAGGCTGAATAATATGAGTTTTCCTACTCTGAAATGTGCTCACTGGCAGCTCAGTTTTTCTGTTTGAAGTACAAAAATAGCTTCCTTGGCCGGGTGTGGTGGCTCACGTCTGTAATCCCAGAACTTTGAAAGGCCGAGGTGAGCAGATTGCCTGAGCTCTGGAGTTCGAGACCAGCCTGGCTAACATGGTGAAACCCCGCCTCTACTTAAAAAAAAATACAAAATTAGCTGGGCGTGGTGGCAGGCGCCTGTAATCCCAGCTACTGGGGAGGCTGAGGCAGAAGAATCGCTTGAACCCAGGGGGCAGAGGTTGCAGTGAGCCAAGATCGCGCCACTGCACTCCAGCCTGGGCAACAAGAGCAAAACTCTGCTTCAAAAAAAAAAAAAAAAAAAAACCAACTTCCTAAATCAGAGATCTGTTCTGATTACCCATGATGAGGAACCGGGGAACCGACTCGCTTTCCCTGGTTTAGAGGGGAAGGTTTAGAAAAGTCTAGAATAAAAGCACTGTGCTGGTCTGACATGCAAAATGTCATTCCACAGGTCCCCAGAGAGGCATATCACATATTCAGGAATCCACTTTTATCCATCAGAAATAGATGTGGCCAGGCCGGGCATGGTGGCTCACACCTGTAATCCCAACACTTTGGGAGGCCAAGGCGAGTGGATCACGAAGTCAGGAGATTGAGACCATCCTGGCTAACACGGAGAAACCCTGTCTCTACTAAAAATACAAAAATTTAGCCAGGCGTGGTGGCGGGCACCTGTAGTCCCAGCGACTCAGAAGGCTGAGGCACGAGAATCACTTGAACCCGGGAGGTGGAGCTTGCAGTGAGCCAAGATCGCTCACTGCACTCTAGCCTGGGCAACAGAGCGAGACTCCGTCTCAAAAATAAAAAATAAAAAAAAATTAAAAAATAAAGAAATAGGCCAGGCGCGGTGGCTCACGCCTGTAATCCCAGCACTTTGGGAGGCCGAGGCGGGCAGATCACGAGGTCAGGAGATCGAGACCATCCTGGCTAACATGGTGAAACCCCATCTCTACTAAAAATACAAAAAATTAGCCGGGCGTGGTGGCGGGCGCCTGTAGTCCCAACTACTCGGGATGCTGAGGCACGAGAATCACTTGAACCCGGGAGGTGGAGCTTGCAGTGAGCCAAGATCGCTCACTGCACTCTAGCCTGGGCAACAGAGCGAGACTCCGTCTCAAAAATAAAAAATAAAAAAAAATTAAAAAATAAAGAAATAGGCCAGGCGCGGTGGCTCACGCCTGTAATCCCAGCACTTTGGGAGGCCGAGGCGGGCAGATCACGAGGTCAGGAGATCGAGACCATCCTGGCTAACATGGTGAAACCCCATCTCTACTAAAAATACAAAAAATTAGCCGGGCGTGGTGGCGGGCGCCTGTAGTCCCAACTACTCGGGATGCTGAGGCAGGAGAATGGCGTGAACAGGGGAGGCGGAGCTTGCAGTGAGCCGAGATCATGCCACCGCACTCCAGCCTGGGCAACAGAGCAAGACTCTGTCTCAAAAATAATAATAATAATAATAATAAAGAAATAGATGTGTCCACCTATCAGTAGGAAGAGGCCTGCTTAGCACCCAATTCTAAGTCCTTCTTTGTGGCTTTTTTTTGTTTCCTTTTTTAAGATGGAGTCTCACTCTATCACCCAGGCTGGAGTGCAGTGGCATGATCTTGCCTCACTGCAATATCAGCCACCCAGGTTCAAGCAATTCTCCTGCCTCAGCCTCCCAAGTACCTGGGACTACAGGCCCCCACCACTATGCCCAGCTGATTTTTTGTTTGTTTGTTTGTTTCCTTTTTATTTTTTTAAGGAGTTTCACTCTTGTCGCCCAGGCTGGAGTACAGTGGCGCGATCTCAACTCACTGCAACATCTGCCCTCCCGAGGTTCAAATGATTCTCCCTCATCAGCCTCCCGAGTAGCTGGGATTACAGGCGCCTGCCATCACGCCCAGCTAATTTTTGTATTTTTAGTAAAGATGGGGTTTCACTATCTTAGCCAGGCTGGTCTCCAACTCCTGACCTCAGGCAATCCACCGCCTCGGCCTCCCAAAGTGCTGGGATTACAGGCATGAGCCACCGAGCCCCGGCCTTTTTGTTTGTTTTTTTCCTTTGTTTGTTTTTGAGAGAGAGTCTTGCTCTGTCGCCCAGACTGGAGTGCAATGGTGTGATCTCGGGTCACTGTAACCTCCGCTTCCCTGGTTCAAACAATTCTCCTGCCTCAGCCTCCCAAGGAGCTAGGATTATAGGCACACACCACCATGCCTGGCTAATTTTTTGTATTTTTAGTAGAGACGGGGTTTCTCCATGTTGGCCAGCTGGTCTTGAACTCCTGACCTCAGGTAATCCACCTGCCTCAGCCTGCCAAAGTGCTGGGATTACAGGTGTGAGCCACCATGCCCGGCCTAAGTCCTTCTAATCACAGCGATGGGCTCCTTCTTTGTGACAAGACAGGGACGAAAATGTGGGGCTCCTCCACACCACAGCTACCCCTCCCTGACACCTTTCCACGTTCATCGGGATTCCAATAGGCTGCTGCCCTCCAATCATCTTAACACCCCATTCTGTGTTTAAGAAGCTCCCTGATACGGGAAGCGTGGGGAGGGTGAGGTGCAGGGGTGAGGCAGGGGGGTGGGGAAGGTGAGGTACAGGGGTGAGGTGTGGGGAAGGAGGGATGGCCAGGGACAGAGGGGACTCCAGGTGCTCCAGAAAACACAACAGTACGGACTCTGTACTATTTCTGTTAACAGCTTCATTGAAATAAAATTCACATACCACAAAATCACCCATCTGAAGGGTACAATTCAATGGTTTTAGTATATTCAGAGCTGCCTCCACATTATTTTAAAGACAGGAGACTCTTAAAATGCACATGAGAATACTTGGAAAACAGCCAAGTGGATACATTCAAGCTTTCAGCAAACATGATGAGGAAATAAAACAGAATTTATGAAAGCAACCAAAGAGTCCACACATTCAACGATGGCAGGCAGAGCGCTGCGGTAACAGAAGGCCGCGGGGCTCCTTCCTGCACTTCAGGTCTGGTCCCTGGAGAAGCAGGTGTGTGCCCCAGGCGAGGGGAAGGTGAGCAGCTCCTAAGGGTGGGGTGGGGTGGGGGGCGGGGAGGGAGGGAGCGGGAGGCTCTCTCCCTGGGGCTAATGAATAGACTCCCTTTATGGCGCTTCTCTAGAATGCGAGCCAGCTGGGACTCCTCAGCTCATAGAACTCCATTCCCACCTTGCTTTCAAGGTCAGCATGCCCTCTGACCTACAGATGTCACTCAGATCCTCGGTCCCTTCCCTGTACAAAAAAGAGAAGTGGGGCCCTCATTCGCCAGCCCAGCCAAGCCCTGCTAGCCGCTGCAGTGTCCTGGGTAACACCAGCCCCCATGGGGACACCCTCAAGCCCTGACTCAGACCTAGACCCCTGAGCGGAAGTAAAGGAGGAAGAAAAAGAAACTAAAAAGTTATCCAATACTTGGTTGGGCGTGGTGGGTCACATCTGTCATCCCAGCACTTTTGGAGGCCAGGGGATCACTTGAGGTCAGGAGTTCGAAACTGACCTGGGCACCACAGTGAAACAAAAATACAAAAATATCTACCAAAAATACAAAAAATTAGCCAGAGCTGGGCATGGTGGTGCATGCTTGTGGTCCCAGCTACTCGGGAGGGTGAGACAGAAGGATCGCTTGAGCCCGGGAGGCAGAGGTTGCAGTATACCAAGATTGTTCCACTGCACTCCAGCCTGGGCGACAGAGTGAGACCCTGTCTCAAGAAAGAGAAAAAAAGTTTGTTGTGCACGTTCGGCAGGTCAAATGGTGAACTTCCTTGTAGGTGGCCTGGGTAGTGACCTGGCTTCCATGTTGTCAAGGAAGGTGTGCCAAGACTAGACCATGGTAGCAGGCAGAATTCTAAGACCCCCTCTCTTGAGTGTGGGCAAGGCCTGTGCATGTGGTGGCACAGTCACTGTGACGAGGTTAACTTAATCTTTAAAACAAAATTTTTTTTTGAGATGGAGCCTCACTCTGTCGCCCAGGCTAGAGTGCAGTGGCACGACCTTGGCTCACTGCAACCTCTGCTTCCCGGGTTCAAACAATTCTCCTGCCTCAGTCTACGCAACAGCTGGGATTACAGATGCCCGCCATCACGCACGGCTAATTTTGTATTTTTAGTAGAGACAGGGTTTCACGATGTTGGCCAGGCGGGTCTCAAACTCCTGACCTCAAGTGATCCACCCAACTCAGCCTCCCAAAGTGCTGGGATTATAGCTGTGAGCCACTGCACCCGGCCTAAAACTTTTTTTTTTTTTTTTTGAGATAGGGTCTCCCTGTCACCCAGGCTGGAGTGCAGTGGTGTGGTAAACACAGCTCACTGCAGCCTCAAGATCCTAGGCTCAAGCGATCCTCCCACCTCAGCCTCCTGAGTAGCTGGGACTACAGGTGTGAGCCACCACACCTAGCTGTGATTTATGTTAACTTAAGACTCCATCGTAGCAGCCTCCTGGTCTCAAAGAAGAAGTAAGCTGCCATACCTGGGAGGACCATGTGGTTGAACCTGAGGGTTCTCCAGGACCTAAGAACCATTTCTGGCAAACGACCAACCAGCAAACAGGGTCCTCAGTTCTATAACCTCAAGGAGCTGAATTCTGCTGAGCACCTGAATGAGCCCGACACTCTGTCCCGCCTGGTGACAGCGCTGTGAGACACTGAGCTGGAGATATACAGGACTGCATATTCCAGGCAGAGGGAATAGCTACTGCACAGGCCTGGAGGAGGATGTGTGCCTGTGGAGTGTCAGGAGCAGAGTGAGCAGGGGGCCGGCAGCTGGAAGTGAGGTTGGAGGGGCAAGAGGGCCAGAGCATAGCATGAGGAGGACTCTACTGTGTAGAGTGTGGTGGTCTCAGCGGACAGAGCAGGACCTAGCTATCTTTGGGAGCCATTATTTGGCCTACCACAGCCATCTTACTTTTTAAATTTCAGGTATAATTTCCATCCTGTTTTTATTTACTTATTTATTTACTTATTTATGTTATTCAATTTTTTTTTAGACAGAGTTTCACTCTTGTTGCCCAGGCTGGAGTGCAGTGGTGCGATCTTGGCTCACCGCAACCCCCACCTCCCAGGTTCAAGTGATTCTCCTGCTTCAGCCTCCCGAGTAGCTGGGATTACAGGCATGCACCACCACGCCCGGCTAATTTTGTATTTTTTTTTTTTTTTTTTTTCTTGAGACGGAGTCTCGTTCTGCTGCCCAGGCTGGAGTGCAGTGGCACCATCTCGGCTCACTGCAAGCTCCGCCTCCTGGGTTCACGCCATTCTCCTGCCTCAGCCTCCCGAGTAGCTGGGACTACAGGCGCCCGCCACCATGCCCGGCTAATATTTTGTATTTTTATTAGAGAAGGGGTTTCACCGTGTTAGCCAGGATGGTCTCGATCTCCTGACCTCGTGATCCACCTGCCTCGGCCTCCCAAAGTGCTGGGATTACAGGCATGAGCCACCGCGCCCGGCCTAATTTTGTATTTTTAGTAGACGGCGTTTCTCCATGTTGATCAGGCTGGTCTCAAACTCCTGACCTCAGGTGATCTGCCCACCTCGGCCTCCCAAAGTGCTAGGATTACAGGCATGAGCCACTGCGCCCGGCTATTTTTTTGAGACAGTTTCCCTCATTGCCCAGGCTAGAGTGCAATGGCGCAATCTCGACTCACTGCAACCTCTGCCTCATGGTTTCAAGTGATTCTCCTGCCTCAGCCTCCCAAGTAGCTGGGACTACAGATGCGCGCCACCACGCTCGGCTAATTTTTGTATTTTTAGTAGAGATTGGTTTCACCATGTTGGCCAGGCTGGTCTCAAACTCCTGACCTCACATGATCCGCCCACCTCGGCCTCCCAAAATGCTAGGATTACAGGTGTGAGCCACTGCGCCTGGACAATACGCTTTTTCATATGTCAAATTTTCTTTACAGTTTTTTTTCTTTTTCCTTTTTTAATTTTGTTCCACTATTTTAAATTGTCAGCGTTATTTTTCACAATTCATTGTGCCTGGCCCGTCCTGTTGTTTTAAATTAGTTGACCTGAAAGCTGAATGTAACCCTTTGTTCTCACCCTTTCTTCAGATGTGCTCATGTTGTTCACATTAACCAGACAACAGTCTGAGCATGAGTCTCTTAATGAATTTCTGTAGGGAGACAGGTATAATTTATACGTTTTAGTCTTCTTTTCTTTTTTGGAGATGGAGTCTCGCTCTGTTGCCCAGGCTGGAGCGCAGTGGCGCGATCTCGGCTCACTGCAACCTCTGCCCCCCGGGTTCACACCATTCTCCTGCCTTAGCCCACTGAGTAGCTGGGACTATAGGTGCCTGCCACCACGCCCGGCTAATTTTTTTGTACTATTAGGAGAGACGAGGTTTCACCGTGTTAGCCAGGATGGTCTCGATCTCCTGACATCGTGATCCACCGCCTCGGCCTCCCAAAGTGCTGGGATTACAGGTGTGAGCCACTGCGCCCGGCCACAATATATATATATTTTTAATTAGCCAGGTGCAGTGGTGCACACCTGTAGTCCCAGCTACTCAGGAGGCTGCCACTGTGCCACTGAACTCCAGCCTGAGTGACAGAGCGAGACGCCATCTCTCTCTCTCTGACTCTCTTTTTTCCTTTTTGGAGACAGGGTCTTACTCTACTGCCCAGGCTAGAGTGCACTGGCACAATCATAGCTCACTGAAGCCTCAAATTCCTGGCCTCAAGTGATCCTCCTGCCTCAGCCTCCCAAGTAGCTGGAACTACAGGGGTAAACCATCACACTTGGCTAATTTTTATATTTTTTGTAGAAACAGAGTCTCACTATATTGTTCAGGCTGGTCTTGAACTCCTGGCCTCAAGTGATCCTCCTGCCTCAGCCTCTCAAAGTGTTGGGACTATAGCTGTGAGCCATCACACCCAGCCCGTCTCTTAAAAAAATGTTTTTAAAGCCGGGCATGGTGGCTCACGCCTGTAATCCCAGCACTTTGGGAGGCCGAGGCAGGCAGATCATGAGGTCAGGAGTTCAAGACCAGCCTGGCCAACATGGTGAAACCCCGAATCTACTAAAAATACAAAAATTAGCTGGGCACGGAGGCATGTGCCTGTAATCCCAGCTACTCGGGAGGCTGAGGCAGGAGAATTGCGTGAACCAGGACTAGGAGGCGGAGGTTGCAGTGAGCTGAGATCACGCCACTGCACTCCAGCCTGGGCGACAGAGCGAGAGTGCGTCTCAAAAAAAAAACAAAAAAGTTTGAGATATATGAATAAAAAGGACTATATGGAAATAAGTCCTCACACTGAAGTGTGCTTGGAAAACAGGTCAACATGTCTCTGTAGGACACATCTGGACACCAGGCTAGAGCAGCAGATGCCACAAACTTCTACTGTGAAGGATGAGACCACGTGCAGGTGACCCTGCCAGTGCACAGAGCTCCCCAGCTGCACTGCCCACCCGATCTGCAGGCAGTGCCAAAGGCCACCTGGAAGACAGCCTGCCAAGGAGCACTCTTTATGTCCCTCTGAAGGAAATATCTGCTCCCAAGGAAAGCCCACCTGCAATGTCGTCCCCTAAAATAAAACAAGCCTCAGTGCCCTGCCTCTCTGGGTACCACTGTTCTGCTTCACATAGACAACCAATTTCAGATACGGGTCAGAAAGAGGCCAGGGTGATCTTTATTTTATTATTTCAAAGACACGGGGTTTCACTATGCTGCCCAGGCTGGAGTGCAGTGGTTAGTCACAGGAGTGATCATGGCTCACTGCAGCTTCAAACTCTTGGGCTCCAGTAATCTTCCCACTTCAGCCTCCCGAGTAGTTGAGACACGCACCCCCATGCCCAGCACCCAGGGTGATCTTTAGGGAAACAAAGATGACAGGATGCAAAGCTCCCATTCCCCAAGAGCAAGTAGGACCCAACGTCCCCAAATTCTATGATGCACCCTCGTCTCTGTGTCTAGAACACTTTCCAGCCCCACCTACCCCCACCTCACACAGGGGCCTACACCTGAGCCTCAGGACTGCATCCAGAGAACACCTGTACCTGGAGGCTGCTAGGTGCTCAGGCCATAACGTCCTTTTGCCCATCTGCCTCCCCCAGGGAGCAGCCAGGTCTGTCCCATTCTTGCTGGGTCCCTGCACCTGGGCCAAGTGGGCACAAAGCACCTCCCGCCGAGAGCACAGATGGGGAGAAATGGTGAGTGCCTGGAGGAAGGTTCTAATCTGTGGCTCCCAGATTTTCTGGCAGAACCTTTCTCTCCACAGTGGAGCCGCTACAGGAGCCAACAGCAACCCAGTCTCTGTGGGCCTGAGATTCAGCCACCTGCCTGAGGGTGTCAGCCTCAGATTCTCATCCCCCCATACCAGACCAGAGTCACTCCCTTGGGTGGGCAAGGGGGAGATTATAGAATGTCCATTTTTTTATTTTGAGATTTGCTTTAAATTTAAAAGAGCTCCCATATTGGCATAGTACCTAAAACCCAATCTTTTTTTATTTTTATTTTTATTTTGAGACAAGAGTCTTGCTCTGTCACCCAGGCTGGAATGCAGTGGCAAGATCTCAGCTCACTGTAAACTCCGCCTCCTGGGTTCAAGCGATTCTCGTGCCTCAGCCTCCCAAGTAGCTGAAACTACAGGCACTTGCCACCAGGCCTGGCTGATTTTTTTTTTTGTATTTTTAGTAGATTCGGGGTTTCACCATGTTGGCCAGGCTGGTCTCCAACTCCTGACCTCAAGTGATCTGCCTGCCTTGGCCTCCTAAAGTGCTTGGATTACATGTGTGAGCCACCGCACCCAGCCTGAACCCAATCTTTTTTTCTTTTTTTTTTTTTTTTTTGAGACAGAGTCTCGCTCTGTCACCCAGGCTGGAGTGCAGTGGTGAGATCTCGGCTCACTGCAAGCTCTGCCTCCCGGGTTCACGCCATTCTCCTGCCTCAGCCTCCCGAGTAGCTGGGACTACAGGTACCCACCATGATGCCTGGCTAATTTTTTGTATTTTTAGTAGAGACAGGGTTTCACCATGTTAGCCAGCATGGGCTCGGTCCCCTGACTTCGTATTCCACCTGCCTTGGCCTCCCGAAGTGCTGGGATTACAGGCGTGAGCCACCGCACCAGGCTCCAGTCTTTTTTAATAGAGATAGTCTCGCTATGTTGGCCAGGCTGGTCTCGAACTCCTGACCTCAAGTGATCTGCCTGCCTGGGTCTCCCAAAGTGCTTGGATTACATGCATGAGCCACTGCACCCGGCCTGAACCCAATCTTTTTTAATAGAGACAGGGTCTCGCTGTGTTGCCCAGGCTGGTTTCGAACTCCTGACCTCAAGTAAAACACCTGCCTCAGCCTCCCAGAGTGCTGGGATTATAGGCGTGAGCCATGGCACCTGGCCAGAACCCAATCTTGAGAGGACTACAAAATTCTAGGAGCTCTAAAATTAGGAGCCTGAGACCTTGCTGAATGAAGTAACTGCAGCTTTATTCTGCAGGCCGAACAGCTATCAGTATCATAATTTCTTTTTTAATTATCAAGAGATCATCCAACAGTAGAGAAAACTTTTAAGTCAGCACAAAAGAGAGACTCTTCAGAGCCGTTCTCAGCACCGTCCTGCTGCTGCCTGCCTTAGTCTACTACCCTCTGCCCTTTACAAGGAGAACGTCACACCGGAACAAAGGTAGTGAAAAGTAGGCATTTCCATGTTCTTTATTCCTTACTGAATGACGCAGACTGATGGCCTATATCTGAAACTCGTAAGAAAGGATAATACCACAAAAGAAAGAAACCCTACAGAAACTCAGGGCGCTGTCCAGGGCTCCATGTACTTCAGAGGCTGCCTCGGCCAACCTCCATGCACAGGTTGAGAAAGAGAGGCCTCAGGGTGGAGAACACCCACACCACAACACAGACACGCACAAGAACGAAAACACTTGTTTATTAACATGCAGAGGAACATCAGCTCAAATACACTCCAGGAAATACAAACTGAAACTCCGTTGATATGCCATTCTTCCTGTATCAGATTGGCAATACTTTTCTGGAAGACAATTTGGTGACGGAAAATATTTTCTTAAATGCTTTAAACCCTACATATCCAGGCCGGGCGCGATGGCTCATGCCTGTAATCCCAGCACTTTGGGAGGCCAAGGCGGGCGGATCACAAGGTCAGGAGATCTAGATCATCCTGGCTAACATGGTGAAACCCCGTCTCTACTAAAAGTACAAAAATTAGCCGGGCGTGGTAGCGGGCGCCTGTAGTCCCAGCTATTCGGGAGGCTGAGGCAGGAGAATCGCTTGAACCTGGGAGGCAGAGGTTGCAGTGAGCCAAGATCGCGCCACTGCACTCCAGCCTGGGCGACAGAGCGAGACTCCCTCTCAACAACAACAACCACCACCACCAAAGATCATGCTGCAGAAGCAGATGTACTGATATCGAGAGGTGGTAACAATATGTTGACTTAAACTAGGTTAAAATGGTCAATTATGACTCTGGTTTTGTTTAACTGTCCTATACAAAGAAAAATTTAAAAGCCAGAAGGCTGAAAAGATTCACGGTGCTGGATGGGGTTTTTATTTTCTCCTTTATTTGCAAGTTATTATTTTTATTTACTTCTTTTGCATGTTTTTATTTTAAGCGTGCATGATCTGTGACGTTTTCCTTCTAAGCTTCTTGCTTTCGCTTTAAAGGCACTCGCAAGCCAACAAGAGCAGGTTCTTGATTTACCCGTTCCAAATGCCAAGACTCCTCCTGCTTGGTATTTCTTAGTCTGCAAGAGAGAGCCAAGTGTTCCTCAGTGCTGATGAAACCTCACTAACTGGTATTTCTCTTAAAATGCATCACAGGGCTGGCTTCCTGAAGAGGGTTCTTAAAAATTAAATCACCAAGAGGAAATGTCTTCATGGCTTCTTCTCTCCTCACCAGACAGAATAAGCCATGCTGACGGGGATGGACTTTCTCATAAAAGGGCTTTTCATTTCCAACAGCAAAAACGTCAGCCTTGTTTTTCTTGGATTTTAGTAAAGTAAACCAACCCACCCGATGTTGGAATGAAATAAAACTTTGTAAACAAGCGGGAAAAAAATAAGGGGTGAGAGTGGTAGAAGAGAGGAAGAAACATCTGCAGAGATGACCGCTCTAGCACGGAGCCTGTTGTGACCCTCAGGAGAGTTACGCCAACAAGAAAGACCTGCTCTCTTAATTGGTCAAAGGCCGCCTGCTAAAGCAACAGGGTGGAGCTCCAGCTCCTGCCCACGAAGACACAACATACCTTCTGCAAATCACATCTCTGTGCTTTGGGACGACTCAGCAGACACTGCCACTACGTCAGAAAAAAAGTAGCATGACACCGAAAGACAATTCACCCCTGCCTGACCACCCTGGATTGCCACTTCAGAAGTAGAGAACCATGGAAGCAACCAGACACCAGAAGCGGCAGCCCGGCTGAGCGGGAGGAAGACCAGAAAGGAGACCAGCACACTCCTGGTTGGCCATTGCAGCTCCTCCTGAAATAGCAACCCCCTTCACGAGGGTTCTAATAACGCTCCAGAATGAAACAAAAGACCTCAGTTGAATTTATAACTCCAACTACCATGCCCAAACTCCCCCAAGACACTCACCATGGGAATAGCAACCCCATTTCAAAAACCAGCATCATAAGCTGGGTGCAGTGGCATGGGCCAGGAGTCCCACCTACGCAGGAAGCTGAGGCAGGAGGACTGCCCAGGAGCTGGAGGGTGCAGTGACTGTGACAGAGCCTATAAACAGCCACTGCGCTCCGGCCTGGGCAACACAGTGAGACCCCGTTTCTTAAAAAAACAGCATGAGGCCAGGCGCGGTGGCTCATGCCTGTAATCCCAGCACTTTGGGAGGCCGAAGTGGGCGGATCACGAGGTCAGGAGACGAGACCACCCTGGCTAACACGGTGAAACCCCGTCTCTACTAAAAATACAAAAAATTAGCCAGGCGTGGTGGCGGGTGCCTGTAGTCCCAGCTACTCGGGAGGCTGAGGCAGGAGAATGGCGTGAACCTGGGAGGTGGCGCTTACAGTGAGCCAACATGGTGCCACTGCACTCCAGCCTGGACGAGAGAGCGAGACTCCGTCTCAAAACAAACAAACAAAAAAGCATGATTAGAGAACTTCATAGTTCAAGAGTTGTGGAATTCCTTCTCTAGGCAGACAAATCAAAAGTATCAGTCACTCAAAGGCTGTTATTATGTCACAGAAGGAAGGGTGCCTGGTGTGGGAACACAAATGTGTGTTTGCTGCATGACCAAGAAAGGAGCAGCATGGGGCAGAGGGCTCCAGCCAGAGGAGCAGCTGGCACCAACTCCAGGCTAGTCCCTGTGCACATTAGGGTCCGCGTGCGTGAGATCAATTTAGAGAGGCAACGACAGAGTACCCAGCATAGCGATTATTTTATGACTGTTACAGGATACTTCAAATAATTAATTTTCATCACTGGTCTACAGGTGGGGCTTTGAATGAATCGGCAGGACTTACTGGAGGGTGACACAGAGGGGAAAACTCACCCCCCGTGAGAACATGCCAGAGGTCGACAGTGATGGGAAGACCTCATGTCCCCTGCTGTGTACTCCTAGAGCATGGGTTTGTTTAATCGTGGATACGCACGACTTAGGGATCAGGAACATCAGGCTACTGAGTGAGTGGGAATACCAGGTTACTGAGTGATCAGGAACAGGCTTGAAGAAAAATAGGGCCAGGCGCGATGGCGACGGTGGCCTATAATCCCAGCACTCTGCGAGGCTGAGGCAGGTGGATCACCTGAGGTAAGAAGTTCAAGACCAGCCTGACCAACATGGTGAAACCCGTCTCTAATAAAAATACAAAAAAATTAGCCAGGCGTGGTGGCAGGTACCTGTCATCCCAGCTACTCGGGAGGCAGACGCGGGAGAATCGCTTGAACCTGGGAGCTGGAGGTTGCAGTGAGCCGAGATTGCACCAATGCACTCCACCCTGGGCGACAAAGCGAGACTCCGTCTCAATAAAAAAAAAAAAAAGAAAAATGGACTCAGCTGACCTTCCTGTGTTCTGGAGGAGGGCTGAAGGAGCAAGAGGGTGGGAAGAGGGCAGCCAGGCGGGCCTGTGCCAGCACCTGTTCTCACCTCTTCACTTCCTGCCCGCAGGCACAGCTGCAGCTGAACCAGCAGGGATGGCAGGGATGCCTTCCTGATCCCCCAGCATGGCTGGTCTCCAGAACTAACATTCCCAGATTCATCACACAGCATTTTCAGAAGTCTTCCTTCCCATAAGGGATAAAAGCATCTGTGTATTTTGAACATCTTTGTGAGGAAGATGCATCACTGACCTAAGAAACAGTAGGCAGGACACGGCCAGCAAAGCAAGGGGATCTTTCAGCAAAGAGAAAATCCCTTCAGGAAATTAAGATGCCAGCTGGCCAGGCCTAGCTGAGAATGCCCACCAGGTAGGAGAAAAGGGGGAAGGTAGGCAGAGCAAGAGCCTCCCTTGGACTTTGGGCCACTGATCCCAGGGAAGGGACGACAGCAGAGGGGCTGAGCGAGGTGGCTCATGCCTGTAATCCCAGCACTTTGGAAGGCCAAGGTGGGCGGATCACTTGAGCTCAGGAGTTGGAGAACAACCTGGGAAACATGGCGAAACCCCATCTCTACTAAAAATACAAAAATTAGTAAATCTTTAATAAAAAGAAAAAGGAACACAGAAATTTATTGTCCAGAAATGTCCAGAAACATTTCCATTTTATGCAACTATAAGGCACAGAATGAGACCCTGTCTCAAAAGAAAATAAAAGTAAAGAAATAAATATTAATCAACCAAGAAGGCCGGGCGCGGTGGCTCACGCCTGTAATCCCAGCACTTTGGGAGGCCGATGGGGGGGGCGGATCATGAGGTCAGGAGATCGAGACCATCCTGGCTAACACAGTGAAACCCCGTGTCTACTAAAAATACAAAAAATTAGCCAGACGAGGCAGGCACCTGTAGTCCCAGCTACTCAGGAGGCTGAGGCAGGAGAATTGCTTGAAACCAGGAGGCAGAGGGTGCACTGATCCGCGATTGCACCACCACACTCCAGCTGGGCAACAGAGCGAGACCCCGTCTCAAAAAAAAAAAAGAATGCAACTGTTTGTCTCTCACCTATCTGTGACCTGGAAGCCCCTCCCTGCTTCATGTCTTCCTGCCTTTGCTTGGAGTTGTCCCACCTTTCCAGAATGAACCAATGTACTTCTTTCATATATTGATTGATGTCTCATGTCTCCCTAAAATGCATAAAACCAAGCTGTGCCCCAGTCACCTTGGGCACATGTCATCAGGAGTACCTGAGGCTGTGTCACGGGTGTGCATCCTCAACCATGGCAAAATAAACATTCTAAACTAACTGAGATCTGTCTCAGATTTTGTGGGTCCACAGCCATCAGGAGACCTAAAGGCTGAAGAGCTAGGACGCCGGTTTTAGTGGCACACACAGGACACTGGCTCAACATGAGCCCTGTTTTGAAACTTATGATAAACACAAGAATATCACAAGATGGTAACCAGAGTAATACCAATTTGCTAAAACAAGATGAGCTGGTCCTAGTGCAGTGGTGTTTACAACTAACTGATCACAATCGTTACGGGTTGCTTTGGTCCTTCTCCATTCCCACTGCTTCACTTGACTAGCCATGAACAGACAGAAAGACAGACGGACAGATACAAGCATGAAATATCTGGACACAAAAATAGAACTGTACCTACTTAAAGAATTTATTTTCCTCCCTAATCATGACACTGAATCCATTTTTCCTAGCCTGTTAGTCTCAAGAACTTTTGAAAGCCAAGTACAGTGGTGCACACCTGTAGTGCCAGCTACGAAGAGGAGGCTAAGGCGGGAGGATCACTTGAGCCCAGGAGTTCAAGGCTGCAGTGAGTTGTGATGGCACCAGTGCACTCCTACCTGGGTGACAGAGCAAGGCCCTATCTCTTTAAAGAATGTTTTAGCCGGGCGCGGCGGTTCACGCCTATAATCCCAGCACTTTGGGTGCCAAGGCGGGCGGATCACAAGGTCAAGACATGGAGACCATCCTGGCCAATATAGTGAAACCCCGTCTCTGCTAAAAATACAAAAATTAGCTGGGCGTGGTGGCGCGTGCCAGTAGTCCCAGCTACTTGGGAGGCTAAGACAGGAGAATCACTTGAACCTGGGAGGCGGAGGTTGCAGTGAGCTGAGATCGCGCCACCGCACTCCAGCCTGGTGTTAGAGCGAAATTCCATCTCAGGAAAAAAAAAAAAAAATTTAAAAGGCCAGACACATTGGCTCATGCCTGTAATCCCAGCAGTTTGGGAGCCCAAGGCAGACAGATCCCAAGGTCAGGAGTTCCAGACCAGCCTGGCCAATATGAACATACAAAAATTAGCCAGGCGTGGTGGCGTGCACCTGTAGTCCCAGCTACTCGTGAGGCTGAGGCAGGAGAATTACTTGAACCCTGGAAGCGGAGGTTGCAGTGAGCTGAGATAGTGCCACTGCACTCCAGCCTGGGTGACAGAACAAGACTCTGTCTCAAAAAAAAAAAAAAAAAAAGCCGGACGCAGCGGCTCATGCCTGTAATCCCAGCCCTCTGGGAGGCCGAGGTGGGCAGATCACTAGGTCAACAGTTCAAGACCAGCCTGGCCAACATAGTGAAACCCCATCTCTACTAAGAATACAAAAAGTAGCCGGGCATGGTGGTACGTGCCTGTAATCCCAGCTACTCAGGAGGCTAAGGCAGGAGAATTGCTTGAACCTGAGAGGCGGAGGTTGCAGTAAGTGGATATCACACCACTACACTCCAGCCTGGGTGACAGAGGAAGACTCCATCTCAGGAGGAGGTGGGGGAAGGCCAGGCGCAGTGGCTGATGCCTGTAATCCCAGCACTTTGGGAGGCCAAGGTGGGTGGATCACTTAAGGTCAGGAGTTCAAGGCCAGCCTGGCCAATATGTGAAACCCCATCTCTACTAAAAATATAAAAATTAAGCAGGTGTGCTGGCACGAGCCTTTAATCCCAGCTACTCGGGAGACTAAGGCAGGAGAATCACTTGAACCCAGGAGGCAGAGGTTGCAGTGGGTATGGGCCAAGAATGAGCCAAGATCGTGCCATTGCACTCCAGCCTGGGCAACAGAGCGAGACACTGTCTCAAAAAATAATAATAATTACAATGCAATTAGTACAATTCTTTTCATTAAGAATTTTTCACTTTATTTGATTAAATGACATAACAGTCTTGCGCGCTCGTGGCTGCACAGTGATGTTCTGATGTCTATAACATATAGTTATCAGTTCAGTGTACTTGGCACGTCTCTCATCTTCAACATTTATCACTTCTTTGGGTTGGGAGATTCAATATCCATCTGACTTTTTTTTTTTTTTTTTTTTTTGAGATGGAGTTTCACCCTTGTTGTCCAGGCTGGAGCGCAATGGCACTATCTCAGCTCACTGCAACCTCCGCCTCCCAGGTTCAAGTGATTCTCCTGCCTCAGCCTCCTGAGTAGCTGGGACTACAGGCACGCACCACCACACCTGGCTAATTTTTTGTATTTTTATTAGAGATGGGGTTTCACCATGTTGGCCACACTGGTCTAGAAATCCTGACCTCAGGTGATCCGCCCGCCTCGGCCTCCCAAAGTGCTAGGATTACAGGCATGAGCCACCACATCTAGCCTTTTTTTCTGAGACAGAGTCTCCCTCTGTCGCCCAGGCTGGAGTGCAGTGGCGCGATCTTGCCTCACTGCAACCCCCGCCTCCCAGGTTCAAACGATTCTCCTGCCTTAGCCTCCCCAGTAGCTGGGACTATAGGTGCCCGCCACCACACCCAGCTAATTTTTGTATTTTTAGTAGGGACAGGGTTTTGTATCATGTTGTCCAGGCTGGTCTCCAACTCCTGACCTCAGGTGATTCACCCTCCCCAGCCTCTCAAAGTGCTGGGATTACAAGTGTGAGCCACTGCACCCGACTCCTCCTTCTAGCTATTAGGAAAAACAGATTATTAACTACAGTCATCCTACAGTGATATAGAACACTAGGACTTATTCTTCCTATCTAGCTATAATTCTGTCACTAAGAATTTGTTGGCCTAGCAAGATGGTTACGCCCATAATCTCAACACTAGGAGGACTGCTTGAGGCCAGGGGTTCATCCGGGTAACAGTGAGAACTCGTCTCTACGAAAAATAAAAATAAGGCTGGGCGCGGTAGCTCATATCTGTAATCCCAGCACTTTCGGACGCCGAGGTGGGCAGATCCTTTGAGCTTAGCAGGCTAACAACATGGCAAAACCTCGCCTCTACAAAAAACACAAAAGTTAGCTGGGTGTGCTGGCAGGCATTTATAGTCCCAGCTACTCAGGAGGCTGAGGCAGGAGAATCTCTTGAACCTGGGAGGTGGAGCTTGCAGTGAGCTCAGATCATGCCACTGCACTCCACCCTGGGCAACAGGGCCAAACCCTGTCTCAAAAATAAATAAACAAATAAATAAATAAATAAATGAAACATTGGCTGGGTGTGGGGGCATGCCCCTGGAGGCTGAGGTGGGAGAATCCCTTGAACCCACCCCAGGACTTCAAGGCTGCAGTGAACCATGATCACACCACTGCACTCCAGCCTAGACAACAAATTGAGATCCCATCTCTTTTCTTCTTCTTTGAGACACAGTCTTGCACTTTCGCCTGGGCTGGAGTGCGGTGGCGCGATCTTGGCTCACTGTAACCTCCGCCTCTCGGATTCAAGCAATTCTCCTGCCTCAACCCCCGAGTAGCTGGAATTACAGGCGCCTGCCACCACGCCCGGCTAATTTTTTGTACTTTTAGCAGGGACAGGGTTTCACCATGTTAGCCAGGCTGGTCTCGAACTCCTGACCTTGTGAGTCGCCGGCGTCGGCCTCCCAAAGTGCTGGGATTACAGGTGTGAGTCACCGTGCCTGGCCAATGATCCCATCTCTTTTTTTCCTTCTCCAAGAAGCAGGAATTACAGGCATTTTCTAATATGCATTTCTCCAAATATCAGTAAAAATAGCCCATCTTCATAAAGCATCTGCAGATGCAAATTCAATGTTCTATCTAGTTCTTTAATTTACTAGAAAATCCAAGTTTCTTTAGATGTATTTTGTATATTTTATATGAACCTTAATGAAGTCAAAGTATGTAAATATTTTATCTTTAGGGTTTACTTAAATTTTTTTATTTCTACCAACTGTAATGATTTTTTTTACTAGATTCCCTTCTGTACTGTTTGAACTCTATGCTATGTGCAAAGGCACTACTTTTCAAAATAATCAAAATCAGTAACACAACAGGAAATATAGCCAATACCTCAAATAAAACCCTTCCCACCATACGCCCTCTCCTACACACTCATATCTCCCAACACAAAACTAAAAGCACTTTTAATATTTCTTCAAAACTTCTTTCAATTCTACCTGGTTGTAAGTGTGATGTATATTTAGTACATCACTCTATCATAATAACTTAGAAGTGCTAATCTAAGTAAATTTGGAGCCTTTATAATTACCACTTTTATGAGCTACATAATAGACTTAAGTGGATGCCTAATCCTTTTGTCTGATATAACTAATGTTTACATTGAATGTTTCCAGAATTTAAACAAAATAAGTGCTTGGAAGAGAAGCAATCCATAAGCCTGGTGCCCTTAACAACCTTGTCTGCACCATCTACACAGAACTAAACTCTTCCTGTATGTTAGATCCTAAACTGGAACCAGAATAGTCCTTAACTTTTTTTTTTTTTTTTTGAGACGGAGTCTCGCTCTGTCGCCCAGGCTGGAGTGCAGTGGCAAGATCTCGACTCACTGCAACCTCCACCTCTGAGCTTCAAGCAATTCTCCTGCCTCAGCCTCCCGAGTAGCTGGGACTATAGGCACCCGCCACTACGCCCGGCTAATTTTTTGTATTTTTCGTAGAGACGGGGTTTCACCATGTTGGTTAGGCTAGTCTCGATCTCTTGACCTCGTGATCCACCTGCCTTGGCCTCCCAAAGTGCTGGGATTACAGGCGTGAGCCACCGCGCCTGGTCTAATTCTTGTATTTTTAGTAGACAGTAGACTTTAGATTTTACCATGTTGGCCAGCTGGTCTTAAACTCCTGACATCAAGTGATCTGCCCACCTCGGCTTCCCAAAGTGCTGGGATTACAGGTGTGAGCCACTGCGTCCGGCCATCCTTAACAATTCTGAATCTTCCTGGGGACAAGTAAACCTTAGGTTTCCATTAAAGTATACATCTGCCAGGCCAGTGGCTCATGCTTGTAATCCTAGCACTTTGGGAGGCCAAGGTGGGAAGATCACTTGAGCCCAGGAGTTGGAGATCAACATGGCAAAACCCTGTCTCTATAAAAAATAGAAAAATTAGGCAGGTGTGGTAACACGTACCTGTAGTCCCAGCTACCTGGGAGGCTGAGATGGGAGGACCACCTGAGCCTGGGAGGTCAAGGCTGCAGTGACCAGTGATTGCACCACTGCACTCCAGCCTGGGCAACAGAGTGAGACTCTATATCAAAAAAATAAAGTATACATCTGGCAGGGTGCAGTGGCTCACGCTTGTAATCCCAGCACTTTGGGAGGCTGCGGCACGCAGATCACTTGAGGTCAGGAGCGCGAGACCAGCCTGGGCTAACATGGCGAAACCCCGCCTCTACTAAAAATACAAAAAATTAGCCGAGCATGGTGGCACATGCTTGTAATCCCAGCTACTAAGGAGGCTGAGGCAGGAGAATTGCTTGAACCCAGGAGGCGAAGGTTGCAGTGACCTAAAATCGTGCCATTGCACTCCAGCCTAGCCAACAATAGTGAACTCTGTCTCAAAAAATAAAGAAATTTTTAAATAAATAAATATACATCTGATATCAGAGACCTTCAATTTCAAAAAATTTAGGTCAACTACTATACAATCCAGCAATCCCACTACTGAGATTTATCCAAAGGAAAGGAAATCCATATACCACAGGGATGCCTGCACCCCATGTTTACTGCAGCACTGTTCTCAATAGCAAAGATATGGAATCAATCTAAGTGTCCATCAACAGTTGAATGGATAAAGAAAATGTAATATAGATACACAATGGAGTACTTTTTTTTTTTTTTTTTGAGACAGAGTCTCGCTCTGTCACCCAGACTGGAGTGCAGTGGCACGATCTCGGCTCACTGCAAGCTCCACCTCCCAGGTTCACGCCATTCTCCTGCCTCAGCCTCCCAAGTAGGTGGGTCTACAGGCGCCCGCAACCACACCCAGCTAATTTTTTTTTTTTTTGTATTTTTAGTAGAGACAGGGTTTCACCGTGTTAGCTAGGATGGTCTCGATCTCCTGACCTCGTGATCCGCCCGCCTTGGCCTTCCAAAGTGCTGAGATTACAGGCGTGAGCCACCGCATCCGGCCTGGAGTACTATTTGGCCACGTAAAAAAATGAAATCATGTCATTTGCAGCAACGTGGAAGGAAATGGAGGTCATTATGTGAAGTCAAGTAAGACAGGCAGAGAAAGACAAATATCACGTTTTTACTCTTATGTGGGAGCTAGAAAAGTGGATCTAATGGAGGTAGAGAATAGAGCGATTGATATCAGAGGCTGGGAAGCATCAGGAGGGTAAAGAGCACGGTTAATGGTTAGAAATATGCAATGAGCGGTGGCTCACGCCTGTAATCCCAGTACTTTGGGAGGCCCAGGTGGGCGGATCACCAGGTCAGGAGTTCGAGACCAGCCTGGCCAACATGGTGAAACCCTGTCTCTAGTAAAAATACAAAAATTAGCTGGGCATGCTGGCATGTACCTGTAATCCCAGCTATCAGGAGGCTGAGGCAGGAGAATGGCATCAACCCGGGAGGCAGAGCTTGCAGCGAGCTGAGATCGCGCCACTGCACTCCAGCCTGGGCAAGAGACAGAGACTATGTCTCAAAAAAAAAAAAAAAAAAAAAAAGATAAATATGGAGGTGACAGACACCCCAACTTGATCATTACAGTGTATGCCTGTAACAAAATACCACATGTACCCATCCCATGAATATGTACAAATATTTCTATCAATTAAAAAGAAACAGCTCAGGCTAGGGGCAATGGCTCATGCCTGTAATCCCAGCACTTTGGGAGGCCAAGGCGGGTGGATCACGAGGTCAAGAGTTTGAGACCAGCCTGGCCAACGTGACAAAACCCCATCTCTATTAAAAATACAAAAATTTAGCCGGAGTGGTGGCAGGCGCCTGTAATCCCAGCTAAGTGGCTGAGGGAGTCTGAGGCAGGAGAATTGCTTGAACCCGGGAGGCAGAGACTGCACTGAGCCGAGATCGTACCACTGAACTCCAGCCTGGGCCACAGAGCGAGACCCTGTCACACACACACACACACAAAAAAAAAAAAAAAACCAGGTCAAAAAGCAGATTCAAAGCAACATGCATGCAAATTATAACATTTATCTATAATCAAGTATGTATTACATACATTTTAATTTACATATTAAATATTTAATTATCTCTTAATGATATTAATGGATGGGGGGATTACAAGGGCTCCTTATTTTTCTTATTTTATCTACTAGTATTTTACCTACTAGTTTTAGTTTCTTTTTAGTTTTTCGAGACAGTTTCACCCTTGTCGTCCAGGCTGGAGTGCAATGGCAAGATCTCAGCTCACTGCAACCTCTGCCTCCCAGGTTCAAGCGATTCTCCTGCCTCGACCTCTGAAGTACCTGGGATTATAGGCGCCTACCACCACACCCAGCTAATTTTTGTATTTTTAGTAGAGATGGGGTTTCACCATGTTGGCCAGGCTGGTCTCCTGATCTCAGATGATCCACCCGCCTTGGCCTCCCAAAGTGTTGGGATGACAGGTGTGAGTTACCGCGCCAGGCCAGTTTCTTTTAAAACAATGAACATCTATAAAAATAATTTAGCTTCACTGGGCGCCATAGCTCATGCCTATCATCCCAGCACTTTGGGAGGCCGAGGTGGGCGGATCATGCGGTCAGGAGATCAAGACCATACTGGCTAACACGGTGAAACCTCATCTCTAATAAAAATACAAAAAAATTAGCCGGGAGGGGTGGCGGGCGCCTGTAGTCCCAGCTACTCAGGAGGCTGAGGCAGGAGAATGGCATAAACCCGGGAGGCGGAGCTTGCAGCGAGCCAAGATCACGCCACTGCACTCCAGCCTGGGTGACAGAGCGAGACTCCATCTCAAAAAAAAAAAAAAATTTAGCTTCTACCCCAATATGATCTCAATTGTGTACTTTTATAGACAGTCACCTGTGTGTCTATGTCTGTGTTAAAAAAGGTCTGGGCCAGGTGCGGTGGCTCACATCTGTAATCCCAACACTTTGGGAGGCTGAGGCAGGTGGATCACTTGAGGTCTGGTGTTCGAGACCAGCCTAGTCAACACGGCGAAACCCCGTCTCTACTAAAAATATAAAAATTAGCCAGGCGTTGCACGCCTGTAGTCCAAGCTACTCAGGAGACTCAGGCAAGACAATCGCTTGAACCCACGTGGTGGAGGTTGCAGTGAACTGAGATTGTGCCACTGCACTCCAGCATGGGCAAGAGAGCAAGACTCTATTTCAAAAAAAAAAAAAAAGTCTGAAAAGAAATGTAGTAAAATAATGGGAATGTTATTTTTCTCAGGATAGTGGGATTATTGGTCATTTTCTGTTTTATACAACCCAAGCTTCATTTGCCTTTCAGCAATTCAGTCAGCATGTAGACCCAGAATACATACACTCACCTGCTCACACACATACATAATATGCCACTTACACACAAATATCCCACTCCCACATACACACATCCCTGATCCTGCAGACACATGCTCCCACACATCTCACCGCACACACATATTACACACACACACACCAGCTCACATATGTAACTGCTCACACACACACATGCTCACTCTCATTCACACACACTTTCACTCAAATTCAAGGCTAAGAGACTGGAAATGATACAGGGCAAATAAAAGGCGATGCCAGGCTGGGCGCTACGGCTCATGCCTGCAATCCCAGAACTTTGAGAGGCTGAGGCCCGAGGACGGTCGCTTGAGCCTGGGAGTTCAATAATATGCCTGGGCAGTATCACTATACTATACTTCATCTCTACAAAAATAATTTTTAAAAATGTTTGTATTTTTAGTAGAGACGGGGTTTCACCGTCTCCTGACCTCATGATCTGCCCGCCTCAGCCTCCCAAAATGCTGGGATTACAGGCGTGAGCCACTGCACCCAGCCAATTTTTTTAAATTAGCGGAGCATGGTCATGCCTGCCTATAGTCCCAGCTACTCAGGAGGCTAAGATGAGAGGACTGCTTGAGCCCAGGAGGTGGAGGTTGCAGTGAGCTGAGATCTTGCCACTGCACTTCAGACTGGGTGACAGAGTGAGATCCTGTCTCAAAACAAACGAACAAAAAGGTGCAGTCAAATGTCCCTAGGAACTTCCTACTGCCACCATTAGCGGTGCAGGAATAAAAAAACGTAGGGAGATCTGAGCATCGACACTTCCTTCGGCAGCCTATTTCTGCAAGTACTGAAGACAGACAATGCCTACCAAGGTTACTGAAGGACATTCTCTGAAAAGAATCAGTGGCTATTAAAACGCAACTGCTTAAGTGACTGTAAAAATAACATGTAAATTACAGTTATAATCTTTAAAAACAAAACAAAATTAAAGTAATCCTTTCTCACAACACTCTTAGAATTTATTTTACAATCTCTGCTTCATGATAGGTGGCAGTAAATACAAAAGCATCAGTCCTCTCAGTATGAAGGGGTCATGTCAATCTCCAGAGATGGTTGAAGCCTTAAAAATCACCTATTCCAACTTCATACCTAATTCCTGGACACATCTGACTATAAATTCCTGTTTCAAAAAAATATAACCAGAAAGCTCCACTTGCTCCTTTCATGTGCTGATTTCTGCTAACACAACACTGTGTTATATTACACTACACCTGATCTATCACCAGATGACGTAATTAGATCCAAACACACCATGACATTGCTAAAGAAACAGGGACACAAAAGCCATCTGTATTATAAACAGGAGCTGCTTCTATTAAAAATTCAGATAATCCATTTAAATAATTTAAAATGCTACCTTCATAAACAGATTACATAGAAGATACTCAATATGCTACCTCTGAAAATTTGATAAAAATTAAGATACTTGGCCGGGCACAGTGGCTCATGCCTGTAATCCCAGCACTTTGGGAGGCCGAGGCGGGTGGATCACCTGAGGTCAAGAGTTCAAGACCAGCCTGGCCAACATGGCAAAACCGTCTCTACTAAAAATACAAAAAATAGCCAGGTGTGGTGACGGGCACCGGTAATCCCAGCTACTCGGGAGGCTGAAGCAGGAGAATCGCTTGAACCCGGGAGGCAGAGGTTGCAGTGAGCCGAGATCACACCATTGCACTCCAGCCTGGGCGACAGAGCAGGCGAGACTCCATCTCAAAAAAAAAAAAAAATTAAGATAATCTAGTTGTTATCATCAAGGACAGTAATGTGACTGGACTAAGAGTCTCTCATGTGCTCAATATTTTGAAATCTCAAGGTAGAAAGTACAAAAACTTATGACCTTTATTGCTGTTATCCAGTTAATCTGAACTGTTCCCTAGCGTTTTTAAAAAAATCATTAATGTCTTTAAAAGAATCGGTATCTTTTGGAAATATATACTGAAGCATTTATGGAAGAAATGATATAATGTCAGGAACCCACTTCAAAAATCATCTGGGGGTAGTGAGTGGTGAGTTTACAGATGAACCAAGACTGCTAAAACTGAGCAATGGCTACAGGGTTACATAACATGAAAATCAACCTTTCTTTACCCTGTAAATTATCTGTTGCCAAACAGTAACTTAGCTTTAAGAAATCAAGAGCTCTCCTCCATCCCAGGAAGCCGGCCCAAGTCCAGGCACTCAGATCACACCCAACATTGCTTCTTCCTAAGCCGTCTAGAAGAACAGACAAGGAGTAATACCACAGGAGATCCCTTCCACTTCCCCATCCTCACCAAATCCCAAGTCATCCAGCCCTTGCCCCCAACCTTCGAATTTCATCAAGAGCTCTTGGAATTCAGAGTGAAGAATTTTGTCTCATTTCTACTTTGTGATGACAAGAAAGCTCAGCCCCAAATAGCAACACAAAGTTTTTCCCATTGTGATCATTAAGGGAGGTTATGACAAAAGATGTTTCTCAAATAAAAAGAATTGTATGAAAGTCAGTAAGATATTATCACAATAGGGATATTGTGAGCCACCACATCTAAGAAGAGGCATCTAAGGTCTAAGGGCCAAAAGACCTAGTTCTACTCCTGTGAGACCTTGGGAGAGCTATCTGACCTTTCTGGGTTTCCAGTTTCTTACCTGTAAAGTGGGGATGAATCCTGCTTACCTACTATCTCAGAGAACTGTGGTATGATCCAGTGGAAACATCCTGAGCCTCACAGAAGTTCTCTATCAAGAGTTGGGTTATGGTAACAAGGAGCAAATGTGGTACTCTCCTAACTTCTTTGCTGTACTGAAGCAAGAGTATGTTTGGGAGAAGAGACAGCGCAGTAGCCAACAGCAACCAAGGGAGCTCAAGGTGCTCTCCAGCCCAGGGGCAAGAAGGAAACGCAGCAAAACACCTGGACCAGCAACCACCATCCACGCTGACCATACAGGAAAGTATCAGTCACATATTTCACTGCCCATTAGTGTAGGTGGAAAACTACCCTGACAATATCCCAACCGGAGCTAAGCTTGCGAGCATTGCAGGCTGCCCCGCACGCACCTGTCTGCACATCTTCTTAATGTGAACTCAGCAAGGAACCCTGATTTATCAGGACCCTGTGTTTTTTGTTTTGTTGCTGTTTTTTTTTTTTGAGACGAAGTCTCGCTCTGTCGCCCAGGCTGGAGTGCAGTGGCGCGATCTCCGCTCACTGCAAGCTCCGCCTCCCGGGTTCACGCCATTCTCCTGCCTCAGCCTCCCGAGTAGCTAGGAGTACAGGTGCCCGCCACCACGCCCGACTAATTTTTTTGTATTTTTTAGTGGAGACGGGGTTTCACCATATTAGCCAGGATGGTCTCAATCTCCTGACCTCGTGATCCGCCCGCCTCGGCCTCCTAAAGTGCTGGGATTACAGGCATGAGCCACCGCGCCCGACCATCAAGGTTCTTAATGTTATGACTGACACCCTAAATAGCAGTGTGCCAATTTTACCTCTTTTCTTACAGACCTCTTGGCTTAAACATGCATATGTACTTGAACACCCACTTACCAGATGTCTGCATGTGTGAGAAGTCAAAATACAAAAAATTGACAGATGCACCTTAGGGATTTCCTGCTAAGTAAAATATTTAAAAGTGAGCACTGGTATTATTTGATGTCCACCGGGTTATTGGCAGAACACACACGGCCCTGCTGTTATCTCCACTTAAACTTTATTAAGTGCTGAGGTAGACAGGAACAACTGCATCTTGGGGCCCACCTTTCCCCCAGGAGCAGGTGCCCTGAGGACCGCGTGGACCCCTTCCACACTGTACTGTGCGTAGTGCCTGTCCACGCATTTCACCTCTCCTACGAGAGTGGACGTGGCCCTAACGGAGTTCTGCTAGACTTCTGCATTTGCCAACAAGCTCCGAGGCTCATTGCCTTCCTCCCCAAAGGCACCAAAGTAAAAATTCTTAATTCCAGGACTCTCTACAAGCATTGACTGTCTCCCAAATAAAAGATGAAATCTAAGTAGAAAAGATGTCAACCACACACAGTAAAGTAATTGTACTCAAAATAGGTGTCTATCAGTAGGATCTCAAGGCGTCTGGGCAGCCTGGCCTCTGCGGCTAGAACTTGGGTGAATTCAGCCGAGCAGTATCTGGGCCCTCGGGTGGGGGAATCGCGGGGAACTTCTTCATTCAGGGGCACGTCGATCAGGCACCCTGGGGGGGTGGCGATCAGGCCCCCTGGGGGGGTGTCCCCAGGCGAGGAGCTGACCTCGGTAAGATCCAGCTGACGAGGCGCTGGGGGGAGGGGAAGAAACTGACTCCCCAGAATAGAACCTCCTTTTAAGAAGGGAAGAGGGACTCCAGCGCAATTCAACCAGAAATCCAGGGCCGAAGTGGTGAATAAGCAGAAAAAGCAGGACCGTCAGGTCTTGACAGTGCCTTTCCCGACTCCAGGGGCAGCGTCGACCGGTCCCACATCAACCCCGCCGGCCAGCGCGCACCTGCCCAGTTCCCACGCCCCGGCCCGGGCCGCTCCGTACCTGCTCTGCCCCGTAGACCGTAGCAAACTGGATGAAGTCCTCGATGCGGACGAAACCGTCCCCATCCCCGTCCAGGGCATCGAACACGGCTCGGAGGCGGGGGCCGTCCTCCTGACTCCCCACGGGCTCGCTCGGAAGGGGGTGGGTCTGGCTGAGGTCCGAGGGCTGCGGCGGGGACCCGGGACCTTGCTCCAGCGCCAGCTCGCCCGCCGTGGGCGCGGGGAAGGGAGAGAAGACGTCGACCTCGCCCCGCGCTCGGTGGCTGCTGCTGGACCCCTGCAAGCGGAAAGGCGCGCTCTCCGGGCAGCTCGCGGGGCCACACTCCTCGGGCTCCTCAGTCCAGGAGAACAACGGGTCGAGTTCTGGAAGCGGCGCTTCGGAGCGCGGCCCTGGGCCCGGGGCGTCGGGGCTCGCAAGCTGCCCCCGCGGGCCGGAGCGCGGCGGCGGGGCGGACGGCCCGGGGTCTCGCGGGCCTCCCTCCAGCCCCGGGGCCGGCCCGGCGCTCCAACGCGCCCCGCCATCTGCAGCGGCCCCGGGCGCAGGCTCATCCAGGCCCGGGGACTGCGGGTCGGGGCCGCCGACGGGCGCTCCGAGGCGTAGCTCCGCAGGGCCCGGAGCCAGTTGTGCCGCCCCCGGCCCGTCCGGCCCGCCCGGCTCCGGGTCGGGCCCCGGCGGCTCCGAGCCCGGGGGCGAGGCCGGCGGGGCCGACGCCATGCTCCCGAGAGGCTAGTGGTGCGGAAGGGCGCGGGCGGCAGACAAAGGCGCTCAGGGCGCGGCGGCGGGCGCGGGCATCCCCTCGGCGGCGCGGGCGGGCGCGCGCGGGGCGCCCGGGCTGCTGGGGCTGGCGCTCGGGCCCTGCTCTGTCCTCGCCCATCTTCGCACCGCGCCTCAGCTGCCCTCGGCCCGGCGGCGCGGCGGGCGCAGGCCCATGGCGGCGGGGCGGCCTAGGGAGGGCGGCGAGGATCCGGGCGGCGGATGGCGGGGGACGGGGGCCGAGGAGGCCGGGGGACGGGGGCCGAGGAGGCCGGAGGCCGCGGAGCCTGTGAAGCAGGATGAGGAGACTAAGGAGGCTGAGGCGCCTGAGGTACCCGGAGAACTAACGCCGCCGCCGCCCAGGCCCCGCCCCCCGTCGGGCCTGACGTCAGCACGTCCCGGCGGGGTCCCAGCCCCTCGCCGGCTTGCTGTAGAGGCAGGCGCCGGGTGTGTCGCGGCAGTGCAGCGGCCGCGAAGGGGTGTTTTGCTGTATGTCATATTCCTCGTTTCGCCAGAGCGGGGGTCCCGAGCTTCGGGCGCGGGACGCGGGGGTGCTCCGAGGCTGCGAGTGGAGGCGTGACGTGACGTCCCTGGCAAGAGGCGCGCGGAGTCAGGCCTTACTTAGAACGTGTTCCCGCCGCACAGCTACCAGCGGGCGCGACCGCTACCCACGCATGGTGCGGTCGAGTAAACGGCACCGCCTGGCGAGCGAGAGACGCAAAGGGACATAGCCCCCTAGGAGCTGAGCTCTTCGGGGGTAAAGCGTTCTCACGTTGATGAGACCAGGAGGCGGCGCACGCCTGGCTCCGCGGCCCAGGGGTTGCAGGTGCCCCAGGGTTCGCGGGGCGCAGACGCCGCAGAGGGCGACGCCCTGCCCGGGTCCCGCGCGGACCCGGGGGACGCAGGGTCTGACACGGAGTGCGGAGGGGCCCCAGACACGCAGTCCATGTCCCTTGAAACCAGAGGCACGCGCGGCCACGCGCTAGGCCTTTCCCTTAAGCCTGTGACCAAGATCTCCGGGACTCCCAGCGTTGGGACGGGCGCGCTGGCCCACGCCCAAGCGGGAGGATCGCTTGCGCCCAGGAGATTGAGACCAGCCTGAGCACCAAAGCGAGACCTCGTCTCTACAAAAAATAAGACTCAAGAAGACACCCAGGGTGAATCGCCCGTCTGCAGCCAGCCTCCCGAGCACCGTGGCCGCGTCTGACAACTGACCTCTGTGTCTGGGTGTCCCTGTCCTCAGAGGGACACGGGACCTCAGAAAGGACCACAGCCCGGCGGCAGGCATGATGGTGGGAAAGCTAGTTAGGACAGGTGAGGCACTAAATTTAGCCTGTCATAATTTGTATCAGGGAAATGATGAACTTGTATTTTTACACACCATGGGCACCAACACAAGATATGGTTTCGTAAGCAGCTTTGGCAAGAACCAAAGGAACGGAACCTCTGCTTCCAAGTGTACGGTCAGGAGCAGCGTGTTAATTAAGTGAGTCATCTTCCGTGGCAGAATCCCAGGGTACATGGGACCAGACTTCGCGAGGCTGGCATTAGGAAAAGGAATGTGAGGGATCCTCCTCCCCAAACCGTATTCTCATTTTCTTGTAAGAGCTGTACGTGTTCATGAGGAAGATACTGCATTCAAAGAACGAAATCACCAGCAGCTTTGGCAAGAATTCAAATTTGGGCTGATGCCTTCGGCCGGATAAAATTTTCAGAAGCAGTGATAGTGATGTGTCAACCTTTCTAAATAGGGGTGTTAGTGTGGGCGAGGCAGAGACAGCAGGCTCCCTCTGCTTTTATGTGCCGGCGCTGCCAGAGGCAGAAGGCTGGCTTTCTGAGAGCAGGGGCCCGCACGCTCTGTCTGTGCTAGGGCTGGAAAACGTCCATTGCGTGCCCGGCTGGTGTCCTCCATGGAACCACAGCCTGGAAGCCTGCACCTCCCTGCCTGGACCAGTTAGAGGCTGTTCATGAAAGACTAAAGGGACAAGTTCCCGTCTATCCGTCTGCTGTTCAGAGCTACTATCTGTGTCCCCTTTGTAGGCTGTGGGCTGTAGCAGTTCCTTCTTTTCTTTTCTTTTCTTTTTTTTCCCCGAGACAGGGTTTTGCTCTGTTGCCCAGGCTGCAGTGCAGTGGTGCGACCATAGCTCACGGCAGCCTCAACCTCCTAGGCTCAAGAGATCCTCCCACCTTAGGCCAGGTGTGGTAGCTCATGCCTGTAATCCCAGGACTGTGGGAGGCTGAGGCGGGCGGATCACGAGGTCAGAAAATGGAGACCATCCTGGCTAACACGGTGAAACCCCGTCTCTACTAAAAATACAAAAAAACAAAAATTAGCCAGGTGTGGTGGCAGGCACCTGTAGTCCCAGCTATTTGGGAGGCTGAGGCAGGAGAAAGGCGTGAACCCGGGAGGCAGAGCTTGCAGCGAGCCAAGATTGCACCATTGCACTCCAGCCTGGATGATAGAGCAAGACTCCGTCTCCAAAATAAAAAATAAAAATAGAAGAGAGATCCTCCCACCTCAGCCTCTCCAGTAGCTGAGACCACAGATCTGCAGCACCTTATTATCTTTTTTTTTTTTTTGATATGGAGTCTCACTCTGTCGCCCAGGCTGGAGTGCAATGGCGCGATCTCTGGTCACTGCAACCTCCGCCTCCCGGGTTCAAGTGATTCCCCTACCTCAGCCTCCTGAGTAGCTGGGATTACAGGCGTATGCCACCAAGGCCGGCTAATTTTTTGTATTTTTAGTAGAGACCGGGGTTTCACCATGTTGGTCAAGCTGGTCTCAAACTCCTGACCTCAAGTGATCCGCCCACCTCGGCCTCCCAAAGTGCTGGGATTATTGGCATGAGTCACCACACTTGGCCTCAACATGCGTTTTGGAGGGTATAAACATTCAAAGCATAGCCTCCATCTTCTCACTCTGTCCTCACATGTTGGAGAAAGATTGTCTCTTTTGGGCTGGGCGTGGGAGCTCATGCCTGTAATTCCAGCACTTTGGGAGGCCGAGGCGGGTGGATCACGAGGTCAGGAGTTCAAGACCAGCCTGGCCAAGATGGTGAAACCCCGTATCTACTAAAAAATAGAAAATTTAGGCCGGGCGCGGTTGCTCAGCCTATAATCCCAGCACTTTGGGAGGCAAGGTGGGCGGATCACAAGGTCAAGAGATCGAAAACATCCTGGCAAACATGGTGAAACCCTGTCTCTACTAAAAATACAAAAATTAGCCGGGTGTGGTGGCACCCACCTGTAGTCCCAGCTACTCGGGAGCCTGAGGGAGGAGAATCGCTTGAACCTGGGAGGCAGAGGTTGCAGTGAGCGAAGATCGCACCACTGCACTCCAGCCTGGCGACAGAGCGAGACTCCACCTAAAAAATATATGTATATATTAGCCGGCCGTGGTGGCGGGCACCTGTAATCCCAGCTACTCAGGAGGCTGAGGCAAAGAATTGCTTGAACCCGGGAGGTGGAGGTTGCAGTGAGTCAAGATCACACCACTGTACTGCAGCCTGGGTGATGGAGTGAGACTCTGTCTCAAAAAAAAAGAAAAAAAATTATCCGGGGGCGGTGGCGGGTGCGTGTAATCCCAGCTACTCAGGAGGCTGAACAGGGTAATCACTTGAGCCTGGGAGGCAGAGGTTGCAATGAGCTGAGATCCAGCCACTACACTCCAGCCTGGGCAACAGAGCGAGACTATCTCAAAAAAAAAAAAAAGGCGGGCGTAATGGCTCACGCCTGTAATCCCAACACTTTAGGAGGCCAAGGCGGGTGGATAACCTGAGGTCAGGAGTTCGAGACTAGCCTGGCCAACATGGTAAAACCCTGTCTCTACTAAAAATACAAAAACTAGCTGAGCGTGGTGGCGTGTCCTGTAATCCCAGCTACCTGGGAGGCTGAGGCAGGAGAATACTTGAACCCGGGAGGTGGAGGTTGCAGTGAGCCAAGATCCCACCATTGCACTCCAGCCTGGGCAACAAGAGGGAAACTCCATCTCAAGGAAAACAATAAAATAAAAATAAGGCTGGGCACGGTGCCTCACGCCTGTAATCCCAGCACTCTGGGAGACCGATGCGGGTGGATTACCTGAGGTCAGGAGTTCAAGACCAGGCTTGCCATGGTGAAACCCCATCTCTACTAAAAATACAAAAAATTAGCCAGGCATGGTGGTGCATGCCTGTAATCCCAGCTACTTGGGAGGCTGAGGCAGGAGAATCACTAGAACCTGGGAGGCGGAGGTTGCAGTGAATCGAGATTGTGCCATGGCACTCCAGCCTGGGCAGCAAGAGTGAAACTCCGTCTCAAAAAAAGAAAAAAGAAAAAAAAAGACTGTCTCTTCTAATAAGGGCACTGTTCCCATCGTGAGGGCCCCACCTTGCTGACCGTATCTAACCCTAATTATTATTATTATTATTTTTTTTTGAGACGGAGTCTTGCTCTGTCGTCCAGGCTGAAGTGCAATGGCGCCATCTCAGCTCACTGCAATCTCTGCCTCCCGGATTCATGCCATTCTCCTGCCTCAGCCTCCCCAGTAGCTGGGACCACAGGCACCCGCCACCATGCCTGGCTAATTGTTTTGTATTTTTACTAGAGCCGGGGTTTCACCGTGTTAACCAGGATGGTCTCGATCTCCTGAGCTCATGATCCACCCGCCTCGGCATCCCAAAGTGCTGGGATTACAGGCGTGAGCCACCGCGCCCGGCCCTAACCCTAAGTTATACCTCCCAAAGACCTCATCTCCAAATACCATCCCGTTGGCGTTAGGACTCCAATATATAAATTTTGGGGTAGCAACTGGGAAGAGAGAGTTAGAATGGATTTAATGGACAAAATATTCATTTCTAGAATACACAAAAGAATTTCTCAAAAAACAGTAAACGAACAGCAACCCGATAGAAAAACGAGGAAAGAATATGAATAAGCAGCTCCAGAAGAGGAAATTCAGGTGGCCGGTAAACACATGAAAAAGATGCTCATCTTCACTGGTCACCAGGAAAATGTGTGAGTGTAGCCCTTGACACCAATCAGAGTAAGTCTGGGGACACCAGGGAGTGGGGATTTGGCACCAGTCGTGCAGCTGAAGGTCGGAATACTCCAGTGTGGGATCCGCCTTCCAGTACCTGCCGGAGAAACTGCACATGTCCGCAGGGAGATGGAAAGACCTTGTTTCCTTCGGGGATTTGTACTTCTCTGGAAGAAGAGCCGAACGGCTTCAGTGGAGCCTGTTGTCTGTTGTGAAGTGTAGCAGTTTAAGTGAGTGCACCACATCTGCACAATTGATAGTACATGCTATGTAATACCATTTTTCATTTATTTTTTTAGACAGAATTCTGTTCTTGTTGCCCAGGCCGGAGTGCAGTGGCACGGTCTCAGCTCACGGCAGCCTCCATCTCCTGGGTTCAAGCGATTCTCCTGCCTCAGCCTCCCGAGTAGCTGGGATTACAGGTGCCCGCCACCACACCCAGCTAATTTTTGTATTTTTCGTAGAGACGGGGTTGCACCATCTCGGCCAGGCTGATCTGGAACTCCTGACCTCAGGTGATCTGCCCGCCTTGGCTTCCCAAAGTGCTAGGATTACAGGCGTGAGCCAACGTGCCTAGCCAATTTTTGTTAAGTTTAAAAACACATGATCAATGACCTATCTTGTTTTCAAATGCTTTCGTTTGTAGTAAAAAATACCTAAACATACTTGAGAATTACATTGAGGCCGTGTGCGGTGGCTCACACCTGTAATCCCAACTTTGGGAGGCCAATGGGGTGGATCACTTGAGGTCAGGAGTTCAAGACCAGCCTGGCCAAAATACTGAAACCTGTCTCTACAAAAATACAAAAAATTAGCCAGGCATGGTGGCGCATGCCTGTAATCCCAGCTACTGGGGAGGCTGAGGCAGGAGAATTGCTAGAACCCCGGAGACGGAGGTTGCAGTGAGCTGAGATCACACCATTGCACTCCAGCCTGGGTAACAGAGCGAGACTCTGTCTCAAAAAAAAAAAAAAAAAGAAAGAAAGAAAAAAGAATTATATTCAAGAGGACAGACAGAAGAGAAAGGGTGAAGTACAACTTTGACTATATCTATAACATTCATTTCCACTGGGCACAGTGGGTCATGCCTGTAATCCCAGCACTTTGGGAGGCTGAGGCAGGAGGATCACTTAAGCCCAGGAGTTCAAAAAACAAACAAAAAAACATTAGCCAGGTGTGGTGGTGCACACCTGTAGTCCCGGCTACTCAAGAGACTGAGGTGGGAGGAGCTCTTAAGACCCAGAGGTTTTTCTGGATTCCACATATAAATGAGACCATGAAGTCTTCTTTCTCTGACTGGCTTATTTCACTTAGCATAATGCTGGAGTCCAGTAATTTGAAGCTGTAGTGAGCTGTGATTGTGCCTGTGAATAGCCCTGCACTCCAGCCTGGGCAACGGGGCAAAACTCCCTCTCTAAAGTAAGAAAACGTTTAAAAACTTAGCATAGGCCGGGTGCGGTGGCTCACGCCTGTAATCCCAGCACTTTGGGAGGCCAAGGTGGGTGGATCACGAGGTCAGGAGATCAAGACCAGCCTGGCCAATATGGTGAAACCCCATCTCTACTAAAACTACAAAAATTAGCTGGGTGCAGCTGGGCGCTGTGGCTCACACCTGTAATCCTAGCACTTTGGGAGGCCGAGGCGGGTGGATCATGAGGTCAGGAGATCAAGACCATCCTGGCTAACACAGCGAAACCCTGTCTCTACTAAAAATAGAAAAAATTAGCCAGGTGTGGTGGTGGGTGCCTGTAGTCCCAGCTACTTGGGAGGCTGAGGCAGGAGAATCACTTGAACCTGGAAGGCAGAGGTTGCAGTGAGCCAAGGTGGCGCTACTGCACTCCAGCCTGGGCAACAGAGCAAGACTCTGTCTCAAAAAAAAACTTAGTATAATGTCCTCCAGGTTCATCCACGTTGTCACAAATGGCAGTTTCGCTCGTTTCCCGGGCTGGAATGCAATGGTGTGATCCCGGCTCACCGAAACCTCCGCCTCCTGGGTTCAAGAGATTCTCCTGTCTCAGCCTCCCGAGTAGCTGGGATTACAGGCACCTGCTACCACGCCCAGCTAATTTTTGTATTTTTAGTAGAGACAGGGTTTCATCATATTGGTCAGGCTGGTCTCGAACTCCTGACCTCAGGTGATCCGCCCCGTCTTGGCCTCTCAAACAGCTGGGATTACAGGTGTGAGCCACCGTGCCTAGCCTCAATGTCTCCTTTTTTTTAAGGCTGAATAATAAGGCAAATACCTTACATAACTAAATATACAGGCCGGGCGCGGTGGCTCACGCCTGTAATCCCAGCACCTTGGGAGGCTGAGGCAGGTGGATCACGAGGTCAGGAGTTTGAGACCGGCCTGACCAAAGTGGTGAAACCCCGTCTCTACTAAAAATACAAAACTTAGCGGGGCGTGGTGGTGCACGCCTGTAATCCCAGCTACTCAGGAGGCTAAGGCAGGAGAATCACTGGAACCCAGGAGGCGGAGGTTGCAGTGAGCCAAGATCGCGCCACTGCACTCTAGCCTGGGTGACAGAGCGAGACTCCATCTCAAAAAAAAAAATTAAAAAAATAAAACTAAATATACATTGTTTATATGACCCAGCCATTCCACTCCTAGTACCTAGGAGAAATGAAAGTACGTGTCCATGCACCCACTTCTGTACAAATGTTCATAGCAGCTTTACTTGTTATAGCCCAAACCTGCAAGCAACCCAAGTACTCATCAGCAGGTGAATAAACAAACTGGCACATCCACACTGCGGAACACGGCTCAACCCCCAGGAGGACCCGGCGCGGAGCCCGGCTCAACCCTGAAGAGGATTTCACTACTGACACACACGACATCACAGGTGACTCTGGGAGCAATCAGGTTCAGTGAGAGAAGCCGGACAAAAAAGAGTGCGTACCTTATGACTCCACTTACATAAAATCCTAGAAAATACAAACACCAGGCAGGCGCGGTGGCTCACCGCTGTAATCCCCGCACTTCGGGAGGCCGAGGCAGGCACATCACTTGAAGTCAGGAATATGAGACCCGCCTGGCCAACATGGCAAAACCCCATCTCTACTAAAAATACAAAAATTACCCTGGCGTGGTGGCACACGCCTGTAGTCCCAGCTACTCGGGAGGCTGAGGCAACCTGGGAGGCAGAGATTTCAGTGAGCTGAGATCACACCACGGCACTCCAGCCTGGGTGACAGAGACTCCATCTCAAAAAATAAAAATAAAAAACATAAATAGCAACAGAGAGCAAATCAGCAGTCGCTTGGGAAATAAGGGGTAGGGATGGGTGAGAGGGAGGGATTACCAGGTACACGTGCAGCCTGGATAGTGCTGAGGGCTTCACGACGTAGACGCATCAGCCTCATCAAATTACACACTCTACCTATGTGCGGTTTGCCTTGTGTCAACTGTGTATCCATAAAGCTATCAACAAAAACTGCCTGCAAACTATTTTTAACTGACAACTTTTTTTTTTTTTTGGGATGGAGTCTCGCTCTGTTGCCCAGGCTGGAGTGCACTGGCGCGATCTTGGCTCACTGCAACCTACGCCTCCTGGGTTCAAGCGATCCTCCTGCCTCAGCCTCCTGAGTAGCTGGGACTACAGGTGTCCACCACCACGCCCGACTAATTTTTGTATTGTTAGTAGAGATGGAGTTTCACCATGTTGGTCAGGCTGGTCGCGAACTCCTGACCTCAAGTGATCCACCGCCTTGGCCTCCAAAAGTGCTGGAATTATAGGTATGAGCCACTGCACCTGGCCAGACAACTGTGAAAACTACATTAACATTTTATATTCAGTAAATAAACTTAGAGCGAAGTCACCTTTAGGACCAGGTCTCACTCTCCCTTGTGGCCTCCAGCAGTTGAGAGCACAGAGCCTCACTTGTGTTTACTGATATTTTATTCAGTGGGGGAGAATTTGTATTCTCACCTTCAAATTTGGTAAAGTACATGTCTTAGAGTAAAAATGGAACATGAGTGTATAAGGCACAACTGAATTCCTCCTGACTCAGCCCAAGTTTTGATGGTTTTCTTATTTTAACACCTCACTATGAGGCTACGGTGCCTGCTCTGTCTTCCTGGGATGGCCTGGCTGCCCTGGCTCCCACCAGGCCTGGAGCCCTCCAGAGCCCCCGTTCTGCACCCTCAGTGCTCCCTGAGGCCAAACCGCAGCCTGCAGAGGGGCCCTGAGGAGCCAGCAGGAGAGGCTATGCAGAGCTTCGTTTCTCAGCCCCTCTACATTTTCCAAAGCAGCAGCGAAGGGCTAGTTCTCATCACTCTCCTCTTCCCTGTGTAACAGTTTTCCAAGTTACACGTGATGGTCGAAGAGCTGAAAGGTAATTCTTCTTATTTCTGGCGAATATTTCTCATTCTTGCTTGGACAAACACCTGTCAGGTGCAGTCTGGCACCTCCCAGCTGCCTTTGAGGTTTCCCAGGTTCCCTGGCACCAGAGAGCGGCCCTGAGACCCATGCGGTCACTGGAAGGAACTCGGGAACTCACTGAGAACTTAGTAGCAGGGTGTGTGTGTGGGTCATGGCAACACTGGTCAGTGCCAGCCAGAAACCCGTGATGGATGGTCTGCTGACACATTTTCTAGAAGAAGCCTCTCTCCCAGCCCACAGCGTCTGTTGGAGTGGCCACATTCATAAGGTGAGGCCAACCTTCAGCCACTGTTTATTCTTTATTTTTTAATTATTTAATTATTATTATTTTTTGAGACGGAGTTTCACTCTTGTCACCCAGGCTAGAGTACAATGGCGTGATCTTGGCTCACCGCAACCTCTGCCTCCGTCAGGCTGGTCTCGAACTCCTGACCTCGGGTGATCTGCCCGCCTCGGCCTTCCAAAGTGCTTGGATTACAGGCATGAGCCACCGCACCTGGCCGACGCACTATTTTGTATTTATTTATTTTGAGACACAGTCTCGCTCTGTCACCCAGGCTGGAGTGCAGTGGTGCAATCTCCGTTCACCACAACCTCTGCCTCCCGGGTTCAAACAATTCTCGTGAGTAGCTGGGACTACAGGCACGTGCCACCATGCCCAGCTAATTTTTATATTTTTTTAGTAGAGATGGGGTTTTCGCCATGTTGGCCAGGCTGGTCTCAAATTCCTGACCTCAGGTGATCTGCCCGCCTTGGCCTCCCAAAGCATTGGGATTACAGGCGTGAGCCACCATGCCCAGCCTGGTTTTTGTTTTTATTTATTTATTTTTATAGAGACAAGGTCTTGCTATGTTGCCCAGGCTGCTCTTGAATTCTAGGCTCAAGTGATCCACTGACCTTGACCTTCCAAAGTGCTAGGATTACAGGCCTGAACCACCATGCCTGGCTTTTTTTAATTTTTTTTTTTGAGATGGAGTCTTGCTCTGTCACCCAGGGTGGAGTGCAGTCCTGCCATCTCAGCTCACTGCAAGCTCCGCCTCCCAGGTTCAAGCAATTCTCCCGCCTCAGCCTCCCAAGTAGCTGGGATTACAGGCGAGTGCCACCACACCCAGCTAATTTTTGTATTTTTAGTAGAGAGAGGGTTTCACTATATTGTTTCACTGTATTGGCCAGGCTGCTCTCAAACTCCTGATCCACCCGTCTTGGCCTCCCAAAATGCTGGGATTACAGGTGTGAGCCACCATGCCTGGCATTATTTATTTATTTATTTATTTATTTATTTATTTATTCATTAAGATGGAGTCTCATTTTGTTGCCCAGGCTGGTCTTGAACTCCTGGGCTCAAGTGTTTTGCCAGCCTCAGCCTCCCAAATTGCTGGGATTACAGGCGTGAGCCACCATGCCCGGCCCTACCACAGTTCATTGCACAAGAGCCAGATTTCTAGCCCCAAAGGTGAACTTGCATCTTTCCTCAGGAATGTGGATGTGAGGCCAGCAGAAGGAATGCTGTCCCTCTCTTCAGTGGCTGGGCCACGACTTGTGGAGGCGGCTGCTGGGGCTGGGATCTGGAGGCAGCAGGGCAGGCCCAGGCTCACAGAGGCTGGTGGAGGGAAGGGAAGGAGGGAAGATACTCCCGGCCCAGGGCCCCGCATCCCAGCTTCCTCGCTGAGCTCCACCACATCCCTCCCTCAGAGCCTGTGGAGGGACCCAGGATCTGCCTTTGAGGTTCCCCAGGTTCCCTGGCACCAGAGGGGGTCCCGAAGCCCATGCAGTCACTGGAAGGAATTCGCTGAGCACTTAGCACACAGGGTGTGTGTGGGTCGTGGCCATGCTGGTCGGTGCCAGTCAGGAACCCACAATGGATGGTCTGCTGACACATTTTCTGGAAGCAGCCCCTCTCCCAGGCCACGGCAGCTGTGGGAGTGGCCACATTCATAAGGTGAGGCCAACCCTCAGCCACCTAAAAAGCCAACTCAGCAGTTATAAGCTCCACACTGTATTTTCCAAACGGGGCAGGAGTCAACTACAATATACAGATCTTCTCTCCACCTCGGCCAGGCGCCGTGGCTCACGCCTGCAGTCCTGAGGCGGGCAGATCACACGAGGCCAGGAGTTCAAGACCAGCCTGGGCAGCCGGGCGTGGTGGCTTACGCCTGTAATTCCAGCACTTTAGGAGGACGAGGTAGGTGGATTGCCTGAGCTCAGGAGTTTGAGACCAGCCTGGGCAACACTGTGAAACCTCGTCTCTAGTAAAATACAAAAAATTAGCTGGGTGTGGTGGCATGCACCTGTAGGCCCAGCTACTTGGGAGGCTGAGGCAGGAGAATCACTTGAACCCAGGAGGCAGAGGGTGCAGTGAGCTGAGATGGCGCCACTGCACTCCAGCCTGGGTGACAGAGCGAGACTCCATCTCAAAAAAAAAAAAAAAAAACAAGACCAGCCTGGGCAACATGGCAAGACCTTGTCTCTACAAAAAATACAAAAAACATCCAGGCATGGCGGTGTGTGCCTGTGGTCCCAGGTACCCAGGAGGCTGAGGTGGGAGGATCGCTTTAGCCCAGGAGTTTGGAGGGTGCAGTGAGTTATGTTTGTGCCACTGCACTCCAGCCTGGCTGACAGAGCCAGACCCTGTCTCTGACAAAAACAAAACAAAACAAAAAACAAATCTTTTTTCCTCCTTGTCAGGAAGTAAAAGCCTGAATACATTCAGGGTCTGGTGTGACAGTGAGCTGGGAGCTCGGAGGAACAGAGTGGGGACCGCAGGGCTGAGGGGCATACCTGATGGGAGCTGCTCCCCTCCTGTGAGGGCAGCCATGGGGGCCCTGGTGGGCACAGCCACACACCTCCCTCCAGCCTCCTGCTGCTCAGCACCTCCCACGTGCAGCAGGGCTGGGGGCCATGTCGACAGAGGAGGAAAGCTGTGGCAGTGACCAAACCCAGGAGAGAGGCAACCAGTGGCCTGGCTGGTCCTGGGCCCAACATTCAGTGTCGGCTGCATCTGAGCACGCGGCCTCTGCCAAGAGAGCAGCACCCTGCCTGTAGACTGGGGCTTCCAGCATGAGGCAGGAAGAGTGTTCTAAACGTCACAGAAGGCCTGGCGTGGTGGCTCACGCCTGTGATCCCAGCACTTTGGGAGGCTGAGGCGGGCGGATCACCTGAGGTTGGGAGTTCAAGACCAGCCTGGGCTAACATGGTGAAACCCCGTCTCTACTAAAAATACAAAATTAGCCGGTCATGGTGGCGGGCGCCTGTAATCCCAGCTACTCGAGAAGCTGAGGCAGGAGAATCGCTTGAACCTGGGAGGCGGAGGTTGCAGTGAGCTGAGATCGCACCACTGCACTCCCGCCTGGGCAACAAGAGCGAAACACTCTCAAAAAAAATAATAGGCCAGATGCGGTGGCTCACGCCTGTAATCCCAGCACTTTGGGAGGCCGAGGCAGGCGGATCACAAGGTCAGGAGATTGAGACCATCCTGGCTATTATGGTGAAACCCCGTCTCTACTAAAAATACAAAAAATTAGCCGGGCGTGGGGGCGGGCGCCTGTAGTCCCAGCTACTAGGGAGGCTGAGGCAGGAGAATAGCGTGAACCCGGGAGGTGGAGCTTGCAGTGAGCCAAGATCGCACCACTGCACTCCAGCCTGGGCAACAGAGCGAGACTCCATCTCAAAAAATAAAAAAATAAAAATTAAAATTAAAAATAAAAAATAAAGCCAGGTGCAGTGGCTCACGCCTGTAATCCCAGCACTTTGGGAGGCCAAAGCGGGCAGATCATGAGGTCAGGAGATCGAGACCATCCTGGCTAACAAGGTGAAAACCCATCTCTACTAAAAATACAAAAATTAGCCAGGCGTGGTGGTGGGCACCTGTAGTCCCAGCTACTCCGGAGGCTGCGGCAGGAGAACGGCGTGAACCCGGGAGGCGGAGCTTGCAGTGAGCCGAGACTGCGCCACTGCTCTCCAGCCTGGGCGACAGAGCGAGACGCCGTCTCAAAAAAAAAAAAAAAAGAAAGAAAACAAAACTACTACTAATAATAAGTAAACATCACAGAAAAGACAGAAAGGAAACACAACCCCTAAACGATAGGATCACCAGCAATTCTCTTTAATCCTCTTTCTTTTCCTTCTAAAAGCTTTTGCAAAGTCCAATTTATTTTTACAGTAAATAGATTATCTTTTAAGAAAACGCACTAGCAAGATTGTAGCAAAGTGTGTTTATGCAAACAGGTGGTGCAGAGACAGAGGGGCGGACCTTGTGGGCAGCTGGAGGACCATCCCAGCTCATGGGCCACGCACAGATGGGAGCACCTCAGTGTTTTCAGCCAAGAGAACACAAGTCTCGGGATCCATGTGGCTCCCTCAGGCCCTGGACCCAGGCAGGCAGGACACCCTTGACCATGGGGCAGGGGACATCCCAGCATCTTGTCTGTACCCCCACCACCTGCGTGGCACCTGGTCCTCAGACACCTGCGTGGCACCTGGCCCTCAGGCACCTGCGTGGCAGCTCCACGGGCCAGGCCCACTGTCCAGTTGCTCCTGCCCTGGAGTTGGGGCCGTGGGGAGGGAAAGCGCAGTAATAGCTGAGTGTTCAGAGGAGGGGCTGGGCTGCAGGCATTGCTGGTTCAGATTGGTGCTCTCCACCTGGCTGAGTGAGGCGGCAGGAAGCAGCGGCCGGAAGATTCCTGCAGGAGTTTCAGAACTTAGTAGCCGGCTGAGGACGGCTTCCCCCTAAAACACCTCGGCTGCCTCGGCCACCCAGCACCTGCCAGAAATGCCGGCAGAGGCCGAGGCCGCTACAGAAGAGCAAGTACACCAGCGCCCGCCTCCTGCTCAGCCCCACTGGGCAGCACCCATGTGTGGGCAGGCTGGCGCAGGGGCCGGGAGGATGGGGACAAAGGAGACGCCAGCCCCGTGGGTCCCGCAGAGACCTGCCCATGCAGTGACCAGCGTCCAAGGACACAGATGACCCCAAGAAGCGGGAGCAGTACCTCACCTAGAGCTTAGCAGAGAAGGATGCGAAATCCGGCAGCCCTTTGACACCGTTTGGGAACGTCAACCATGCCCCGCCATCGGCCACCAGCACGGCCCCCGTCACGTAGGAAGCCAGAGGGCTGGCCAGGTAGAGCACGCTGTGGGCGATCTCGGTCTTGTTCCCCAGCCTCTGCAGCGGGCTGGCAGTGACCTTGGTGCTCAGGCTGGCCTGAGGGCCACCTGGAGGGCAGCAGAAGGCTCAGGCCCCGTGAGCCCCAAGACCCAGCACCCTCCCCTCTCCCCCAGCTCATTCCCTGAGAGGCATCTGGGAACAGCAAGGACACAGTCAGTGTCACCAAGGCCTAGCATGGAGCAGGATCAGGCCAGGCACAGAACATAGTTGCCACCATGGAACCAGCACAGGGCTTTTCAACATACACCCTGCCAAGGTTCTGGAAGCTTCATGGGCACCCTGTGCCCCAGGAGAGGATCTGTGGGAGGCCTGGGCTCCCTGAGAGCCTTACCCAGTCGCCGGAGCCCCTCTGTGCCACTGATGGGGCCAGGGGCGAGGCTGTTGACGCGGATGTTTTGGGGACCCCACTCCACAGCCAAGTGCCGCGTCATCGCGTCTGCACAGAAGAAAGTTGGATATGAAAGGGCCGCTCTGCCCTCTGCGAGGGCGCAGGGCCAAGGCCAGGTCTCGCTGCCTGCAGCTGGGCTCAGCTTCAAGTGGAGACTGCTGGCCTCCTGGGATGGAAGCAGACGGCCCATTGGGGACCCACGTGGGCAAACCTGGGCGGGGGGGGGTGGTCATACCCACAGCGGCCTTGGCGGAGCCTGCATGCACCTGGAGCGCCTGCCCCCGGTTCCCCAGGGTGGCAGTGATGTTCACGATCACCCCTCCGTGGTCCTGCAACACACAAGGCCCGGGGCAGTGAGCGGGCGGGTGTCGGGGGAGGTCACAGGACAGTGAGCGGGTGGCTGTCAGGGGGAGGCCCGGGGCAGGGAGCGGGCGGCCGTCAGGGGGAGGCCCAGGGCAGGGAGCGGGCGGCCGTCATGGGGAGGCCCAGGGCAGGGAGCGGGCGGCCGTCAGGGGGAGGCCCCCGCTGGGAGTACACCCACCCGGAAGAACTTCTCACAGAGCGCACAAGGCACCCACCCGGAAGAACTTCTCACAGAGCGCACGAGGCACCCACCCGGAAGAACTTCTCACAGAGCGCACGAGGCACCCACCCGGAAGAACTTCTCATAGAGCACACGAGACACATTGAAGGTGCCGCTGGTATCGATGTCCATCACGGTCTTGAAGGCGTTGAAGGACAAGGCGCCAGCGGGGCACAGGAAGTTCCCGGCCGCACCTGCAGAATGGGAGACCGCAGGAGCTGCTGGAGCCTGGGGAGAGGGATGCCAAGTGGGTGGTGGCCAGGTGGGCAGAGCGGAGGGTGCAGGAGGGAGCCCAGGTGCCCTGTGGCACAGGGAGGAGACCCATGCCCTAGGATAAATTCCAAAATGACCAGAGCAAGACGGGCGTCCTGGCTGCACTGTGTCCCCGAGAAGAGAAGACATGCTGAAGCCCTGGCTCCGTACCTGCGACTGTGGCCTTGTTTGGAAATGGGGTGGGTTGCAGAGATAATCGAATTACACTGAAGTCACAACGAATTAGGGTGAGCCCTAAATCCAATGACCAGCATCCTTATAACAAGGGAAGAGGACACACAGACACACGCCACGGGAAGACAGTGGCAGACAGTGCAGCGACGGTCTCCGAGCCCGGGAGGGCCAAGGGCTATGGCAGTACCCGAAGCCACGCAGAAGGCAGGAAGAGGCTCTCCCCTGGGGCCTTCAGAGAGCATAGCTCTGCCGACGCCTTCCCCTTGGACGTTCTGGCCTCCAGAACTGGGAGATTATATTTCGGTTGTTTTACCCACACAGGTCGTAGTACTCTGTTAGCCCAGGAAACTAATACACAGGATGTTTTTAAAAGGGAATTTCTGCAGAGTGAAACCAGTGTTGGTTCATCAATTGTAACAAACGCAAGATGTTAACAGGGAAAACTGTAGGTGGGAGTATGGAATTCCATATACTATTAATTATTCTATAAACCTAAAACTGTGATTTAAAAAAAAAAATCGGCCAGGCGTGGTGGCTCACGCCTGTAATCCCAGCACTTTGGGAGGCTGAGGCGGGCGGATCACGAGGTCAGGAGATCGAGACCATCCTGGCTAACATGGTGAAACCCCATCTCTAGTAAAAATACAAAAAGTTAGCCAGGCGTGGTGGCAGGCACCTGTAGTCCCAGCTACTGGGGGACTGAGGCAGGAGAATGGCATGAACCCGGGAGGCGGAGCTTGCAGTGAGCCAAGATTGCGCCACTGCACTCCAGCCTGGGCGACACAGCAAGACTCTCTCAAAAAATAAAAATAAAAATCAATAAAAATAAAAAATAAAGAAATAAAAATAAAAGCTGGGGGCCAGGCGCGGCGGCTCACGCCTGTAATCCCAGCACTTTCGGAAGCCAAGGCGGGCGGATCACCTGAGATCAAGAGTTCGAGACCAGTCTAAACAATATGATGAAACCCCATCTCTATTAAAAATACAAAAATTAGCCAGGTGTGGTAGCGGGCGCCTGTAATCCCAGCTACTTGGGAGGCTGAGACGGGAGAATTGCTTGAACCCGGGAGGCGGAGGGTGCTGTAAGCTGAGATTGTACCATGGTACTCCAGCCTGGGCAACAAGAGCGAAACTCCCTCTAAAAAAAAAAAAAAAGCTAGGCCAGGCTAGCTTCTATTTTATTGATGACTCTTGCTTGTAATCCCAGCATTTTGGGAGGCCAAGGCAGGAAGATTGCTTGAGCCTAGGAGTTTGAGACTGGCCTGAGCAACACACACTAAGACCCTGTCTCTACAAAAAATAAAAAATATAAAAATTAGCCAGGCGTGATGGCACACGTCTGTAGTCCCAGCTCCTCAGGAGGCTGGGGCAGGAGGATGGCTTGAGCCCAGAAGGTGGAGGCTGCAGTAAGCCATGATCACACCAGCCTGGGTGACAGAGTGAGATGCTGTCTAAAAAAAAAAAAAAGGCTATTACTTTTTTTTTTAAAGACGGAATTTCAGGACACAAGGGCACCCGACTCTACCATTGAGCTGTGTTCATGGCGTCCACTTGGGCTGCAGCTGTGCTGACCTGCTGCCACCCAGAGAAGCGGAGTCAGGCCGGAGACAGAGGGCCAGAGACAGAAGGCGGGACACAAAGGCCTGGAGACAGAGGGCCAGAGACAGAGGGCCAGAGACAGAAGCCCGGAGACAGGGGGCCGGAGATGGGGCCGGAGACAGAGGCCCAGAGACAGGGGGCCGGAGACAGAGGCCCGGAGACAGAGGCCCGGAGACAGGGGGCCGGAGACAGGGGGCCGGAGACAGAGGCCCGGAGACAGAGGCCCGGAGACAGGGGGCCGGAGACAGAGGCCCGGAGACAGGGGCCCGGAGACAGAGGTCCGGAGACAGGGGGCTGGAGACAGGGGCCCGGAGACAGGGGCCCGGAGACAGAGGGCCGGAGACAGAGGCCCGGAGACAGGGGCCCGGAGACAGGGGGCCGGAGACAGAGGCCCGGAGACAGGGGCCCGGAGACAGGGGGCCGGAGACAGAGGCCTGGAGACAGGGGCCCGGAGACAGGGGGCCGGAGATGGGGCCGGAGACAGAGGCCCGGAGACAGGGGGCCGGAGATGGGGCCGGAGAGAGACGCCCGGAGACAGAGGCCCAGAGACAGGGGGCCGGAGATGCGGCCGAAGACAGAGGCCCGGAGACAGAGCCCGGAGACAGAGGCCCGGAGACAGGGGCCCGGAGACAGGGGGCCGGAGATGGGGCCGGAGACAGGGGGCCGGAGCCTGAGTCTTGGCCTCAGGTACCTGGATGGGGTGCAGCCCACCCCAGCACAGGCAGCTAGGTTCCCTGGCATGGTCCCCACCCCATGACCAGAGTTCTAGGGCCTCCAAATGGTACCACCAACCTGTGAGAAGCCACCAACCTCACTCAGCACCGACTCACAGTTAATGAGAATGTCGATTCTGCCAAACTCCTTCAGAGCCTGGTCCACGGCGGCCATGACAGCTGGGGGCGCTCGGACGTCCATAGAGAGAGGGAGGCAGCGCCGGCCGGTGGCCCCAGCCAGCTTCCTGGCGGCCTAGAAGCCAGGTAAAGAGGCAGACAGCAGCCCTGCAGCCTCGGCCTGGAGAAAAGGCCTTTGGAATCTGCAGAGGACGATGCTTCCGGGTTCCTCGGGGACCCTGGGTTTGCTGCTGGACCCCACTCTGGGGAAGCACAGCCTGCAAGTGCCCACGACCCCAGTGGATGTTTGTGGGAACCTGCCACGCTCTCCCCCCACCTGCCACCTGTCCTAGAATCCTCCCTCTGCGTCGCCCTCCAGGCCACTGTCACCCATGTCCTGCCCCTGCTGCAGACCAGAGGTGGCACAGGTGAGACTCTCCTCCCAGGTCGAGGGCTCCAGTAGGTGGGACGCACGGACCACCTAAATAACCCAGGTGAGCCCAGAGGTCTTTCTTGGGGCCACATTACCCCCAAACAGGAAGGTCCCTCCCAGAACCCAATAACTAGATTTTTTAAAAAGTCAAAGATGTCTCTGGGAGGCCACTTACACTGAAGCTCCATATTTAGGATAGGTGCAAGTTTTGGTGCCGGCTGGGCACAGTGGTTCACACCTGTAATCCTGGCACTTTGGGAGGCTGAGGTGCCGGCCGGGCACAGTGATTCACACCTGTAATCCTGGCACTTTGGGAGGCTGAGGTGCCGGCCGGGCACAGTGGTTCACACCTGTAATCCTGGCACTTTGGGAGGCTGAGGTGGGCGGATCACCTGAGGTCAGGAATTCGAGACCAGCCTGGTCAACGTGGTGAAAACCCATCTCTACCAAAAAAATGCAAAAATTAGCCAGGCGTGGTGGCGGGCACCTGTAGTCCCAGCTACTCCGGAGGCTGAGGCAGGAGAATCGCTTGATCCTGGGAGGTGGAGGCTGCAGTGAGCCGAGATCGCACCACCACACTTCAGCCTGGGTGACAGAGCGAGACTCCCGTCTCAGAAAAAAAAAGTTTTGGTGCCAACATCCCCATAGCCTCTGGACTCTCCTGGCCCAGGCCCAGCCCCAGCCCCCCCACAGCCACCCGAACAGGGGACCATGGGAGAGGCCCTCTCACCGTCAGCACTCGCGGCAGGCTCCTACTGGCAATCACCGTATGGCAGCCGTGCCTGCAAAACCAGAAGCAGGTGTGAGGGCAGTGTGGGCGAGGGGCACTCCCGGGGCATCTGCCCAGCTCCTGAGCAGGAGTCTCTCAGGCGGAAGTACCAGTCCAGGCTGAAGGCCCAGCTGGCAGAGGGCACAGGGGCGTGAACAGGACTGAGGTACTCTGGAGGGACCTCAGGTGGTGCCCACCCCGGGGTTTCTGGCATGGGACATCCCACCGCACAGGCCTGCGGGTCCTGCCCCAAACACCAGGTACAGAGACAGCTGTGAGCCACAGACGCCCAGCCCACACATCTGCCTGGGGCCTGCTGGGCCCACATTCTCCACCCCCTTCTCCCTGTGGGGCTGGCGTGGAGGACTGTTCTGAAGCGGGGTGCTCCCTGCTCCCCTTCCTGACCACGTGGATGCGAATCCACCACGTTGGCCTCTATGAACCCTGGTTCCAGGAATGCCGCTAGGATTTCCAGCTTATCTACTGTTCTTGCGAAAGAGCACAAAGAAGTCCTGCCTTTAGGTCAAAACCACCTTGATGTTATCCTAAACAAATTCCTACACACTCCCTCTGAAGCAGGACCCCTTTCCCTGTGGTATAGAAGCCCTGGGCCTGGGGGTAACAGCATGGAGACGCCCGTCTCACAGCCACCCAAGACTACGCTTCTGCCCACAAATTCCCTGGTAAAATCACCTGACACAGACAAACGGGATCTGTCTGCCTTGTTCTTTGGTTTCTCGGCTCTTCTGGTTCGGGGGTTGCTTGCCCACAATAACCATAAAGGTAGCTACCCCTGCTAGGCAGGTCCCACTGGAGCTGCAATGTCCCATCTGGTCCTCAGATGCCCTGAGCACAAAGCCACCAGTGGAAAGGCCATATCTCTTCCTGTGGGACTCACCTTTTTGGTCTGAAAAGCAGGGGCCTCAGGGGAACTGAGGAAGGGTCCCTTTCCCCCACCCCAGCCTAACTCTAGCCACTGTCAGGTGGGATAAGTTGCTGACCCTGGCCTGAAGCCACAGAATTGTGTCCCAGGAGAAAATGTGCTCTGCAGGGCGCCAGCACTGGGGCCCGACACAGCCCTGACTCTCGAGGTCCCAGCAGGCCCCAGACCAGAGCCACACAATCTCCACTGACCTGTAGGGGCCTTGAAGTCCTGACTCCCCCCAGGGCAATCCTCGACCGCTCCCCAGTCCCTCTGGCAGGCACCTGGATCCTGTCGGGTAGGTGAGCAGGGGACATCTACCTCCCACCAACATCTTTCCAGGGGTCGGGCATCCAGCAGGGCCCGGGCAGGGAGAAGCGAGGAGCAGGGAAGGGACACAGAGCAGTCTCACCGCATGAAAATCTCAGCAATCCGGAACCCAATCCCAGAGCCGCCTCCTGTGATGAAGGCCACTTTGTCCCTGAGAATAAAAAAGGAGGCTCTTTTAAAAGAGCCCTATTGGGCCGGGCCGGTGGCTCCCAGCACTTTGGAAGGCCAAGGTGGGTGGGCCACAAGGTCAGGAGATCGAGACCAGCTTGGACAATATGGTAAAACCTCGTCTCTACTAAAAATACAAAAATCAGCTGGGCGTGGTGGTGGGTGCCTGTAGTCCTAGCTACTTGGGAGGCTGAGGCAGGAGAATAGCTTGAACCCGGGAGGCAGATGTTGCAGTGAGCCGAGATCGCACCACTGCACTCCAGCCTGGGCAAAAGAGCAAGACTCCGTCTCAAAAAATATGTATAAATAAAATAAAATAAAAATAAATAAAAAATAAAAGAGCCCTGTTAAAATACACCTCCCATATTGCTATACGGCAATGATTTAAAATGAAAATTCGGCCAGGTGCCTTGGCTCACACCTCTAATCACAGCACTTTAGGAGGCCAAGGCGGGCGGATCACCTGAGGTCGGGAGTTCGAGACCAGCCTGACCAACATGGAGAAACCCCGTCTCTACTAAAAATATAAAAAATTAGCCGGGTGTGGTGGTGCATGCCTGTAATCCCAGCTACTTGGGAGGCTGAGGCAGGAGAATCACTTGAACCCAGGAGGCGGAGGTTGTGGTGAGCCAAAATTGCGCCATTGCACTCCAGCCTGGGCAACAAGAGCGAAACATGGTCTTAAAAAATAAATAAATAAATAAAATGAAAATTCATAAAATTATAGTATTTTATTTAATTTATTTATTTATTTTTTATTTTTTTTGAGATGGAGTCTCGCTCTGTCGCCCAGGCTGGAGTGCAGTGGCATGATCTAGGCTCACTGCAAACTCCTCCTCCCAGGTTCACACCATTCTCCTGCCTCAGCCTCCAGAGTAGCTGGGACTACAGGCACCTGCCACCACGCCCAGCTAATTTTTTGTATTTTTAGTAGAGATGAGGTTTCACCGTGTTAGCCAGGATGGTCTCGATCTCCTGACCTTGTGATCCACCCACCTCGGCCTCCCAAAGTGCTGGGATTACAGGCATGAGCCACCACACCGGGCCTATTTATTTATTTTGAGACAGGTTCTTGCTACGTCATCCAGGTTGGAGTGCAGTGGCACCATCACGGCTCACTGCCGCCTTGACCTCTTGGGCTAGAAGGATCCTCCTGCTTCAGCCTCCCCAGTAGCTGGGACTACAGGTGCATGCCAGAGTGCCCAGCTAATTTTTCATCTAGTTTTTCTAGAGAGGGGTATCGTTTTGTTGCTCAGGCTGGTCCTGAACTTGTGCTGACACAAACTTGCAAAGTGCAGTGGGGGAAAGGGTATTTCTGTGTCTTTTGACAGAAATGGACAGAAGTAGATACAAGAGAGAAAAATACCCTGGCTTAAACAAGATAGAGGTTATAATTTCCTCTCTCCTAAGCCCTGCATGGCACTAATATCAAATATGATACCTGAGATTCAGCAAGCTACGTCGGGATAATATGGCTTTTTTATTTATTAGAGATTTTCTTGTACGCATTAAATGTGTACTGATCGGTATGACTGGCACAAACTGTACCAGATGGATGGCAAACTTTTGCTGATCTCCAAGTTGCCTTTCCTATTCTTAATTATTAAAGATTAATTTTGGGCCAGGTGCAGCGTCTCACTCCTGTCATCCCAGCACTTTGGGAGGCCGAGGCAGGTGGATCATCTGAGGTCAGGAGTTCCAGACCAGCCTGACCAACATGGTGACACTCACCTCTACTAGAAATACAATTAGCCCAGCGTGGTATTGTGTGCCTATAGTCCCACTTGGGCGCACTGAGGCTGAAGCAGGAGAATTGGGAGGCTGAGGCAGGAGAATTGCTTCAACCCAGAATGAGACTCCGTTTCGAAAAAAAACTTTTTTTTTTTCCTGCAGAACACTCAGAGAGAATTGTCAATACCTGTCCTTGGAGAACATAATTTAAAACTTGTTTTCTTTTTTTGAGATGGAGTTTCACTCTTGTTGCCCAGTGCAATGGTGCGATCTCGGCTCACTGCAACCTCCACCTCCCGAGTTCAAGTGATTCTCCTGCCTCAGCCTCCCAAGTAGTTGGGATTACAGGTGTGCGCCACCACACCCGGCTAATTTTTTGTATTTTTAGCAGAGACGGGGTTTCACCATGTTGGCCAGGCTGGTCTCGAACTCCTGACCTCTGGTGATCTACCCGCTTCGGCCTCCCAAAGAGCTGGGATTACAGGCGTGAGCCACTGCTCCTGGCAAAAGATCAAAATTTTAATAGAAACTTGAAAATGTTGCCAATTGAAAAAAAGAAAAGGAAAAAAAAAAAAGGATCCGCCCATTAGCCGAGTGAGGGCAGGTGACCGGGGAGGATCGACCTTTGCCCGGGCTGCCTTCTCTTGTGAACACCAAGGCGTTTGCAGGAAAATGAAGAGCTGCTGGGCAAAACCTGGCATTCCTGGGCCTTCTGGGTCTTCCGGAAAAATGATTTCAACCTAAAATTTTCTGTTAAGAAAGAGGCCAGGTTGGGCCGGGCGCGGTGGCTCACGCCTGTAAATCCCAGCACTTTGGGAAGCCGAGGCGGGTGGATCACCTGAGGTCAGGAGTTCGAAAAGAGCCTGACCAACACGGTGACACCCCCTCTCTACTAAAAATAAAAATTAGCCGGGCTGAGGCAGGAGAATCGCTTGAACCCGGGAGGCAGAGTTTGCAGTGAGCGGAGATCGTGCCACTGCACTCCAGCCTGGGCGACACAGCGAGATTCCGTCTCAAAAAAAAAAAAAGAAAGAAAAAAGAAAGAAAGGAGCCAGGCAAGACAGGTTTCCTAACACGCGAGCCCTCGGGGACCACGTGGGGGCGCCGGCGCCCGCGGACCGGACCCCGCACCAAGGCTGCGCTCGCTTCCCAGGCCCCGCTCACCGCAGCAGGTCCGGGCAGAAGAGGTGGCGGTACGCGGGGAGACAGTCGTCCCCCTCCACGTCGGGCGGCGGCTGGGCCATGGCGCTCCCGTCGGGGACTGCGGGGACAACGGGCGGGAGCGGCCTCGGCCTCCAGGACCCGGCGCGCAGCTGCGAACTCGCCTGGAACCGGGAGCCCCGCCCCACTCCCCGGACGCCCCGCCCCTGCCCTGATTGCTTCCCGGAGGCCCCGCCCCTCCCCCGAATTCTCCCCGGAGGCCCCGCCCCCGCCCGCGGCCTGCTGGGACTGGAAGTCGGCGCGCGAGGCGCAGGCGCATTGCGGGGCCGGGGGCGCGGTTCCCGCGGCAGAAGCTCGGCGGTCTGCGGGTCTCCTCCCCGAGTCTTTTTCACAGGTATTCGGCGTCAGCGCCGCGTTCAGAGCCTCCAGGACTTGTGGGATACCCCTGGCTCCTGGGTCCAGGCCAGGCTCGCAGCCTCTGGGCTCCCCGTTCGCCTCCCCGTAAACACCATGGGGAGGGCCGGGGCCCAGGGAAGCGCGGCCAGCCCCGCGCCGCTTCCCAAAATGACCCGTTTTGAGGCCAATAAAGAAGGGTCCGGGGCCGGGCGCGGTGGCTCACGCCTGTAATCCCAACACTTTGGGAGGCCGAGGCGGGCGGATCACGAGGTCAGGAGTTCGAGACCATCCTGGACAACATGGCGAAACCCCCTCTTTACTAAAAATACAAAAATTAGCCGGGCATTGTGGCGGGTGCCTGTAGTTCCATCTACTCGGGAGGCTGAGGCAGGAGAATCGCTTGAACCCGGGAGGCGGAGGTTGCAGTGAGCCGAGATCGCGCCACTGCACTCTATCCTGGGCGACAGAGCGACACTCCGTTTCAAAAACAAAAACAAAAAAAAAAGGGTCCGTTACTTCTGTTCCGCGTGGGGGCCCGGGCGGGGCTATGCCGCGAACCCAGGACGGGGCGCCCCGCCCGCACCACTGTTGGAAGACGGGGGTCCGCGACGGCCACGGGGGAAAAACACGCAGGGCCGCTCCTGAGCTGAACACACCCGCGGGCCAGCGGCTTCAGGGGCGTGACAGAGCCGCCAGCGCTACAGTAATGGCTGCCAGGCCCTTTCTGCGCTGGTTGGCCTCAGCCCGCCGGCCCCTCTCTGCCCCTTCCCCGGGAAGGCAGCTTCTCCTTTGGCGGGATCACAGCACCGGCTCGCGCCTAGCTTGGGTTCTCCGGATTGCAGGCTGGTGGTCTCTGGACCCCTGCCTGGCTCATACATCCAACAACGTTATGGAACTGGGTGTGCAAAACTTCCTCTTTACTGTTCAACTCCTTACAACTTGCATAAAGGCGTCATTTCTACCTCAGAGCTGGGGGAAGTCATAATTAGTGTACCACCCATGTGCTGGGCACAGTGAATTTTAATGCCTCCCCTTTAGAGGAGAGGTTATGATAATGTGAAGACCCCCCCCCACCACAAAGGTTGTCCGGCACTTTGGTGCAAAAAGGATTGGTCCAATCTTGTGCTGGCTTGGGGTACAGAAAGGCACTGAAGTTGGTGGCTCAAACTCCTCTGGGCTGGGGTGGGGCAGAGGTGAACAGGGAAGTAAGTGGTTTGGGACAGGCAGGTTTGGATGTGGGCTTGGGTTCTTGCTGACGGAGGTAGTTGGTCCTGCGTGGGGGATGGGGTGGTAAGGGCAGCTTGAGCCTCAGGCTGGGTGGATGCTGCTGTGCTGGCCCCCGTCTGCCCAGCTCACCAGCTCACTGCTCTGGAACCACAGCTGGATCTCCCGCTGGGCCCCCTCCACGGAGTCGCTGGCGTGGATGACATTCCTGTGCCAGGACAGGAGCAATGTGAGGCTCAGGCTTCATGTGCACCCTGAGGAATCCCAGGGACCATCTGCTGCTCCCGTTGCCCTCTGTCTAGGGGAGCAAGCCTGTGACTGCAGACAGGGAAGGAGTAACAGTGGAGCTGGGAAACCGGGTTCCAGCCTGGCCTCGGCCTCTTACAGCCTCGTGGACCCGCCCAGGCCCCAGCTTTTGGGAGCCTCATTTCCCCCCAAGTTGCCCCGTGCCAACCCCTTGGGGTGTCAGGTAACAGGCAACGATGGCACGGTACACACAACACAAAGGGAACACCTCATTGCCCTGTGTGCCCTGGGAGAACACGGCTCTCACCAGTGTGAGCTGTCATGTCCGACCTGGCTTCATCCTAGCACAGCAAGACAGCCAGGTCTCGTGGATCTGCCACCACCCCAAGTGATGGCCCTCCTTGCCCCCAGCAGCAGCCTGGTGTATCAGGACCCCCGTACCTGCTGATGTGGACGCTGAAGTCACCCCTTATGGTTCCTGGGGCAGCCTCAGCCGAGTCGGTGTGTCCAATCATGGCCCTCGAGGCGCGGACGACATTGTACCCTTCCCAGACCTGCAGCGAGAGATAATGGTTGGGGAGAAGTGGGGAACACCAAGGGCCCCTGGGCTCAATCCAGGGCCCCTCCCTTTGCTGGGGGGAAAGACACACCCACACGCCCTTTACCCACAGGCCCTTCCACCACCCCTGCCCTGCCGTACCATGGCCACCACAGGCCCAGAGCTCATGTAGCGGATGAGGGCAGGGTAGAAGGGCTTCCTCCGCAGGTCCTGGTAGTGCTCGGCAAGGACGCTCTCTGGTGCCTGGGTGGCATTGAGGTAAGGAGGAGCCGCAGACAGTAAACGTGGGCACTAGCACAGCAGCTGTGATGCCCTGACCTCAGGCACCTTGCAGATAACACCAGCATGGGCAGCACCCCCACCGCAGAATAGATCCCTCCTGCCCCTTCAACTGCCAAAGCCAGGCCCTGCCCCGGCGCTGGCTGGGATGTGAAAGGCCGAGAAGGATCCCCCAACCCCATCCCCACAGGGACACCCACAAGCCCAGAGTCCCACTACCTGCAGCATCTTCATCCCCACCAGCGTGAAGCCCCGCCTCTCAAAGCGCTGGATCACGTCCCCAACGAGCCGCCGTTGCACGCCATCGGGCTTCACCGCCACCAGGGTCCGCTCCCGGGTCCAGGAGGGCCCTCCTTCAAAAGGCAAGAGGTCAGAGGCACTGCCACCTCACCCTTTCACGTCCCCACGACCCGGGTTTCCCAGCCAGAGCCCAGGGGTCACCAGGCTTCAGGGTGTCTGCCTCTATGCAGGGCACTCTGGAAGGGACAGGGATGGTGCCCACAGCCACAAACACCCCCATGATAGTCCCTGTCAGGGACACCCAAGGCAATGTGTCCCCAGGGCTTCTAGCCTCTCCCAGGGGCCATGGCTCCTCCCAGCAGAGGCAGAGGCTGCCTGAGATCGCCCCGAGGTTCAGGGAGGCACTGCCCAGCTCAGGGACCACCACCGCAAGGTCCATAGAGGCAGAGCCAGCTCAGGGACCACCTCAAGGTCCAGGGAGGGACAGCCCAGCTCAGCGACCACCCTGAGGTCCACAGAGGCACAGCCCAGCTCAGTGGCCTCAGGGAAGTCTGGAGATCCTGCAAAACTCCAGCCTCACTTTTGACTCCATCCCTTCTGGATGACGACAGACATGGTCTGAAGCCCCGACTTTCCACATGAGGAAGAACCCAGAGCCCACCCTGTGTCTGAGGTGAATGAGTGGCAGGGAACCAGGGAGAAACACACTTTCCCCACCAGGTGAGCCCTGGAAACACGGACAAAAAGGGGCCTGAAGATTGAAGAGGGAAGGTAGCAGGGTTCTGTCCGAGCCAGGAGACGGGGCCTGTGCTGCTGTGGAGTTTCAAGGCCTGTCGCTTCCAGACCCAGGGTCAGCGCTGAGCTCCGCCCCAGCCGTCCTCCTCTGGAGGGGACGCTGCCAGGGAAACAGAAGACGTCCTCACCTTCCTATAGTCCCAGGCTGCTCCAGAGCCAAGCTACCCTCCGGCATCGGGTCCCTGGTTTCCAGAGGAGCCCAGACCCTGTATGTCCCACAGAATCTGGACAGAGCCAAAGGGGCTCCGCCAGGCCAGGAGGAAAAGTTAACCCCAGCAGGCGGCTGAAGCCCACGGGAGGAAGACCCCCTGGTTGGTTTGTTCCCCCAAAACCCAGTTTGCAGGGCGCCTTGTGTAGCCTGGGGCTCTGCTGCGGCTGGTGCGGGCATTGCAGGCGGCGGCTCACTTTTCAGAGCCGATGGAGGGAGCCCTGGGACATGGATCGTCCTGTGAGGTGGCAGCTGGGGGGGCCGGGCAGCGGCGGGGCCGGGGACTTGGGGCCTGACGTCCCAGTCAGATTCTGGCCTAACTTGGCCTTCAGCGAACGCCCCAGCGGAGCGGCTCCCCCCACCCCCACCCCCCGACTCCCTCACCCCCCCACACCCCCACCCCCACCCCCCGACTCCCTCACCCCCCCACACCCCCACCCCCACCCCGGCCGGGAGACCCCCTCCCCGCCCAGTGCTGCAGCCGGCCTCTGCCTTCCTTGCGCTCCCGGGCCCTCGGTCGCCCCGGACCCGCCCAGGCTGCCAACTCGCCGGGCGCCTGCAGCCTGGGGCCTGGGGAGGCGAGAAGGAGCCGCAGAGCCGGACGGGCACTGGAGGGGCGTGCGGGTGCGAGCCGGCGCCTTCCCCAACTCGGACGGACCCCGCAGCCCGCGCCCCGAGGCCTCTGGGGGAGTCGGACCCCAGCCCGCACGTGCGCGCACAAAGGCCGAGCGGCGCGCGCCCCTTCCTCCCCTCCGCGTCCCCGCCGGGGCGCGCGGCCCCACTCACCCGAGCCGTGGCGCACTAGCAGGCTCGGGCCCGGGGCCCGCGGGCCGCAGCGCAGCCCCCGCAGCGCGGAGCGCCAGAAGAGGCCGCCCATGACGCCCGGCCCGCGGGCCGCTGTGAGCGCGAGGAGCGGGCGCGGAGGGCGGTGCCAGCCCGAGACCCGCCCCCGCCCGCCCGGGAGCCCCCCGCCGCCCCGGAGCCCCCCGCCGCCCCGGACCCCCGTGGCCCGGCGCTCACGGGGGAAATGTTCAACGCCAATTTCTGTTAAAAATCAGAAGAAAAAACAAAATAATAATGAATCCTTCTCGAATTGCATTCGTCTTTACACCGACGCAACCGTTAACTATCGTTTTAACGCTTTCCCACGGAGGAAGGCCCACTCGGGAGGCTGAGGCAGGAGGATCGCGTGAGCCCAGGAGATTGAGGCTGCAGTGAGCTGTGACTGCACCGCTGCACTCCAGCCTGAGCAATAGAGCAAGACTCTGTCTCAAAAATAAATTCACGGACCAAAAGGAGGTCTAGAAGCCCTGGTCTGAGCCCCCTCCAATGGAGGGTGAAATTCCCACGTGAGCCCCAGGGCGGGAGAAGGAGGCGCTCCGGAGACGCTGACTCTGCGGCCAGGACGAGTAGGCGGGACTACAGACCCGCGCCACCACAACCAGCTAATATTTTAATTTTTTGTAGAGATGGGGCCTCCCTATGTTGCCCATGCTGGTCTCAAACTCCTGGGATCAAGAAATCCTCCTGCCTTGGCTTCCCAAGGTGCTGGGATTACAGATGTGAGCCTGGTCTGTGAATTTGAATGGGGAAAAATCCGACCTTTATTCTCAAATGGCCTCTGATGTGACTGCATTCCTCTAATTCATTCAATTGCGGATATAAGGAAGAAGCCACATTCATAGTTGCAGGGCCTGTGACTTTGTCACCAACAGAATTCACAGGTACGGTAATATTTGGGTAGATAGCACAGCATGCTACTATTTGAAATGGTTAGGTCTCCCACTGCTAGAACTTACTTAATGAGTCTTGAAAAAGCCTGTTCTTTTTGCTGCTATTGTGAATGGAATTGTTTTCTTATTTGAATTGTCCATTGCAAGTGTATAACAGACAATTGAGGTTTGTTTGTTTTCAGACAGAGTGTCGCTCTTGTTGCCCAGGCTGGAGTGCAATAATGGCATATCTCTGCTCACTGCAGCCTCCGCCTCCCAGGTTCAAGCAGTTATCCTGCCTCAGGCTCCCGAGTAGATGGAATTACAGGAGCTTGCCACCACACCTGGCTGGTGTTTTTTTTTATTTTTAGTAGAGACGGGGTTTCGCCATGTTGGCCAGGCTGGTCTCAAACTCGTGGCCTCAGGTGATCCACCCGCCTTGGCCTCCCAAAGGGCTGGGATTACAGGCGTGAGCCACCACGCCTGGCCAACAATTGAGCTTTGTGTATTGATCTTGTATCCTGCAAGCCTTCCAAATGCATTTATTAGTTCTAATAGTTTTTAATTAATTCCTTGGGAATTTCTTTGTATAAGATTGTGTCATATGGAGCGGGGCACACTGGCTCATGTCTGTAATCCCAGCACTTTGGGAGCCCGAGGCGAGCGGATCACGAGGTCAGGAGTTCAAGACCAGCCTGGTCAACGTGGTGAAACCCCGTCTCTACTAAAAATACAAAAATTAGCTGGACATGGTGGTGCATGCCTGTAATCCCAGCTACTCAGGAGGCTGAGGCAGGAGAATGGCTTGAACCCAGGAGGTGGAGCTCACAATGAGCCGAGAGCATGCCACTGCACTCCAGCCTGGGCAACAGAGCAAGACTCTGTCTCAAAAAAAAAAAAAAAAAGAAAAGAAAAAACATCATGTCATATGGGAATAGAGACGGTTTCAGTTCTTTCTTTCCAATCTGAATGCCTTTTATTTTATTTTCTTGTCTAGTTGCTCTGACTAGAATTTGCAGTACTATGGTATAAAGAAGTGACTTTCTTTCTTTTTAGAGGCTGGACTCTTGCTCAGGCCTATTATCCCAACAATTTGGGAAGCTGAGGCAGGAGGATCACATAAGCCCAGGAGTTTGAGACTAGCCAGGGCAATATAGCAAGACCCTGTCTCTTGAAAAAAAATAGTAAATAAACAAAAAATATATGAGTGAAGTGTATAGTATGTCAATTGTATCCCAATAAAGCTATTGCAAAAAGGAAAAAGCAGATATTACTATAGCGTACTCTGTTTTTTTTTTGAGACGAAGTCTCACTCTGTCACCCAGGTTGGAGTGCAGTGGCGCGATCTCGGCTCACTGCAAGCTCCGCCTCCCGGGTTCACGCCATCCTCCTGCCTCAGCCTCCAGCTGGGACTATAGGCGCCTGCCACCACGCCTGGCTAATTTTTTTTTTTTTTTGTATTTTTAGTAGAGACGGGGTTTCACCATGTTAGCCAGGATGGTCTCGATCTCCTGACCTTGTGATCTGCCCGCCTCAGCCTCCCAAAGTGCTGGGATTACAGGCATGAGCCACCGCGCCCGGCCACTATATCGTACATTTTTTAATGTTTTATTTTTGTTTTTTTAGCAACAGGGTCTCGTTCTGTCACCTGGGCTGGAGTGCAGTGGTGCAGTCATAGCTCAACTGCAGCCTTCACCTCCCAGCCTCAAGCGATCCTCCTGCCTCAGCCTCCCCAGTAACTAGGAAAACAGGCCTGAGCCACCGCACTTGGCCTAAAATATTTTGTTTTTGTTTTTGTTTTTGTTTTTGAGATGGAGTCTCACTCTGTTGCCAGGCTGGAGTGCAGTGGTGTAATCCTGGCTCACTGCAACCTCCGCCTCCCAATTCAAGCGATTCTCCTGCCTCAGCCTCCTGAGTAGCTGAGATTACAGGCACGCGCCACCACACCCGGCTAATTTTTGTTTTTTAGTAGAGATGGGGTTTCACCATGTTGGCCAGGATGGTCTCGATCTCTTGACCTTGTGATCAACCCGCCTTGGCCTCCCAAAGTGATGGGATTACGGGTGTGAGCCACCACGCCCCGCTGCCTAAAATATTTTGTTTGTTTGTTGGTGAGACATCGTCTTACTCTGTTGCCCAGGCTGGAGTGCAAGGGCATGATCTCAGCTCACTGCAACCCCCACCTCCTGGGTTCAAGCAATTCTCCTGCCTCAGCCTCCCGAGTAGCTGGGATTACAGGTGCTCGCCACCACACCCAGCTAATTTTTTGTATTCTTAGTATAGACAGGGTTTCGCCATGTTGGCCAGTCTGGTCTCGAACTCCTGACCTCAGGCGATACACCCACCGCAGCTTCCTAAAGTGCTGGGATTACAGGTGTGAGCCACTGCGCCCGGCCTGGCCTACAATATTTTGATAATTTATTTCAGTATAGTTTTTTATATTTTTATTTCCTTGTATTTTATTTTGCACATTAAAAACATGCTGAGACTGGGCGCAGTGGCTCGCGCCTGTCATCCCAGCACTTTAGGAAGCTGCGGTGGGTGTATCGCCTGAGGTCAGGAGTTCGAGACCAGACTGGCCGACATGGCGAAACCCTGTCTATACTAAAAATACAAAAAATTAGCTGGGTGTGGTGGCATGCACCTGTAATCCCAGCTACTCGGGAGGCTGAGGCAGGAGAATCCCTTGAACCCGGGAGGCAGAGGTTGCAGTGAGCTGAGATCGTGCCCTTGCACTCCAGCCTGGGTGACAGAACAAGACTCCATCTTAAAAAAAGAAAAAAAAAATTATGCTGGGCCGGACGAGGTGGCTCATGCCTGTCATCGCAGCACTTTGGGAGGCTGAGGCGGGTGGATCACCTGAGGTTGGGAGTTTGAGACCAGCCTGACCAACATGGAGAAACCCTGTCTCTACTAAAAATATAAAATTAGCCGGGCCTGGTGGCAGGTGCCTGTAATCCGAGCTACTTGGGAGGCTGAGGCAGGAGAATTGCTTGACCCTGGGAGGCGGAGGTTGCTGTGAGCTGAGATTGTGTTATGGCACTGCAGGCTGGTAGACAGAGCAAGACTCTGTCTCAATAAATAAATAAATAAATAACTCTCTTGGCCAGGCGTGATGGGATGGTTCACACCTGTACTCTTAGCACTGTGGGAGGCAGAGGTTGGAGGATCACTTGAGGCCAGGAGTTTGAGACCAGCCTGGGAAACATAGTGAAACCTGTCTCTACAAAAAAATAAAAAATTAGCGGGGCGTGTTGGTGTGCGCCTGTATTTCCAGCTACCGGGAAGGCTGAGGTGGGAAGATTGCTTGAGCCCAAGAGGTCCAGGCTGGATTGAGCTGTGATCGCACCACTGCACTCAGCCTGGGCAACAGAATGAGACCCTGTCTCAAAACAAAACAAAAAAGAACTCTCGTAACTCAACAAGAAAAGCAAAACCCAGTTCATTTCCTTGTGTAATGCCTACCCCTTGAGTGTGGACCATGCCTGGTGACTGACTTCTGACACAGCAAAAGAGACGGAGTGTCACTTTCACAATCTGGTCACCAAAGACTGCAGCTGCTGCTGCTCCGCCACCTCCTGGGAGAAGCAGCTCCCCTGTTGTGAGCAGCCCTGTGCGGAGGCCCCCATGACAAGGAACTGATGTTTCTGGCCAAAAGCAACATAGGTGGGCTTAGAAGTGAATCTGCAGGAGGCTGAGGCAGGAGGATTGCTGGAGCCCAGGAGGTTGATGCTGCAGTGAGCAGTGATTGTGCCACTGCACTCCAGGCTGGACAACAGAGCGAGATCCCATCTCTTAAAAAAAAAAAAAAAAAGTGGGCGTGGTGCAGTGGCTCACACCTGTAATCCCAGCACCTAGCTAGGCCAAGGTGGGCAGATCACTTGAGGTCAGGAGTTTGAGACCAGCCCAGCCAACATGATGAAACCCCGTCTCTACCAAAAATACAAAAATTAGCCTGGTGGGATGTGACACGCCTGTAGTCCCAGCTACTCGGGAGGCTGAGGCACTAGAATCGCTTGAACTTGGGAAGCAGAGGGAACAGTGAGCTGAGACTGTTCAACTGCACTCCAGGCTGGGCAACAGGGCGAGACCCGGTCTGGAAAAAAAAACAAGTACATCCCCCCTTAGTCAAGCCTTGGGGTAACCTCAGCGTGGCTGACACCTTGACCACAGCCTGTGAGAGCCTCTGACTCAGAGGCTCCCTGCTAAGCCCCACCCAGCCTCCTGTCCACAGAATCTGGAAGATAATGAACGTGTGCTGCTTACATCATGAAGTTGTGGGGTATTTGTTATGCAGCATAGATGACTAATACAAACAGCAGCCAGGGAGGTGCAGAGTGGCATCACCTCCAACCAGAGCTGGGCTTCAGGGGCTCTGGTGGTCCATGGGGCTGTACTGCCGCTCAGAGGCCAGCGCTGGAACTGCGTCTGGGTCTCACTGCCATCCAAAGCATGGACTGCCTATCTGGTTTCACTCTTGGAGTGGCACCACTCAGAGGGCCCCAGAGCCTGACTGAGGATGAGGTGGAGTGAGGAATCAGGGCTGAGCACGGCCGTGGATTTCTGGAACATTCCTATGGATGTGCTGGATGGTCCTTGTAGAAGGTGCTCAAAAAGATACCTGCAGGGTGGGACAGCGGGGGGATCAGGACAGCTGAATTCTGTCCCAGCCCTACGACTGTTACACCCATGTAGGGAGGGCATTGCCCTACATGGAGGTCTCTCACCTGTTTTATTTTTTTAAATATTTATTTATTTATTTATTTATTTGGACGGAGTCTCGCTCTGTCGCCCAGGCTGGAGTGCAATGGCATGATCTTGGCTTATTGCGAGCTCTGCCTCCTAGGTTCAAATGATTCTCCTGCCTCAGCCTCCCCAGTAGCGGGGACTATCGGCGCCCGCCACCACATCCGGCTAATTTTTTGTATTTTTAGTAGAGACGGGGTTTCACCGTGTTAGCCAGGATGGTCTCAATCTCCTGACCTCGTAATCCGCCTGCCTCAGCCTCCCACAGTGCTGGGATGACAGGCGTGAGCCACCGTGCCCAGCCTGATATCTTATTGTTACAGGTTTCTAACTTAATTCCACTGTGGTCAGAGAACATATTCCCTTTGGGAGGCCAAGGTGGGCGGGTCATGAGGTCAGGAGTTCGAGATCAGCCCGGCCAACCAGTGAAACCCCGTCTCTACTAAAAATACAAAACTTAGCTGGGCATGGTGGCAGGCACCTGTAATCCCAGCTACTCGGGAGGCAGAGGCAGGAGAATCATTTGAACCCGGGAGGCGGAGGTTGCAGCAAGCCAAGATTGAGCCATTGCACTCCAGCCTGGGCAACAAGGGCAAAACTCCGTCTCAAAATAAATAAATAAATAAATTAATTAATGAAAGAGGACATATTCTCTACCACTTAAACTATTTTAAATTAATTGAGACTTGGTTTATGGCCCAGCATGTGATCTGTATTGGAAAACAAATTGTGTGCGCTTGAAAAAAATGTTTATTCTGGCTGAGCGCGGTGGCTCACGCCTGTAATCCCAGCACTTTGGGAGGCCGAGGCAGGTGGATCCCTTGAGGCCAGGAGTTGGAGACCAGTTTGGGCAACATGGCAAAACCCTGTCTCTACAAAAAAAATTTCTTTTTTTGAGACGGAGTCTCGCTCTGTCGCCCAGGCTGGAGTGCAGTGGCGCAATCTCGCCTCATTGCAAGCTCCGCCTCCCAGGTTCACACCATTCTCCTGCCTCAGTCTCTGGAGTAGCTGGGACTACAGGCGCCCGCCACCATGCCCGGCTAATTTTTTCTATTTTTAGTAGAGATGGGGTTTCACCGTGTTAGCCAGGATGGTCTCGATCTCCTGACCTCGTGATCTGCCTGCCTTGGCCTCCCAAAGTGCTGGGATTACAGGCGAGAGCCACCGCGCCCGGCCCAAAAAAATTTTAAAAATTAGGTGGGTGTAGTGGTGCGCGCCTGAACTCCCGTTAGAAACCATGAAGCTGTTGTTGATCCTCCCATCTTGGCCTCCCACAGTGCTGGGATTACAGGCGTGGCCACAGCCCTCGGCCCTGGACCCCATTGTTTCTAATGGGAAGTTATGCCATTCAATTGTTCCCTGGACTATAATGTGTTATCTTTCTCTGTCTGCTTTCAATATTTTCTCTATAAGTTCGTTTTCCAGCAGTTTGACTATGATGTAATTGGCTATGGTTTTCTTTGCATTGATTCTTGTTAAGCTTCACTAAGCTGCTTGAATCTGTAAATGAATGCCTTTCACCGAATTTTAGAATTTGGGGTATTTCTTCACATATTTTTTTTCTGTCTCAGTTTGTCTTCCCTGTCCTCTTGGATTTCCACGTGTACACAGGCTAGACCTCTTTCTTTTTCTTTTCTTTTTTTTTTTTTTGAGACGGAGTCTCACTCTGTCGCCCAGGCTGGAGTGCAGTGGCGGGATCTCAGCTCACTGCAAGCTCCACCTCCCCGGTTCACGCCATTCTCCTGCCTCAGCCTCCCGAGTAGCTGGGACTACAGGTGCCCACCACTGCGCCTTGCTAATTTTTTTTGTATTTTAAGTAGCGACGGGGTTTCACCATGGTCTCGATCTCCTGACCTCAGGTGATCCGCCTGCCTCAGCCTCCCAAAGTGCTGGGATTACAGGCGTGAGCCACTGTGCCCGGCTAGACCTCTTTCACCTCTGCTGAGGTCACTGCAGGGAGATCCAGGAAGAGTGGGCCCCTCCTTGTAGGAGGAGCACAGCCTCAGTCCCAGTCCCATCGGCCCGCCCAGGTACACTTCTGAGGGACACCAAGGGGAGCCTTCTCAGCAGAGAGCAACTCTTGGGCCTCCTACCCCGGCAGCCATCTCTGTCCCTGTCACCTTTGTTCCCACCCCTTGGAAGGGACAAGGACATCTGCTGTGGTTCCGCGCTCCAGTGCTGCTGGACTCACCCCAGGCTCCCTGCAGGCTGAGCGCTGTGCGGTCACTGCCCATGCCCTTCATCTTCCAGCTCACTCGCACCCACACCCAGGACAGGCATTCATTTGCTCAGACAAAATGGGGATAAATAAGAACCACTGCTGGGCGTGCTGGTGCTGGCCTGTAATCACCTGGGAGACTGAGGCAGGGGGATCCTTTGATCCCAGGAGGCCATTGCTGCAGGGAGCCACCATGTTCCCACTACACTCCAGCCTGGGCGACACAGCAAGACCCTGTCTCAATAAAAAAAAAAAAAAAGGAAAAAGAAAAACCCGTCTACTGCCATCCGCTGAACGTAAAACAACAACAAAAAGCTGGACTGAATGTAAAACAACAAAAAACTGAACTGTCATTCCCAGCACTTTGGGAGGCCGAGGCGGGCGGATCACCTGAGGTCAGGAGATCAAGACCATCCTGGCCAACATGATGAAACCCCATCTCTACTAAAAAATACAAAAATTAGCGGGGCATGATGGTGTCCACCTGTAATCCCGGCTACTCAGGAGGCTGAGGCAGGAGAATCGCTTGAACCTGGGAGGCGGAGGTTGCAGTGAGCTGAGATCGCGCCATTGCACTCCAACCTGGGGGACAAGAGTGAGACTTCGTCTCAAAAGAAAAAAAAAAGTGTGGGGAAAAGAAGAGAGATGAGATTGTTACTGTGTCTATGTAGAAAACTCCATTTTGATCTGTACTAAGAAACATTGTTTCTGCTTTGAGATGCTGTTAACCTGTAATTTTAACAGAAACCTGTGCTCACAGAAACATGTGCTGTGTTGAATCAAGGTTTAATAGGTTCAGGGCTGTGCAGGATGTGCCTTGTGAACAATTTGTTTGCAGGCAGTGTGCTTGGTAAAAGTCATCGCCATTCTCCGTTCTCGATTAATCAGGGACACAGTGCACTGCGGAAAGCCGCAGGGACCTCTGCCCAAGAAAGCCTGGGAGTTGTCCAAGGTTTCCCCGCACTGAGACAGCCTGAGATATGGCCTCGTGGGGAGGGAAAGACCTTACCATCCCCCAGCTCCACACCCGTAAAAAGGTCTGTGCTAAGGAGGAGCAGTGAAGGAGAGAGGCCTCTTTGCAGCTGAGATAAGAGGAAGGCTTCTGTCTCCTGCTTGTCCCTGGGAATGGAATGTCTCGGTGTAAAGCCGACCATTCGTTCTATTCTGAGATAGGAGAAAACCGCCCTGTGGCTGGTGGCGAGATATGCTGGCAGCAATACTGCTCTGTTACTCTTCGCTACACTGAAATGTTTATGTAAAGTGAAACATAAATCTGGCCTATGTGCACATCCCGGCACAGTACCTTTCCTAGAACTCACTCATGATACAGATTCCTTTGCTCACATGTTTCCCTGCTGACCTTCTCTCCATCTGTTGGCCTGCTACACTCCCCTCGCTAAGATAGTAAAAATAATGATCAATAAATACTGAGGGAACTCAGAGACCAGCGCCCCTGCAGGTCCTCTCAGGCTGAGTGCGCCGGTCCCCTGGGCCCCCCTTTCCTTCTCTATACTTTGTCTCTGTGTCTTATTTCTTTTCTCAGTCTCTTGTCCCACCTGACGAGAAATACCCACAGGTGTGGAGGAGCAGATCCCCTTCAAAAAGGGTACATACTTCCTACTTTTTTGGATTGGGAAATGACCTTTCCTTTTTTTTTTTTTTTTTTTTTTTAGACGGAGTCTTGCTCTGTCACCCAGGCTGGAGTGCAGTGATGTGATCTTGGCTCACTGCAACCTCCACCTCTCGGGTTCAAGCGATTCTCCTGCCTCAGCCTCCCAAGTAGCTGGGACTACAGGTGCGTGCCAGTTTTTTGTATTTTTAGTAGAGACAGTTTTCACCATATTAGCCAGGCTGGTCTTGAACTCCTGACCTTGTGATCCACCCGCCTCTGCCTCCCAAAGTGTTGGGATTACAGGTGTGAGCCACCGTCCCCAGCCCTTGAATGATTTAATTAGTTAATTTATTTATTTTTGAGATGGGGTCTCGCTCAGTCACCCAGGCTGGAGTGCAGTGGTGCGATCTTGGCTCACTGCAGCCTTGACCTCCTGGGCTCAAGGGATCTTCCTGCCTCAGGCTGTGGAGTAGCTGGGACTACAGACACACATGCCACCATGCTTGGCTACAATTTTTTTTTTTATGGTGACAAGATATATATATATATATATTTAGAATTAGGCAGCTGGACTCAGTTTAGATGATCCCAATTTTGTTGGCAACATCCAACGCATCGTAATCAGGAGCCAGTCGAACACATGCCTTCTTCTCTCCATCAGGCGGAATCAGGGTGGTGACCTCGGCCACATCACCGTCATAGAGCTTCTTCACAGCCTGTTTGATCTGGTGCTTGTTGGCTTTAACATCCACAGTGAACAAAAGCGTGTTGTTTTCTTCTGTCCTCTTCACGGCCGACTCCGTGGTCAGCGGAAACTTGATGACAGCATAGTGGCCAAGCTTGTTTCTCCTGGGGGTGCTCTTCCAAGGATATTCAGGCCGCCTCCGGCGTCGCAGTGTCTTGGGCCGCTGGAAGGTGAGTGACGTGCGGGTCTTCTTTTTTATGTGGCTGTGGACACCTTTCAACGCTGCCTTCTTGGCCTTTAAAGCCTTCGCTTTGGCTTCGGCTTCAGGAGAGGCAGGAGCTTCCTTCTTTGCTTTCAGCGCCATCTTGTGAAAAGGCCAATTTTTTTTTTTTTTTTTTTTGGTTTTTTTTTTTTTGTAGAGACTGGGTTTCACCATGTTGCCCAGGCTGGGAAAATGACCCTTTTTTTATGAAAGAATAATAATGCATGATAGTTGAGCCTAAAAAAGCCCCAAAACTCTGGGGAAACTATTTCTGTCTGTGAAACTCTGATGTCTGGGCACCTGTGGTGTGGTTCATGCTGACAGGTTAGGGCACTGGGTCAGAAAGACAGGGTTACGGTCTGCACTCCTCCTGCCTGACCACAGAGTGAGAGAGACCCATCTCCTGCCCTCAGGAAACTCGGGGCGGAGTGGGAAGACAGGGTCTCCCATGTCTACCAGGTGGCCATGAACAGACAGAGGGAAACTCCTTTCAACCTGCAGAGCCTGGGAGAGTGTCCACAGAGAGAGAGGGGTCCTCACACAGTCTTGCACACAGGAAGCATTTGCAGGAGGTGCACAGGGTGGTTATTTGGAGAAAATTGGATTACGGCTTTTTTTTTTTGCTTTTATTTAACTTTTGATATTTTTATCCAAGACAACTATAATAATGCTTATTGCTGCTGGGCGAAGAGCACACCGACTGTGGAAAGCTGCTCCCACACCCAGCAACCCTCCCCTCCGGCCAGGCTGCAGGCAGCTGGAGTCTACCCTCACCCAGGCTCACTAGAGGGGGACCTGGGGAGGGGGCTTGAGGGTCTTCCTGTTTGTTTGGAAATACGATGCGTCCCTGTTATCCAGCAACTGGATTTTTCACTTTACTGACATTCCTTCTGAAGACACATTTATAGACCCATCTAAAAGTTGCATAAATATTCAGAGTAGGCCGGGCGCGGTGGCTCACGCCTGTAATCCCAGCACTTTGAGAGGCTGAGATGGGCAGATCACGAGGTCAGGAAATCGAGACCATCCTGGCTAACATGGTGAAACCCCGTCTCTACTAAAAATACAAAAAATTAGCCGGGTGTGTTGGCAGGCGCCTGTAGTCCCAGCTACTCGGGAGGCTGAGGCAGGAGAATGGCGTGAACCTGGGAGGCGGAGCTTGCAGTGAGCCAGGATCGCGCCACTGCACTCCAGCCTGGGCGACAGAGCGAGATTCCATCTCAAAAAAAAAAAAAAAAAAAAAAAATCAGAGTAGGCCGGGCGCTGTGGCTCATGCCTGTAATCCCAGCATTTTGGGAGGCCGAGGCGGGCGGATCATGAGGTCAGGAGATCGAGACCATCCTGGCTAACAGGGTGAAATCCCATCTCTACTAAAAACAAAAAAAATTAGCCAGGAATGGTAGCGGGCGCCTGTAGTCCCAGCAACTCGGGAGGCTGAGGCAGGAGAATGGCGTGAACCCGGGAGGTGGAGCTTGCGTGAGCCGAGATCGCATCACTGCACTCCAGCCTGGGCGACAGTGAGGCTCCGTCTCAAAAAAAAAAAAAAAAAAAAAATCAGAGTATATTATAGCATGATTTATTTACCCATTGCCCTCATGGAGCGCCCAGGTTTTTCCAAATACAAGCAGTTCTGCTGCAAACATCCTTGTGTGTCTGTCTCTAGGCCTTAGTGTTCTCCATTACATTTTTTTTTTTTTTGAGATGGAGACTTGCTCTGGTTGCCCAGGCTGGAGTGCAGTGGCCTGATCCCTGCTCACTGCAAGCTCCACCTCCCGGGTTCAAGTGATTCTCCTGCCTCAGCCTCCTGAGTAGCTGGGATTACAGGCTCATGTCACCATGCCTGGCTAATTTTTATATTTTTAGTAGAGACAAAAATAATTCGCCATGTTGGCCAGGCTGATCTTAAACTCCTGACCTCAGGTGACCCGCCCACCTTAGCCTCCCAAAGTGCTGGGATTATAGGCATTAGCCACCGCGTACGGCCTCTCCGTTACTTTTTTTTTTTTTTTGAGATGGAGTCTCGCTCTGTCGCCCAGGCTGGAGTGCAGTGGCGCAATCTTGGCTCACTGCAACCTCCACCTCCTGGGTTCACGCCATTCTCCTGCCTCAGCCTCTGGAGTAGCTGGGACTACAGGCACCTGCCACCACGCCCGGCTAACTTTTTATATTTTTAGTAGAGAAGGGGTTTCACCATGTTAGCCCAGGATGGTCTCGATCTCCTGACCTCGTGATCCGCCGGCCTCAGCCTCCCAAAGTACTGGGATTACAGGCGTGAGACACCGCGCCCGGCCCTCTCCATTACATTTTAATGTTGGCACAATAATTTTCAGAAGGTTGAGGGGGTTCACATGCCTGCCAGCAAAGTGTGAGCATCTGTTGTGGCAAGGGCTGCGTGGCTGTTTTTTGACAAAGTGGCTTGTTTTGTTTCCCTGACCAGTAGCCTGACTGAGCTGTGTTTCCTGTTACAGAAGAGTCTCTCCATTGCCAACACTCTGTGACTTAGCAGACGTCTCTGGACTTCCGTCTGGGGATTCTTACCCACCTTCAAGTTCACCAGCCCTCAGCTGGAGCACTGGAAGTGGGGGCTCTGCCGCTTCTCTCCCTCTCCGGTGGGTGACTTGGGGCACAGGAACCTCAGACTAAGGTGACTCACTCAGGGGAGGGCAGTGGGAGGAGGGGGGCTTGGGCCCAGCCTGGAGCAGGGACTGGGTCTGGAGCAGTCCTGGGTGCTGGTGCTGACCTTGGTTGCTGGGTGCAGTCCGGCACAGCACACTCAAATCACGGCTCAGCAAAATCTGCAATCTGACCTCCGTGCCTTTAAAATGAGAACCCCTGGGAGCCCCCCTTTCCCCTCAGTCGGGGCTGAGGACGGCCCAGCTGGGATTCCCGGGAAACAAAGGGTCTCTTTAAGGCTCAGCCGGGGCTTCCTTCCTCCCCGGCCAACACCCTCCACCTCCGCTGCTCTGGCCTTCAGGGGTCTGGGCTCGTGGAGTCAGCTTCCCCTCCCCCGCTCCGTAAACCCTCACCACCCGCTGCGGCGTTCAAAAGGTACAAACAGGTATGGTCCCTGCGGCCATCCCCATCCCCACCCCGCCTCTCCTCCTCCAAGGTCAACCAGTGTAGCCGGTGCTGGATCATTCCAGACATTCGATGCCTTTGACACACACAAAGGAAACGTGTTTTTCTCCCTTTTCTACACAAATGGTAGAGCTTTGAACACACCGTTCTTCCTGTTCCTTTCTTGCAGCTACTGCTGCACCTGGTGGACCATTTCCAAGCAGCACAGCGCTTCCTGTCTTTCCTGTCTCGGCCACGCTCTGTCTCGTTTAGACCCCGTATGAATGATTTGAATGTCCCACCGGCCAGTGACACGCATGTAGGCGGTGCCACATTGACTCACTGGACGCATGCAGTGTGCCACTTCCGTGAACGTACCTGGAGGGAAAAACGCAGAGGTGGAATTCCCGAGGGAAGGTCATTGCTGCTGTTACTTCAGTGGACAAGTCGGGGGGGTTCCCACGAGGCTCCCACATCCTCTGCCTGCTGCAAGCAGTGTCTGTGGGCCACAGTCTCACCTGTTAGTACAGTTTTTATTTGCCAATGTGTTAGGTGAAAGGAAAAAGAAGTCACTTTAATGGGGTTTTCCTTTAATTTTTTTTTTTTTTAAACTTTTTACCCTCACATCCTGGGAAGGACACTTTAGTGTTTTGTTTTTTGTTTTTGTTTTTGTTTTTGTGTTTTTGTTTTTTGAGACGGAGTCTCGCTCTGTCGCCCAGGCTGGAGTGCGGTGGCGCGATCTCGGCTCACTGCAACCTCCGCTTCCCGGGTTCAGGCGATTCTCTGGCCTCAGCCTCCGGAGTAGCTGGAGTAGTTTTTAATTTGCATTTCTGCGCTGAGGGAGGAGGATCAGCGTATCCCTGGCAGCTGTCCTTCAGTATTTTCTAGGGGAGCGTTTCTGTGATTGATTTAGAGCTGTTTATTACTGCACTGTTACTAGTCTTATTAAGGTGAGCTCTGCGGTGTGAGCTGCAAGCTGTGTCCCCCACCTCCCAGTCGGGGGCTCGTCTTTTGGACTTCGCTTATGCAGTTTGGCTTTGCAGACGCCCCCACCCCCCTCCCACCCACGACGCGGCGGAACTTCTGGACTCTGTGCCACGCTTGGAAAAGCCGACTTGGCCCTAAGACGGAAAAAGCTTCCCCGAGTTTTCTAGGCTTTATCGCTTCCTTTTTTCGGCTCAAATCTTACATGGTGGGAATCCATCCAGGTGCAAAGCGCCGGGAGTTGATGCCACGCACCCGTGTGAACCGCCACCCCGATCGGGTACTACAGTCCCTAAACACAAGCAGCCTTCTCGTCTGTGCATAAAAGCGTGGATCTGACACGCACCTGCAGCGGCTCTGCGGCGTGAAGGCCGGCCCGGGGGTCCCCGTGCTGAGGCGCCTGACTCAGGCCCACGCGCGCCGGGCGGGGCAGGGCAGGGCGCGGGTTCCTCTCGGTCCCAGGCGGAGGTCGGCGCCTCTGCCCCCCGCGGGCTCCCCGAGCCTGCCACGGAGGTCCCGGCCGAGCGGAGCTGGGACTCAGCGAACCGGCGGGGAAGCCCCGCGGAGCCCACGCCTCGGGGAGAATTTCCTGCGTGTTCCGAGCGCGCCCGGCGCGACCTCTCCGTCCTGGGACCCCCGCGATCCCTCCATCCCGCGCCCTCCCTCCAGCGTCCCCCCGGACCGCGCGCGCCCCGGTCCGTCCCCCGCGCGCCCCACGTGACCCCTCCCCCCTACCGGCGCCCCACGTGACCCCTCCCCCCGGCGTCCGCGCCCCCCCCGGTCCCGCCCCCCGACCCCGCCCTCGCCTTCCCGGCTCGGCCTGCGGGGCGGGGCCTGCGGGCGGAAGTGCCCGGGGCGACGGCGGCGGGGACCGGCCGGGCCATGGGCGCCGGGGGCAGAGGCGGAGGCGGCAGAGGCGGAGGCGGCAGAGGCTGCCCGGGCGGCGGCGGGGGCCGGCGGCGCGGGACGCGGGCCGGGTAGCGCCGGGCCGAGCGCGGAGCCATGGGCCGGGCTGGCACCGGGACCGGGGGCGAGGCGGTGGCCGCGGTGGTGGCGGGGCCGCTGCTGCTGCTGCTGCTTGCCCGGCCCCCGCCTGCCTCCGCCGGCTACAGCGGGAAGAGCGGTGAGCGGGAGGCGCGGGCGCCATCGGGGGCGTGGGGCCGGGGCTGCGGGCGGGGCGGGATTGTGACACCCCGGGCGCACCTGTGCGCTCATCTGGCGCCGGCGCGGGGTTGGGGGTCCCCGCCGCGGGTTGGGGGTGCACAGTGGCCCTTTGGGGCGCTTCGTGTCCTAGGGGTCGAGGCGGACGGGACCCCGCGCTTCCTCCTCGGTCCCCCGATCGGGGTTGGGCCACATCGGCCCCTGGAGCGCCCCCTCCCCTCCCTCCTCCTCCCAGAGCGCCCAGGTCCGGCGCGCCCGGCGCGGGGAAGTGGAGGGGCCCAGGGGACTCTGCCCGGGACTCCAGCTGGGAGGAGTGGCTGGGCCGTGAGCTCACCGGCCGGGTCCGGCCTGAGAGAGGGGCAGAGCCGGGAGAAAGTTGTTAGACCCTGTAGCGGGGGCCCGTGGGCGTCATGGCTCCAGCCCTTCCGCAGTGACCCCCAGCCCTGGTACGGCCGCTTCCTGCCGCCGGCCCGGCTTCTGGGAGGAGGGACTCCCAGCTGGCGGAAGAGGGGCTGAGGAAAGGGCGCCCCTCTCCCCTCTTGTTGGGAAACTCGCCGGGCTCCCTTTGCATTTCTGTTCCCTGAGGGTCCCCGTCCCTGACTGAGGTCCAAGGAGGCGGCTGGACCAGGGAGAAGGCGTAGCCCTTCCACGGGGTAGGGACGTGGGTGTGGAGACCGTCAGGCCTTGGCCACCCTGAGATGGTGAGGACTTGCCCCGGCCTCTGTGGCCTGGGACTCTGGAGGGGCCGTGTCCTTTCTGGCCGGCTGGAAGTTCCCACACGTCCCCAGCCACGCGGGTGCCCAGGTGCCCGGCAGCTGATGCGGTGCTGTTCCCCGACTTCCCGGCCCCCAGCCCCTCCCCTCCCCTGCCCCTGAAATAATGCTCCTTTGAGCTCCTGTTTCTTTCGGGGGCTGTGCCTCCTGCTTTCTGAGCTTGGCACAGGTAGAGATGAAAGGCAGTTTTCCCCGAGGACCGTGCCCCGGATTAAATTGCTCCATGGCCAGGCGCGAAGCTCACGCCTGCAATCCCGCACTTTGGGAGGCTGAGGCGGGTGGATCACCTGAGGTCAGGAGTTCGAGACCAGCCTGACCAACATGGAGAAACCCCCTTCTCTACTAAGAATACAAAATTAGCCGGCAGTGGTGGCGCATGCCTGTAATCCCAGCCACTCGGGAGGCTGAGGCAGGAGAATCGCTTGAACCCGGGAGGCAGAGGTTGCGGTGAGCCGAAGTCGCTCCATTGCACTCCAGCCTGGACAACAGAGCGAGACTCCATCTCAAAAAAAAAAAAGAAAGACAGAAAGAAAAAAAAATAACCTGGGTGTGGTAATGTAAGCCTGCGGTTCCAGTTACATAGGAAGCTGAGGCTGCGGTGAGCCGTGTTCATGGCACTGCACTCTAGCCTGGGTGACAGAGTGAGACCCTCAGAAATACCAAAACCTTACTCCGTTGGAAACTGGCAAAGGAAATTCTCCTGTCCCAGAACTCAGGCCTGGTGAGGGGTTCCTGGGAGATGGAACCCCTGTGTGTGGACAGTGGAGAGGCCTGGTGTGCTGGCTCAGCCCCTCACTCCTCCCAGCCTGCCGAGGAGTAAGTGCTCTGTGGCGTTGTGGGTGGTCAGGGTCTCCCATGGGTGCCTGTCCCGGTTTGGAGGACGTGGGTCTGGGGTCTTCACTCAGGTTCCCAGGACAGGGCCAGGGACTTGCATTACCACCTTCCCCACCCAGCCCTGTGTCCGTGGAGGGGCTGTGGGGCAGGCAGGGGGCTGTGTAGCTGGCCCTCCTCACCCTGTGGTCACCTCGGCTCAGAGCACCCCTAACAGCCTGGTATGTGTGGGCAACTTGGGCAGGGAGCTTGGGCTGCAGAGCCCTGGGAGAGGCCTGGAGGGGCTGTGAGCCCTGGGAGTCGGGGACTGGGTGTTAGGACAACCTTGAACAGATCTCTTATCTCTGTGTACCTGCTGAAACTTCACAGCCACCAGCTGGGTTCTAGGTGCCCTCAGGCTGGCGCTCCAGGGCCAGAGGGGCTGAGGGCTTTGCCCCAGCAGCCCAGGGGCTGTGTGTGCTGCAGGTGGCCTCCCCTGCCTGCCCCCGCAGAGGCCGGCTTTCTCCGGGACACCGTGGTCCTGGGGGGCTGTCCTGCTTCAGCTCCCAGCACTTGAGCTTTCTCTGCCCACATTATCAGGCCACAGCCTGGTGGGTGGGACCTGGTGGCCAGCAGACACCTGGAAAGCCTGGAGTGCGTCGTGGGTGGAGCCTGGCCAGCCCCTGCCCAGTCGCCACGCCAGGTTCCCCTGGAGCTTGGCCTGGATTTGCCGACAGGCTGCTATTGGCAGGTGTATCGTTTCTTCTGGTGCCTCTATGGGAGGGTCACGAGGCTGGCAGGAGAGCCTGCTGCTCACCTGTCTCCCTCCTCAGGAGGGGCCTGGGCCTGAGCCAGCCACTCTCCAGTGAGACCTAGGCAGCGCTCCTGAGTGTGTGGGGAGGGGGAGCTGCAGCAGAGGGGAGGGTCCCGCCCCCTGCTGTGTCCACTGTGCTTTTCCTTCTGAAGCCTTTGTCGTTAATTAACCTCGGAGGGAGGGGCCCCCAAAGGGATGTGCCCTCCGCCCTGACCTACCCAGGAGAAGGCTGGGACCCAGGGAGGGAAGGATGCCCAAGGTCGCAAGGGCACGAGGCTGGAGCTGGCACGGGGGGCTGGGGGTGAGAGCCTGAGTCCTCGCCTGGGGCCATGAGCAGGATGTCTCCCACGGGCCCTTCTCCATCCCCGCACCAGGCGTGGGTGCGTTCCCTGAGGACAGTTAGGAGCCTTGCCCGCTTGGAACGCAGAGGGCAGCTGTCCCCTTGTTCTCATGACTGGCCAGGCTTCTGGCCTGGGTCCCTCCCACATGCAGTATCTCCCTCTGGGTAAGGGGAATTTGGGCTCCGGTCTCGCCGTGTCCAAAGTCATCATAGCCCAAGCAGGCAGCCAACCCATCCAGGGATGGAGATGTGGGAGGCTGAGAGGAGGTGGGAGGACCGTGCCTTGATATCCAGGGCATCTGTGATGAGGGGCGGGGGCTCCTTCCTGACACCTGCTGGGTCCTTCGGCTTCGACCTGGGTTGGCCATGGGGAGTGTAGTCTTCTAAGGTTGGAGGGGGTCCGGGTGGCAGTGCGGGTGGGGATGGCAGTCAGAGTGGCGATGGCAGTGCGGGTGGCGATGGCAGTGTGGGTGGCGATGGCAGTGCGGGTGGGGATGGCAGTGTGGGTGGCGATGGCAGTGCGGGTGGCGATGGCAGTCAGGGTGGCGATGGCAGTGCGGGTGGGGATGGCAGTCAGAGTGGCGATGGCAGTGCGGGTGGCGATGGCAGTGCGGGTGGCGATGGCAGTGCGGGTGGCGATGGCAGTGTGGGTGGGGATGGCAGTGCGGGTGGGGATGGCAGTGCGGGTGGCGATGGCAGTCAGGGTGGCGATGGCAGTCAGGGTGGCGATGGCAGTGCGGGTGGGGATGGCAGTGCGGGTGGCGATGGCAGTCAGGGTGGCGATGGCTGCTGAGGTACCCTGCGGCTTGTTTGGAAGCTGCTGCAGTGAGGCGGCAGCTGTGAAAAGACCCAGATGCCAGGAGGGTGGGATGTAGGCCATCTGGGGAGGGACAGCAGAGGATCTGGCTGAGGGGCCAGAGGGTGTCGGTGACCTTTGCCAAGGTCAGAGTTGGTGTGCCAAGATCTCCAGGTGGGTCCCCGGGGGCTTCCAGCCCTTTCCATCTGGGGGACTCGTCCTCCCCATCTGCGGCCCTGGAGGAGGGTCCCGGCCTGGCTGACACCTCCTTCTCCTCACAGAGGTGGGGCTGGTGTCCGAGCACTTCTCGCAGGCCCCGCAGAGGCTGTCCTTCTACAGCTGGTACGGCAGTGCCAGGCTCTTCCGCTTCCGCGTGCCCCCAGATGCTGTGCTTCTACGCTGGCTCCTGCAGGTCTCCCGGGAGAGCGGCGCTGCCTGCACCGACGCGGAGATCACCGTGTAGGTGGCTGCCCGCCCGCCTGCCCACCCTCCCGCGCCTGGCCAAGCCCTGTGCCTGAACCCGGTGCTGCTCTCCCGTCTCCAGGCACTTCCGTTCCGGCGCCCCTCCGGTCATCAACCCGCTGGGCACCAGCTTCCCGGACGACACCGCGGTACAGCCCTCCTTCCAGGTCGGGGTGCCGCTGAGCACCACACCGAGAAGCAATGCCTCCGTCAACGTTTCCCACCCGGCCCCCGGGGACTGGTTCGTGGCCGCCCACCTGCCCCCCTCATCCCAGAAGATCGAGTTGAAGGTGAGGGGGGCTGCCCTCCGGGATGGAGGCAGAGAACCTTGCGGCGATGGCCTGTCCCTGCCGTTCACCTCTTTGGGGTGGTCCTCGCTCTAGGCTCCACGCTGCACTCTGGGGCCAGCCCTGCTCCCTGCATGCCGGGGGCGTCTGGTGAGACCATGCCCTCACACCTGCATTCTCTGACACCGCCCCCGCCCACACCTGTTCTTTCCCTAGGGCTTGGCTCCCACCTGTGCCTACGTCTTCCAGCCTGAACTGCTGGTCACGCGGGTGGTCGAGATTTCCATCATGGAGCCGGACGTGCCCCTTCCTCAGACCCTCCTCTCCCATCCCAGCTACCTCAAGTGAGCGGGGGCCTGGGGGGCAGCCCGGCTCTGCCCTCCGGCCCCTTCTCAGATTCGGTGGAGTGGGTGCGAGAGCCTGGCCCTGAGTCCTGGGGTTGGGCTGGGAAGTGGTCCAGATGCCTGGCCCCCACCAGAGTGGGCTGAGGAACAGCAGAGCCTGGGCACGCTGCGTCCCTGGGCTGAGGAATGGCAGAGCCTGAGCCAGCTGTGTCCCCTCGCTGCAGGGTCTTTGTCCCCGATTACACGCGGGAGCTTCTGCTGGAGCTGCGGGACTGCGTGTCCAATGGGAGCCTGGGCTGCCCCGTGCGTCTCACCGTGGGCCCGGTCACCCTGCCTAGCAACTTCCAGAAGGTGCTCACCTGCACCGGTGCCCCCTGGCCCTGCCGCCTGCTGCTGCCCTCACCGCCCTGGGACCGGTGGCTGCAAGTGACAGCTGAGAGCCTGGTGGGGCCCCTCGGGACAGTGGCTTTCAGTGCTGTAGCTGCCCTCACAGGTGGGCCGCACAAGGGCTGGAGGGATGGCCCTGCCCCTCCCCAGATCCCCAGACTTTCCTCCAGCCAAACCCCTTGTCCTCTCGGCAGCTTGCAGGCCACGGAGCGTGACCATCCAGCCCCTTCTGCAGAGCAGCCAAAACCAGAGCTTCAATGCCTCCTCTGGTCTGCTGTCCCCGAGCCCCGACCACCAGGACCTGGGCAGGAGTGGCAGGGTGGACCGCAGCCCCTTCTGCCTCACAAACTACCCAGTCACGCGGGAGGACATGGACGTGGTGTCGGTGCACTTCCAGCCCCTGGACAGGGTCTCGGTGAGGGTGTGTTCGGACACGCCCTCCGTGATGCGGCTGCGCCTGAACACCGGCATGGACAGCGGGGGTTCCCTCACCATCTCCCTGCGGGCCAACAAGGTACCTGCTGTCTGCAAGCGGCCTGTGGCCTGGGCTCGGGCAGGGCGCCGGGCAACCCCTGCAGCGCCTCCTCATTTACCTTGGCACGGGACAGGCGGCACAGTGACACCAGCAGGCACGGGCCAAGACAGGGGCCCATGTTGGGGGGCCTCCCCTGCTGGGCAGCCTTGTTCCTGTCAACAGGCCCCGGGGCTGTGGGGTAGCTCGGGTCAGAGGTGGGGTGGAGGCAGGATGTCCCAGGGCCCGGGGAGGAAGGTCCCGGTGCACCGTGGGCCTGCAGGAGTCTCAGAGAAAGGCACCAGCACCGGCCGGGCGCGGTGGCTCACGCCTGTAATCCCAGCACTTTGGGAGGCCGAGGAGGGTGGATCACGAGGTCAGGAGATTGGGACCATCCTGGCTAACACGGTGAAACCCCGTCTCTACTGAAAATACAAAAATTAGCCGGGCGTGGTGGCGGGCGCCTGTAGTCCCAGCTACTCGGGAGGCTGAGGCGGGAGAATGGCATGAACCCAGGGGCGGAGGTTGCAGTGAGCCGAGATCGCGGCACTGCCCTCCAGCCTGGGCGACAGAGCAAGACTCCATCTCAGAAAAAAAAAAAAAAAGAAAGGCACCAGCACCAGGCTGAGCTGGCACGTGGGGCAGATGACCCCACTGCGGCCAGGGGCTGCTGGAGCTGAGCCGGCACCGCCTCCCTTTCCAGACAGAGATGCGGAACGAGACCGTCGTAGTGGCCTGCGTGAATGCTGCCTCGCCCTTCCTTGGCTTCAATACTTCGCTCAACTGCACCACAGGTATGATGGGCAGGCGTCACCGTCAGCGTGGCCCCGGCCAGCCCCCCGCCCCGGCCTCCTCTGATGGGGCCCTCTGGCTCCCCTGCAGCCTTCTTCCAGGGCTACCCTTTGTCTCTGAGCGCCTGGTCTCGCAGGGCCAACCTCATCATCCCCTACCCAGAGACAGACAACTGGTACCTCTCCCTGCAGCTCATGTGCCCTGAGAATGCTGAGTAAGTAAACCTAGGGCAGAGACGGGGGCCAGGCACCCTGTCATTTCACTCAGGACCACAGGCCGGGCTGCCTGAGGTTGGCGTTCGGAGTGACCCAGCTAGAGGGGTGCTTCCTCCAGGGCTGCTGAAAGCTGGGGGCCCTAATGCTGCGTTCTCATGTCTGTCAGCCTGTTGGGAGCGCTGGTGGCAGCTGGGCTGTCAGATCACTGCACCAGCTTTCCTGTGGCCCCTTCCTCAAAGGGACTGTGAGCAGGCTGTGGTCCACGTGGAGACCACCTTGTACCTGGTGCCCTGTTTGAACGATTGTGGACCCTATGGCCAGTGCCTCCTGCTCCGCAGACACAGCTACCTGTATGCCAGCTGCAGCTGCAAGGCAGGTGAGTGCCAGGGCCCCGCCCGCCCCGAGACGCTGCTGCTGTTGGCTTCCAGTGCTGTGCTGTGCCTTTCCCCTGGGGGAGCGCCGCAAGGGGCTGGAGAGAGACCCTTGCAGAGCAATGCAGGGGCAAAGCCTCCTCCCCACTCCCCCATTCCCCACCAACAATCCGTCTGCCTGGCACAGGCACCAGGTATCCCCGGGGGGTGGTACTGCCTCCTGACCTTGGACCCCGCCCGCCGTGCCTACCCTGCTTGCTCCTGGGTGAGGAAGGGGCTTCTCTGCAGGGTCCTGGGTGAGGGGTGGGCCCTGAGGTTCAGCAGTGCCCCCAGCCTCCGCGTCGGGGTTTTGTGACCGCAGGCTGGCGTGGGTGGAGCTGCACGGACAACAGCACAGCCCAGACGGTGGCCCAGCAGAGGGCGGCCACACTGCTGCTCACGCTCAGCAACCTCATGTTCCTGGCCCCCATCGCCGTCTCAGTGCGGCGATTCTTCCTGGTGGAGGCCTCCGTCTACGCCTACACCATGTTCTTCTCCACGGTAGGCTGGCCCCTCCTGCAGGGATGTGGGGTGGGAGGGCAGGACCGCGCTCATGGAGCCTCCCCACAGTTCTACCACGCCTGCGACCAGCCCGGGGAGGCGGTGCTGTGCATCCTCAGCTACGACACGCTGCAGTACTGCGACTTCTTGGGCTCCGGGGCGGCCATCTGGGTCACCATCCTGTGCATGGCACGGCTCAAGACAGTCCTGAAATACGTGAGTGGCCCTCGACGTGGGGTGTGGGCTCCGGGGGAGCAGGGCCCCCAAGTGCAGCCTGCGAAAGGCAGTACCGTGGGAGAGGCCGGACCTGGCGTTGGGCACGGCCCCTGGAAACCTCACATCTCGGCCGAGCATGGTGGCTCACACCTGTAATCCCTAGGCCGAGCATGGTGGCTCACACCTGTAATGCCTTGGCCGAGCATGGTGGCTCACACCTGTAATCCCAACACTTGCAGGAGGATCCCATGAGGCCAGGGGTTCAAGAGCAGCCTGGGCTGTACAAAAAATCGAAAAGTTAGCCGAGCGTAGTGGTACATGCCTGTGGTCCCAGCCACTCGGGAGACTAAGGTGGGAGGATCGCTTGATCCCAGGCATTGGAGGCGTTGGAGTGAGCCGAGGTCACAGCACTGCACTCCAGCCTGGGTGACAAAAGAAAAGAAAAGAAACCTCATGTCTTCTGTGATGCCACACGGAGATGCGGGTCTGAGACCCCGCAGGCAGTTGTGAGGGGGCAGTGCCAGCTGTTTGGAGGATGCCAGGAAGGAAGGTGGTAGGCAGGGGAGGCCAGGCCCCCTGCCTTCGAGAAGCCCCCACCCATGCTCCCTGGGTCCTTGGGGCCAATGATGCTTTGGGGACTCTCTGTGGCAGCTGGCCCTGGCAAGGGGAGACTCATGCCCTGGGCTTGTGAGCTGCATGCTCTGCCCTCCCATCTGCTCTGGGAACTGCAGGCTGGGTACTGCCCCAAGGGGGTGCCCATGGGAGCCCCACAGCCAGGGCAGAGGGGAGGCTGGGAAGCACCAGGGTCCTGCAGGGCTGAGTGCGGGGCCTGAACCTGCAGATAGGCAGAGAACTGTAGGCTGTGGGCAGAGGTGTCTGATGGAGACTGGGGGGTGGGAGCCCCTCCCCATGGAACAGTGGGTGGGAGACTGAAGCCACCCTGATGGGGGACTTCTAGAAACCCAGTGGTACAGGGGGCTAGTGAGTGTGTGGGTGCAGAGCGGCCATATGCGTCTGTCCAGTTTGTGTGAGCATCGTCTAATCCCCCAGAGATGCCTGCCTGGCCACATTCACCTGTGGATGCAATACAGAAGCTGAAGGAGGGGCATGTCCCTGCCGGCTGGCAGAGCTAGTCAGAGGCTGGCAGAGCTGGTCTGAGGGTGGCAGCAGCTCCGAGGGGGCAGGCAGAGGTGCTGTGGGGCCGTGGGGTACGCGTGCTCCTGCTGGGCCTTGAGCCCTCAGAGACGTCCCTGCAGTCATCCCTGTGTCTTGCGCAGGTGCTGTTTCTTCTGGGTACACTGGTCATCGCCATGTCCTTGCAGCTGGACCGCAGGGGCATGTGGAACATGCTGGGGCCCTGCCTCTTTGCCTTCGTGATCATGGCCTCCATGTGGGTAAGGAGCCGGGCTGGCTGGCACTGCTGCCCAGGTGCTCGGAGAAGAGAGCCTGGCCCCTTGCTCTAGCCACGTTCCTGGTCCTGCTCCAACCAGTGAATGCCCATATCTGCTGGGGGTTGCCATGGCACCCACAGAGGCCCAGCATGGCTGTGTCCCTGAGGCCTGGGCCTGAGGACCAGTGGCCTTGAGCCCCCTCGAAGCAGCCCACCCTTGTCGTTCTGCTGCCCAGACCTGGGCAGGCCCCCAGTAACCACCGTATCTGGGCCCTGGGAGCTGCAGCCGCGGCCCCACCTGCACTGATACCTGCGTGGCTGTTTTCTCCAGGCTTACCGCTGCGGGCACCGGCGCCAGTGCTACCCCACCTCGTGGCAGCGCTGGGCCTTCTACCTCCTGCCCGGCGTCTCTATGGCCTCTGTGGGCATCGCCATCTACACCTCCATGATGACTAGCGACAACTACTACTACACCCACAGCATCTGGCACATCCTGCTGGCCGGGAGCGCAGCCTTGCTGCTGCCGCCACCTGACCAGCCCGCCGAGCCCTGGGCCTGCTCGCAGAAATTCCCCTGCCACTATCAGATCTGCAAGAACGATCGGGAGGAACTGTACGCAGTGACGTGACACTGGCCTGGGGACAGCTGCTGCTCTGATGACCTCTTCAGCCAGGAGCTGTATCGAGGGGGAGGCGCCTGGTCCAGCCCTGGACAGATTGATTTCCAGCTGAATAAATTGGCCTAGATACCCTCTTACTTCCTCCTACTGAGGAGAGGGCCACCCCTCCCTCACACGCACCTCTCCTCGCCAGCTGCCTGCTCGCTGCTGAGATCCCTCTGCAGATCCCAGCTGCTGTCTGCAGTGGCCCCTGGGGCCTGGGCTTGGTTACTTGGAGACCACAGGTGCCTGTGCGAGGGTGGGGCTGTGTGCTCTGCTGGCCTGTGGGTGGCTAGAGATGGGGAGAAGGACTCCCTATGGTCCTGTTCCCTGGCGAGGCTGTGGTGAGACCCATGGCGCCCAGGAGCCCTGAGCCCACCACTGGGGCCGGGAGCTGTGGACTCCGAGACCCCTGCTCCTGGCCCCTGTGTGGCCCTGATGCCAGCCTGCCTGGGGCATGGAGGATCCCCCTCTGCTGCTGTGGTCACCATAGGGACGGGAGACGGAGGTTTCCCCCAGAGCTGATGGGCACTGGGGATGCAGGCTCCCGCCCCGCCCCTCCCTTTTTCCTGGCTCTGGAGCCTTGGGTCCCTGAGAAGAGCTTCCTTGGACTGGGGTGCTCTGCTGCTCTGGGGGTTTGGCCCAGAAGGAACCCCTACCCAGCCCTGTCCACCCACCCCAGCGTTCCTGGGCCCCCCTCTGGGAGCTTCCTCTTGGTCCCAGGAGCTGCGGTGGTGTCTGCCCCCTGCACTGGGCTCTGTGCCCTGTGGGTGTTCAGGAGACTGGACTGTCTCTGCTCCTCATGCAAACCTTGTGGGGGAAGCAATGACCAGGAGCAGCACCTGGCCCCTCCCTGAGGCCTGTGAGTGTCTCGGATCCGCCCTGGAGAAGTGAGTGGCTGAGACCCGGGTGGGGCCCTCCTACCCTTGGCTCTGGGGGCTTCCCTTCTGGGTCTTGTCCGGGATATGGCCTTCCTGAAGGTCTTACCTCCCCCAGCCGCCCTGCACTTGACCACCAAAGCAATCTCTAAGCTTATAAAGGAGAAACATATATATATGGGGTTTTTTGGAGTAAAGGAAAATTCTAAGATATTAAGACATATTTTTATGTAGATCTGATCTATCTGTGTTTGGTGAATTTAATATTCTACATTGATTTTTCAAACTAAACGAGTTTTTACATTTTTTCTGTGCTCCTTCCCGGGTAGGGTAAGTGGGGCCCGGGAGAACAAGCACCGCCCCGCCCGTGCCGCCCTTCGCGGAAACGCCGGGGCCGCACGTAGCTAACGGTGCCTTGAGCTGCTGCTGCTGTATGTGGGGTGTTTTTTACGGTCCCTAAAGACGGAAGCGGGGCGGGACGAGGGGGTAGACGGATGGCTTTTACAGCCAGTCAGCGGTGGGAGGAGGGCCAGGCGCGGCAGATCGGCTTCCGGTTCCGGTGGGCTCTGAACCCTGAAAGGTGGGCGCGGGCAGGTGGGGTGTGGGGGGGCGCCGGGGCAGAAGGGGAGGGGCAGGTGGGTGCGGGACAGGGGCCGGAGTGAGAACCGGGGGCCGGGGTAGGGGGTAGCGGGTGAGAGCCGGGGGCCGGGGTAGCGGGTGAGAGCCGGGGGCCGGGGTAGCGGGTGAGAGCCGGGGGCCGGGGTAGCGGGTGAGAGTCGGGGGCCGGGGTAGGGGGTGAGTGCCGGGGGCCTGGCCAGGCTGCGACTGACTGCGAGCCCCCACCTCCCGCCAGGCTCGCGATGCCTCTACACAAGTATCCCGTGTGGCTCTGGAAGCGGCTGCAGCTGCGGGAGGGCATCTGTTCCCGCCTGCCCGGCCACTACCTGCGCTCCCTGGAGGAGGAGCGGACGCCCACTCCCGTGCACTATAGGCCTCATGGGGCCAAGTTCAAGATCAACCCCAAGAACGGGCAGCGGGAGCGTGTGGAGGACGTGCCCATTCCCATCTACTTTCCCCCCGAATCCCAGCGGGGGTTGTGGGGCGGCGAGGGCTGGATCCTGGGCCAAATATATGCCAACAACGACAAGGTGGGTCCGCAGGCGGCCTTCAGGGGCTCCTCTCAGGGCTTGGCTGTGCCGGCTCTGTGCCGGACGCCCGGGGTACCTGGAGAGACCTGGGTGGGCCCTGGGGATTACAGCCTGGAGGCGACACATCTCCGGCAAAGGAGCACGCTGAGTGAAGAACCGCAGTTCTGGCAAACAGGACTGATAAAGTAGGGGTGAGGTGGGGTGACTCAGGCCGGGGGAGCAACCAGAGGCCGTGGGGAGTCGGGGTAAAGTTAGGATGGGGAGGAGGCCTGTGTGATGAGCAGAGCAGGTGGGAGAGGCGAGCAGAGCAGGTGGGGGAGGCGAGCAGAGCTTCGAGGCTGCTTGTGGTGGACTTCCTGGCGGGACTGCTGAAGCCTGTGGGGAGACTTGTGTCACCTCCAGGTTGGAATGTGACAACCTGTAAACTGTGGGGTCGCACATGTTTCTGAAACACATGCAGCAACCATGTGACCAGGGCGGGAACGCCCAGCTTGTTGGGGAGCAGCTGACTTCTGGGTACACAGTCAGGACCCGGGTCGGGCTGGGGCGGCACTGGGCTGGGGGCCGGCCCAGTTAGCTCTAGGTCCCCAGTCTGACAGCAGTGGTTCTGTGATGGAGCCTCCGGGGGGGAGGTGAGGGCAGTTGCCTGGGCCCCCCTTGGTATGTAAGAGAAAGCAGCAGTACTCATGGAGGCTCTGTTGCACCCTCAGCTCTCCAAGAGGCTGAAGAAAGTGTGGAAGCCACAGCTGTTTGAGCGAGAGTTCTACAGTGAGATCCTGGACAAGAAGTTCACAGTGACTGTGACCATGCGGACCCTGGACCTCATCGATGAGGCTTATGGGCTCGACTTTTACATCCTCAAGGCAAGCGGGGTGGGGCGAGTCAGTGCACACAGGGTCTGGGATGGGCCAGTCAGACTCACGGGAGCCCCAGGTCAGCATCACACCGGGGCACGCTGACATCTGCACAGGAGGGTCACTGGGAAAGCGTGAGTGGGGCCATGCCCCTTTCTGGCCAGCACCAGTGGGGTTTCCTGCCTTCAGGAGAGGCTGTCGCTCTGTGGGTGGCTGACTTGCCCGTGGGGCCTGAGCGAGCACAGCCGCCCCTTTCCCTGCACTTGGACTTGCTTCTGTGCTGATCCCACCCCCCAGGCTGGGGTGCTGAGGCGGCCCCACCCGGGCCTTCTCTGTCCTGTCCTGGGACCACCAGCGGCTAGAGAGGAGCCAGGTGGGTTGGCTGGAAGGGTAGGTGGGGCCCTGCCACCAGCACCTGGCCCCATGTGAGCCTTCTGCCAGACCCCGAAGGAGGACCTGTGCTCCAAGTTTGGGATGGACCTGAAGCGAGGGATGCTGCTGCGGCTTGCCCGGCAGGACCCCCAGCTGCACCCCGAGGACCCCGAGCGGCGGGCAGCCATCTACGACAAGTACAAGGTGAGGGTTTCCGTCCCGCTCCCTACACCTGGGGACTCGTGGCCCGGCCCTGGGCCTCACTGCCCTTTCCATCTCTGCCTGCCTAGGAATTTGCCATCCCAGAGGAGGAGGCAGAGTGGGTGGGCCTCACGCTGGAGGAGGCCATTGAGAAGCAGAGACTTTTGGAGGAGAAGGTGAGTGTGTGAGCACCAGCCGATGCTGCCTGCCCAGAGCCTGGTGTTCAGGGTCTGGGAGTGTGCTGCCTTGGAGAGAGCCTGCACAAGGGGCTGGTGCACTGGGTGGGCTTGGGGAAGAGCTGCTGCTCTGCATTGCCCACCCAGAGGAGCATGGCCCGCTCCCTCCCCTCCAAGTCCCCACCCTGTTCTGTCCCAGGACCCTCAGTAGGAGGAGTGGGTTCCTGCACTGAGGGTTTGCTCGGCCACCAGCATCCCAGGGTCTGGAGCCTGAGGTAGCTGTCAGGACAGGGAGCCCCTGATGGCATGGCAGCTGGCTGCCCCTATTCCCTCTGTTTATCCATGACCACAGGGATGGGACAGGGGTATGTGTGTGCCTCCGGCATCCCCAAGGGAGGGGGTTCCTCATCTCACCGACAGGACTCTGCCCTCCAGGGCCTCTCATGCCCCGGTTCCTCTGGGCGGCAGCTGCTGATCCCATCCCCGTCGGAACTCCAGCTGCCCTGGGCTTCCCTGGCCTCACCATGAGCCCCTCTCTCCTTCAGGACCCTGTACCCCTGTTCAAGATCTATGTGGCGGAGCTGATCCAGCAGCTGCAGCAGCAGGCACTGTCAGAGCCGGCGGTGGTGCAGAAGAGAGCCAGTGGCCAGTGACCACACAGCTCCTCCATGCCTGACCAACAGGCCCAGCTTTCCCTGCCAGGCCCTTTGCACTGAGGACACAGATCCCGGGGAGCTGTGAGGGCCACCGGTGGGCAGTGGGTGGATCCTGGTTTCGTGTGCTGCCCATGCACCTTCCAGCCCGGGGCCAGCTTGGCAGGGATCCCCAGGAGGCCTGGGCCGCCCAGAGGCTCCTCTCAGGCTGGGCCCCGACGTTTGCGGCAGTGTTCCTTGTGCCCGTGGGGCCGGGAGCGAGTAAAGTCTGGGCCAGGCTGTGTGTGTGTATCTTTGCTTTGAGGACTGGTGTTCTCTTTGGGGATCCTGATCCTGTCACCCCTGCCCTTGCTGCCCCTGAGACCTCGGATGAGCCGTGGGCATTGACTCTGGCTGTGCCCGTCCCCCGGTGAGCTGCAGAGAGCGAGGTTCAATTCTGTGTTTTGTGTTTTTTTTTCTTTTCTTTTTTTGAGACGGAGTCTTGCTCAGTCACCCAGGCTGGAGTGCAGTGGCACGATCTGGACTCACTACAACCTCCACCTCCAGAGTTCAAGTGATTGTCCTGTCTCAGCCTCCTGAGTAGCTGGGATTACAGGCACCCCGCTATCATGTATGGCTAATTGTATTTTAGTAGAGAAGGGGTTTCACCATGTTGGCCAGGCTGGGCTTGAACTCCTGACCTCAGGTGACCCACCTGCCTCAACCTGCCAAAGTGTTGGGATTACAGGCGTGAGCCACCTCCCCTGGCCGTATTCTGTGTCTTTCTTTCCTCTGGTAGAGGGTCTGGTGTAGCTGGGGGCATCCAGGGGTGCAGCCGGATGATGCCCATTCCCTCTCCATTGCACATTCCTGCCCTTCTCGAACATTCTTCAGAGCAGGGCAAGGGAGGCTGTGGTCTGGCTCTGCAGGTACTGGAAGGAACCAGGAGGGGCAGGCCCTCAGAGGGCCGTGCTGGTGCAGCTGCCTGAGTCAGGAGCCTCTCCCTGGTCAGCACTGTTGTGGCGAGTGGTAGAGGAGGTGGGGGCGACACGAACTTGGGGACCTGCGACCTTGGTGTCCCCTCCTGCTACCTCCACCTGACCTGCAGGGTGGAGGTTTGGCCAGCGGGAAGCCGGGCTGTGCACCCTAAGGCATTTCCCGCCCTGAGGTTTTGGGGGTACCTGACCCTCTCCCCCAACCCTTACCTGGAAATCCTGATCCTCCGGACCCATTCGGTTTTCCCAGGGAGCACAGAGGGAGGGCTCCCCCAGCTGCATGTGCAGAATGACAAGGGGGGGTTTATGTCCCCTGAGCCTAAGCCAGCCCCAGCTGGTGGCAGGATGGGGTGAACTGGAGGCAGCTGCCTGACGTGGGCCTGCTGGCTGATTGAGGGGCCCCTGGCTCCCAAGGGGGCTGTGGCAGAGTCCAGAGGGAGTCTGCAGTTGGCCCTGCTGGACTGCAGGGGAGCACGTGGCTCCCGGGGCCGCAAGGGGTCCCTGGGGTCAGGACCTGCCTGGTTCAGAGCCCTGGGAGGGCCCCCGAGGTCTCTTTCCACACCGGGCACCTCTGCCGACATGTCCTGCTGCTCCCCACACCAGTGCCTTCATGTGATGCCCCTGCTCTGTGAACGACCTTGAAAAAAATTTTAGGCCAGGCACGGTGGCTCACACCTGTAATCCGAGCACTTTGGGAGGCCGAGGCGGGTGGATCACGAGGTCAGGAGATAGAGACCATCCTGGCCAACACGGTGAAACCCCATCTCTACTAAAAATACAAAAAATTAGCTAGGCATGTTGACACATGCCTGTGATCTCAGCTACACGGGAGGCTGAGGGAGGAGAATCGCTTGAACCTGGAAGGCAGAGCTTGCAGTGAGCTGAGATTGCACCACTGTACTCCAGCTTGGGTGACAGAGCGAGACTCTGTCTCAAAAAGAAAAAAAAAAAGGCCGGGCGCAGTGGCTCACGCCTGTAATCCCAGCATTTTGGGAGGCCGAGGCGGGCGGATCACGAGGTCAGGAAATCGAGACCTAACACGGTGAAACCCCATCTCTACTAAAAATACAAAAAAGTTAGCTGGGCATGGTGGCAGGTGCCTGTAGTCCCAGCTACTCGGGAGGCTGAGGCAGGAGAATGGCATGAACCCGGGAGGTGGAGGTTACAGTGAGTGGAGATCGCACCACTGCACTCTAGCCTGGGCGACAGAGCGAGACACCGTCTCAAAAAAATAAATAAAAATCATACCGGGCACTGTGGCTTACACCTATAATCCCAGCACTTTGGGAGGCTGAGGCAGGCAGATCACCTGAGGTTAGCAGTTCAAGACTAGTCTGGACAACATAGTGAAACCCCCATCTCTACTAAATACAAAAATTTAGCCGGGTGTGGTGGCGCACACCTGTAATCCCAGCTACTTGGGAGGCTGAAGCAGGCGAATTGCTTGAACCCGGGAGGTGGAGGTTGCAGTGAGCCACGATTGCACCATTGCACTCCACCTGGGCAACAAGAGCAAAACTCTGTCTCAAAAAAAAAACACTTTATGAAAAACAGACAGTGCTCAGTCAGCTCTGTGGGGCCATGAGGCTCAGCCCAGCTGCCCACAGCATGAGTGCTGTTCCGTGCCCCAGCTCTAGCCAGAGTTGGGATGTTGTGGCCACGCCCTGCCCTGCACAGTTCCCGTGTTCAGCTGTGAACTTAAGCCAAGCCCCCTCCAGCCCCTCGGCCTGCCCCTGACTCCCTGATGGTGTGTGTGTCCAGCACCTCCCAACTCAGGCCTCGGTGGCTGCCCCTCACTCACCACCTGCTCTTTCCCACCCCAACCAAGCCCCACGGTAAGCAGGGCTCCTGCCAAGGCCTGTAGGGCTTCCTGGGTCAGACTCTGGGGGCCCCAAGAAGTTAGGGGCCAGGCTTGGCAATGGGCTGGTAGGCGCTGGCCTCGGTCCCCCTGTCGGCCATGGTGGCACGTGCTTATCAGTGTGTCCTGACTTGTGTTGACTCAGGGTTGTGGGTTTGGGACCAGGCTACCAGCTGGCCAGTGGGAGAAGCTGCATTTGGCCTCAGCAGGTTACCTCCTCTGCCAGTCACCTCGATGGAACCCATGGCTGTTTAGTCCTCCCGCAGGGGAGGCCAGGCCAGACTGAGGTGGGGTCTGGGTGTGGCCAGGGCCCTGACAACTTTCTGGTCAGAGGCCACAAAAGTCCTTGACTGAGAAAAAGGTAAGAGGCCTTCCGTAAATGCCGGACCCATCCCTCAAGACCAAACCGTGACTCAGGTCTGGGACAGACCCAGCAGCTGGATCCAGCATGCTATTCTGCCTTCTGGGTTGTGGGGAGGGGTCCCAGGGACTGTACCGGCTCCAACATGTGTGTGGGGAACTGAGAACTGAGCTGGGAGCCCGGGCAGCCAACCTGGGAATGGCTGCTGGCCACCCCTCCCCGCCCTCCCCGCCCTCCCCACGCCCACCCCGCCCTCCCCGCGCCCACCCCACCCCTTCCCTGCCCTCCCTATGCCCACCCCACCCCTTCCAGAGCCAGGCCGGGCTGGGGCCACCAGACCCTCCTTCTGCCATCCTCACCAATCACACCTGTCAGGCTCCTTCCTGAAGTGTTGGACTCCGTCTCTGAGAACGGCCAGTTCTCCCTCACTGAGGCGTGCAGACCCTCAGGCACCTGGAGTGGGAGAGGGATCTGTGCAGAGCAAGATCAACCCCACAGGAGGCAGAGCTGCCCTGGGCCGGCCTGCACCAGCCCCAGCCTCTCGGAGCCCTCAGGGGCCAGGAGTTCCCCACGCGTGTCCCAGGCTTGGCAGAGGCCATGTGTTTCCATGACAACAGTCAGCCGCGGTGTCGGGCAGAGAATGGGCTGTGGACCTGAGGGTGGACTCCGGGGTGGACCCTCACGGCTATGGGCAGGGATCCCTTGGGGGTAGAAAACTGGAGGACTGGAAGGGGTGTCAGTGACCCCATCACTCCACATAGAGACGGGGAAGCCAAGGCCAGGAAGGGTAGGGTGGAGTGGATGTGAGGCTGGCCTGAGGCACCCAGTCACAAGTCCATGTCTGACCCCTGACCCCAAGGGTCTCGCCTGCTTCCTGAGTCCTGCTCAGGTGCACAGAGCAGCAGGATAGTGGAGGGAAGGGCATGGAGAGCGGGCGGGCCCTCTGGGTCGCTTGGCAACTCTGCTCCTGTCCTGTGCCCCCGTCAGGGTGCTGGGAGCCCAAGGGAGCTGCCGGGAGACCACTGTGTGTCCCGCGGGCCTGCTTAGGGCTCCGCCTCCACCTTCAGTCCTTGGCCGCCCTCGCCCTCTCACCAGTGCCCGTCTGTAACTCCAGCCCTCTGCTGGCCCCAGGCACGGGCTGGATTGTGTGGGGCTCCCAGGCTCCCTTGAGTCCCTGTCCCTCTGACACCCACCAGCCACCCAAGCTGGAACCCTGGCCACATGGCCACACCCAGCAGCCTGGGCTCCCGTGCGGTCCTGGCTCCCTCTGCCGCAGCGCCCCGCAGCCCTCCCTAGGCGGGCTCCAGCCTTGGACCATCCTCCCTAACCACTGCCTGCTGTCCTGGGATGGTGTCCCTACCCACATCCTGTCCCCAGACAAGCTGGTAGCTCTGAGCATGGCATGGGAAGGGCTTCAAGGCCGGGTTCCATCCTGGGACAGGCGGCTCACAACCAGGCCAGTGCGAAGAAGCTTGGATCCGGACCCAGAGTCCTGGGGGAGCAGCCGCGGCCCGAGACCCCCGGCGCCCAGAGTCCTGGGGGAGCAGCCGCGGCCCGAGACCCCCGGCGCCCAGAGTCCTGGGGGAGCAGCCGCGGCCCGAGACCCCCGGCGCCCAGAGTCCTGGGGGAGCAGCCGCGGCCCGAGACCCCCGGCGCCCAGGCCCATGCCAAGCCCGGTTCCCTGGGACTGGCCCCGAAGTCGCTCTCTTGAAGGTGGATCCCCATGGACCATGCTCCAGGCTCCCCTGGATCCCGGGTCCCTCTGATGGCCTTGGTAGTGGCCTCCCTGGGCTGCAGCAGCCCAAGGCTCTCGCTTGCTCCTTGCAGTCCTGCAGCTGTTCATCACCAGATTCTGCTCATCGGGTGCTGGGCCTGGGCCAGGAAGTGGGACTCAGCTTCCCGGGCTTAGGGGAAGCCTTCGAAGGGGTCTTGGCCAGGCAGTGCTGCTGTCAGAGCGCGTGGACAAGCCAACACTGTTTCTGGCTGTCACGGGGCTGGGGGCAGGGGGTGGTTCCGGGGATGCTCAGTGCCCTGCAGTGCCCAGGATGTCCACGGGTGACGGTTGAGAAGCCTCGTCTCCAGACATACGGGAAAGCTTTGCCAGGGGCCAATGCTGGTGCGCCCTGGAGGGAAGAGGCGTTCTTGGGACGCAAGAGGGCACTGCAGCCCAGGGGAGAGCGGGTGCAGCCGCAGGTGTGTGACTGATGGCGAGACGGTCTCCTCAGTGTGGCCAAAGACCCAGAGTCCTGCCCAGTGGGAACCCAAGGTCCAGGGAGCAAGGCCTCGGGAGGGGCCTCAGGGGGCTTGTGAGACGGGACTGTGTGAGCACGTGCACGTATTCCACAGGCCGCAGCTAACGAGAGGGTGGCGGAGTGGACTGTGGGCGGAGAGAAAGCTGGCAGCCTTTGCCGTCTGAGGTGGGCGAGAGCTTGGCTCTGCCCAGTGGGGCTGGGAAGTTCTCCCTGCTCCCGCTTCCACTGCTCCCACCCTTTATTTTCCCACCAGACTGGGCCTGGCCTTCAGCCCCTGAGGCAAGCCTGACCTGAAGTCCTCCTCTCAGCAGGGGCTGCAAGGCCAGTGCTTCTGCCTCTGCTGGGGGTAAGGCAGGGCACAGAGTGGCCCCGGACAGGCCAGGAGAGGGGCAAGGACCCCACACACTGGACATGAATGAAACACACGGAAACGCTTAACAGCTGTTGTGGGGACAGCTACCATGCAGCCATGCCCACCTCGTTCCTCCAAGGGGACCCTGGCATGGGCCCACGGGCAGTGCCGCCTGCTCCCTCAGCAGTCAGGAGTGGCTCGGGGGTGGCGGTGTCTAAAGGGGCTGGTTGCCATGGCTACCATAGGGTTCTGAGGCCCGTCATCTGGTCCCTGCCTCAGCCAATCGGCGGCAGGAGCCCGAGCTGCAGCCCAGAGTCACGCTTCTGCCTCCCAGCCACACAGTGGCCAAGAGCAGGGACCTGCTTCCCAGAGTGGCTGAAAGTGCTCGGACGGACGGCCAAGCCCATCATGGCGGACAGCGGGACGGTGGGGCGTGAGCAGGCACACGGAGCCAGGCAGGTGAGGTAAGCCGGGCAGGCGGCCGGGCGGACAGGTGGACGCGCCTCCTCTGCCCATTGTTCTCGCGGCTGCGGCCCTGCCCTCGGCCCACCCCACCCTCGAGTGCAAGCCCACACGCAGCGCCCGCACCCTCACCCTCAGACCCTCTCCGGGTGTCCCGAGGAAGGGTCAGGGGAAGAGACAAAGGGAGCAGGGTGAGGCAGGATGAATCCTGACGGACCTCGGACCCCAAAACCGCCCCGGTGGGTCTTCCACGTCAGGTTTCACATGGAGGCGGCATCAAAGACCCCCGACTGATCCAGGCCGGCGTCCCGGCCGCCACTCCAAGGTTAGGAGACAAGCCATGTCAAGTCGGTGCCGTTTAAGCAGCATTTTTTCGAGGAGAAAAAAAAAAAAGAAACAGAAGCGATATAAAGAAAAAAAATGTCCACCTATGACACGGGAAGCGGCCAGCCCGATGGATCAGAAGCGCCAAATCCCATTACTCGGGACTTCAGGGACAGGCCCTGCAAGGGCAGCTGCGATTAAGAGCTTGTCAATGGACTCTCCTTTAGAGATCAAAGCGGGGCGTGCTTGTGTGTGTGTGCGTGTGCACGTGTGTGCGCGTGCACGCGTGTACGTGCAGGAGCGGACACTGTGGGGTGACAGCACAGAGGTCGTGCACCGCAGCACCACGGGGCCCATACGTCGCCGACGCGGCCACCTCCACACTGCTTGCGTCCTTGCTGCCGTGTGCGACGTGTGTGGACGCGGCTGGGGGCCTGGGCCGGGTACCTGGTCCCAACACCTGCACCCTTTCAAAGGCCTCCACCTCCTGCTAGAGGCCGTGCCTTCCCCAGGTTCTGCCCAGAGGAGCCCGCAGGGGCCGAGCTGGGTGTGAGGACAGCCGTGGCTGCGTCTCCTCCCCCCGACCACGTCCTGCTGCCCACAGAGGCCTTGAGCTCTCAGTTGGCCTGGCAGGCGCGCCCTGGGGGTTCAAAGCTCCCGTTGACACGATTGTTAGGTTATTAGGTAAACTCTGAGACGTAAATCTTTTAATCCACTGTGGCTAATCCGGTTCACTTTTGTTTGCCACGACAGACGCCGCGGCGACAAAGGGGCCTGGGGCCCAGCACACACAGTCACACGCTCAGAACTTGGCCGCGGCCTCAGGGTTCCTAGGCAGTGGAGAGAGACATCTTGGGACAGCCAAGCAGAGGGAGGCGGCGGAGGGCACAGGTGGGCGGGGGCGCAGGTGGGCCGGGGCAAAGGCAGCTGCCCGCTGGGGGCCGCACTTCCTCACCTCCCATTTAATGTCCCCTTGCCAGCTCGAGGGGGAACCGCTGGGCACTGGGGTGTGCAGGTATCGGGGCCGCTGGGGATAGTGGGCAGAAGGACAGATGAGCACCAACGGGGGGGCGGCAGCGCCCGGAGAGGCGTGTGGGATGGAGGCCGTCAGGGCAGGGAAGGGCGTTCAGGTGAGGGAACAGCAGGGACAAGGACTGTGGTCGGTGTGGCAGGGGCAGGAGTCCCCCCAACAAGGACAGGAAGCGGCCTGAGGCTGCCCAGGGAGGTGGGACGTCACCTGCTACTTCCCGAAGTCAGCGCGAGGCCCCTCGGGGCATGGCCCCTGCACTTGGATGCCACCTCTTTTTGGGAAAACAGCACTGAGGTTGGGGGAGGCCAGCAGGCCCTGCCCTGTGCTCACAATGTGCCTGGGACACCAGACCTGGTCCATGGCCAGCCGTGGGCTCCATCCCGCCACCCGGCCTGTCAGAGAGGGTCACACACGGACCTCTGGGGCTGTGAGGCCAGGTCAGGACGATCACTTTGCCCAGGGGGACACTGGCACAAGGAGGTGCCTGCTTTGCCTAGGGCTACAGGCTGGCCCAAGACAAGGATGGGCACTCAGGTCTCCTGGGAGGCAGGTGCCAGGCCAGGCCCAACAGTCCCCTGATGTCAGCAGCTCCCGAGTTGGGAAGTGGTGGCCGCCCTCCCCTCCTACTTCCCCAGCCCCTGCGGCCGGACCCTCCAGGCAGGCCTACTTGACCACATCCTGGTATCCACCTGGCCCCAGTCCCAGCCCCTGGACACCCTGGGGTCAGAACTCTTCAGAAAGGCAGTGCAGGAGGACTCCCCTCAGGACACTGGGAGGTGTGGACAGTACCCTGGGATGGAGGGGACCGCCTCTGGGCCGCCTGGCTGGCCAGGCCCCCGCCCTGTTGCCAGTGCTTTCCTGTTGGCCTTGGCGTCCTGACCCTTGACCCCTGGAGGCCAGCGGGGATGTGGGGACTGTCAGGTCTGCTGGACGGGGCTGGGCGCAGGCGACGTGGGTGACGGCAGGTCTGGGGCCTGCCCCAGGGGACAAGTATGGACCCGGAGCCAGCGGGGACCAAGCACTGTGGCCACAGCAGCCGTTTCATTTCTTTTTCTTTTTTTTTTTTTTTTTTGAGATGGAGTCTCACTCTGTTGCCCAGGCTGGAGTGCCTTGGCACAATCTTGGCTCACTGCAACCTCTGTCTCCTGGGTTCAAGTGATTCTCCTGCCCCAACCTCCCCAGTAGCCGAGATTACAGGGGCCTGCCACCATACCTGGCTAATTTTTTGCATTTTTAGTAGAGATGGGGTTTCACCACGTTGGCCAGGCTGGTCTCGAGCTCCTGACCTGAGGTGATACGCCCACCTTGGCCTCCCAAAGTGCTAAAATTACAGGCGTGAACCACTGTGCCTGGCCTAATTTTTGTATTTTTAGTAGAGACGGGGTTTCACCATGTTGGCCAGGCTGGTCTCGAACTCTTGACCTCAGGTGATCCACCCGCCTCAGCCTCCCAAAGTGCTGGGATTACAGGTGTGAGCCACCGAGCCTGGCCACACACAGCACCCGTTTCTTTGGGCCCCTGCCCCGCAGCGGCTGAGTGGTTCACCCTCCACCTCTCTGTGGGTGGGTCCTCCTGACCACAGGTGCCCAGCCAATGGTGGGTCCCGGGGGCAGAGGCCGTCAGGTCATCCATGGCCATGGTGACAGTCACACTGACCTGATATTGGAGCCAGGGCATATGAGGTAGGGCCCTGCTCCCCTTCCCCCAGGCCTCTGCCTTTTGTGGGGACCAGGATCACTCCTGGGGCATCTGCCCTGCGGAGGCAGCTTTGGCTACAGAGCTATGTGGACCACTCCAAATAGGAAGCGTGTTGCAACATAGTTGGATGACACACCTGCCCGACAGGTGTGAGGGGGAGAGGAGGAAGGACCTATCTAGGGGCACATCAGTGCTAAGGGGGCTGCCAGATGTGGAGGCCGGGGAGGCCCCAGCCCAAAGTGACACCAACAGCTGGGATGGCCCAGGAAGCCCCTGGCAGGGTGTGTCTCTCAGGAAGGTGGCAGAACCTCCATGCCAGGCCCCAGGCCACCGTGGGGCGATGTGGCTGCCATCAGCCGTGACCATCACCCTGCTGGACACACACTGCCCAGTGGTCAGTTCCACCCCTCAGGGCCTCAGCCGTGATGCCCGTCTCCTTCAGTGGGTTAACTTACACAGACCGTTCCACGGGACCATAACTGTTACATCCCTGTAGACATTCCTGAACATGCAAAGAAGAAAATGGAACTTCATGCTTCTGCTTCCACTAATAACACGTGGACTGTTTTGAGTCTTCTTGCCCTTTTTTTTTTTTTGAGATAGAGTCTCGCTCTGTCGCCCAGGCTGGAGTGCTGTGGCGCGATCTCAGCTCACTGCAACGTCCGCCTCCCGGGTTCAAGCGATTCTCCTGCCTCAGTGTCCCAAGTAGCTGGGATTACGGGCATGCGCCACCACGCCTGGCTAATTTTGTATTTTTAGTAGAGATGGGGTTTCTCCATGTTGGTCAGGCTGGTCTCGAACTCCCAGCCTCAGGCGATCTGCCTGCCTTGACCTCCCAAAGTGCTGGGATTACAGGCGTGAGCCACCACGCCTGGCCCAGTGTCAGGTCTTTCTCTCACCCAGACTGGAGTGGAGTGGCACCATCTCAGCTCACTGCAGCCTTGACCACTCGGGCTCAAGCCATCCTCTTGTCTCCGTGTACCTGGGACCACAGGTGCACGCCACCATGCCTGGCTAATTAAAAACAATGCTTCTATAGGGAAAGGGTCTTGCATTGTTGCCCAGGCTAATCTTAAACCGCTGACTTCAAGTGATCCTCCCGCCTCAGCCTCCCAAAGTGCTGGGATTACAGGTGTGAGCCACTGCGCCCCGCCCACATTTTCTATTTTCAGGAAAAGTGGTGCCCTGTGTGCGTGGCCTGGCGGCATGTCTCTGGGGTGTTGTAGCTCCTTGTTCTCTGTCGGGCTTGGGATGGGGGCACAGGCAGCATCTGGCCTCTCCTGTGGGCTCAGAACTGATGGAAAAAGAAGGCTCAGGGATGAGAGCTGGGGCTCGCCTTACAGCCTGGAAGGCGGTGGAGGGTGGTGGGGGCTCTGCCTGCGATGGAAAGTGCAGTCCTCCCTCGCCTGAACGGGATGGTCCAAGGCCTCCCTCCCCCTCGAGGGGCCTCCCTCCCCTCCAGCGGCCTCCCCTGCCTGCCCACTCCCACCTCTCACACCTATGGACTGAGCGGAGGGGGCAGAGAAGGGGCAGACTGGAAGAGGCTGAACCCAAGGCTTCCCTCAGCCTCCAGAACCCTGGATCAGAACCGTCCGTCCTCTTCCCCCGCTCCCCTTACACTGATGCAGGGTCGGTGGCTGCACAGTGTCCATCTCTGCAGCTGGCTGTCTCCATCACACATCGTACAGCGGCAAACACTCCCCAGCTAATGTCCTTGGGGTGTCTTCCAGGGTTTCCTTTGGGTCATTTTTTATAAGTGGTCTTCCTCAGTTAAATGGATAAACACACTTAAGGCATCAAAACTCACTTTATTATTTTCTTAATTTTTATTTCTTGGAGACACGGTCTTACTCTGTTGCCCAGGCTGACGTGTAGTGGCTCAATCACAGCTCACTAAAGCCTCCAACCGCTGGGTTCAAGTGATCCACCTGCCTCGCGCTCCCGAGTAGCTGAGACCATAGGTGCGCAACACCACGCCCAGCTAGTTTTTAAAAATTGTTTAGTAGAGACAAGGTCTCACTATGTTGCCCAGACTGGTCTTGAACTCCTAAGCTTAAGTGATCCTCTGGCCTTGGCCTCCCGAACTGCTAGGACTACGGGTGTGAGCCACCGTGCCTGGCCTTTTCTTTATTTTTATTTTTTTGAGACAGAGTCTCGCTCTGTCACCCAGGCTGGAGTGCAATGGGGCGATCTCAGCTCACTGCAACCTCTGCCTCCCAGGTTCAAGCAATTATCCTGCCTCAGCCTCCTGAGTAGCTGGGACTACAGGTGTGCGCCACCACGCCTGGCTAATTTTTCTATTTTTAGTAGAGATGGGGTTTCACCATGTTGGTCAGGCTGGTCTCGAACTCCTTACTTCGTGATCCACCTGCATCGGCCTCCCAAAGTGCTGGGATTACAGGCGTGAGCCACCGCTCCGGGCCAGCCACTTTATTTTCAAGGTATTCCTTTTAGGCTGGGCATGGTGGCTTGGGCCCGTAATCCCAGCACTTCGGGAGGCCAACGCAGGTGGATCCCTTGAGCTCAGGAGTTAGAGACCGGCCTGGGCAACATGATGAAACCCTGTCTCTAGCAAAAATACAAACAATTAGTGGGGTGTGGTGGCACACGCCTGTAATCCCAGTTACTCGGGAGGCTGAGGTGGGAAGATCACTTGAGCATGGTAGGTGGAGGCTGCAGTGAGCCAAAATCACGCCACTGGGCTCCAGCCTGGGCAACAGAATGAAACTCCGTCTCCAAAAACCAACAAACAAAAAAACATACCTTTTATGTCTACATTGAAGAAAATAATTCCATGTCTGCTCTTAAGTGTCTCATTTGGTGCCTAGAAACAAAACCTGATTAAATGTCATCTACGGTCAATCAAATAAAAGCCTTCGTGGCAAACTCACGCTCGAAGCAAAGGGCGTTTGCCTCTTCAAGGAGCTCTGTGAGGAAGGGAGGTGGCTGAACCTCACCCTGCACACCACAGGCCCCCGCGCGCCTCCCTGCCCCTCCTCAGGGCCTTCCTCTACCTCTCTTCTGCCTGGCCTGCCTCTGGTCTCCTCCTACCCCCACTAGGCTCAGAGAATCTCCCCTCCACACCCACACCACAACCTACTTTAGAAGGGCTGCTGCATTTCCTCCAGGCTTTCTGACCCCCTTCCTGTCCCTGCAGGGCAGGGGCCCCGAGGAGCTGGAGGCCCAAGGGCCTTGTTCTGGTCCCAGGGCCTGGGGACACCTGCCACCGAGGGCCAAGAGGAGGATGGACGTGGACACAGCCCCGAGAGCCTGGCCCGGACACAGCAGCAGCTCTGCAGAACCAAGGCAAGCATTGGGGACCTTGTTGGGAGTCGGGGGGCAGCCCAGGGGCCAGTGTCTGAGGTCCTGCTGTCTGTCTGGCCACCCAGGACTCCCTCATCCCTGGAAACTGTGCTTTACCATGGAGGCCACCCACTCTGTCTCCTCTAAGGTTCTGAGGCTGAATGGGCTAGGGGGCTTGCGGGGAGGCCCCAGTGTCCAGCACTGTGGGACCTGGCAGGGTGCCTGCGGCCAGGACCCAGCGGGGCCAGGTGTTGGTCTAACAGTGCAGCTTCGTTCATATCCCCAGCCCCTGCCCACCTGCTCTGAGCACAGTGATGGCCCTGGGAGGTGGGCCTGGGCCCTTGGCAGGCTGGGGACAGCCTAGTGGCCCTTGTCCCATGCTACCCCCTTTCCCACACAGCGATGCTGGCATCAGACACCATGCTGAGTGCTGGCAGGGGCGAGGGCTGGGAGGCTTCCACACATGGTTCCCCATGCAGTCCCACCTGTGGGCATCTGGTTGGGGGTAGGCTGGAAGCTCGGGGAGCCTGGAGCTGGGACTTCTGTGCTTGCCTGGGAGCTCTGAAGGGTGAGGCTGGGCATCCAGGGTGACACAGCCCAGGGAAAGACATGGGGGTGACGTGAGAGGTGCCTGGAGGGAGCTGGCAGGTATGGACATGATGGACACGGAAGCACGGAGGCGGGCAAGTGGCCAGACGCATCTAGGGGAAGGTGTGGGGGAGGCGCCCTTAGGAAGGGCCCTGAAGGGCTGTGGGCAGCAGGGAGCCCTGGGAGGCCTAAAGCAGAGGGCAGATAGATGAGGGCTGTTGTCTCAGGTGTGGGGCGGACGAGGTGGGGAGCCCTCACCCAACAGGAGGCGAGCTGGTCCTGTGTGGCCTGAACTGCAGCTGTCTCCTCTGTGAAACGGGGGTATAGCTGACCCCAGGGGGCTGCCTGGAGCATCCCGGGAGGTGCCAGGCCCAATAGTGCTCTGGGAAGGACAGGGCCCTGGGCTGTTGTGGGAGGCGGCAGATCCTGGTACTCACATCCTCCTCCTTGGGGAGGGCCTGATGGTTGGCTGAGGCCTGGGTGGAGAGCAGAGGGTTGGTTCTGACAGGGTTGGGCTGGCCAGAGCTGGTGCTGGGGCTGCTGCTGGGGGCCCGTGCCTCTCTGCCGTGGGGTGCCTGGGGCTGTGACCTCATGCTCTGTGGCCTGCAGGGCAAGTGACACGGATCTGGGCAGCCAGGGTGGCAGGATCGGACTGGACCCCTTGGCAGGGCCGCTGTGGAGACAGCCCAGGGGAAGGGGTGCAGGGGTCTGGACACTCCAATGGCCTTGCTCTCGGGCTGGCCTGGGCAGCGGAGGGAAGGAGAACCCTTCTCTGATACTAGATGGTGCCTGGGAGAAATCAAGGCAGAGGGTCCTAGCCGGTGGGCTCTTTGGAGGTTGTGGCTCCTGTCCGGGTGAGAGCCACCATATATTGGGGCCTAACGTGTTCCCTGGCGCTGTGAGTCCAGGCTGCCTTGGGACTCAGGAGGGTGGAGCCCACCCCACCTTCCAAGGGCCCTGGCCATCCCTGCCTGCCGACCACCCCACTCCTGGGAGCCTGCTTCCCTCACGGCGGCGGGCAGGCCGTGGCGGTCCCCACGAGGGCCTCCTCTCCAGGGCCGGCTGGGCAGGGAGCCCCGAGGCCTGCAGCCCCCTGACTGCCCTCCGATGTACTGGCGGCAGAAAAGGGCTGCGCCCCACGTGCGCCCTTCGGGGCGCGCAGTCCGCCCAGTGCTCCCCACGGCCGCGGCCATTCCAAGGACCTGCAACGCCGCCTCTCCCACTCCGCTCTCTGGGAAGCCAAAGCCTCCCGGGCTCCGCTTCCGCACCGCCCCTCGGGAAGACGGCGCGACCGCGCCCCCGGCACGCCCCGCCCCCGGCAGGCACTGACCACGCCCTCTCCCGGCCATGCAGAGACCCCGGCCCATGTTTCTCAACTCGTCTTCTCGCTTCCGGCCCCGCCCCGCGCCGGAGGCCCCGCCCCACGCTCTTTACCTCTTCTGCTCGAGGCGGGCCCCGCCTTACTCCCTGGTCCCCGCCCCACGCCCGAGGCCCCGCCCCGAGCTCTTCACCTCGTCTTCTCGCTTCCGGCCCCGCCCACGCCCCGGCCCCGCCCCGCGCTCCTCACCTGTCCCCTCGCTGTCGGCCCCGCCCCACGCTCCTCACTTTATCCTCGCGCTTTCAGCCCCGCCCCGCGCCTGAAGCCCCGCCCCACACCCTTTACCTCGTCCCCGCGCTGCCGGCCCCGCCCCGTGTTGAGGCCCCGCCCCGCGCTCTCACCTCGTCCCCGCGCCCCGGCCCCGCCCCCGCACTTCCGGACGCCGCCGGCGGGGGCGCTCGGGCCTGGGCTTCGGCGCTCTGGCTCGGGCTCTGGCTCGGGAGGCGATCGTGGCCGCTGCCGCCGCCAGAGCCGGCCGGAGTCGGCCCGGAGCCGCGTCCACGCGGAGCGGGCGGGTGGGAGCTGGCGGCTGGGCCCCTGCGGCGCCCCCGCGGCCTGCCCCGCGTCCGCCTCCGGGCCGCCGAGCCGCAGCCGCCGAGATGGGGGCCGCCCCGGGCCGCGCCCCCGCCGGGTCCCGCCCGCCGCGCTGCCGCTGAGCGCATGGGCCCGGACCGCGCCGCGCCGCTCCGGGAGCCGGGCCCGGGGTCCCGCCACCACCGCGCGCGGGTGAGTAGGGCCGGGCTCCGGGGCGGGCTAGGCCGCGGTAGGCCGGGCGGGCGGGACCCGGAAGCGGCGGGGGGCGCGGGTGGCTGACGCGCGTGGGACCGAGGGGGTGGGCGCGCGGGGAGCTGGGGCCGGGGTGTCCCTGGGCAGCGGGACTGGCGGCGCGGTGGCCGCTTGGAGGTCCGAGGCCTCGGGCGCGTCTCGGGGCACGGAGCAGCTGCAGGGGCCGCGCATCGCGTGCGGGGGCCCGGGAGAGCCGGGCCTGGAGCCCTCCCCGCCGCCCAGAAGTCGGCGGGAGTCCGGCTGTCCCGGAGGAGGACACTCCCGCCCGCCCTCGCCGAGGCCGCGTGCCGGGTCCGGGTCGGGGTTCGGCCTGAGTAGCCGCGTGCTCCGGCGTCCGTACCCTCCAGGTTGATGCCTTGCTGCCCAAACACTGGTCTTTCTCTTGGGTGTGGTTCTTAGATTCTACCCCCGCCCCGCACTTTGGAATTTAGCCCCCGTGAAACCAGAGCTGCACTGCCCGAGCAGTGAAACTTTCAGCTTGGCATTGAAGAAAGTAGAGAAAAACATGTCAGTTCTCTGGGGATTTTTCTCAGCCCATCTATAAGATATATATATATATATTTTTTGTAGAGATGGGGTGTCACTATATTGCCCAGCAGGTGTTGAATTCTTGGCCTCAAGCGATCCACCTGCCTCAGCCTTCCAAGGTGTTGGGACTACAGGGGTGACCACCGTCCTCTAAGATAATTTTTTTTTTTTGAGACGGAGTCTCGCACTGTAGCCCAGGCTGGAGTGCAGTGGCGCTATCTTGGCTCACTGCAACCTCCGCCTCCCGGGTTCAAGCAGTTTTCCTGCCTCAGCCGCCTGAGTAGCTGGGATAACAGGCATGCGCCACCACATCCGGCTAATTTTTGTATTTTTAGTAGAGACAGGGTTTCACCATGTTGACCAGGCTGGCCTGGAACTCCTGACCTCAGGTGATCTGCCCACTTTGGCCTACCAAAGTGTTGGGATTACAGGCGTGAGCCACCGCGCCTGGCCCCTTCTAAGATAATTTATAAAGGGTTCTTATGTGCATGTCAGCCCCTTGTTTTTGCTCACACTTCTGTTCTCTGCTTCTTCAGGAAGAATCTCGAGCTTACTTGGATCCACAGGCCCTATTTTGGAGAAAACACAGTCTAAACCGGCTACCCGAGATACTCAGCAATAGCTCGGTTTCAGTTTTTTTTTTTTTTTGAGACAGAGTTTTGCTCTTGTTGCCCAGGCTGGAGTCCAATGGCGTGATCTCCGCTCACCGCATCCTCCGCCTCCCAGGTTCAAGCGATTCTCCTGCCTCAGCCTTCCCAAGTAGCTGGGATTATAGGCATGCGCCACCAAGCCTGACTAATTTTGTATTTTTAGTAGAGATGGGGTTTCTGTATGTGGGTCAGGATGGTCTTGAACTCCCGACCTCAGGTGATCCGCCCACCTCGGCCTCCCAAAGTGCTGGGATTACAGGCGTGAGCCACCTCACCTGGCTTTGGTTTCAGTTTTAAGATCTCCATTCAGGGACAAGGATGGGAAAGCATGAAAAACAGACTGTTTTTGTTTGATTTTCAGCTGGTGTTGACTTGTCTTGGGTTTCTAGTTTCAGAAAAGCTAAGCAGACTTTTTCGGATTACATTGGTCATTGAGAATTTCAGTGATGGGGGAATAAATTACATGTGAAATAGTAGCCCTGAACCTTCAAGAGTTAAATCAATGGACAGCTGGGAAGATGTCAGAGTCGTGTTGTGTTACTTGCCTCCTCCATGTAAATCAAAATGTCAAAAGTTACGTTTGGGTAAAATAAATACCTACACACGTAGGTAGCATTGAGTTTGCTGCCATGATGCCTGGAGCATATGCCTAAGCGGTGACGAAAGGGAATTTTAAATACAGTATCATACTTGTAGGCATCCCGCCCGTTTTATGGACTCACTTTATTGATGGTAGCTACAGGCTGTGGGCCAGATTCAGTGCTTGCAGGCATTTGATACTGAACTGAGTAAACGTGACTGCTTTATGTGTGGTGTGTACTTGTGTGTACACTAAATGCTTGGTGTGCTTCCCTGTGGGAACCCAGAGATTTCAGGAATTGGGACATGTTTCAACAACATCAGTAGCTTGTAGAGGGGTTCATGTGCTTCCAGGGACACCAAAAAGTCTTCTGTCAGTTGACAGCCAAAAATACACATGATTGTAAGAAAATTTTCTTCTGGGCTCTGAAAATTTGGTTCACACATGAATTAAAACATTAGTTTTGGGGCCAGGCAAAGTGGCCTGTAATCCCAACACTTTGGGAGGCCGAGGCGGGTGGATTGCTTTGAGCTCAGGAGTTTGAGACCAGCCTGGCCAACGTGGTGAAACCCAAAATACAGTAATTAGCCGGGCGTTGATGACTCGTGCCTGTAGTCCCCGCCACTTGAGAGGCTGAGGCTGGAGAATTGCTTGAGCCTGGGAAGCTGAGGCTGCAGTGAGCTGAGATCGCCCCACTGCAGTCCAGCCTAGGCGACAGAGCGAGACCCTGTCTCAAAATAACAAAAAACAAAACAACAAAACCCATTAGTTTTGGAAGAATTTGCTGCTGTTTTCTGTGGTACAGTAGTTCAGCCCCTGTAGAGAGCCAGTGTTTGGCGTCTGTGACAAATGTCTTTTCTTTTTTACATCAGTGAATGACTTACTGGTGCCCGTTAGTTGCAGGACCTTGTGCTGGGTGCTGTGGGTCCCGCTACTACCAATAATTAACACAGAAGACTTAAGTCCCTTATGAGAGCATGATGGTGACTTGTGGTTAGCCTCCCTTCTGAGCACTGTCTGATTAATCACTTTCCACTCTCCGGTGACTTGGTTCTTCAAGCTAGTGAATGGTAGTACATCTATAGTGGTAAGGCTCAGGTGGTCAGGGTGCAGGCCTTCTTTCCTGTGATGGCGTCCCAGACAGATGACCGTGAGCTAGTGTGGAGGTGCCCACGCCCAGGGTGCTCCCTCCATGCTGATGTGGCTCACGGAGTGACTGCCGCTGAAGTGGTCTGTGAGCAGCAGGATGTCACAGCTCACTGGGCCTTGACCTTTAGAAGCTGTGTGTTCCTGCTGAGGCCAAGATGACATACTACCCAGCAGCGTTCACAAAAAGTCCTTAGCTGCTGAAATGTCATTGGGGGCACATAGTTGCAAACCATCCTCCATCTATGGGTGCTTCTTATTTATTTACTAATTTTATTTTATTTTATTTTATTTTATTTTTTTGAGACAGAGTCTCACTCTGTCGCCCAAGCTGGAGTGCAGTGGCCGGCGCGGTGTCGGCTCACTGCAAGCTCTGCCTCCCGGGTTCATGCCATTCTCCCACGTCAGTCTCCCGAGTAGCTGGGACTGCAGGTGCCCACCACCATGCCTGGCTAATTTTTTGTATTTTTAGTAGAGATGGGGTTTCACCGTGTTAGCCAGGATGGTCTCGATCTCTTGACCTCGTGATCCGCCCGCCTTGGCTTCCCAAAGTGCTGGGATTACAGGTGTGAGCCACTGTGCCCGGCCTATTTTTTTTTTAGAGACAGGATCTTGCTCTGTTGCCCAGGCTGGAGTGCAGTGGGGTGCGATTATAGCTCACTGCAGCCTTGAACTCCTGGGTCAAGTGATCCTCTTGCCTCAGTCTTCCAAGTAGCTGAGACTACAGGCATACGCTACCATACCCGGCTAATTAAGAACTGTTTTTTGGTAGAGATTGGGTCTCACTATGTTGCCCAGGTTAGTCTTGAACTCTTGGGCTCAAGGGATCCTCCAGCCTCAGCCTCCTGAGTAGCTGGGACTACAGGTGCGTGACACCACGCCTGGCTCTGTGGATCCTTCGTGCTTCCAGCCGTGAGCAGCTGTTGGCTGGTAAAGTGTGTGCAATGTGAGGAAGTTGGTGTGGGGGACAGATTCCACATAGACAAGGGACAGCAGTGTGGAGTGGTGGCTGGGGGATAGATCCCCCTTCAGTTGGTCCTGGGTTTTAGGGTTTTATTTGTTTGCTGTGACTTGTTCAGCACTCTAGGCTTTTGAACCCAACATGCTTCTCTAAAGCCCTCTCTCCAGCCCCTTTTAGCCAGGACCACTTACATCATGGCAGGCTGTTGTTTCAGTCACCTGCATGGCCGGGTTGACAGGCATAGCCAGAGCTCCTGGGCTCCTGTAGGACGTGGCAGGAAGGACCATAGACCATGGCAGGGGTTCTGTTGGAGCCCTTATCTACTCTCTTTTGCACACCCCTTGCAGGCTTGTAGCAGCAGCAGCAGTAGTAGCAGCAAATTCTATAGTTCCCTGATGTCTAAGAGGGTGGGTGGTTTGGTTTTCAGCTTAAGGAGTGAAGTCACATGAACTATAGCTTCCTTAGCTAAAAATTGTATTTGCATTTCCTTTTATTCTGTACCTTCTCTGTTCCTTGAAGTACCCATTTACTATTTGCTATCTGAATCCTCATCAGAGAGGCTTTTCAGAGTCAAGTGCAGCATTCTGACAGAGCATTTTAAGATTGTCTCCAGTGACGGTGTCCGAGCGCCTCTGTGGGCCTGGGTGGTGTCCTTGATCCCTCGGTCGATGGGGCTGAAGGTGACCCATGATTATCTCTCTTTGAGGCGTGTGTTGAGAGTCGGAGGAACACCCTGCAGTGTGTTCTCATGTGTCGGAAGGTGTACCACGCGTGACGTGATGCAGCAGGTAGAAAACAGTGGCCGTGGGCCTGGAGGACGTGGGGTTCAGAAGACGCCCACCACCTTCGGGGCTGTAGCGCACCTTCCTTTCTCTCTGAGTGTTGCTGGGGCTGGTGGAGCGATTGTCTCCATCTTACTTGTGAGGGTCCAGCCCTCACTCAGGTTTGTACACATAGTCAGGACTAGAGGCAGCTTTCCTTCCTCCGGTCTTCCTGCCTTCCCTGTCCCTCAGCTCTGCAGCTGAGGTGGGAGGTGCTCAAGCTGCCAGCCTCCGTGATGTTTGTGCAGTGAGACTTGTGGGGAGTGGCATTCCCATGTCCTGGGCATCCCTTCTTAGCATGAGAGGCATTCCTGTAGTTGTAAAAGTTTCCAGAAATTGCTTTAAAGTAGAACTATGCTTGTGGCCAAAATATATCTTGATTGAACATTTAAACTGAGTTTCTTGCTTTGAGTTTGAGCGGGAGGGCGTCATCGTGAGTCTTGTCTTGAGAAAACCTCTGGTCGTGTTTCATGGACCCACCTTTCCTAATCCTTGTCCTCTTAATGGTTTCAACAGGACAGATTGATTCACTTTGGAGCTGTAAGTACTGATGTATTAGGGTGCAGCGCTCATTGTTCCTTGACGCAGAGTCCCAAAATGAATATCCAAGAGCAGGGTTTCCCCTTGGACCTCGGAGCAAGTTTCACCGAAGATGCTCCCCGACCCCCAGTGCCTGGTGAGGAGGGAGAACTGGTGTCCACAGACCCGAGGCCCGCCAGCTACAGTTTCTGCTCCGGGAAAGGTGTTGGCATTAAAGGTGAGACTTCGACGGCCACTCCGAGGCGCTCGGATCTGGACCTGGGGTATGAGCCTGAGGGCAGTGCCTCCCCCACCCCACCATACTTGAAGTGGGCTGAGTCACTGCATTCCCTGCTGGATGACCAAGATGGGATAAGCCTGTTCAGGACTTTCCTGAAGCAGGAGGGCTGTGCCGACTTGCTGGACTTCTGGTTTGCCTGCACTGGCTTCAGGAAGCTGGAGCCCTGTGACTCGAACGAGGAGAAGAGGCTGAAGCTGGCGAGAGCCATCTACCGAAAGTACATTCTTGATAACAATGGCATCGTGTCCCGGCAGACCAAGCCAGCCACCAAGAGCTTCATAAAGGGCTGCATCATGAAGCAGCTGATCGATCCTGCCATGTTTGACCAGGCCCAGACCGAAATCCAGGCCACTATGGAGGAAAACACCTATCCCTCCTTCCTTAAGTCTGATATTTATTTGGAATATACGAGGACAGGCTCGGAGAGCCCCAAAGTCTGTAGTGACCAGAGCTCTGGGTCAGGGACAGGGAAGGGCATATCTGGATACCTGCCGACCTTAAATGAAGATGAGGAATGGAAGTGTGACCAGGACATGGATGAGGACGATGGCAGAGACGCTGCTCCCCCCGGAAGACTCCCTCAGAAGCTGCTCCTGGAGACAGCTGCCCCGAGGGTCTCCTCCAGTAGACGGTACAGCGAAGGCAGAGAGTTCAGGTGAGTCCGACGCCAGGCGTCCACTTTCTGTACTCACCTCCGAGAGCTGGAGAACAAGCCAGGGAAAGGTGCTGATGAGGCGGGCGTTAACCCACACCGGATGTCCTGCTGCCGCTGGGGTTGAATTTTGGTTCTGTTCTTATTTGTGATACTTTTGCATTTGTCATTACTTTTTTATATTTGTAATGTTGAGAACACTTTTACTGAGAACAGACTAAAATATATGACTTTATGAGTCATTAGGAACATCGGAATTCTTAGAAGTCACAATGACATGTAAACTTTACCCTTCAGCAGTAAAGTCTGTCACCTCTTAAATAGGAGCTGGATCTACCCAGTAGACATGGTCCTTTCCGCTTAATAAAGGGAGGAGTGGACGTTTCAGGGCATCGATAAGAATTGGAGAATTGGATTCTTGCTTTTTTTTTTTTTTGAGACGGAGTTTCACTTTTGTTGCTCAGGCTGGAGTGCAATGGTACAATCTCAGCTCACTGCAACCTTCGCCTCCCGGGTTTGAGCGATTCTCCTGCCTCAGCCTCCTGAGTAGCTGGGATTACAGGCATGTGCCACCACGCCCGGCTAATTTTGCATTATTAGTAGAGGTGGGGTTTCTCCATGTTGGCCAGGCTGGTCTCGAACTCCCGACCTCAGGTGATCTGCCTGCCTCGGCCTCCCAAAGTGTTGGGATTACAGGCGTGAGCCGCCGCATCCGGCCAGATTATTGCTTTTATAATGATCTTCTAAGCTTCTTCCTACAGGCTGAGAAATAGCAGGGGGGACGTTTTACGTGTGGGGAATGGTCAGAGTACTTTGAAAACTTCCTGTGGCTATAGTGGGCATTCCAGGATTGGGCCTTTTTTCCTGCCAACAAAATCTGTTGGTGCTGTTGTGTAGTCCACAGCAGCCTGGACCCTGAGGCGATCCTGGCAGGGCCTGTGGGGTGCGTGTGTTGCCTGGGAGGGAGCAGAGTGGTGCTCAGCCTTGGAACCTGTTTCTTCGTTCTTCCTTCCCTGTGATCCCTGCGTGGTTCCTGGAGGTTTATTTGGCTTTCGGGCTGGCATCTACTGTGCTTGTGAGCAGAGCGCATGCATTTCCCACTCTTTCCCTAGAGCTGGTGACCGGAGGCTCCGGCCTGTGTAACTTTGAAAGCCTGGAATTCATGTGACCCCTGCTGACCTAATCAAGACTCCGAAAGCACAGCCCCATGTGCTGGGACTCTCCTGAGGAGTTATTAAAAACTCGCATTAGTTCTTCAAGCTTACTGTGACACAGAAATTGGCTACTCGCTCATCAACACAGGATTAAACATGTCTAAGGTTAAACTTGTAGTCTAAGTGATACGATTTAAGATGGACTGTCGACTGGGCGCAGTGACTCACACCTGTAATCCCAGCACTTTGGGAGGCCGAGGCGGGCGAATCACCTGAGGTCGGGAGTTCGAGACCATCCTGGCCAACGTGGTGAATCCTCATTTCTACTAAAAATACAAAAATTAGATAGGCGAGTTGGCGCATGCCTGTAATCCCAGCTCCTCGGGAGGCTGAAGCAGGAGAATCGCTTGAACCTGGGAGGCAGAGGTTGCAGTGAGCCTTGGTTGTGCCATTGCACTCCAGCCTGGGCGACAAGAGGACAAGAGTGAAACTCTGTCTCAGAAAAAAAACAAAAAAAAAACAAAAAAGGATTGTGTAGGTTAATTGGTTAATTTTTTTTTTTTTTTTGAGATGGAGTCTTGCTCTATCGCCCAGGCTGGAGTGCGGTGGCGCCATCTCGGCTCACTGCAAGCTCCGCCTCCCAGGTTCACGCCGTTCTCCTGCCCCAGCCTCCCAAGTAGCTGGGACTACAGGCGCCCGCCACCATGCCGGCCAATTTTTTGTATTTTTAGTAGAGACTGGGTTTCACCATGTTAGCCAGGATGGTCTCGATCTCCTGACCTCGTGATCGCCTGCCTCAGTCTCCCAAAGTGCGGGGATTACAGACGTGGGCCACCACGCCCGGCCTTTTTTCCCTTTTGTTCATTGTCTTTAGCCAAGTGGTATTTATTTAGCAAGCATTTTAGGACACAATATGCCGCAAAGTTATCCTGTTGAGTAAGCCTGGTATAAACTGAGAGTTTCTTTCTTTCTTTCTTTTTTTTTTTTTTGAAATGGAGTCTCGCTCTGTCACACAGGCTGGAGTGCAGTAGCACTATCTCGCTATCTCGGCTCACTGCAACTTCTGCCTCCTGGGTTTAAGTGATTCTCCTGCCTCCCGAGTAGCTGGGATTACAGGTGTGTGCTACCATGCCTGGCTAATTTTTGTATTTGTGGTAGAGACAGCGTTTCGCCACGTTGGCCAGGATGGTCTCGAGCTCCTGGACTCCAGTGATCTCAGCCTCCCAAAGTGCTGGGATTACGGGTGGGAGCCACTGCACCTGGCTGGTTATTTTTTTTGCTTGTTTTTTTGTTTGAGATGGAGTCTCGCTCTGTCGCCCAGGCTGGAGTGCAGTAGTGCAATCTCAGCTCACTGCAACCTCTGCCTCCTGGGTTCAAGTGAGTCTCCTGCCTCAGCCTCCCGAGTAGCTGGGATTACAAGTGTGAGCTACCATGCCCAGCTAATTTTCTGTATTTTTAGTAGAGATGGGGTTTTACCACGTTGGCCAGTCTGGTCTCGAACTCCTTTCCTCAAGAGATCTGCCCGCCTCAGCCTCCCAAAGTGCTGGGATTCCAGGTGTGAGCCACTGCGCCCGGCCCCGGCTGGTTATTTTTAAGATGGGACTGAAGTTGAGGGCTGGGCTGCAGGAGGAAAATGAGCTCCGTTCTGATTTCCACTGTTGGAACCCCAGTGCCTCCCTCCCAGCCACTCTTCAGTTCTTGGCTGCGAGCAGTAGCTTTGCTGTCTGTCCTTGGTTTGCTGTATTTGTAATAAGGAACCTTTGCTATGAAATTAGTGGGATACATTGGCTTCTCCTGTCTAATTTTGTGTAGCTCTGTCTACACAGTTTGGGTCCTAACTTGACTGCTCTGGGGCTGCTGGTGGCAGAGGACCCTGGGGCTTGGGAGTCGTGTCTGCGGTTGAATCCTCTCTGTGGGAGGTGGCCTGTGGTGCAGCCTTGTGGCTTGAAGATCTCTGATGTTGGAATGGTTGCTTGTCAGCACAGACAGGGCATGAAGTCCAGGCTGCGTTCCTCACATTTAGACCATTCTCTTTGTCCTGCCAGGTGTAGGTGAGGGTGCACTAGGTTGGAAGTCGTGGAAACCCACCCACCTGAGCCCAACCCTGAAGGGCACTGTTGAGGCAGAGCCTCAGGTGTGCCTTAGGGCCTGGCACCTTTGCTTTGTGCCATTCTGACTTTGCCTGCCTGGTGGGCGACTTCGTGGGCTTTGTGTTGGAGGTGGCTGCTGCAGTGACCTTGGGCTCTGGGCTCCCTTGTTTACAGATGCTTCCCGCAGCTCTGACGGATGGGCCCGCTGTTGCTCTGAGGAGGGCACGTGTGCCGCTGTGTCCCGTCTGTCTCAGCACAGTCACGGTGCGTGCGCTGGGGGCTGTGCAGCAGGGTCACTCCTGAAGGAAAGTGGGTTCTCCACCCAGACAGACGGCTGCTCCCCAGTGGGGAGCTGGGGGCAGTCCTCCAAAGGAAGGCTGCGGGTAATGCAAAGGGAAAAGGAGAGTGGGTACTGAACAGGCGGCTGGTGAGCATTGCTACCACAGCAGGGCCTGGAGCTTAGGCCTCACGTGTTAGGGGATGCATATCCTGTGGAGAGCCGGTTAGTCGTCCCGGTGTGTCCGGAATTGGTGGGTTCTTGGTCTCACTGACTTCAAGAATGAAGCCGCGGACCCTTGCCGTGAGTGTTACAGTTCCTAAAGGCGGCCTGTCCGGAGTTTGTTCCTTCTGACGTTCGGAGGTGTTCGGAGTTTCTTCCTTCTGGTGGGTTCGTGGTCTCACTGGCTTCAGGAGTGAAGCTGCAGATCTTCGCGGTGAGTGTTACAGCTCATAAAGGCAGTGTGGACCCAAAGAGTGAGCAGCAGCAAGACTTACTGGAAAGAGAGAAAGAACAAAGCTTCCACACTATGGAAGGGGACCCGAGCGAGTTACCACTGCTGGCTCCCGCAGCCAGCTTTTATTCTCTTATCTGGCCCCACCCACATCCTGCTGATTGGTAGAGTCCAGTGGTCTGTTTTGACAGGGCGCTGATTGGTGCGTTTACAATCCCTGAGCTAGACACAAAGCTTCTCCACATCCTCACCAGATTAGCTAGATACAGAGTGTCCACACAAAGGTTCTCCAAGTCCCCACCAGAGTAGCTAGATACAGAGTGTCGATTGGTGCATTCACAAACCCTGAGCTAGACACAGAGTGCTGATTGGTGTGTTTACAAACCTTGTGCTAGATACAGAGTGCCGATTGGTGTATTTACAGTCCCTGAGCTAGACATAAAGGTTCTCCACGTCCCCACCAGAATCAGGAGCCCAGCTGGCTTCACCCAGTGGATCCCGCACCGGGGTTGCAGGTGGAGCTGCCTGCCAGTCCCGTGCCGTGCGCCCGCACTCCTCAGCCCTTGGGTGGTCAATGGGACCGGGCGCTCGTCGGGGAGACTCGGTCCGCACAGGAGCCCACGGAGGGGGTGGGGGGCTTAGGCATGGCGGGCTGCAGCTCCCGAGCCCTGCCCTGCAGGAAGGCAGTTAAGACCCAGCGAGAAATTGAGCGCAGCTCCGGTGGGCCGGCACTGCCGGGGGACCCAGCACACCCTCCGCAGCCGCTGGCCCGGGTGCTAAGCCCCTCATTGCCCGCGGCCGGCAGGGCTGGCCGGCTGCTCTGAGTGCCGGGCCCACCAAGCCCACGCCCACCCGGGACTCCAGCTGGCCTGCAAGCGCATGCAGCCGCGGTTCCCGCTCGCGCCTCTCCCTCCACACCTCCCCGCAAGCTGAGGGAGCCGGCTCCGGCCTTGGCCAGCCCAGAAAGGGGCTCCCACAGTGCAGTGGTGGGCTGAAGGGCTCCTCAAGTGCCACCAAAGTGAGAGCCCAGGCAGAGGAGGCGCTGAGAGCGAGCGAGGGCTGTGAGGACTGCCAGCACGCTGTCACCTCTCACCGGGGTGGAATTTGCGTGGAGGAACGTGCCAGGAGGGCCAGCCCTCGGGTGCTGACCCCTCTGTCCTGGAGGCTACTTTGCCTGCATCTCTGCCACAGTCGCTCATCCCCTGCGGTGGGGCTGCTGCGGTCCAGCACGGCCACAGGCATCCAGTTCCCCTGTGGGACGCCTGAGTGCGGGTCCTTGTTGGTCCGTGTGTGAGCCGCGTGGTGGTTTCACATACTTGATTTGAGGAAAGTGAAGTGTTCTGCTTAGGTCTTTGTCTCAGCCTAGGAAAGAGCTCCATTCCTGGCCCTTTTCTGTGTTTGTCCCACTCACCCACTGTCATTTTGAGCTCCTGGGCCAAGGTTTCATGGGGTTCCTCCCTGGCTCCCCCGCTCTGCCTCTGTGGGAACACTTTCTGCACCCTCGGGTCTTTGTTCCCATTGTCAGTGGAACTTTGAACAGAGCTGGCTGGTTCACCTCGTCATTTCAGCGGTGTGGATCAGCAGGCAGGTTCTGCTGTTGACTGAGTGTTGGGCGGGAGGCCCAGGGCCTGCACTCCCTGGCTGGCGGGCTCAGGCTCTGCTTCCCTTCAGGGTGGCTTGGCCCACCAGGTGGCCTTCAGGGCTGGCCTTGCATGCCCCTGCCAGGTCCGCTTGGTCAAGCCCGCAGTCTCCTCGCCGCTGGCCCCTTCTGTTGACTGCCCTGACCTTCCTTGATGACTGGGGACAGGGTCTTCCTGGATATTTTCGTGTGTCTTCCCGGGCCAGTCCAGTGATGCACTTGTGGATAGGGCTGGTCAATGTGGCTGTGGCCAGAGAGTGGACAACAGACATGTCCACAGCAGGAGCAACATGGTGGCTTGTCTTGGGCTGCTGGTTCCTGGAGCTGCTCAGAGGACCGGTGGGTCCTTTCGAGGTGGGCAGCCAGCCCTTGCCGTTCAGGTTCCCGCAGGGGTGCGTGAGGAACCGTCGGACCTGCTCATTAGTTTATTGACTGTGTTTCTGGTAATGGCCTAAAAGGTTAAGAGAAGAAATGGTTAAAAAAAAAAAGAAGAAGAAGAAGAAGAAAAAGAAAGGGCCCAAAATGTGTACAGAGTTGTCTGTGGAGGAGTGGTTTTGGGTTTCCATGTCCGTTGGACCTCAGGCGGTGGTGCTGTTGAAGGTGCCCGGCTGCAGAGGGGCTGTGTTGCAAGGGTGAACTCTGCTTCCTGTGCAAAGGGTGTGGCCCAGGGTGGGGTCGCCCCCAGGCTTGTCTTGTTAAGGGGACCTCTGCTGTGGTGCAGAGGGGGCAGAGGTGCTTGTGAGCCATACTGCCCCTTGCGTGGGCTCCCCTTGCCTGGGTGTGGGGGGTTTCTAGTCTCCTTTGGGGTATTTGCTTCCCCTGTTTGAGCAGATCTGAAGAGAATTTTTTTTTTTTTTTAGACAGTCTTGCTCTGTCACACAGGTTGGAGTGCAGTGGCACCATCTCGGCTTACTGCAGCCTCCGCCTCCCAGGTTGAAGCAGTTCTCCTGCCCCAACCTCCCCAGTAGCTGGGATTATAGGCACCTGCCGCCATGCCTGGCTAATTTTTTTTTTTTTTTTTTTTTTGAGATGGAGTCTCGCTCTATCGCCAAGGCTGGAGTGCAGTGGCACAATCTTGGCTCACTGCAAGCTCCACCTCCTGGGTTCAAGCACTTCTCCTGCCTCAGCCTCCTCAGCAGCTGGGACTACAGGCGCGTGTCACCACGCCCGGCTAATTTTTTTTTTTTTTGTATTTTTAGTAGAGACGGGGTTTCACCTTGTTAGCCAGGATGGTCTCGATCTCCTGACCTTGTGATCCGCCTACCTCAGCCTCCCAAAGTGCTGGGATTACAGGTGTGAGCCACCACGCCCGGCCTTTTTTTTTTTTTTTTTTTTTTTTTGAGACCAGGCTGGCTGGTTTTGAACTCCTGACCTCAAGTGATCTGCCCGTCTCGGCCTCCCAAAGTGCAGGGGTTGCAGGTGTGAACCACCACACCCTGCCCAAAGGGAAATTTTTTTTGTTTGTGGATGTCCAAGGAAAACTTTAAAAATGATTCCTGGCCAGGCACGGTGGCTCATGCCTGTAATCCCAGACTCTGCTGGACTCTGCTGGTGCTCTGCTGGACTCTGTCCCCACAGCACCAGCTTGCATCCCACTTTTTTTTTTTTTCCCCAAGATGGAGTTTCGCTCTTGTCACCCAGGCTGGAGTGCAATGGCGCGATCTCAGCTCACTGCAACCTCTGCCTCTCAGGTTCAAGTGATTCTCTAGTCTCAGCCTCCCGAGTAGCTGGGATTACAGGTGCATGCCCCCACTCCTGGCTACTTTATGTATTTTTAGTAGAGACAAGGTTTCGCCATGTTGGCCAGGCTGGTCTCGAAATCTTGACCTTAAGTGGTCCGCCCACCTTGGCCTCCCAAAGTGCTGGAATTATAGGCGTGAGCCACTGTGCCCAGTCCATCTTGTATTTTTATGCACCTGTCAGTGGGCAAGGACTCCAAACATATTTTTTCTCTTCCTTAGCCACGTAAAGCTCCATAGTCTCAGACAGGTTTCAGCAGAGTCCACGAAAGTATCTGTAGTTGCCTGTCAGGCCAAAGGATTCTGGAACCGAGAGGCCCCTTTGCCTGGGCGGACCTCAGTCCTGAGCTGTGTGGGTGGGTTGTGAAAGGGAAGCACTTTGCAGACAGCCAGTGGCAGACGTGCCGATGAGACTGTGTGCCTGGCCCTGGTGCTGGTGCTGACCTGCAGCAGCTGTTTCTGGAGGGCTTGGGGTAAGTGTCCCTGCGGGCCCCTGTGGCCCTTCTTGGAACTGTGCCCTAGCCGTGACTGGCCGCCTGGCACCCCAGCCCATTCTCACATTTTGCGCCAGTGTCACAGATTTGAATTGACGCACACGCTCCGGTTCTGCTCATCCTTGTCAAACGCAGACGTCATTTGTAGCAGCGTACCCTGCAGTTATCGGAGGTGGGGGCCAGGCTGGGCTATGGTGGCTGTCAGGGAGAGAGGGCCGCCTGTTGGCTCTTTCTTGGGCCCCTCCGCTGCCTACTTGTGCGTGTGGAGGGAAGCAGCTTCACCTCAGTTTTTCCCCGTGTCACATCTGTGAGAATAACCACTCAGGGTTCTCTCAGAACCCATTAGCTCCAGAAGGTGTTCGGTCTCTCCACTCCCTGAGAGATGGAGACTGGTCACAGGGCTCTGTGAAAACACACACAGCTCTGCCATACTGCTGTGGCGTCCAGGGGGCCCCCAGAGGCCGCACGCCCGGCTGAGTGCCCATAGGGCCCAGATTCCATGCCCCTTCTCCTCCAGCAAGGACCCTGGGCCCTGTCCGGAGTTGAACGCTGGCTTGTGTGGATTGCAGCCTCGGCCCACGGGCTTCCTTTGTGATCCGTTGAAGCATCTGCTGGCAAATGGGCTCAGCTCTTGGCTCAGCTGGCTAGGTGGCCAGGTGGCCGGGTAGCTGGGCGTCCGGGTGTCCTGGCAGGCGCTGTCCTCACTGTGAGCTGCAGTGGGCTGCTTGGTCCTGTGCCCTGCTCATGGCACTCACCCTCCTGCCTCCTTTGAGGTTGCTCCAGTGCTTTTTTTTTTTTTTTTTTTTGGTTTTGACCCACTCTGGATCTTTACTAGCTCACCTGTAGTCTATGGGATTGGTGTCTGCTCCTAAACAAACATTTAAAATAACCCTAAGGAGTGCTGCTTGTAATATTCCAGCAAATAGGATGACTTGAATGCCCAGTGGCATTCATACAGTTGGATATGTGGGCTTTTAATTTTTTTCTTTGTTTTTCTGTATTTTCCAAATTCCTATAACAGCATGTTTATAATTAGAAAGTATATTATTAAAAGAATAAAAGCTTTAAAATATGCAGCTATTCAAAAGCACATTTTTTCTTTAAAAAGGATACACGTAAATGTGTCTTTTTTTTTTTTTTTTTTTTTTTTTTTTGAGACGGGGTCTTGCTCTGTCACCCAGGCTGGAGTGCAGTGGTGTGATCTCAGCTCACTGCAACCTCTCCCTCCCAGGCTCAAGAGCTCCTCCTCCCTCAGCCTCCCCAGTATCTGGGATTACAGGCGCCTGCCACCATGCCCGGCTAATTTTTTTGTGTTTTTAGTAGAGACGGGGTTTCACCGTGTTAGCCATCATGGTCTCCATCTCCTGACGTTGTGATCCACCAGCCTCGGCCTTCCAAAGTGCTGGGATTACAGGCGTGAGCCACTGTGCCTGGCCCACACCTGGTTAAGTTCTTGTATTTATGTTTTGTTTTTTTTTTTTTTTTTTGAGGCGGAGTCTTGCTCTGTTGCCCAGACTGGAGTGCAGTGGTGCAACCTCAGCTCACTGCAACCTCCGCCTCCTGGGTTCAAATGATTCTCCTGCCTCAGCTTCCTGAGTAGCTGGGATTACAGACATGCGCCACCACACCTGGCTAATTTTTGTATTTTTAGTAGAGATGAGGTTCCACCATATTGGCCAGACTGGTCTTGGACTGACCTCGTGATCTGCCCGCATTGGCCTCCCAAAGTGCTGGGATTACAGGTGTGAGGCACCGCGCCCAGCTGGTGTCTGTTCTTTTAGGGAACCAGCCCTCTTGGGTCAGGGCCCCACGTTTGCGTTCTCATCTAACAATAACACTTCCTTACTTCAAGCACAGCCACGTGATGGTCAGGGCTGACACATATTAATTGGGCGACACGGTTCGGTCCTTAGTGCCTTTTCTGAGTAACGTGCTCACTGCTATCTTGTGTCCACTGGCTCTTTGAGAGCTCTGCTGCTCTCCTGTCTCACCCCTACCCTGAGGTGTTCATGCACCAGGGCATGGTGCTTTCACTTCTGAGCCAAGTGGGTCAATCATTTTCTTTTTTGAGACGGAGTTTTGCTCTTGTATCCCAGGCTGGAGTGCAATGGCACCATCTTGGCTTACTGCAACCTCCGCCTCCTGGGTTCAAGAAATTCTTCTGCCTCGGCCTCCCGAGTAGCTGGGATTACAGGCGTGCATCACCACACCCAGCTAATTTTTGTATTTTTAGCAGAGACCAGGTTTTACCATGTTGGCCAGGCTGGTCTCGAACTCCTGACCTCAAGTGATCCCCCTGCCTTGGCCTCCCAAAGTGCTAGGATTATAGGCGTGAGCCACCACGCCTGGCCATTTTCTTTCCTGTACAATTTTGTGTGTTTGTTTTTGAGTTAATAATGGCCGTTTTTTTCATTTGATTAAATATTTTACTTTCCAACTTAAATCTTCCCATATTCTTCAGCTCAATAGAGTGCTTGTGAATATTCTTCTCCTCACTGTAAAACCTCTTGGATAAAGTATTTTTTCTCTGGAAGACATGTGTCCTGAAGTCTTCCATATTCCCACTCTGGTTGAAACAGTTACTCTTTAGGCATCCTGTGGTACTGGGTGCCTTGGAGCTGGTGTGTGTGGTACTGGCATGCTGTGTAACTGGGCGCAGTGGTACTGGGTGCTGTTATTGGGTGCCATGGTACTGGGTGTTGTGTTATTGGGTGCCATGGTACTGGGTGCTGTGTTATTGGCATGCAGTGGTACTGGGTGCTATGTTATTGGTGTGCCGTGGTACTGGGTGCTGTGTTATTGGCGTGCTGTGGTACTGAGTGCTATGTTATTGGTGTGCTGTGGTACTGGGTGCTGTGTAATTAGTGTGCCGTGGTACTGGGTGCTGTGTAATTAGCGTGCCATGATACTGGGTGCTGCATTATTGGCATGCTGTGGTACTGTGTGCTGTGTTATTAGTGTGTCCTGGTACAGACTAGTGGCCGAGGTGTGCCTGTGTGGAGATCTGAGGGTGACGTAAGTAGAGGCACTGGCGTGAGGGCCCCTCATGCAGTGTCAGGCTTGCACCTTTGCTTGGAAATTCCATTAGCTTTGGAATTTATAGCTTCGTGGTGCAGTGTGGAGTTATGTTGGAGATACCACAAAGATAAAGCATTTCCATGGTGAACAAAAAAGTTTACAAATAAAAGCAGTCCAGGCCGTTTTTATTTTGGCTTTGTTATGTGTCCACTTACTGCTGTGCATTCTATACGCCAATGGGAGTGTTTTGTAGATTCTCATGAGTTGGTTGCGTTTGGTTCATTTGGGTAAAGTGAAACTCCTTTTAAAAGAAGCAGAAAAAAATTAAATATCTCATAAAAATAAAGATTTTCTATTTCTGCCTCAGAGTGTTTCTCTCTAGTGAGTGGTGTGTAATTAGTGTGCCATGGTACTGGGTGCTGTGTAATTAGCGTGTCATGGTACTGGATGGTTTGCTTTTGGCATGCCATGGTGCTGGGTGCTGTGTTATTGGCATGCTGTGGCACTGGGTGCTGTGATATTAGTGTGTTGTGGTACTAGGTGCTGTGTTATTGGCATGCTGTGGTACTGGGTGCTATGTTATTGGTGTGCTGTGGTATTGGGTGCTGTGTAATTAGCATGCCATGGTACTGGGTGCTGCATTATTGGCGTGCTGTGCTACTGGGTGCTGTGTTATCAGTGTGCCATGGTACTGGGTGCTGTGTAATTAGTGTGCCATGGTACTGGGTGCTGTGTTATTGGCATGCTGTGGTACTGGGTGCTGTGTTATTGGTGTGTTGTGGTACTGGGTGCTGTGTAATTAGCTTGCCGTGGTACTGGGTGCTGCATTATTGGCATGCCGTGGTATTGGGTGCTGTGTAATTAGCATGCCATGGTACTGGGTGCTGGGTTATTGGCATGCTGTGGTACTGGGTGCTGTGTTATTGGTGTGTTGTGGTACTGGGTGCTGTGTAATTAGCGTGCCATGGTACTGGGTGCTGGGTTATTGGCATGCTGTGGTACTGGGTGCTGTGTTATTGGTGTACTGTGGTACTGGGTGCTGTGTAATTAGCGTGCCATGGTACTGGGTGCTGTGTTATTGGCATGCCATGGTACTGGGTGCTGTTATTGGTGTGCCATGGTACTGGGTGCTGTGTTATTGGCATGCCGTGGTACTGGGTGCTGTGTTATTGGCATGCCGTGGTACTGGATGCTGTGTTAGTGGTGTGCCTTGGTACTGGGTGCTGTGTTATGGGCATGCTATGGTACTGGGTGCTGTGGTACTGCGTGCTGTGTTATTGGATGCCATGGTACTGCATGCTGTGTTATTGCTGTGCTGTGGTACTGGGTGCTGTGTTATTGGCATGGTATGGTACTGGGTGCTGTGTTATGGGCATGCTATGGTACCTGGTGCTGTGTTACTGGTGTGCTGTGGTATTGGGTGCCATGGTACTGGGTGTGCTGTGGTACTGGGTGCTGTGTTATTGGCATGCTGTGGTACCTCGTGCTGTGTTACTGTTGTGCTGTGGTACTGGTGTTATGCGCTCATGCCAAAAGAACTTGAAGGAGAGATGAGTTGGGTTTAGAATTTAGGTTGGGTGGCACCCCCCCCATAAATTTAGAGGAATTTGCACCATCACCTTCTGTTTTTCTGAGCTGCCCTGGAAAGACCTGGCTCCATTCTCTTCATACGGTGTGGATGGTGCTTTTTTTCTTCCCTCCAGACATTTTTTGGATGTTTTCTTTATCAACAGTGTTATTTCATAATACTGTGTTTTGCTGGGGGCTTTTTTCTTTCATCGTGCTGAAGAAACTTGTCCTTTAATTCTGGAGTTTAAATGGTATTTGTTTCTTTTCTTTTTTTTTTTTTTCTGAGGCGAGTCTGGAAAAAAAGGCTTGAGCGATCCTCCTGCCTCAGCCTCCAGAGTAGCTGGGACTATAGGCACCAGCACACCCCACTAATTTTTTTTTTTCGAGATGGAATTTCGCTCTTGTTGCCCGGGCTGGGGTGCAGTGGTGCGATCTCGGCTCACTGCATCCGCTGCCTCCCGGGTTCAAGCAATTCTCCTGCCTCAGCCTCCTGAGTAGCTGGGATTACAGGCATGCGCCACCACACCCAGCTAATTTTGTATTTTTAGTAGAGATGGGGTTTCTCCATGTTGGTCAGGCTGGTCTCAAACTCCCGACCTCAGGTGATCCGCCTGCCTCGGCCTCCAAAGTGCTGGGATTACAGGCGTGAGCAATTGCACCCGGCCCACCTCGCTAATATTTTTTTACAGTTTTTTGTAGAGACAAGGTCTCCCAGTGTTGCCCAGGCTGGTCTCAAGCTCCAGGCCTTGAGCACTCCTCCTACTTTGGCCTCTCAGAGAGTTGAAATTGCAGGTGTGAGCCATTGATTGCATCTGGCCAGAAATGTTATTTCTTTGATAATTCCTTCTCTCCATCTTTACCATTTCTCATTTTAGAACTTATTTGAGATCTTATTTAGATTTTGGACCATTTAGAGTGATCCTTTAAATTTTAAATCTTTCATATATTTTGCATTTCTTTTTGTTGTGTTTTCATATCTTTTCAATACATTTTTTTCCTGCCCTTGCTTTCTGAATATACACTCAAAAAATTATACTTTTTTTTTTTTTTTTTGGTTTAGATCAACATTGTTTAGATCAAAATCTTTCTGGAGATGTTAAGATGTTAAGTGTAATTTTTTTTTTGTTTTCTTTTTTTTTTTGAGAAGGAGTCTCGCTCTTTCGCCCAGCCTGGAGTGCAGTGGCACGGTCTCAGCTCACTGCAACCTCCACCTCCCGGGTTCACGCCATTCTCCTGCCTCAGCCTCCCTAGAGCTGGGACTACAGGCGCCCGCCACCACGCCCAGCTAATTTTTTGTATTTTTAGTAGAGATGGGGTTTCACTGTGTTAGCCAGGATGGTCTCCATCTCCTGATCTCGTGATCCGCCCGCCTTGGCCTCCCAAAGTGCTGGGATTACAGGCGTGAGCCACCGCGCCCAGCCTGGCTGCAGGTTTTATATCCTGTTTCTAAAAGTTAAATATGCTTTACTTGTGATTGTGATGTTGCTGCTGCGAGTTCTCTAAACTGTCCTTGGACCGTGGGGCCCTCAGTTGTTGCTGGTCCACCACCATCTGCAGGAGCTGTGAACAGAGGACTGTCAGGGACCATTGTCGCTGCTGAAGGCTGCCGACCTGTGGACTCTCGCACTGCCTGTGTCAGGCGTCAGGCCATCCGCGAGCCCCTAACGAGGTGTGGGAGTGTCATGCCATCCATGTGGAAACTGAGGCCCTGGGAGATTAAGTAACTTCCCATCTGCTGTAGTCAGGGTCGGGCCCTTAGTCACCGTGGTCTCTGGAACCCACAGGCCTGGAAACAGCGCTTTTGAGCAGGGGCTCAGCGAGGCTGGGGGTCAGACTAGTGGCCGAGGTGCGCCTGTGTGGAGATCTGAGGGTGACGTAAGTAGAGGCACTGGCGTGAGGGCCCCTCATGCAGTGTCAGGCTTGCACCTTTGCTTGGAAATTCCATTAGCTTTGGAATTTATAGCTTCGTGGTGCAGTGTGGAGTTATGTTGGAGATACCACAAAGATAAAGCATTTCCATGGTGAACAAAAAAGTTTGCAAATAAAAGCAGTCCAGGCAGTTTTTGTTTTGGCTTTGTTATGCGTCCGCTTACTGCTGTGCATTCTATACGCTGATAGGAGTGTTTGATAGATTCTCATGAGTTGGTTGCGTTTCTTTCATTTGGGTAAAGTGAAACTCCTTTTAAAAGAAGCAGAAAAAAATTAAATATCTCATAAAAATAAAGATTTTCTATTTCTGCCTCAGAGTGTTTCTTTCCAGACAGAGGCTTCTTCCTGCTGCACACTCAGAGTCAAGGAAACTGGACACAGCTGCTTTGGAGTGTTAGGGACGTCCATGAGCTGTCAGCCCAGGGAAGGGCTCCAGGATCCCTGAGAATGTCATAAAGAGGGTAGACCCAGCTTGGAACTTGCAGTTTCTAAATTACTTCAAGGGAACAAACCAGAGTGCTTCATGTACAGAATTTTTTTTTTCATGTACAGAATTTTTACCTTAACTAGATTGATAAGTGTCCAGTGTTTTAATTTTTAATAAGACGTGGCTTTCAGAAGTTGTTATTTTCGTCTTGTAGCTTCAGCACTGAGAGCTGGTCTCCTTCAGGTGAGTTTTATGCAGGATTCAGGGACCATGACTGTAAGCCGGCAACCTGGTTCTGGGTAAGTGATGTATTCAGACTTCTGCTGAGGAGGCTCTGAGGCTGGCGTGAGACTTGCCACCCTGCAGTCTGCAAGGGCTGCAGTCTGGCTGGCCTTTGTAAAGACCCTGGAGCAATAGGGCAGATTGCATCTTGGCAAATGACTCTAAATTGCCTGCAATTTGCTGGGAATTGCCACTTCCAAATGTTTGTTGCAGCATAGATAATCTGAGCTTGTGAAAGGTCATTGGCTGTTCTTTGGAACCAGTAAATTCCTGGGGGCTTCTGCTCCAGGGGTGAAGGCTGGAGTGAGGGTGCTAGTGTCTCCTGGGGAGGAAAGCATAAAACATTTTTTTGTTCTACTTTTTAAATGTTACCACTCTTCATTACATAAAGTGTTTCTCATCAGATCCTTGTGAACCTAAAAATGTGATGTGAAGCCATTTGTGCAGTTCCAGGCTCTGAAGAGACTTTTGTGACATTGAAGAAATGTGGCAGTGAGCAGCACAAAACTGAATTCAATGCACGGTGTTCACGCTGAGCAGAGGAAAGAGGTCGTCAGTTTCATAACTGATTGTGCTGAGCACTAACTAGTGAGTCTCATTAGTGAGTTCTTTGGTGCATTATAATTTTCAAAGTGTTCTTCATGTACATTATTGCATAGTTTTCAGTCAATGCAAAGACAGATTGTTGTCAGAGTTCTATATGAAAGACGTTTGGTAGCGGGCACAGTGGCTCACATCTGTAATCCCAGCACTTTGGGAGGCCAAGGTGGGTGGATTGCTTGAGCCCAGGATTTTGAGACCAACCTGGGCAACATAGGGAGACCCCCATCTCTAGAAAAAAATAGAAAAATTGAGATGAGTGTGGTGGCATGCACCTGTGGTTCCAGCCACTAGGGAGGCTGAGATGGGTGGGTCACCTGAGACCGGGAGGTTGAGGCTGCAGTGAGCTGTGAATGTGCCACTGCTCTCCAGCCTGGTTGACAGAGAGAGACCCTCTCTCAAAAAAAAAAAAGGGCCGGGCACAGTGGGTCATGCCTGTAATCCCAGTACTTTGGAAGGTCGAGGCGGGAGGATCACGAGGTCAGGAGTTTGAGACCAGCCTGACCAACATGGTGAAACCCCGTCTCTACTAAAAATACAAAAATTGGCCAGGCGCGGTGGCTCACGCCTGTTATCCCAGCACTCTGGGAGGCTGAGGCGGGTGGATCACAAGATCAGGAGATTGAGACCATCCTGGCTAATACAGTGAAACCCCGTGTCTACTAAAAAATACAAAAAAAAAAAAAAAATAGCCGGGCAAGGTGGCTGGCACCTGTAGTCCCAGCTACTCGGGAGGCTGAAGCAGGAGAATGGCGTGAACCTGGGAGGCGGAGCTTGCAGTGAGCCAAGACTGCGCCACTGCACTCCAGCACTCTAGCCTGGGCGACATAGCGAGACTCCGTCTCAAAAACAAAAAAAAACAAAAATTAGCCGGGCATGGTGTTGTGCGCCTGTAATCCCATCTACTCGGGAGGCTGAGGCAGGAGAATTGCTTGAGCCCGGGAGGCGGAGGATGCATTGAGCCAAGATCACGCCATTGCACTCCAGCCTGGGCAACAGAGAAAGATGCCATATCCAAAAAAAAGAAAAGAAAGAAAACACAGAACAAAGAAATGGTCTGATATCCCACTGCTCAGAGATACTACTATTCTATCTAGATCGCTCTAGATTTTTCTTAGCACATTTTTTTCATCAAAAATGGGATCCTAATTCATGTTACCCACTCTGTATGTTTTTCAGTATCTTTTTTTTTTTTTTTTTTTTTTTGACAGTCTCGCTCTGTCGCCCAGGCTGGAGTGCAGTGGCGCGATGTCAGCTCACTGCAACCTCTGCCTCCTGGGTTCAAGCGATTCTCCTGCCTCAGCTCTTGAGTAGATGGGATTACAGGTGCACACCACCACGCCTGGCTAATTTCTATATTTTTAGTAGAGACAGGGTTTCACCATGTCGGTCAGGCTGGTCTCGAACTCCTGACGTCGTGATCCTCCCTCCTGCCTTGGCCTTCCAAAGTGCTGGGATTACAGGCGTGAGCTACCGTGCCCAGCCCACTATCATTTTAAATAGTTACTGGTGTGAGCAGCGTGGCAGCACCCAGGGGTTGTGCAGAGAGGACAGGGTGCCTGGCAGACCCTCCCTGCCCGCCATCTCTCCTGGAAAGCGGAGCAGCAGCTTCAGTCTGTGGGGGACTGTGCAGAGAGGACAGGGTGCCCGGCCACACTCTCCCTGCCTGCCATCTCTCCTGTCTGTAGCACCCGTTGCCATGTGCCTTTCAAAATCATGAGTGTTTGGGTTCCTGTGAATATGCTGTTCTTGTTAAGTATTTAATTTATTATTATTTTTTTTGACATGGAGTTTCGCTCTTGTTGCCCAGGCTGGAGAGCAATGGTGTGGTCTCGGCTCACTGCAACCTCTGCCTCCTGGGTTCAGGTGATTCTCCCGCTTCAGCCTCCCGAGTAGCTGGGATTACAGACATGTGCCACCACGCCTGGCTAATTTTTTTTTTTTTAGTAGAGATGGGGTTTCTCCATGTTGGTCAGGCTGGTTGCGAACTCCCAACCTCAGGTGATCCGCCCGCCGCGGCCTCCCAAAGTATTGGGATTACAGGCGTGAGCCACTGCACCTGGCTGTATTATTATTATTTTTTTTAGTGACAGAGTCTTGCTGTGTTACTCAGGCTGAAATGCAGTGGCATGATCATGGCTCACTGCAGCCTCAGCCTCCTGGGCTCAGGCGATCCTCCTGCCTCAGCCTCCTGAGTAGCTGGGACCACAGGTGCATGCCACCACACCTGGCTAATTTTTTAAATATTTTGCAGAGACGAGGTCTCACCTTGTTGTCCAGGCTGGTCTTGAACTCCAGGACTCAAGTGATCCATCTACCTCAGCCTCCCAAAATGCTGGGATTACAGGTGTGAGCTACCCCGCCCAGCCCTTGGCTAATTTTTGCAACATTTTTTTGTAGAGACAAGGTCTGGCCTTTTCACTCAGGTGGGTCTTGAACTCTTGGCTTTAAGGCATTCTGCCTCAGCCTCCTACAGTGCTCGGATTACAGGCTTGAGCCACTGTCCCCAGCCTGGTGAAGCATTTGTTTAGAGTCTCACAGACAGTTAGTTGGAATTGTGGGTTTAACTGTGACCTGCAGCCTTTCCCACCCAGTCCCCTAACTAATGTGCAGGACACTTTGGTTGCTAGGCTGTAGTGAGGGCTTTCTGCATCATGTGCCTGGCCTCACCCAAGCACTGTTTGCTGAAATGCTCAGAAACTTTATAAAGAAGTGGCCACTGTCATTTCCGCTTTGTAAGCTAGGAATTGGCAGACTGCCTGTGGTCAGTAGCCAGTAAGTGCTGGTGAGGGGCATTTGGCCACAGTTTGAGCTGTTGGACTCCCGGGATGGCAGGTGTGGGTGGCTGCCAGGGCTGCCCCGCCTGTGCTGCGCCTGTGGACAGTCTGCAGAAACACACACCCTCCCTATCGTCACTGTTTGATTTTGATCATAAAGGGCCTTTGGTGTGTTGTGCGGTTCACAGTGAGTGGGTGGGGGCACCAGCGGTGTTATAAAACAAAGAAAAGGCTGGCCGCAGCGTGGAACCACAGCGAGGCCTCCTAGGCACAGGCCGCAGGGCTGAGCCGGAAGCTCCTGCCTGGTGCCTGGTGACTCATTCTCTTGCCCTTTTGTGTCTGCCACCCTGAGTGACCGAGAAATCACCTGCTCATTCAGTGTGAGCAGAAGGGGTGAGAGTGCCCTGCCCCATGGTCATTCAATGCTGTCTGGTCAGCCCATCACCTGTTCCTGCCCCTGAGGGTGACACCAAGTGTCTGCCGCCATGCAGAACACCCACGAGATACGTAGGTGGAGTATTCTGGGACCTGATGGGGGTGCTGGCAATCTTTTTTTTTTTGAGACGGAGCCTCGCTCTGTCGCCCAGGTTGGAGTGCAATGGTGCGATCTCGGCTCACTGCAAGCTCCACCTCCCAGGTTCATGCCAGTCTTCTGCCTCAGGCTCCCGAGTAGCTGGGACTACAGGCACCCGCCACCGCACCCGGCTAATTTTTTTTATATTTTTAGTAGAGATGGGGTTTCACCGTGTTAGCCAGGATGGTCTCCATCTCCTGACCTCGTGATCCCCCCGCCTCGGCCTCCCAAACTGTTGGGATTACAGGTGTGAGCCACCACACCCGGCCAGTGCTGGCAATCTTGGCTGACGCTTCAGGCAGAGGCCACATCCCTGATTTTATGGAGGAAGTAAAATAGAGATTTTCATAGCTGACGGTGGCCTGATTTTGATCACTTTTTTTTTTTTTTTGATCCCACTCTGTCACCAGGCTGGAGTGCAGTGGCGCGATCTCGCTCACTGCAACCTCCGCCTCCCAGGTTCAAGTGATTCTCCTGCTTCAGCCTCCCGAGTAGCTGGGACTACAGGCGTGCCACCACGCCCAGCTAATTTTTTGTATTTTTAGTAGAGATGGGGTTTCACCATGTTGGCAAGGATGGTCTCAATCTCTTGATCTCATGATCCGCCCGCCTTGGCCTCCCATGGTGCTGGGATTACAGGTGTGAACCACCGTGTCCGGCTCTCAATCACATTTTTTAGTATAAACTTTGTGACCTTTGGGTGCAAAGGTAGGTTATTTATCTATAGGTGTGTATATATATATATATATATATATTTTTTTTTTTTTTTTTTTGAGACGGAGTTTTGCTCTTGTTGCCCAGGCTGGAGTGCAGTGGTGTGATTGTGGCTCACTGCAACCTCTGCCTCCCCAGTTCAAGAGATTCTCCTGACTCAGCCTCCCGAGTAGCTGGGATTATGGGCGCCTGTCGCCATGCCCAGCTAATTTTTTGTATTTTTAGTAGAGATGGGGTTTCACCATTTTAGCCAGGCTGGTCTTGAACTCCTGACCTCATGATCCGCCCACCTCAGTCTCCCAAAGTGCTGGGATTACAGGCATGAGCCACCACGCCTGGCCCTTGTTATATATATAGTATATAAGTGACAGCATCTGCATGAATGGGGGCCAGTTGTCAGTATTGCTAAAACAGAAGCGAGACCTCTCCATGCCGGTGTGAACCAGGGCGGGCCTTTTCGTGGCCAGCGTGAGTGAGTGGGGCCCTCTCTGTGGTCAGCATCTGCATTTTGTGTGCTGTGCCTTTGTCACATTCATATGGAAGTTCATGTGAGGTGAGGAAATGCTTGTCCTGCTTCTCCCAGTGCCTGTCTGCTTTGGTCGTTTCTTGGTGTTTCCGAAGGCCCCGTCATGAGAGAAGATGGAGCTAACACAGAGCAAGGTGCCGTGTTGGGGAATGGCTCTCCTCTCTTCTTCTCAGGGCTGGAGCCTGCAGCCACGTGGGACAGACCATAAGTTGTACACACGACGCTGTGGCAGCCATCACTCTGGGGCGGTGACCGCTCCTTGGCAGTCGGCCCCTGCGGGCAGTGGGTTGAGCCCTGGTCTGGGCGCCCTTGACCAGGTTTGTGTCTGGACTGGGGGAGGCGAGACGTGGGGAGGGCGCTGGCTGTGGCCTGGCTGTTGGCCTCGGGGTCAACTCTGCCCGCTGGGAAGCGCTGCCCCAACTCCAGTGGCACTGCCAAGCAGTTGGAGAAAAACACCGTGGTGCATCCTGGCATGCCACGGCATAAAAGGGATGAGTCGCTGATAACCATGGAGGCAGGGGTGCATCTCAGGATCCTGTGCCAGTGAAGAAAGCCAGAGCGGAGGGGGCGCCGGAGCAGCGGGGGGCACTAGCTCCCCATGAGACTGCGTTTATACAGAATTCTAGAAAAGGCCGACTGACCTCGAGCGACAGGTGGATTTCCCCAAGGGAAGCCTCCCCAGGCTTCCGGGTTGAATATGTGGGCTGAGGCGATGGTTTCCTGGGGTGCGGGGCCGCCCGCGGGGCTGAGGCGATGGTTTCCTGGGGTGCGGGGCCGCCCGCGGGGCTGAGGCCATGGTTTCCTGGGGCGCGCCCGCGGGGCTGAGGCTGTGATCTGGTGCGCGTCAGAACGTGCCAGGTAGGACTGTGGTTCTGTGCGGGTCCGCTGAGCACCCAGCCGTGCGTCAGTAGAGCTGATTTTTACACAGCCGTTTCCTTGCCTTTGTTCATCCCGGAGTTCTGCGCCCTTAGGAACTGTGCACCGGGCGCTGCTGCCTCCCTGAAGGCTTGGGCAGAGCCTTTCCCTGCGCGGGACTCGGGGGCTGGGCCTGGGAAGGGCCTGCGGCTGCCGGAAGCTGCCTCTGCAGGGCGGGTTCTGTCTGCTGGCTGTGCTGTTCCGGGGGGTCGGGATGCAGGTCGCTGATGGCACTGGCCGTGTCTGAGGATTGGACCGCTCACCTGGGGTGCCCCTCCTCCTCCTGGTATAAAGTACGACTTAGCTTGTCAAAACAGGGATCAAGTAAGTGTGTCTGTGTCATGTGCTGACGTGCGGCGTGTGGTCTTGTGATAACACTGGAAGCGCCTACTGACCACCTGCGGGCGTTTTCTGCTCAGTTGTGTTTGTCAAGCTTCTGTTTATCTCCACAAACTCTGCGGGACACTGGGCGGGTTGGTTGGGAAGCTGCTCATGGTGCCCTTGGCCATGTGATCCTTGCAAACCTCCCCGGAGGACCGCGGGCCTGTGAGGCCTGTGCCTGACCCGCCTTTCCATATCGCTTCTGCCCTGCGCTGCTTCCAGCCGTTTCTATGCACCCGCATTCCGGCCCCCAGCCTCCTCCCAGGAGGGCTCAGAAAGGATCCGGCAGGAGACCTGTAGAGCAAATGTAGCCCCCATGCCATGGCATCGGCGTCCTTGAGCAGGTGGCCTCGTGCCCAGTGCCGACCCGTAATGTGGCCCGGAAGACCCGTAAAGACCCGTAAGGCGGCTCACTGACACTTGGCCCCAGATCTGCCCCTCATGGAGGCTGCTGGTCAGTGCGGACGGTCCCGGGTATTTCAGATGTGACTCTTGTGGGCTGCAGGGCTCTCCTGCACTGGGCTCCCCATGGTCTGCAGGGTTTCCTGTGGGCTACGGGGCTTCCCATGGACAGGTCTCCCCATGGACTATGGGGCTCTCCTGTGGGCTTTGGGGCTCCCACAGGCTGGTGTCTCCAGGGTGGGTTGCTCATTCTGTGCCGTATTCCATCCCCTGTCGCAGTTGACACCTTTTCCCTTTGCACCCACAGTGGTGAAGACCTGTGCTTATGCTCCTAGAGAGACGCAGGTGAGAACCCAAGTCACACCCCTCAGTGTTTTGTTTTGTTGGTGTGTGTGTGTGTGTGTGTGTGTGTGGTGGAGTCTCACTCTGTTGCCCAGGCTGGAGTCAGTGGTGTGATCTCATCTCACTGCAAGCTCCGCCTCCCGGGTTCACATAATTCTCCTGCCTCAGACTCCCGAGTAGCTGGGACTACAGGCACCTGCCACCACGCTTGGCTAATTTTTTGTATTTTTGGTAGAGACAGGGTTTCACTGTGTTAGCCAGGATGGTCTTGATCTCTTGACCTTGTGATCCACCCGCCTCGGCCTCCCAAAGTGCTGGGATTACAGTTTTGAGCCACCGTGCCCCGCCTGTTTTGTTTTGTTTTTTTTAATCTTATTTTGGCTTTTTTTCTTTCTTTTTTTTTTTTTTTGAGACGGAGTCTCGCTCTGTCGCCCAGGCTGGAGTGCAGTGGCGCGATCTCGGCTCACTGCAAGCTCTGCCTCCTGGGTTCACGCCATTCTCCTGCCTCAGCCTCCCGAGTAGCTGGGACTACAGGTGCCCGCCACCGCACCCGGCTAATTTTTTGTATTTTTAGTAGAGACGGGGTTTCACCGTGTTAGCCAGGAGGGTCTCGATCTCCTGACCTCGTGATATGCCTGCGTTGGCCTCCCAAAGTGCTGGGATTACAGGCATGAGCCACCGCGCCCGGCCTCTTTCCTTTTCTTTTCTTTTTTCTTTCTTTCTTTCAAGACAGGGTCTTGACCTCTTGCCTAGGCTGGTCTCGAACTCCTGGGCTTAAGCAGCTCTCCTACCTCAGTCTCCCAAGTGCTGGGATTTCAGGCCTGAGCCACGCTTGGCTCTCAGTTTTGGGAAGCAAGTGGCATTGGCATCCATGGCCTCTGCCAGGTGACCGCTCCCTGCCATCTGGTGCCAGAGCCCCTTCCCTGGACATGACTGCAGACCAGAGCTGGGACGCAGCTGCAGGCCATGGCTCACCTCTTCCCCCAGGCCACTGCCCGCCATCCTCAGAGGCCTTTTCTGCCTGTGTTGCTTCTTGCCAGGCTTTTGTGTCTGCCAGTGTCTGGGCTCTAAAGGATGCACTCATCCGTCCACCGCCCACAGCTCCAGAAAATGAAGAGGGTCCCCGGGAGCCAGCGATTCTGTGTGTAGGATTCACCCACCATCCTCAGTGGCTCTGTGGGACTCAGGTGGCTGGAGACACATGGATGGGGTATTGAGGGGCAGACGCACACCCGAGTCTGCATGGACTCTTTGCCTCGCGGACAGCCAGGTCCCACTTGCTTTGGAGAGGAGGATGTGCAGCCCAGGGGATTCTGCCTCTGTGCCCAGGTGAGGCACAGGTCAGCACCAGCACCTGCCATGCTAACTCAGCTCCTGCACAGGCCTCCCACACCTGTGCAGAGGAAACACAGCCGTAGGAGCACATCTGTCCCCATACCTGAGCACAGGTGCACACTCCACTGCGGGCAGGTACAGGGTGATGGGTTGAGGGGAGACATACTCAGTCATGAGTTATTGCCTCCCGTTAGACCGCACTACCAGCAGGGCCATCCCTGGAGCCTGGGGTGTGCGCCATGTTCCCCAGCTGCCCCTCGGTCACCTCCTCCTGGAGCCTGGGGTGTGCACCACTGTTTGCAGCCACCCTGCCCTGAGCCAGGCCTGGGAGAAGCACCCAGCCTCACGCCTGCGGCATGCGCTGCCTGGGTTTCCCTGGCCACAAGACGGGGCTCTCTGTGCTTCTCAGAAGGTCGTGCATCTTTGGGTCTGTGCGGCCACCTCCGTCTTCATGTCCAGCTCACTTGGAATTGGGCTTTCATTGGCTCATTCCTGGCTTATCATCCAGGGCTCACAGATGTGTGTTTCCAGCCATTTTACTAATTCCAGCCTCTGTCTTTCAGAATACAGCTGGTCTCTAACTTAGGATGGCTCCACTTAGGCCTTTTCAACTTTACAACCAGCCTGAAGCATTCAGGGTGCCCGTCAACGAAGGGCAAGGCTGTGTCTGGATAACACTTTGAGGTTGGAATCCACTTTCCACCTCATATTCCCAGCTATGAGAGGGTTTAACCCTTCGTGGGTTGGAATCCACCTTCTACCTCATATTCCCAGCTATGAGAGGGTTTAACCCTTCGTGGGTTGGCATCCGCCTTCTACCTCATATTCCCAGCTATGAGAGGGTTTAACCCTTCGTGGGTTGGAATCCACCTACCTCATATTCCCAGCTGTGAGAGGGTTTAACCCTTCGTGGGTTGGAATCCACCTTCTACCTCGTATTCCCAGCTATGAGAGGTTTATCAGGACACAGCCTTGTCGTGAGTTGAGGAGCTCTGTGGTTGGAGAAAAAGGCGATTTGCCTTTCAAAATGGCTATAATTATTTTACGTGGTGTACTGACCTGTGCTGCTTAAGCAAAACCATCAGAACTTACTTTTAACAACACAGAAGTCTTGGCGGGGTGGGGCACGTGCTATGCAGAGCTCTCCTGGGGCTGCTGTTTGCTGTTTCCCCATAGTGGTTGTCACCAGCAGGTGCCATGTGGTGCCTTACTACCAGGGAGGGTGGCGGCTCCTGCCTGGGTATGGAAATGTGGTGCCTTACTACCAGGGAGGGTGGCGGCTCCTGCCTGGGTATGGAAGGCACAGAGAGCAGCGGGCCCAGAGCATCCCAGAGCGTGGGTAGCAGGAGGCAGGAGGGCCTGTAGCAGTGGTTTCGGGTGATTCCCAGGGCCAGATCTACCTCCAGCCTCCTCTTCCCATGTTCTGGGTGGCATCCGTCACACCAGGTGGTCTTTTGGCATGAAACATTTTTTGTGGGCAGGCGCAGTGGCTTAAGCCTGTAATCCCAGCACTTTGGGAGGCCGAGGCGGGCAGATCACAAGGTCAGGCGTTCGAGACCAGCCTGACCAACACGGCGAAACCTTGTCTCTACTAAAAATACAAAAATTAGCCGGGCGTGGTGACGTGTGCCTGGAGTCCCAGCTACTCGGGAGGCTGAGGCAGGAGAATCGATTGAACCCAGGAGGCGGAGGTTGTAGTGAGCCGAGATCGCGCCACTGCACTCCAGTCTGGGCGAAAGAGCGAGGCTCCGTCTCAAAAAAAAAAAAAATATATATATATATATATATACACACACACGCATATACGTATGCATATATACATATATACACACATATATACATTTACATATATACATATATATTTGTTTTTAATTTTTATATTCTTGAGTGTACTTAGTAATTTTAAAGGTAATTGATGAGGAAAGCTGGAACTCTCTCAAATTTGCACGTGTGTGTTAAGGGATGTGGAGGGATGCTGTGAAGCTTGACCTGTTTCTAAATTTCTCCATGAAACCATCACAGCGAAGCATCATAATTTTGTGTAACTTTTCTGTTTAGATTTTATCCGCCCCTATGTTGCATTATTGGTGTTGTCATCTTACCTTGCTGGAATCCTTTTAAAGCATTTACCCCTTTGCAGTTCAGTAATTAAAATGATCTGATTTGTGGCCAGGCATGATGGCTCATGCCTGTAATCCCAGCACATTCGGACACCGAGGTGGGCAGATGACTTGAGCCCAAGAGTTCAAGACCAGCCTGGGTGACATAGTGAGACCTCATCTATATAAAAAATGAAAAAGTAGCCAGGAGTGGTAGTGTGCGCCTGTTGTCCCACCTACCTGGGAAGCTAAGGTGGGAGTCCAGGGAATAAAAAAGAAAATGTCAGTGCAGGAAATGCGTTGCTTGTGAGTGTGTGGGGGGCTGTCGGTTCTGAGGTTCTCATGCGGCCTGGGAAGAGGCAGGTGTGATGTGTGGGATTGAGACATGTCCAGGCACAGGAACCAATGAAAGAACTGTACAACATTTACTTTTTCAGAGGGAGGAAATGGAAAGCAAAAAATACCCCAAAGAAGGCAAGAAAGAGCAAAAGGAAGTAGAGCAGATGTGATAAACCAACCCGATCCGACGGTGGCCCAGCTCCCTCCACATCACACTAAATGTAACCGGACCAGACAGCCTCATTAAAAGGAAAAATTGTTATGCTACCTTTTTAAAAGGCAGGCTGCTTACACAAGTAGAAGAATATAGAATGGTTAAATGTGAAAAGACGGAAGATGAAAGTACCACAGTGACCAGAGAGCCGGTGCCGTGGCCATGCTGGATGTGGGAGCAGCCGCGGGAGTCCCAGAGAGGTGCCTTCCTGGGGCAGGAGGAGCACCTTTCTCCACCATCCATGAACACCTGGGCAGGGGAGACCTTCTGTGTGGCCCTGACATTTGGGCCTCCTAGGCCAGCCTAGAGTGCACTGGCCGCCTCATGGCTTCTCATTTCCTGTTGCCTTGAAGCTAATAGGGTCCTTGTAGCTGTCAAACCCCACAGGTGTTTGTTTATGACACAGCTCCTGGGCATTGATTCTGCCATCAGCGCCTCCTCACCGCTCCACTGGACTTTCCCTTCTGTGATGGGCACGTTTTTCCCTAAGTCACCGTGTCTTCTCATGCCTCCTCTCCACGACATTTTTGTTTTTGAGACAGAGTCTGGAGCACAGGCTGGAACACAGTGGCGTGATCATATCTTACTGCAGACTCCCGGGCTCCAGCGAGTCTCCTGCCTTACCCTCCCAAGTCGCTGGGATTCTAGGTGTGCGCCACCACACCGGACCCTAAAGAAAGCCTTTGAACACACAGAAGAGTTGCGAGGAGTCTGTCACTACCTGGCTCTACAGGGTCTCCCAGCCTCTGTGTCCCCGGACTCTGCCTGAGTCCTGGCACCTGTTCCAGAAGAGCTGTGCACGTTTTCCTGTTTGAGGTCATCAGCGTGGGGGGCTGGGCACAGCTCTCACCAAGTCTCCGGCCGCATTCTCTCCGCACAGCCAGAGCCGCTCTCACCAAGGCCCCGGCCGCATTCTCTCCACACACAGCCAGGGGTCAGAGCCACTCTCACCAAGGCCCCGGCTGCATTCTCTCTGCACAGCCAGGGGTCAGAGCCGCTCTCACCAAGGCCCCAGCCGCATTCTCACCGCACACAGCCAGGGGTCAGCATCTCCACTGTCTGAGAAGTGCAGGTGTAGGTGGAGGTGCTCGTGAAGGGCGGGCATACAGGTGCACACATGGGCATGCGGGCGCGCACACAGATGGATACGTGGGCATGCACACACAAAGCACGCATCCATAGGCGCACGCACAGGCAGGCACGCGAGCACATGCCCCTCCCGCCACTGGATCCCAGCTATATGGGGGGATCCTGGAACTCCCATGTGACCTCCCCTTGGACGTGTCTTTGACCAGAACGTTCTTGGTCGCATCTGCTGGTAGTGAAGGCCAAGCCCGGCCGCCTGTGTCTTCAGGTACAGGAGCCATCTGAGTGCTGAGGGCAGATCCTGAGAGCCAGGGCAGTTGTCTGGGATTGTTACGAAGATCAATAGTAAACAGGCTGCCCTTCTTCCTTTTCTTTTCTCCCAGCCGCCTTCTCCCGCTTCTCTCCCCTTTGCTGCCTGACCTTGGTGCTTGTGTGCAGTGGAACTTGCTGTGTGCTGGAGCTTGTGGAAAATGGGAAACCTGCGTTTCTCCTGCTTCTCATTTTAAAGACAAACAGGTTTTCCAAAAATGTGAAAGGCACACCTGGGAAGTCAGAGTGGGAGAAGGATTTGGAATTGGACACATGAACACAGAAGGCTTCGTTCTGCTGTATGTGGCTCCCAAGTGACGGGACAGGTGTGAGCCCCATGGCAGCATGAGGGCAGGGCACGTGCTTCCAGTGCGTGCCAAGACAGACACGCCATGTGCCGTGGGCTACAGACGCGCCGTGTGCTGTGGGCTACAGACGCACCAAGTGCCGTGGGCTACAGATGCACCCGTGTGCCGTGGACGTAGACTTCTTAAACTTCTGTGCGGCAGTGGCCTTCTCTCTTCCATTTGAAATGTTTTTATTTGGCCAAATAGATGTTTATAGAAAGTTACCAAAGTTCAGTGTTCCTTCATAGTAATAGGGAGACTTTAGTACTTAACCTGAGATCTGAGGTTGGCTGCAGTGGTTGTTACAGTGATAATATCAGTAGCTGCTGAGCAGCTGTGGCTTTAAGTATCAAAGGAATAATGGTGTCATTTATAAATACTGCATGATGCTTAAAGCAAAGAGCCTGAAGCTGCAGGCTGGTATCATTTTATCTGCTCTATGTCAGGTACAGAGAGGAGACGAGGAGTGAACCAAACTTACAAAGCCCAGCCACCGGTGGTCGGTGTTTCCAGAGAACCCATTTCCCAAGAGCGGCCCCATGGTTGCTGTCAGCCTGAGGCTGCCGTCACCTGGCCGTGACTGTCTGTGGCCTGCAGTGAGCGACCAGGCCACAGTGGGTGGGTCAGAGGGACTCGTGGACATCGGCCCTGGCAGGGGCCTGACATCGTGAACCGTGTTTTCCATTGTGGCATGGGGTCCTGCACCTGCCTCCCGAGCAGCTGAGCACGGTCACCAGCACTGTTCGTATGAAAGGCCCTGCTTGTGTGTTCTGGCCCCATGCGATACCCTCCAGAGGGCATGGAGGCCACAGCCCCAGGGGAAATGGCCCCGTGCAGCGAGGCCCTGCCCAGCACCGCCACAGGCTGTCCCCAGCTCGCAGTGCTCGCTCATCTCCCCAGGCATCCCATGTCACCAGAGTCCAAGGTGCTGGGCTGCCTGCCCCCCTCCCATCTTGTCAAAGGGCCTTTCCTGGTGTAAGTAGAACTGGGGCTTTCCCTAGGTTCTGTTCATCAGGTGGATGGCTGGAAGCTGCGCTGGTCCCTCCCTCCACACCAAGGACTCTGATGCGCAGGTGTGCTTGCACCTCCGACATGGCAGTTCCTCCGGCCATGTGCACGTGGAGGGCGGCCCATTGTGGTAGCCTTGGGAGGTGTCTTGGTTATCTTGTGTCACTGTGACCTGTGGAGATCCAACTGAGGTAGTCATCACCCCTCGGGGGACACATTCCAAGACCCAGGTGGAGGCCTGAAATGCGATAGTACTGAACCCTGTATATACTGTTTTCCCCTCTGGGAACACACCTCTGATCAAATTTAACTTACAAGTTAGGCACAGTAGAGACTAAAAAAATTGTGAATCAAATGGAATGATTGTAAGGGTGCACTGTGATAAACCCCCTGTGAGGCTGACGACTGTCAGGGTGCAATGTGATAAACCCCCTGTGAGGCTGACGACTGTCAGGGTGCACTGTGATAAACCCCCTGTAAAGCTGGTCTCTTTCTCTCGCAGTCTTACCGCTCTGTGCGCACCTAGTTTCAGACCTTGGCTGAACGCAAGTAACTGAAACTAGGGAAAGCAAAGCCGAGTGGGGGCAGCCGCTAGAAGGAAGGGGCAGCCTCAGGGCACACTGTGGGGCTTGGCAGTTAGGGACCCTGCAGAGTCCACATGCCAGTTGGTTGGCAGCACAGCAGAGCGCCCGGAAGGGGCACATGCCTTTGACAGGAGTTAGATGTGGTGGAGAGAGGCGCTTAAAATTATTGAGGACAAGATGGGTTATTTGGTATTTAATGCTAACAGCTGTATCTCCATTTTGATGTGAAGGAGTGAGCTAGATTTTATTTATTTTTTATTATTTTATTTTTTACCTTTAGGCTCTGCTGGACTGGCCTAGATTTTGTATACACACATTTCAGGTGAAGGTCTAAAAAAAACTGGAGCATATAAAGAAAAATAGAATATATGTGTAATTCTGGAATAAGGAAGGACTGTGTTTCCAAAATAGAAAATAAATAAATAAATAAAGGAAAAGATTGGAATATCTGATTGATTTATTTATTTTATTTTTGAGACAGAGTCTTACTCTGTCGCCCAGGCTGGAGTGCAGTGCTGCGATCTCAGCTTACTGCAATCTCTGCCTCCCGGGTTCAAGCGATTCTCTTGCCTCAGCCTCCCAAGTAGCTGGGATTACAGGTGCGTGCCACCACACCTAGCTAATTTTTGTATTTTTACTAGAGATGGGGTTTCACCATGTTGGTCAGGCTGTTCTTTTTTTTTTTTTTTTTTTTCTTTTGAGACAGAGTCTTGCTCTGTCACCCAGGCTGGAGTGCAGTGGCGTGATCTCAGCTTACTGCAAGCTCCGCCTCCCAGGTTCACGCTATTCTCCCGCCTCAGCCTCCGAAGTAGTCTGGGACTACAGGCGCCCGCCACCACGCCCAGCTAATTTTTTGTATTTTTAGTAGAGACGGGGTTTCACTGTGTTAGCCAGGATGGTCTCGATCTCCTGACCTCGTGATCTGCCTGCCTCGGCCACCCAAAGTGCTGGGATTAAAGGCATGAGCCACCGCACCCGGCCTGTCTGATTTCATAGAAATGAAAAATTTTGTTTGACCAAAATCAACCTGAGCAATGTTAAAAAGAAAAATGACATTTAGGGAGAAAATGTTTTTTGCGTATATAACCAGAGATTAATAACAAGTCTATTTGAAGACTTCTGTAAATCACCAAGAAACTCATAATCCACCCCATAGAAAATGGTAAACCATATGAACAGATAAAGAGGAAGAAGTTTAAATGACAAATACGCTAAACTGCCAATCTGACCATTAATCAGGGAAGTGCAGATTGAAAAAAGGTGTCATTTCCTGGCTAATTTTGCAGTAACAAGAGGAGGTGAATCGTCCCAGGAGCTGGGGAGGAACCTCTGCTCTAGGTAGGGGGACAGGAGGTGGCACCACCCACACACACTGTCACATACCGGCCCTGACATCAGTCCCGTGGCCATGCTTGGACTTGGGCACAGGTGCAGAGACGTCTGAGCTGAATCCCAAGGGCCTCATCCTGATCAAAACCCAGTGTCCTCTCCCGACGCGCACTGCAGAATGAGCAGAACATCTGCGTCCCATTTCTAGTACCGTGCACGGAAAACAAACCCAAATGATCACGTGTGGATGCTCTGTGTGTGCACCAAAGCCCCCGCCTAAAATCAGAGGAGAGATCTGGAAAGATGCCCGGTGCTTTAATGCACCCCGTTGAAAAGGACAGAGGGACAAGAGGACAGGTGGAGATGTTGGTCTTTTCTCCATGCTCCTTATTTTCTCCAAATTGCTTGTGTTTTTAATTAATACATTGAGATATTCAGATAACATGAAAATGTGAAATAAAATGAGAGGCTGTTGGCAGGCTGTCACTAACATGCCCTGCTTGCCTGTTTGCAGGTATGGATCCTGGCGGGAGCCAGTCAACCCCTATTATGTCAATGCCGGCTATGCCCTGGCCCCAGCCACCAGTGCCAACGACAGCGAGCAGCAGAGCCTGTCCAGCGATGCAGACACCCTGTCCCTCACGGACAGCAGCGTGTAAGTCCCGCCCCGGATACCCAGTCCCTCACGGACAGCAGTGTGTAAGTCCGGTCCCAGACACCTTGTCCCTTGAGGACAGCAATGTGTAAGTCCTGCCCCAGACACCCTGTTTCTTGCGGATGGCAGCGTGTAAGTCCCACCCTGCTGCAGAGCGCGGCCAGCTCAGAGGGGGCTTCGTGCTGACCCAGAGATGCCTGGGCTTTGTCTTCAGGAAAAGTGTTTCCTGGCTCCCCAGGTCTCAGTGAGAGTGCGTCTGGACATGCAGGCAGGCTGTACCGCAGAGGCTGTCCTCCAAGCAGTACAAGTGAGGGCTCAGCTTTGTGTCGGTTGCTTCTCTCTGTGACCAGGGCTGCTGGGACCTCCCTATGAGGAAGGATCGAGGGTGAACCTAAGACAGTCTGTAGGCTGCCCGGGCTAGAGTTTGCTCTTTGGTTTTCAGAGTCTGGGGTTTCAGCTTAAAGACAGGCACAGGCCAGCTGCCTCACCACTGGCTGTGGCGAGTGATGTGGTCCCTGAGGGTGGCGTTTCTGCCGACGCTGGTGCAGTACAGGGTCCTGTCTTGTCCCTGTCACCCACTTGGCAAGGGGCTGGGAGCAGGAGTGAGGGAAGATGCTGTGGTTGTGCTGAGGCCTGGGCCACACATGTGTGACGCTCGAGGTGACAGGCAGAAGCTTATTCTTTCATTGTCCAGGGAAACCCCATGTGTAGGAACGTGCTTGTTTTATGACCTCTTCCCCTGTGCTTCGCAGCTGGCTTTTTGGGACCTATGTACACCCCAGCCATTAGATGATGCCAACAGTCTTGTTGCAGTAGGGCACTGGCTGCCAGCCTGTGGGGGTCATTTGGGGTTTTGGTTACCCATGAAGCTCAGACCTTCCCAGCTCTGGTCTGTGCGCCACACGCCACCTGCCCACCAGCCATCCTAGCCAGGGCTGGGGCCGAGCCGCAGGAACCAGGGTCTCCCTGCAGCAGCCTCAGCATTGGAGGAAGCCAGCGGCTATGAACTTGTGAGCAGCTGGAGCCCGCGGACCACCACCCTCCATCCCCACTGCGGCCAGTGGTGTCCCAGATGTCTTTCCCGCTTAGCTGGGTTCTCCATGAGGAAAGCCTGGAGATCTGGATAGGGCTGGAGGAGGAGAGAGGGACTTCTCACCTACTGGTGATTCTGCCCATCTTTTTATGAATATGTTTTAAGTGATGGTCCCACTGTATGTACCATTTTTATGGTTCTTTTCATTTTGAGACAGGATCTCACTGTCACCCAGGCTGGACTGCAATGGTGCGATCTTGGCTTACTGTAGCTTCTGTCTCCTGGTCCCAAGCAATTCTGCCTCAGCCTTCAGAGTTGCTGAGGCTACAAGCGTGCGCCACCACGCCTGGCTAATGATTATTATAATTTTTGTGGAGACGAGGCCTCACTATGCAGTCTCGAACTCCGAGGCTCAAACGGTGCACCCACTTCAGCCTCATGAGTGCTGGGATTACGGGCATGAGCCACTGCATCCGGCTGATGATGATGATTATTTTTGTGGAGACGAGGCCTCACTATGCAGTCTCCAACTCCTGGGCGCAAACTGCACCCACTTCAGCCTCACGAGTGCTGGGATTATGGGCATGAGCCACTGTGCCTGGCTGGTTTGTTCTTTTCATTTGCCTGTCTTTAAACATTTTTCCAAAACCTGAATTTCAGATGAGGAGAACAAGTTGTCACATTCTGTTTCTGAACCAGATTCAGCCAGCCCACATTGCCGTAGGTCTTGGCCCCTTGGTTTTTCCCCAGGTAGCTGTGGTAGTGCAGGGGCAGCTCCCTGCCCCTTCCGGGCAGAGCTGCTGTGTGTGGCTTCTCCTGGTTTCTTTCATCCTCGTTTAATTTTGAATCTTCAAAATAAAATGTTGACGTGATTTTAGCAGCACCTGACTTGAGGTTACTGGAGTTGAAGCAGTGCCTGCCGTGGTCCTGAAGCCTCGGGCCAGGTGGTTGGGTGCAGTGCAGCCCACGGAGCGCCTGACATGCATCCTAGCATCTGGTTTCCCTCTTCCCCAAAACTCTGTTACTACAACAAAAAGTAACCTGCCAACTCAGTTTTCTCAAAAAGTCTCCTAATTCTCTCCAAGAAAAGGGACATATGTTTCCTAAAGGGAGGACCTAAAATAAATAGGTATTTTTTTTCTTGATATTCTGTTCATCTTGGTTTGTACTGAAGTGTTTAACAATTTGGAATGTGAAATTGCTACACGTACTCGAAAGCAAATCAGAGGTAAAAAGTGGACAGGTGAAGAGCATCATTCCGGTGGGGCAGCTGCCCTCAGCTTTTGTGCTGGCGGCAAGCTCACAACATTCCACATGGCACTCGAGAGGCTGTGGGCTGTGGACACAGATGTGGGGTCAGTGTCTAATCCACGGAGGCCTGTGGAGGTTACCCAATCCAAGTATCATGTCTAAGAAACCAGTAGGTTGGTGGCTTCAGGACACTTCAACAAACCCCGAGGCAAGTGTTAGGTGAGTTTTAGATTCACTTGTTCCTGACGCCCACCGTGGCTGAGCCAGACCTGGACTCGGCTCACCATTGCCCACAACACTCAGTGGTGCTGTGACAGCCGAGGATGCCTCAGGAGTTGCCGTGTCTGCCACGCAGCCCTGGGTCGGGCGCTCTCTTCAGTCGTCCTGTGTCTCCTGGCAGCTCTGAGAGGCCCCTGGGTGCGGCACGGATCCCTGGAGCTGCCGTGCTTCCGAAGGCAGCTTTTCTTTCTTTCTTCCTTTTCTTTTTTGAGACGTAGTCTTGCTCTGTTGCCCAGACTGGAGTGCAGTGGCACAATCTCGCCTCACTGCAACCTCCGCCTCCCGGGTTCACGCCATTCTCCTGCCTCAGCCTCCCGAGTAGCTGGGACTACAGGCACTCGCCACCACACCTGGCTAATTTTTTGTATTTTTAGTAGAGACGGGGTTTCACCGTGTTAGCCAGGATGGTCTCGATCTCCTGACCTCGTGATCCGCCCGCCTCGGCCTCCCACAGTGCTGGGATGACAGGCATGAGCCACTGCGCCCAGCCCGAAGGCAGCTTTTCTAATAGCTGGGAGAGGGCGAGGGCTTTCATGAAGGATGGTTGTGCGTGAGTTATCTTAACCCTGGGGTAATTATTCAGACCATGTATAATCTGACTTTCGTGTTTTAATGATCTTCTAAAGGGTTCATAAAGAAAACCTGTTGCGGGCTGGGCGCGGTGGCGCATGCCTGTAATCCCAGCAGTTTGGGAGGCCGAGGCAGGCGGATCACGGGGTCAGGAGATTGAGACCATCGTGGTTAACACAGTGAAACCCCGTCTCTACTAAATAATACAAAAAATTAGCCGGGCGTGGTGGCGGGCACCTGTAGTCCCAGCTACTCGGGAGGCTGAGGCAGGAGAATGGCGTGAACCCGGGAGCGGCTTGCAGTGATCCGAGATCGCGCCACTACACTCCAGCCTGGGCGACAGAGCAAGACTCCGTCTCAAAAAGAAAAAAATAAAAGAAAACCTGTTGCTAAAGAGCTACCTTGTGCCTCCCTCAGAGACCACACTGCCCTGCCAGCTCCTGGAGAGAAGCAGAGTGTGCAGCCTTGGCATCTCCTATCTTTCCGTGGGGCACTGGTTGTCCTGGCTGCCCACTGTGCAATCCTGAAATGTTTTTGGTCCATTTAGCAATGCCCTCCAAGGCAGGCACACTGCACAGTGGTCTAGGCCACAAGCAGGGGCCAGCAAACGTTTCCCGTGCAGGGCTGGCAGTGAATATGTGAGGCTTTGCAGCCGCATGCAGTCCCTGTCACAGATTCTTCCCCCACCCTTTAAAAATGTAGAAACCTTGGCCGGGCGCCGTGGCTTGCGCCTGTAATTACTCCCAGCACTTTGCGAGGCCGAGGCGGGCGGATCACGAGGTCAGGAGATCGAGACTCTCCTGGCTAACACAGTGAAACCCCGTGTCTACTAAAAATACAAAAAAATTAGCTGGGCGTGGTGGCGGGCACCTGTAGTCCCAGCTACTCAGGAGGCTGAGGCAGGAGAATAGCGTGAACCCGGGAGGTGGAGCTTGCAGTGAGCCGAGATTGTGCCACTGCACTCCAGCCTGGGCGACAGAGCGAGACTCCATCTCAAAAAAAAGAAGAAAAAAAAATGTAGAAACCACTCTTAGCTGTCAGGCCCTAAAGAACAGGCAGGCACAAGGAGGCTTTGTGGAGGTGCCCAGTAAATACCAGCTAGGAAGACGCGTGGCTGGGCACCTGGGCTTTACCATCACGTGTGAACCTTTGTGTGTACATGTTCCCCTGTGCACACATGGGTGCCTGCATCACCTGTGTGCACGTGTCTCAGTGGTGGTGGCTCACAGGTGTCCTCATCATTGCCTGCTGACCGGCGGTCGGGGCCAGGAGCTCTATTGGCACGGTGCTGGCCCTCCTGCTCCTCTCTGAGTTAACGGCTGCCTCTTTCTCCTGGACAGGGATGGGATCCCCCCATACAGGATCCGTAAGCAGCACCGCAGGGAGATGCAGGAGAGCGTGCAGGTCAATGGGCGGGTGCCCCTACCTCACATTCCCGTAAGTACCGGCTTTGCGGTCCTCAGCCCATCGTCCTCCCCGCTCAGCGTGGGCCTGGTGAACTGGTCCGCGGGAAAGGCACTTGCCTGGCCTCCCACGAGCCAGGCTTACCTCTAGGCGTAAGCGTGTGATCCCAGCAACATCTGCAAGTGGCCAGTCCCTGAGGGCAGCAGGGGACATCAAGTCTCAGGCAGCATTTAGGGCCCAGAGGGAGCTGTTCATTCAGAAGAGCCCCCATGCCCCAAGGCCACACCCTCCCTGGTGGCAGGAAGTGTCTTGCCTTGTGAAGGTGGATGCTTCCCCTCAAGAGGGGGAGCTCTGAGCCTTTCTCAAGACTCAGAGCCCAGGCCTGGCCCCTGCACAGCCCTTGGGGAAAACTTGGTGTTTTTGTGGCTGAACAGTGGTCGTCTCCAGGTAAACGTCTTGACTTTAAAGCTGCCTTGGCTTTCGCTGTTGCATAGAATAATGGCACCTTTGCCCAGTCTCGGGCATGGGGGCTTGGCTGGGCAGTAGGTCATGGAGCTGAGTGCTAGCTGGAGCCCAGCACAGCCTGACTCCGTCTACAGAGCATTCCTGCGCTGATGAACAGATTAATGATCTTTCCTTATTTTGATGGGTTGACTTTGAACAGGAAAGATGTTACGGGAAGATGAGAAAAGTGTTTTCTTTTTTTTTTTTTGAGATAGGAGTTTTGCTGTCACTGCAAGCTCTGCCTCCCGGGTTCACGTCATTCTCCTGCCTCAGCCTCCCGAGTAGCTGGGAGTACAGGCGCCTGCCACCACGCCCGGCTAATTTTTTGTATTTTTAGTAGAGATGGGGTTTCACCGTATTAGCCAGGATGGTCTCGATCTCCTGACCTCGTGATCCGCCCGTTTCAGCCTCCCAAAGTGCTGGGATTACAGGTGTGAGCCACTGCGCAACGCACTGTTAGCCGCGGTGTCTGAGGTTAAACCACGTGACCATCTGAGTGTCTGTGCAGGGAAGTAGGCATTTTGAGAGCACTGACACAGTCTTGGTCAGGATTTCTTAGCCTTTTAGCTTTTCTGCAGACATCAGTTTCCAAGTCAGGAATTTCTTTATGGTTGAAAAGAAAGGATGTTGGTTTGTTATCACTTCTGAGAAGATGCCAGCCAACCCTTGACTCAGGTTTGGCTAAAACTAGGCACTGATGGTGTCTACTTAACAAAAAGTGGCTGACACTGTAGGCTGTGTGTGGGTGCGTGCGTGTGTGCGTGCTTGTGCTGTGGAAGATCTGGGGCCCTGCCTGCCAGGCATGGCCCAAGGCTATCATGAGGTCACAGCCCAAGTCGAGGGCACCTGCACAGCCACCGGCCTCTGATTTTCAAGTCACAGGTCCTGAACGTCAAGAACCCGCGGAGCCGCTGGGATGACGGAGGCCCGAGAGACAAGACAGCTGAGCAACCACAGGCCCGGAACAGCCCTCTGTGCCCATGAGGACGGGGCTTGAGTGGGCTGAGGCCCGCGGGAGGCTTCTGTCCACAGGGGTGCCCCGATTTTGGGGTGCTGGTCAGAGTCTTCGTGTGTAGAAAGTGCATGCCACAGACTCTGGATGAGGGGGCATCAGGCAGACAACCTCCCCTCAGAAGGGTCAGGAAGGACAGAAGCTGTGGAGTGCGTTGGTGCCTGGAACGTGGACCTGGAAAGACCTCTCAGGATGCAACACAGAGAAAAGAGGATGCCTATGGCGAGTCCCTGGTGTCGTCGTCAGAACCTTCCAGAACCGAGGGAAGCACAGAGCCCTCAGGTCCTGGAGGGTCACATTTGAGTCGCCAGGAAGATGAAAGCCAACAGAGGCGGCAGGCACAGACAGGAGCAGGCCCTGCTGCGTTCCGCACCCCCAGAGGGCCCTTGTGTGGTGGGGTGGGGGCCGCAGTGTGCGTTTCTGTGTGAACAGTCTGCAGCAAACAACCTCATCGGAGGCTCTGTAGGAACCTGCATCAGGTCCATGTGGCCTGTCAGGTGGGGCTGTGGTTGGAACCTTCGGTGGGAGGTCCCTCAGCCAGAGGCCCAAGTGAGAAACCCACATCACGGGCACAGCTGCCCGGGGCCTGCTCACTGCTGCTACTGGGAAACTGGACCCGAGGATGGTGGTGAGCAGAGGCGGGGGGAGGCCCAGGAAGCCGATAAGCTAGCAGGACGTGCCGTGGTTGCACTGCCCACTTCTGCTCTGTTGAGGGCCTTGGTTTTGCAAAAGCTATGCCGTTTCTCTGGTGAGTCCATGGCTCTGCAGCAGGGACAGCAGGAGGGGAGTAGCTTAGACGCTCATAGGAGCAGAACCCTGTTGTGGCTGCACCCACGGAGGCCCAGGCTGTGTGCACCTTGTGAGACTCTTTAACACCTGCCCATCAGAGTTGGAGCAGGTTCATCCCGAAAAGCCCCCTGCCCCCACTGTCCATGGAAAAATTGTCTTCTACAAAACTGGTCCCTGGTGCCAAAAGGTTGGGGGCCGTGGCTTTACAGCATCTGGTACCAGAATGCGTGCCCTGCGGGGAGGGGCCTCTTCATCTTTAGCCTTTACAATTACTTGGAAGTTTCACGTTTTCATTTACTTGGCTTTTTCCTTTATGATATTTTTTTCTGTTCCTCTAAAGCTGGAGAGGTTGCCATTCTCTGTAAATCTGATGACTCTGACAGTTTTGCTGTTCTCAGAACCGTGGTGACGCAGCCTGCAAGGCCACCTGGAGTCTTTTTATGGAGCTCGCGTGGCGGCATGAGTGCTCCTGTTGGCCCCTCAGCCGTGCTGCTCTCTGGGCCTGATGATGGGCTTTTCATCCTGCCCTTGGTCTCTGTGGTGCTGACTGTTCAGACCATAAGCGCGTCTGTCTGCGCCTCTGGCTGTCTGCAGACACAGCAGCCGTGGTCCCTGCAGTGCTGGCAGCTCCCATTCCTGTGTGTGCCACTCCCACGTCTGCGCCTTGCCCAGCACTGGGCACGGAAAAGCCAGCATGGCCCCCCAGCCACCCAGCCTCCAGGCCCCGGGTGCAGCGGGAAAGGGTGGCTTGTTAGTTCCTTGCCATCTGTGTGGACGCCCTGCCGTCCACACACCCGGACACACCGGCCCACATCCCTGCTGGTGCCAGCCCCAGCCTTCCTCATCATCTTCCAGAAGCACTGGATGCTCCTCCTTGGCTCCGGGACAGACCCCTTCCTGGCGCTGTGCACGGCCCAGACTCCAGCAGTGACTTTTCCCAGCTCTGAGGCATCACCCAGTGTCCTGGGCGTGCCCTTGGCCCCTTCATACTCCACGTTCCTTGAAGTGAAGCCTGTGGCTCCAGGGCCAGCCTCTCTCTGAGCCTCGTCTACTGTGGAACATCTGAGCCTGGAGGAGGCCTTTTGTGTGGCCCCTGTGTCCAGTCTCACCCCATCCTTCTCAGGTTTAGATGCTGTTTCTACTCTCATTGTGTAGATGAGAAACGGGTGCACAGAGCCAGGACTGCGCCAGAGCCCACGGCGGGAGGGCAGGAAGGCCACACACACGGAGGGTCCCACCTCCCATCTGCCACCCTGCTTGCTTGTCACAGGGGAGCTGTCCCTGGCTGCATCCCTCCGCGGCTTAGACACTGGCGGCCTGGATTTTAAAACATGTTTTGCTATGAAGGATGTTATTGGAGCAGCTGGCAAAATTGGAATAAGATCTGCCACGTGATGTTATTGTATCAGGGTCAGTTTTTTTAACCATCCATATTTGTACTGTGGTTAGGTATGAGAGCGACCTTGCTTTTGTTAAATACACTCTAACTGGTTCAGAAAAGTGAGCGTGCCTGTGTGTGTGCGTGTGTGTGTACGTGTGTGTGGGTGTGTGTGCCTGCGCATGTGTGGGCATGTGTGTGTACGCATGTGCCTGCCGGTAAGGGGATGATAAAGCAGTTATGGCAGAATGTGAGCCCTTGGGGAATCTGGGTGAAGGTGGACGGGAATTCCTTGTTCTATTTTTGCAGCTGTTTTGAAGTTTGAAATTTAAAATGAAGTACCCTTGAAAGTTACACAGGGCCAGGCGTGGTGGCTCACACCGGTAATCCCAGTGCTTTGGGAGGCCTAGGTGGGAGGAGTTTGAGGCCAGCCTGGACAGCAAGACCCCCATCTCTATTTTTAAAAAAAGCTATAGGGGGGCCGGGTGCAGTGGCTCACGCCTGTAATCCCAGCACTTTGGGAGGCTGAGGCAGGCGGATCACGAGGTCAGGAGATTGAGACCATCCTGGCTAACACGGTGAAATCCTGTCTCTACTAAAAATACAAAAAAATTAGCCGGGCATGGTGGCAGGCGCCTGTAGTCCCAGCTACTCGGGAGGCTGAGGCAGGAGAATGGCGTGAACCCGGGAGGCGGAGCTTGCAGTGAGCCGAAATCGCGCCACTACACTCCAGCCTGGGTGACAGAGCGAGACCCTGTCTCAAAAACAAAAACAAAAAAAACCAAAAACAAACAAGCTATATGGTATATTACTATAAAATACATTGCAGATGTATTGTTATTATTTTGAGACAGGGTCTCACTCTTTCACCCAGGCTGCAGGGCAGTGGCATGATCTCGGCTCACTGCAGCCTTGATCTCCCAGGACTTATGCGATCCGATCCTCCCACCTCAGCCTCCCAAGTAGTCGGAACCACAGGTGCCACCACACCCGGCTAATTAAAAAAAATTTTTGTTTGTAGAGATGAGGTCTCACTTTGTTGGCCAGACTGGTCTCTTAATTTCTGGGCTCAAGTAATCTGCTCGCCTCTGCTTCCCAAAATGCTGTGACTGTAGGCGTGAGCCACCACCTGGCCTTTAGATTCTTTTAAAAAGGAAAGCCTGCCTTTCCCAGACCTCCCCTGTCCTCCAAATCCTGGGCGTCCTTCCCTGCCGTGGGGCCTCGGGGGCCTTCTGCTCACACCTTCTGCAGGCGTCTCCTCGAGTGCTTCTCTGAAGTGGGTGGGGAGCGCCGGCTGTGTGTCCTGAAGCTGCCCTGCTCAGGCCTCTTGATCTGGTAGTCGGGAGACGCTGGAAAGAAGCAGCCCTGTCTCCTGGGTCCGTGGGGAATGAAGGACAGACTGGCCGGACACGAAAAGGGGGACCGTGAGGAAGTTGATTCCCAACTGAAAGGAGGAAAAAGTAAACTCTTGCTTTAAAATACAACAAAGGCCGGGCCCGGTGGCTCACACCTGTAATCCCAGCACTTTGGGAGGCTGAGGTGGGCAGATCACCTGAGGTCAGGAGTTCGAGACCAGCCTGGCCAACATGACGAAACCCCATCCCTACTAAGAATACAAAAATTAGCCAGGCGTGGTGGCGGGCACCTGTAGTCCCAGCTACTTGGGAGACCGAGGCAGGAGAATCGCTTGAACCCGGGAAGCAGAGGTTGCAGTGAGCCAAGATCACGCCATTGCACTCCAGCCTGGGTGACAGAGCAAGAGTTTGTCTCAAAAAAATAAAATAAAATACAACAGAGATAGCACACGCTCTTTCCCTTCACAAAGAAATGTTTAGCCTGTGACCTTTCAACCCCCGTGCCTCACAGTCCTGTCCCTCGCAGCGCACGTACCGGGTGCCGAAGGAGGTCCGCGTGGAGCCTCAGAAGTTCGCGGAGGAGCTCATCCACCGCCTGGAGGCTGTGCAGCGCACGCGGGAGGCCGAGGAGAAGCTGGAGGAGCGGCTGAAGCGCGTGCGCATGGTGAGTGGGCCGCGTCGGTGTCGCGCTCCGCGTCGGTGTCGTGCTGTTTTCTTGCCGCCGGGATGTCCTGATGTTCTTCATGGGGATGCCCGGGGCTGGCCGAGGCCTGCTGACCCATGAGGCCTCCCGGCTGAGTCCCCTGTTCCCCTTTCTCTGCAGCCGAGCCCCAGCTCAAGATGGGATGTCCCAGCGGCCCCATGCCACCCTCAGAGGCCCAGAGACCCACCTTGGTCACCTGCATTGAAGGGGCCGGGGGTGACACGGCTGCCTGCTGTGTACCTGATCCTTTGTGGGTGGCAGGGCCACAAGCTGAGACTGCAGCGGGTGATCTCAACTTCTTCACCCCGTGTGGCTGGCAAGTGAGATGAGCATGTGCAGAGCAGGAAGGGCTAGTGGCGTGCAGTCGGGGGCTGCGATGCCTGAGACTTTCTGCCACCTCCTGGTCACTTTTGGTTCCTTGAGGCCATGGTGCACGGCCCTCTAGGCACTTGTGTTGTAGGACTCTTTGCTTAGTTCAGCTAAAAACAGGTCCCTTTCACATGGCCACGAAAAATTAGGCTCACAGACAATTCGAAGGGTGAGAAGGACAGAGTTTATTGGGTGAAAAGGTAAAAAGGGAAACGGGCGGGCGAGTGGCTCACACCTGTAATCCCAGCAATTTTGGGAGGCCGAGGCGGGCGGATCACCTGAGGTCAGGAGTTTGAGACCAGCCTGGCCAAAATGGTGAAACCCCATCTCTAATGAAAAATACAAAAATTAGCCGGGTTGGTGTCAGGTGCCTGTAATCCCAACTACTCAGGAGGCTGAGGCTGGAGAATCGCTTGAACCCAGGAGGCAGAGGCTTCAGTGTGCCAAGATTGCGCCACTGCCCTCCAGCCTGGATGACAAGAGTGAAACTCTACCTCAAAAAAAAAAAAAATCACTTCCCGCAAAGCCAGAGTTCTGCTAGTGTGCTTCCCGCCTCGCAGATTGAATCCCAGGTTCCACCTAGGAAGACGCGGGGCCTGGCTCCTCCCCGCTGCAAATGGTGCAGACTTCTGTGGCTCCACCCCAGTGTGCGCTCCTCCCAGTGCGCAGGCCGGCTGGAGTTTCTCTGGAGACCCCTTCCCACCTGGTCGTCTCACTTGCAAGGCTGCCTTTGCTGGCCGGGCGGGCAGTGCACACCTGTGACCCCAACACTATGGGAGGCTGAGGCGAGTGAAGCACTTGAGCCGAGGAGTTTGAGCCCAGCCTGGGCAATGTGGCAAATTCCTGTCTCTAGAAAAAATTTCAAAATTAGCTGGGCGTGGTGGCACACACCTGTGGTCCCAGGTATTCAGGAAGCTGAGGTGGGAGGATCACTTGAGCCCAGGAGGTCAGGTCTACAGTGAGCCGAGGCTGTGCCACTGCACTCCAGCCTGGGTGCCAAAAAAAAATGCCTTTGCTTTTCTCTTAGCCAGATTAATTCCTATGGGAGGTCAGTGGGCACCATCGAGTCGGGGGGTGGTCCTTCATTCTCCTTTCAATGTTCGTGAATATGAATACTTAGAAAATGTATACACTTCTGAGCGTTTCCATTCACCTGATCCTTGATGTAAAATGCAGACCTTCAGCTCTCCTCAGACCACAGGAGACCCCTCGGTACACTCACTCTTTCACCCGCTACCCGGGTGAGCTGTGCCCTGAAGCCTGGAGATGCCACCGTGAGGGTGGACGCAGGGTGCCGCTGGTGGTGCCCATCTGGGAAACCGTGCGCCGGGCACTCCATTGAGATGGCAGGCAGACCTTACATAGCTCGTTGAGCAGCTGGGATTCATGGCGGGGACCAGGTGTGGTCGCTGCAGATGGTGGAGCTCCCCATGAAGGGGTTTGTGTGGAAATGTCTCACACACAGACGTCGATTTGTTTTATCCTCAGTAAATTGTTTTGCCACCATGTGGAGCTGCATCCTCTCGTCTCCCCTGGCCGTTGGTCTGAGGGTGACCCTCATCTGGGTAGGGCACAGGTGTGGGTGGTGCCAGCTCCAGGGCTCTGCAGGTGCCAAGTTCACCTTCTCCACAGTCCCCCAAGGAAAGGACTCAGGGAATTTGTCCTCCAATATCGGGAACCTAGCCGGGGCCGCAGGGCTGGCAGGAGCAGCATCAGTGCCGCGTGGTCCCTGTGGCGGTGAGAGTGAGGCCTCGCCTTGCAGACCTGGTGGTCACTGGAGCGGCTCGCTTGCTTCCTGGGGTGGCCCTGAGGAGGCTGGCTGTGCGCACCTGAGGCCAGCGGCATTGGGGCCTGCCTGGGAGCCTTACTGGGCTGTTGTCTGAAAACCAAACATTGGGAACAGAGTTACCAAGAATATGGACATGTCCGCAGGCCACATCCGGGCCCACGGGCTGTGACGTCAGCATCATCATTTGGGTGGCAGGTGAAGGTTAGCAGCCCTTAAACAAACATGCTCACAACAGAAACGTAAGAAAGGAAGCCTTTGCTGTTTTGCTGCCGTGTTGGCCGCTGTCATTTTCTGCAGAAGCCTTTGCTGTTTTGTTGTTGTGTCGGTCGCCGGCCGCTGTAATTTTCTGTGGAACGCTTTGCTGTCATGTTGGCCGTCTGTAATTTTCTGATCTTTGCGCCTTCACCCGTTCGCAGGGTGTGCTTCTAGTAGGGCAGGTTCCCATTTTGAGTGAGACATTTTTTAAAAAAAATATTTTTGTAGAGATGGAATCTTGCTATATTACCCACACTGGTCTTGAACTCCTGGCCTCAAGTGATCCTCCTACCTCAGCTTCCCGAAGTGCTGGGATTTCAGGCACGAGCCACCGTGCCTGGCCTTAAGCAAGACATGTTAAAGGCAGGCGTAGCCACAGGTGCTGAGTGTGTGGCTCTCACCTGTGACTCTCAAGGCTTCCCCACCCCATGGAGTCCTGGCTCTGTCCCAGCAACAGGGAGCATGGCAGTGCCCACAGGTGTGTGGATCCAGCACCACCAGGGCCCAGGAGTGGTGGTCCTTCCCTAAAAGGAATAACTCCAGTTTTTTTTTTTTTTTTGCTTTGTTTTGTTTTGTTTTTTGAGGCAGAGTCTCGCTCTGTCGCCCAGGCTGGAGTGCAGTGGCACGATCTCAGCTCACTGCAAGCTCTGCCTCCCGGGTTCACGCCATTCTCCTGCCTCAGCCTCCCCAGTAGCTGGGACTACAGGCGCCCACCATCACGCCCGGCTAATTTTTTTGTATTTTTAGTAGAGACGGGGTTTCACCATGTTAGCCAGGATGGTCTCGATCTCCCGACCTTGTGATCCACCCGCCTCGGCCTCCCAAAGTGCTGGGATTACAGGCGTGAACTCCAGATTTTTTAAATAACCTATTTTCATTGTGAAATTTGGGAAATTAAAGCACAAAGAAGAAAACAAAAACCATTAGCCGAGTGGTTAAGTTAATCTGTAACATTTCACAGCCCCATGATAGAATTCCTGCCGATGTGGAGCTCGGCCAAGGCAGTGAACGGCATCAAAACTCCAAACACTTTTAGTCCCTAGGAAGACCCTCGGTTAAGATTTCTCCCCAGAGTGCCCGGGCCCTTTAGTCCTACAAAACCAAGGAAAGGGAGGCAGCATAGCTGCATCCGCCAGGGGATGCCCACCACCCACCTGTCCCCCGGCTCTGCTCCAGCATCCGTCTGTCCTCTTTAGTGCCATATTTCACCCTCAGCCCCAGTGCAGGTGCCCGCAGCCAAGCCCACACCAGCTCTGGGGCACGCCTGTTCCAGTTGCATTTGGATACTTTTGCAGGTGTGAGAGTTGGGTGCTAAACGTTGGGAGGTTTGTTTATATTAAAATATAGAGGTAGGTGGGGCACAGTGGCTCACATCTGTAATCCCAACACTTTGAGAGGCCAAGACAGAAGGATCACTTGAGGCCAGGAATTTAAGAGCAGGTTGGACAACATAGTGAGATTCCCCATCTCTACAAAAAAAAAAGAAAAAGAAAAAATTAATGGGACATGGTGGCATGCACCTGTAGTCCCAGCTACTTGGCAGGCTGAAGCAGGAGGATCGCTTGACCCCTGGAGGTTGAGGCTGCCTTGAGCTGTGATGGCACCACTGCGATTAGGTGTGGTGGCTCACACCTGTAATCCTAGCACTTTGGGAGGCCAAGGTGGGTGGATCACCTGAGGTCAGGAGTTCGAGACCAGCCTGGCAAACAGGGTGAAACCCAGTCTCTACTAAAAATACAAAAAATTTAGCTGGGCATGGTGGTGGGTGCCTGTAATCCCAGCTACCCGGGAGGCTGAGGCAGGAGAATTACTTGAACCCGGGAGGCGGAGATTGCACTACAGCCTGGGACACAAGAGTGAAACTCCGTCTCAAAAAAAAATTAAATAAATAAAAATAGGCCGGGCACGGTGGCTCACACTTGTAATCCCAGCACTTTGGGAGGCCGAGGTGGGCAGATCACGAGGTCGGGAGATCGAGACCATCCTGGCTAACACGGTGAAACTCCATCTCTACTAAAAATATAAAAAATTAGCCGGGCGTGGTGGCGGGCACCTGTAGTCCCAGCTACTGGGCAGGCTGAGGCAGGAGAATGGTGTGAACCCGGGAGACGGAGGTTGCAGTGAGCCGAGATCGTGCCACTGCACTCCAGCCTGGGTGACAGAGCGAGACTCTGTCTCAAAAAAATGAAAATAAATAGGCCGGTTGTGGTGGCTCACTCCTGTAATCCCAGCACTTTGGGAGGCCGAGGGTGGTGGATTACCTGAGGTTAGGAGTTTGAGACCAGCCTGGCCAACATGGTGAAACCCCGTCTCTACTAAAAATACAAAAAAATTAGGCAGGCATGGTGGCACACTCCTATAATCCCAGCTACTCGGTAGGCTGAGGCAGGAGGATTGCTTGAGCCCGGGAGGTGGAGGTTGCAGTGAGCCAAGATCGTGCCACTGCACTCCAGCCTGGCTGACAGAGCGACTCTGACTCTAAATAAATAAATACATACATAGATACATGGTAACTTAGTTCCCTCTCTTTCTTTTGTATTGACACCAGATTTACTCAATACTGTTTTAGTTTGTCAGTCCAATAAGATGAGAAAATAAGTATGAGATGCAACTTGGAATTAAAGTGATCAAATGTTTGCTCTGACAGATAAGCTTCAGCACCTGTTAACTTGGAGAATCAAGTGAAACTCCACCGGCTTCATGTGGAAGCTCGTCAGGCAGCATCACAACATGTACATAACCCAAGAGCCGTTCTGTACAAGGTTCTCCTTAAAATATAATGGGAGGCCGGGCGCGGCGGCTCATGCCTGTCATCCCAACACTTTGGGAGGCCGAGGTGGGTGGATCATGAGGTCAGGAGTTCGAGACCAGCCTGGCCAACATAGTGAAATCCTGTCTCTACTAAAAATACAAAAATTAGCTGGGTGTGGTGGCGCACACCTGTAGTCTCAGCTACTTGGGAGGCTGAAGGAGGAGAATCACTTGAACCCAGGAGGCAGAGGTTGCAGGGAGCCGAGATGGCACCATTGCACTCCAGCCTGGGTAACAGAGCAAGACTCTGTCTCAAAAAATATATATATATACAGGCCAAGGCAGGCAGATTGCTTGAGCTCAGGCATTCGAGACCAGCCTGGCCAATATGGTGAGAATCGCATCTGTCCCCAAAGTACAAAAAAATTAGCTGGGCGTGGTGGCACACGGCTGTGGTCTCCGCTATTCTGGAGGCTGAGGTGGGAGGATCGCTTGAGCCTAGGAGGCGGAGGCTGCAGTGAGCTGAGATCACACCACTGTTCTCCAGCCTGGGCAACAGAGCAAGAACTTGTCTCAAAAAAAGAATAAAACTAAACTAAATCTGTGCAGAGCTCTGCCCACAGCCGATACATACGCTGCATTCCTTGAGGCCTTGCTGTCTCCGCTCCTTCTGTCTATGCCCCGTCCTGCCTCTCCATCCTCAGGGACAGGACCGGTGGCGAGGGGCCCCCGGCCACCCTGGGCTGGGACGGCATCTGCTGGGGCTGCTGGGTCAGGCCTGATGCTTTTTGTTTTCCCCAAGTGTGCAGCTGGTGCTGAGAGGTGATGGTGCTGCTTGTCCCCACACAGGAGGAGGAAGGTGAGGACGGCGATCCATCGTCAGGGCCCCCAGGGCCGTGTCACAAGCTGCCTCCCGCCCCCGCTTGGCACCACTTCCCGCCCCGCTGTGTGGACATGGGCTGTGCCGGGCTCCGGGATGCACACGAGGAGAACCCTGAGAGCATCCTGGACGAGCACGTACAGCGTGTGCTGAGGACACCTGGCCGCCAGTCGCCTGGGCCTGGCCATCGCTCCCCGGACAGTGGGCACGTGGCCAAGATGCCAGTGGCACTGGGGGGTGCCGCCTCGGGGCACGGGAAGCACGTACCCAAGTCAGGGGCGAAGCTGGACGCGGCCGGCCTGCACCACCACCGACACGTCCACCACCACGTCCACCACAGCACAGCCCGGCCCAAGGAGCAGGTGGAGGCCGAGGCCACCCGCAGGGCCCAGAGCAGCTTCGCCTGGGGCCTGGAACCACACAGCCATGGGGCAAGGTCCCGAGGCTACTCAGAGAGTGTTGGCGCTGCCCCCAACGCCAGTGATGGCCTCGCCCACAGGTGAGCGTGCGCCTGTCAGTGAGGAGGGGGCTTGGGGTGAGGCTGTGTCCCTGCAGAAGGCCAGAACCTCCTCATAAAACTCAGGAAACCCAGGACCGCCAGCAACAGGCAGGAGGCCCCTCTGCTGGAGGGAGTGGACTGGGCCCTGGGTCAGGGGAGTCCACGCCGTGACCTCAGGTGGGAGATGAAGGTTAGGGGACACAGCCCGACCCTGGCTCCCGCTCTGGCCCTCAGTCTTCAGGGGGTGAGCAGTGACTGCCTGTGTGTTTAGAGAGGAAACCAACCCCCAGACAGCACCAGGACAGCGGGCAGGGGACAGCGGGTGGGGGACAAGCTGGCGGGGGACAGCGGGTGGGGGACAAGCGGGCAGGGGACAGCGGGCGGCGGCTGCACCACGGGAGCCTTACAGATGCCAGGAGGGGGCCTCGCAGACGAGGAAGGGGCACAGCCTCGGCCACCGGAGGCCAGGGCGACTCGCAGCTCTTGCCCTTGCAGTGGGAAGGTGGGCGTGGCGTGCAAAAGAAATGCCAAGAAGGCTGAGTCGGGGAAGAGCGCCAGCACCGAGGTGCCAGGTGCCTCGGAGGATGCGGAGAAGAACCAGAAAATCATGCAGTGGATCATTGAGGGGGAAAAGGAGATCAGCAGGCACCGCAGGACCGGCCACGGGTGAGCACCCCGCACGCAGCCAGCCTCGTGGGGCCTGCTTTGCCACCCCTGGCCTCCGCACAGTCTCAGTGTGTGCAGCTTCAGTGTGTGTGGCGAGTGTCGCCTGTGACGCCTCACACTTCCCCTGTCACTGTGGCACCCTCCCGGGCACCCTCCAGCAGGCTCCCTGGGCCCCACGTCTCCAGGAGGAAAACCTCATGTCCCCAGAGAGAGGCTGTCCCTGAAGCCCCGAGCAGGAGGGAAGCTGACGTGGCTGTCACCCCGCAGGCAGCACAGATGCTCTCGGGAGGTCATTTCCAGTCTGACCCCCACATGAGAATGACCTAAGTCACCTGGGAAGGCCCCCACTGACCATCACTCCCGAGGTGCCCACGGAGGAGCCTTCTGTGCTCACACCTGGCCGTCCTGCTGAGGGCTGGGGAAGGCTCTTGTGTAGCGTGAGCACTTCTCTCCTCCCAGAAGGGCAGAGGCCTCGTGTGTGGTGTGGAGCAAGGCCCCGGCGCCACAGGTCCAGCCCCTGCCGCTGCCCGCCGGGCCGGTCTTGGTGTTGCTCCTGCTCGCCCCCTGGGCCTGCACTCGTGCCCGGAACCCAGCAGGAGGGCCAGGGGCCCCACAGAGGTGGTACCCCCCACCTTCCTGTCGTGGTCAGAGGCAGGTCAGCTGGGAAGTGTTGGCCCTGGTGGGTGGATGGCCCCAGCTTCCTCAGACTTAGGTCCTGATCTGCCCCCCACCCTCACCCAGGCCCTGGCCAGGACGCATCTCCCTCCACATTACTTGATGAGAACTTGTGAGGCAGCTGAGCGCCTGGGGCGTGGCCCTCCTGCCTGTGTTGGAAGCCTGTCCCGCAAGGCCTTGGGGTCCCCATCGGTGCTGACTGAGGTGGGGACGGGCTCATCGTTTTTCTGGGGCTCCCGAGGGAACAGGGGTGCACAGCACCTTGCCTGGCTCATTTTTTGTAGAGGGGGTCTCAGTGTGTTGCCCAGCTGGGTCTCAAGCTTTTGGGCTCAAGTGATCCTCCCACCTTGGCCTCCCAAAATGCTGGGACTACAGGCATGAGCCACCATTCCTGGCCTTCGAGTCTTTTTTTTTGAGACGGAGTCTAGCTCTGTCGCCCGGGCTGGAGTGCAGTGGTGCAATCTTGGCTAACTGCAACCTCCACCTCCTGGGTTCAAGCAATTCTCCTGCCTCAGCCTCCCGAGTAGCTGGGATTACAGGCGTGAGCCACCACGCCCGGCTGATTTTTGTATTTTTAGTAGAGACCGGGGCAGGGGGTGGTTGCCATGTTAGGCTGATCTCGAACTCCCAACCTTTGGTGATCCGCCTGCCTCGGCCTCCTGGAGTGCTAGGATTACAGGCGTGAGCCACCGTGCCCGGCCGAATCCTTTTTTTAAATAGCTGTATATACTAAATATTGCATGTCCCATATTTTAGGATAAGTATTAATACATTCCACTTTGAGACATACTTATACTTTTTATTCATTAAGACTTTTTTTTTAATTTTTTGCGACAGAGTCTCCCTCTGTCACCCTGGCTGAAGTGCAGTGGTGTAATCACACCGTTCACTGCAGTCTCAGCCTCCTGGACTCAAAGCTATCCGCCGGCCTCTAGGATTAGTATATAATTTGTATCCCAGTAAAGCTGTTAAAAATAAAATGTAAAAAAAGAAGCCTCATCCCAGCACTTTGGGAGGCCGAGGCAGGTGGATCGCTTGAGGTCCGGAGTTCGAGACCAGACTGGCCAACATGACAAAAACTCCATCTCTACTAAAAAAAATACAAAAAATTAGCCGTGTGTGGTGGCGAGTGCCAGTAATCCCAGCTACTCGGTGGCTGAGGCAGGAGAGTCGCTTGAACCTGGGAGGCGGAGATTGCAGTGAGCCGAGATCCGAGGTCGAGCCATTGCACTGCAGCCTGGGCAACAAGAGCAAAACTCTGTCTCAAAAAAAGAAAAAAAAAAAGTCTCCATGAAAGAATTTTTTTTTTTTTTTTTTGAGACGGAGTCTTGCTCTGTTGCCCAGGCTGGAGTGCAGTGGCCTGATCTCAGCTCACTGCAAGCCTCGCCTCCCGGGTTCATGCCATTCTCCTGCCTCAGCCTCAAGAGCAGCTGGGACTGCAGGCGCCCGCCACCACGCCCGGCTAATTTTTTGTATTTTTTTAGTAGAGGTGGGGTTTCACCGTGTTAGCCAGGACGGTCTCGATCTCTTGACCTCGTGATCCGCCCTCCTCAGCCTCCCAAAGTGCTGGGATTACAGGCGTGAGCCACCGCGCCTGGCCTTTTTTTTTTTTTTTTTTTTTTTTTGAGATGGGGTTTCGCTCCTGTGGCTCAGGCTGGAGTGCAACAGGCCAGTGTCAACGCACTGCAACCTCCACCTCCCAGGTTCAAGTGGTTCTCCTGTCTAACCCACCTGAGTAGCTGGGATTACAGGCACCCACTATTATGCCCAGTTAACTTTTTGTATTTTTGTAGAAACAGGGTTTCACCATGTTGGCCAGGCTGGTCTTGAACTCCTGACCTCAGATGATCCACCCGCCTCGGCCTCCCAGCGTGCTGGGATTACCGCGCCTGGCCATTTTTTTTTTTTTTTTTTTTTTTTGAGATGGAGTCTCACTCTTGCCTAGGCTGGAGTGCAGTGGTGCAATCTCAGCTCACCGCAACCTCTGCCTCCCAGGTTCAAGCGATTCTCCTGCCTCAGCCTCCCGAGTAACTAGAATTACTGGTATCCACCACCACACTTGGGTAATTTTTTGTATTTTTTGAGTAGAGTCATGGTTTTGCCATGTTGGCCAGGCTGTTCTTGAACTCCTGACCTCAGGCGATCCACCCACCTTGGCCTCCCAGAGTATTGGGATTACAGGCAAATGAGGGTTGGTTTTTTGTTGTCTTTTTTATTCCTGAGACTGAGCCTCACTCTGTCACCCAGGCTGGAGTGCGGTGGCGTGATCCCGGCTCACTGTAACCTCCACTTCCCCAGTTCCAGCCATTCTCGGGCCCCAGCCTCCAGAGTAGCAGGGATGACAGGCGCCCAGCTAATTTTGTATATTTAGTAGCGATGAGGTTTCACCATGTTAGGTTGATCTCGAACTCCCGACCTCTGGTGATCTGCCCGCCTCGGCCTCCCGAAATGCTGGGATTACAGGTGTGAGCCACCATGCCTGGCCGGGATGTTTTTATTGTGTGGTCTGTGGAGGACGTCCATGTGGCTTGGTGGCCAGGCCCCAGTGCCCCATCCCATCCTATCCCTCAAGGAGGCTGCCCTTGTGAGATGAGTGTAGCCCCACCAGGCCACCTGGCCAGGGTGTCGGCCACAGTCACAACTTGTTCTCTTGTTCCCCAAGGTCTTCGGGGACGAGGAAGCCACAGCCCCATGAGAACTCCAGACCCTTGTCCCTTGAGCACCCCTGGGCCGGCCCTCAGCTCCGGACCTCCGTGCAGCCCTCCCACCTCTTCATCCAAGACCCCACCATGCCACCCCACCCAGCTCCCAACCCCCTAACCCAGCTGGAGGAGGCGCGCCGACGTCTGGAGGAGGAAGAAAAGAGAGCCAGCCGAGCACCCTCCAAGCAGAGGTACGGCCGCGTCGTGGGGTGGGGTGGGTCTTGGGGGTTACCACAGCACCACTCCTGGGGCTGAAGCTCCCCGAGGCCTGAGGTCTTCAGGGGAAAAACGGCCCTCTGGGTGTCCCCCAGCCATACTGGGCCCTTCCATCCACTGAGAACCACTGAGGGGCCACGTGGCAGGCCACCCTGCGGTGGACGGAGGCTGGGGCTGGAGCTTTCACACACCCGAGGCCGCCGCGCTCATTGCTCTGGAGGCGGGGTCCCTCCTCAACCTGAGCCCAGTCTGCAGGGAGGCTGCAGGGCCCCAGTGTGTGGGGAACGCCGGTCCCCAGCCAGAGGCTGCTCGCTGCTGGGCAGCCTGGGCTTTAGGGCAGAGGTCCTGGAGGCATGGCGGCTGCCTCTTGACAGTTGCGTCCCAGGAGCCCTGAGTGGCTCTGCACGGTCGGAAAGCTACGTGGTTCTGAAAGCCGTGCAGATGTAGAAGTGTCGTCCTGGACGTCCAGCCCACAGCCCTCCTCGCTGTGTCCTCTTGTCATCCTGGATGTCCAGCCCACAGCCCTCCTCACTGTGCCCTTCTCTCATCCGGGACGTCCAGCCCACAGCCCTCCTCACTGCGCCCTCCTTGGTCTTCTGGGCTCCGTAGCCAGACCCTGTTCTCTCCCTAGGGCAGGGAGGCTTCTGTCTGGGCTGCAGGGAGGTCTCCCCTTTGTGTGGGCAGCATTTTCGCTCCAGGCCAGAACCTGGCTTCTCCATTTTCAGCTTGCTCATAAGGCCAGTTTTCTCGGCCATCCTGGGTCATTGGAATTCCCCACAGATCAGTGTCTCTTTGAGGGTCCTGGGAGCCTATAGCTCACCCAGGCCCTGGGGCTGTGGTCACAGAGGCCATGGTTGCCTTCAGAGGTCACCAGCTCCTCCTGTCCACCTTGGGTCACCTGGGGCCTGGGGTCCAGGCCCGCCTCCCGGGCCTCCAGCTTTGGGGCTGTGCCACTCCAGGGAGGCTGTGGCTAGGGGCCTTATTCTGCCGAACCAGCATCAGGGTTCAGACCCTTCCCAGCTGAAAGCCTGTGTGGTCTCAAGTCATTAAAGGTTCCTGAGCTTCTGCCAGGCTGTGAGCCTAATGACAGCTCTGGGGCCAGAAAGGGTCACAGTTACCTCAAACCCAAAGGGTGACCACTTTATGACCAAACATCTGTGACCCTGTGATCGTGTTCGGCCAACAAGGAGCTGGAGCCCCCTGCCATGCAGGAGCCTGGAGTGTGGTGCTCGGAGCCGGGGCGTGTGACTGGGCTGGCAGATGAGCCGTGGTGGGCATCGTGTGCAGCAGGTCCGAGGCCCTGGGCGTGTGTGGGCTCTCCTGCCGGGGCTTCCTGAGCCATCCTTGCTGGGCTGAGCAGGGGTCTCTCAGGTTGCGTCTGCGCTTTCCCCTGGTACCCGTGGCCCCACATGATGGCAGGGGATGCCCGCTGAGCCGTGGGACCACTCCCGCCGTTCTGAGACACGACCCTCCCGCCCGTTTGGCTGCTGGGCTCCAGCATCCCCCCATGGGGAAACCCAGAGTTGCTGGGTTTGTCCGTCCAGGGGATGTGGGTTTTTGCGAGAAGCTGTGGAGACGGAGTGAAGGCCCAGAGGCAGGTTGGGTGCTGGGCCCTGTCAGGATGTCAGAGTAGAAACCACCATCAAGGTCGCCCAGTGTACCCCGGTGGAGGTGTCCACGTGAGAGGAGCTGCTGTGCTGCCCCAGGATGGCCTCAGTTGTGGCGCCGGGGGGCCCTCAGCCTCCCTGAGGTGCAGACCGAGTTGCCACGCACGCCCCAGAGCCAGTGTCCACGCTATCGGTGGGGAATTCATGCCAAGAGACTGAAGGACAGACTCTCGGGACGAGATGTCATCCCACCAGAGGGGATGAGGTGGTGGGATCCCAGCACCCCTGATCGGAAGCTCCCCAAAGTGCGGTCCAGGGAACTCAGGGGGTTGGTGCCGGGATCATGAATGTGGGGCGCGCTGCAGTATCGGGTACCACCAAGGCAGGCCTAGGAGGGGACTCGGTGTCTTGTCTACCCTGCAAACTGGAGCCTGCGCAGGGTGGGTTGTTCGGGCCCTTCACGCTCCGTCCGTCCCTGCGCAGCAGCATTGGTCGAGGCTCCCTCCCCAGGGCTGGTGGCCGCCGGCACAGCCACCTTTGACGCGGGTTGTTCCCTAGGTATGTGCAGGAGGTTATGCGGCGGGGACGCGCCTGCGTCAGGCCAGCGTGCGCGCCGGTGCTGCACGTGGTACCAGCCGTGTCGGACATGGAGCTCTCCGAGACAGAGTACGTGCGTCCTGAGGGTCCTCCCGGTCCTGCCCACCCCAGCCCTGGCGTCCCAAGCCAGGTCCCATCGTAGAGCCGCCGTCCCGGGGCTTGAGCTCGGGTACCACGCTCAGAAGCAGCTGTGGCAGGAGAGGGTCCCGTGGCATCAGACTCGAAGCTGCCCGAGAGCCTTCTCCTGTCTCCATCAAAGGAGACGCTGACTGTCCAGCATGATGACAAGTGACCAAAAGGCCCGGCTGGAGGCCTGGGCACAGCCAGCCCCTGCATCCACACAGGTGTCACGGCCAGGCTTCCTGTGGGGCAGAGACCTGCCTGCGCCTCCACCCGGCTTGGAACGGGCCGGTCCCTGCCAGGCCTGACTTGACCAGGCTCGGGGCTGCAGGTGCTGAGGTGCCCGGGGTGCGTCTGCTTGCAGTGTGGGTCTCAGCCATGCGTGTCTGTCCAGCCCGTGCAGTCAGTGAGTCGGGGCTCTGCTCCCACCTACAATGCTGACTGCTCTGAACCCGTGAGAAAGGGCTCAGACCATGTGATCCCACATGGGCCGTGTCGACGGCGCCTTTATGTGCTCAAGGTGGCAGGAGGAGGGGGCACACCCCAAAAGGGGCCTTGAGAACAAGGGTCCCCCAGGCCTTGCCAGGCTTGCCCCAGATGCAGGTTTGTTGTGGCCCTCATCGTGTAGGCGGTCTTGGGGCAGCCTTCACCTGTCCCTGGGGCAGCCCCCACGTGTTGGCTCTTCTCTGATGGGCCTGGCTCCAGGAGGCTCCGAGGATGTGGCACTGGGAGGACGTCTAAGAGCGCACGTGGCTGGGGGCCTGGTGTGCAAAGAGGATGGTCACATGGCTCAGGTGGCCATGAGGCCTTCCTGCCCTGGTGTTGGCTCTGGAAGCCTCTGGTGCACCCAGCCAGGAGGAGGCCCAAGGGCTGAACCCCAGTGGGCCAGGGGCAGCTTCTGGAGTCACTTGAAGGACAGGTGGCGGCGGGGTAGCCGAGTGGGGGGTGCGAGAGCAACCAGGCCCCGCCCGTCATCCCGGCACGGCTGTGGAAGCACAGCACCTGTCAGAGGAGGGCCCGGCTCAGCCTGGGCAGGAGACGGTGCCAGCCCTGCCCCCTCTGAAGGGCCTGCTGGCCACCCCCGCCCCAGTCCTCCGACAAACTTCGCTGCGGGGTCAGGCTTATCCAGAAATCGTGCACAGTTCTGTTTGTCCAATCCCTGCCCTTCAGATGTTTTTAAGGTTTGGGGGCCGTAGGTCTTCCTGAGATAGGAGCCCTGCAGCCTGCCCTGCCATCCTAGAGGTGGGAGCTGCAGTGCACCTGGCAGCCAGGCCCTGGCCAGTCGAGGGTGGGGCTGTGAGGCAGCAGGGAGACCTTCGTGCTCCCAGTGAGCGGAGCCGACTCCACTGCTAGCGGACTAGATCCCAGATTGAGATGCTGTGCGGGGGCTGCGGGCCCCAGGTGTTTGAATGGGGTGCTGCTCACCCCTGCAGGCCTGCCCCGCCTTACACTGGCAGCCTGAGGCCAGCAGGAGGGACCCTGTGGGACCTCAGTCCAAAACCAGGTACCACCGCTGCATCTCTTTCCCCAGGACAAGATCGCAGAGGAAGGTGGGCGGCGGGAGTGCCCAGCCGTGTGACAGCATCGTTGTGGCGTACTACTTCTGCGGGGAACCCATCCCCTACCGCACCCTGGTGAGGGGCCGCGCTGTCACCCTGGGCCAGTTCAAGGAGCTGCTGACCAAAAAGGGCAGCTACAGGTGAGTGTGAGGGCTGGGGTGCCCCCTCCCCGCACGAGTATGTGGGTGCCCAACGGTATGAAAAAGAGGGTTTCCAGCCGGGCACAGTGGCTCACGTCCTAATCCTGGCACTTTGGGAGGCTGAGGTGGGCGGATTGCCTCAGCTCAGCAGTTCGAGACCAGCCTGGGCAACATGGTGAAACCCCGTCTCTACTAAAAATACTAAAGAAATTAGCCAGGTGTGCTACTTGGGAGGCTGAGGCAGAATTGCTTGAACTCGGGAGGCAGAGGTTGCAGTGAGCTGAGATCACGCCACTGCTCTCCAGCCTGGGTGACAGAGCGAGACTCTGTCTCTACCCCCGCCCAAAAAAAAAAAAAGAAGAAAAAGGGCTTCCGGCCATTTCAGCTCATGTCCCTCATCTGCAACTAAAGCCACTTCTCCAAGCCCTAGGCTGAGGGTGGCATCAGGCTTTCGGCCCCACAGGACTGAGAGGGTCCAAAGGGACCCCCGTCCAGGGCCCTCATCTTCGGGGTGGGAAAACAGAGGCCAGACCCCTAGACGACGATGGTCTGAACCTTGTGTTAGGCTCCCCTAGGCCGACCTTGTCTCCAGGCTCTGGACTCATGTGCTTTTGCCTGACTGAAAAGCCAAGCCCCCTCCTACCAAGGTTCATTCGCCCTGGGCCACTCAGCCCTGCAGGGCCCTGCGTGCAGCCAGCCTTGGAGGCTCCCGAGTGAGCACTGGGCGGTGAGCAGAGGGGGCCTGACCCCAAGAGCCTGGCAGAGCCTGGCGGGTGGTTCCCACCGTCCACAAGCCACTGTGCAAACACCCCATGACTGCAGATGTGGTGCTGAGGGAGGGCCCCAGTTGGGGTCACCTCCATGACGGGGCTCAGCCCTTGGGAAGCAGACACCCCACACCCGTCCACTTCCCCCCTGCAACTCCTGAGAGGCTGGGGCAGGTACTCCCAGGGGGATGTGGGGTGCTCCCAGCAGGCAGTGAACTCACCCCCCATGGCTGCCCACTTCACCCACATGTGGTCATTGCACTGTTCACTGTTGCCCTGGGAGGGGGCGCACATGCAGTGGGGGCCGTGGGGCATGGACAGGAGGCTCCTCGGGATGGGGTGTGGACACGCCGTCCCCTGCCACAGGCCTCCTTCCCATCTGCGGTGCTGCCTGCTCACTGCCCTCCTCACCTCCGTCCTGCAGATACTACTTCAAGAAAGTGAGCGACGAGTTTGACTGTGGGGTGGTGTTTGAGGAGGTTCGAGAGGACGAGGCCGTCCTGCCCGTCTTTGAGGAGAAGATCATCGGCAAAGTGGAGAAGGTGGACTGATAGGCTGGTGGGCTGGCCGCTGTGCCAGGCGAGGCCCTTGGCGGGCACGGGTGTCACGGCCAGGCAGATGACCTCGTACTCAGGAGCCCGATGGGGAACAGTGTTGGGTGTACCACCCATCCCTGTGGTCTACCCGTGTCTAGAGGCAGGTAGGGGGTCCCTCCAAGTGGTCCACAAGCTTCTGTCCTGCCCCCAAGGAGGCAGCCTGGACCACTCCTCATAGCAATACTTGGAGGGCCCAGCCCAAGTGAGGCAGCCGAGGTCCCTGCTGCCAGCTTCAGGTGACCCCCCCCCATCCCCCGGCACCTCCCTTGGGCACGTGTGCTGGGATCTACTTTCCCTCTGGGATTTGCCCACGTACCCAGGTCTGGGTGGGGCCCAGGCCCGGATGCAGAGGCCTGCAGGGCCTCTGTCAATTGTACGCGCCACCGAGTGCCTTCAACACAGCTTGTCTCTTGCCTGCCACTGTGTGAATCGGCGACGGAGCACTGCACCTGCCTCCAGCCGCCGGCTGTGCAGTCCTGGGTCCTCCTTTCTGAGGGCCCGTGTAAATATGTACATTTCTCAGGCTAGGCCAGCAGGGGCTGCCCGAGTCTGTTTTTCATGCGATGACACTTGTACAATTAATTATCTTTTCAAAGGTACTTGGATAATAATGAAATAAAACTGTTTTTGAACCTGCCCTGGCTGTGGTGTGTCTTCTGCGGGTGGGGCCTGGCCTAGGTCTCCCAGCCTCAGCCCCCGTGGTAAAGGAGGGCACACTGGCCTCCAGCAGGCATGGGGATCACCTGTGACTCAGAGGCTGGCAGGGCTAGAGCAGGAACGTGCTCCACCTTCCTGCCCTGGAGCCCCCAGCTGGGCAGAGCTGCATCAGGCCAGCCTTGCTGAGGGACCAGGCACACAGAGTCCAGAACCAAGCTCACTCTTTATTCACAATGCACAGCTCCCTCTGGTACCCAAGGGGGTGGCTCCTGTCCAGCAGTGATGGCGGGGGTGACACGGGGGCAGCTACAGTTCCTCCTTGGACCCCATAGTGGAGTTGGCCGGTGGCTCCTAGAAAGGGTCACAAGTGCAGCTCGAAGCTCTGCTCCCAGCCTACCCCTGCCCCCGCCCCTGCCAGCCCTGTGTAAAGAGGATTTGTGCAGAGGCCTGGAGCCCTGGCTTAGGGACACCCACCGGGAACGGGGCTGCTGGCTCCTCCGGGGGCTCCTCCGTGGGCAGCACGCCCCCGTTGTCCAGGAACTTGGAGAAAGTCTCCAGGTCCCTGGTGCTTTTGTATTCAATCACCTGAGAAGAGGCAGGGGGATCTGGAGGACACGTGGGGCCCAGCCCCATGCCCAGCAAGATGGCACCCCGGCTTCCTCCCCAGCCACCTGTCCGCCATACCTTCCGACCTGGCCCTGCTGGGAAGTACTTGAGAGTAGGGAAGCCGTGCACAGCGAAGGCATCCAGCTCGTTGGCCGTGGCATCCAGCTCAGCAATGATGATGTCCTCGTGGTCTTGGTACTTCTCAGCCAATGCCTCCCAGGCAGGGGCCATCTCCTTGCAGTGGGTGCACCACGGGGCATCTAGGATGGGAGCCGTTGAGCACAGCCATCTGGGCAGCCCCTGCCCAGCCCACACCACCCCTGCCTCCCTCAACACTCACAGAACTTGACAAACACATTCTTGGTTTCGTCAAAAGCCACCTGCTCAAAATTCTTGCCCACGAGGGTCTTAACTGGCCGCTGATCCCAATCAGGGGGTATCTCCTGGCTCAGGAGATAGGGCTGGGGGAAACCAGGACAGGCGCTTTGCCAGGGGTCCTCTGCAGGGTTCAGGAGGTCCTGTGCAGGGCCTGGGGGGTGGGGGGGAGGTCCTGTGCGGGGTCAGCGGCAGGGGGAGGTTCTGTGTGGGGGGGGCGGTGGGGGGGAGGTCCTGTGCGGGGCCGGGGGCAGGTGGGGGGGAGATCCTCTGCAGGGCCTGACAGGGAGGTCCTCTTCAAGTTTGGGAGAACTGTGGGGTTTAGTGGGGGGAGGGAGAACTGTGGGGTTTGGTGGGGGGAGGGACCTCTGTGGGGTTGGGGTTGAGGTTGGGGTTGGGAGAACCGCGGGGTTGGAGAACCGCGGGGTTGGGGTTGGGAGAACCGCGGGGTTGGGAGAACCGCGGGGTTGGGAGAACCGCGGGGTTGGGGTTGGGGTTGGGGTTGGGGTTGGGAGAACCGCGGGGTTGGGGTTGGGAGAACCGCGGGTTTGGGGTTGGGAGAACCGCCGGGTTGGGGTTGGGAGAACCGCCGGGTTGGGAGAATTGCCGGGTTGAGGGGGGCCTCTGCGGGGCCTGCAGGGGCAGGGGGCTCTGAGAGCTGCTGTTCCCACCCCCTGCCAAGCTGGTGGGATGAGGTCAGGGTTCCCCTTCCATTATGAGCAGTCTGCAGCGGACCTTGACTTGGCCGTTGAGGACTGCATGGCAGAAAGCAGTGATGGACGCTGCGGTGACAGGGCCCCCATCCACAGGCGCATACTTCTTAGTGGTTTCAAGGTTGACCAAGCGCAGAGTGGGGGCTGCCTCAGCCTTGAGTCCAAAGTACTGCAGCACGTGCTCATTGTCGGCCGCCACGTCCACCACCACGAACAGCACCTGTGGCAGGGAGTCCATGCTGGCACCGGCCACTCTCCCGCTGCCCCTTTCCCCCAGCCCCCCAGTACCTGCCCCCGGAAGCGGGGAGCTGCCTCCCCAAAGCCCGCTAGGAGCTCCCGGTGCGCAGCCAGCGTCTGGTTGACAAACAGCAGCAGGTGGTTGAGGATCCTGGCCGCGAAGATCTTGGCAGACGTCTACAGTAGGGAGGGTGCTCATGACTCCACAGGACCCCCAGCCTAGGCACCCCCATCCCTGGACGACTCTACCCTGGGACACCCCCAGCCCAGGCACTGCAGCCTACGCACCTGGCTGTTGAACTCCGTGACCAGGCGCATGCTGTGTGTGACCAGGAAGCGCGACAGATCCCCCAGGTCCAGGCCAAGCTCCTCGTCCACGGGGAAGTCTGCCCGCCCCTCATCAAACTGGACAGCAGCAGGTGGGTTAGCGGGCGCTGCAGCCGGACCCCAACCCACACCTGGGCCTGACCTACCTTCTTGAAGAGAACCACAGTGTCCTTGGTGAGGCCAAACTGCTGAAAGAGCCGCGGCCGGTCTGTGAGGCCAAAGGTCATGTCCAGGGCGTCCTGGGCCAAGGCCAAGAAGGTGGCCACGTCCTCGTCCTGCAGGTCCTGAGGGGCCTGGCCCTGTGAGGCCACCCGGTCCCACCCACAGTCACTGCCCTCATGGCCCGGCCCCCCATGCCCAGTGGCTCACCTGGAAGAAGCCAATGACCACTAGGTCCCGGCCACCGATCAGCGCCTGGGCGGCCGCCTCGTCCTCCAGCCGCATGGCACTGGGCCCCACCCGCCGTCGCAGCCACTCGGCAATGCCCTCAGCGTCCCGTGGTCCTGCAGGGAGTCCCCCTCAGCCTCGGCCTGGCCACCGCCCCCCCAATGACCGGCCTGCCCCTCACCTGTGTACTCCTCCGGGTGCGTGCGGTTCCCATTGCGGAAGAACTTGAGCGTAGGGTACTCCGTCACACCAAACTCCTCAGCCAGCTCGCGCTGCGCGGGCCCATCCACCTTGGCCAGCGTGACCACCATTGACTCGGCCGCGAGCACGGCAGCTGCCTTGCTGTACTCGGGGGCCAGGGCCTGGCAGTGCCCACACCACGGGGCATCTGGGGGATGGGGCCGTGAGTGCCCCAGGCCACCACAACCCCAGGAGCACCCTCTCCACACCTGACAACCCAGCAGGGAACAAGCGTGCTGCTCCATTCTGCCCTGAGCCCTGGCCGTGGACAAGCCGAGCACCAGTGCCTCTTCGTGGCCCCCCAGGCTGCAGCACAGGGACCAGTAAGGCTTGGGAGAGCTTGAAAGACCACCCCCCCTCCCCCCACAGCCAGGCTCAGTGGCTCACGCCAGTAATCCCAGCACTTTGGGAGGCAGAGGCGGGCATATCACCTGAGGTTGGGAGTTCGAGACCAGCCTGACCAACATGGAGAAACCCCATCTCTACTAAAAATACAAAAAATATTAGCCGGGATTGGTTGCGTATGCCTATAATCCCAGCTACTCGGGAGGCTGAGGCAGGAGAATTGCTTGAACCTGGGAGGCGGAGGTTGCAGTGAGCCGAGATAGGGCCACTGCACTCCAGCCTGGGCGACAAAAGCAAAACTCCATCTCAAAAAATAAAAATAAAAAGACCCCTCCCTTTCGTGCCTTGTATGGCTGGGGCTCCCGGGCCCATGTGGCTGCCTGTGAAGGCCTCCTAGGCAAGAACAGTTCCTATGTGTGTCAAGGGTTGCGAAAAGACCACAGGGCACACACGTCAGGGACCTCCATGGGCCCCCAAAGCCTGGATACTGCCCGAGCCTCTGCAGAGTCTGTGGGATGCCCCTGGCAGCTGGAGGAGTGGCCGGCAAGGTGGTGACTCTGGCACCGTGGCCGCTGGCCGAGCAGGGAGGCACAGGTGTTCTCAAGTCCTGTGGGTACCCCCAGTACTACCACACTGCTCCTGCCTGCCCCAACCAGACCCCCAGGCCCCTCCTAGAGAGCTCCTGGGCACAGTGGGGGCAAGTGCCTGCGGGGAGGCCCCTCTTGGGCACATGCCCTGCATTTGCCGGCAAAGGGTGGGGCCCCCAGGTGGGCTCTGCCGGTCCCCCGCCGGTCCCCAGCCCCACTGGCCCCAGCACTCACAGAATTCCACCAGCAGGGCAGGGTGCTCCCGCAGGGCCAGGCCCAGGGTGTGGCGGCTCAGCACCAAGATCCCATCCTCCTTGGGGATTTCCTCCTCTGGAGGCTCCTCCGAGGGGCTCCTCGCTCCCTGTTCCTGACCCCATGGGCACGAAGCCCTGAGCAGCAGCAGCAGCAGTACAGGCAGAAGCTGGCGGCTCATGGTGCTGCCAGGGCGCGTGGGGCGGGGGCAGATAAGGGGGCCAGAAGCCAAGCAGCAGCTGCCACGTGGCACACAGGCCCAGTCCCAGCAAAGACAAGGCCCATGCGGCCGCCCCCGGCCCCCAGGGGAGGGGAGGCAGAAAGAGACGACACCCAGGGCACCGAGAGAGACAGGGCCATGTTTAATGGGACAGCTCAGGGGACAGCGCCAGGCCAGGGGGTCCCGGGACAGAGCAGGGGCAGCAGGGGCAGCAGGGGCAGCAGGGGAGGGTCTGGTCACTCACGGGGGGTGCTGGGGATGCTTGGGGGTCCCTGTGCAACAACTGAGGGAGGTAGGGGAGACACGGACTGGGGGTTCAGTCCTTCCAGTCCTGGCAGATGCAGAGACCCCACTCCCAGGACAGGTGGTGCGTCCTGTCATCGTCGGTGAAGAGGGACACCACCAGATAGGGGCCCCGCACCAGCGCACCCCTCGGCGCTTCCTCCACCGGAGTCACAAACTCATACTCCTGGGCGCTCGGGCCATAGCTGCCCACCATGTAGACGGTCTTGTCCACTAGGGAGGGCGAGGGCATCAGAGCTGTCCTCTGTCTGCCCCCGCTTCCCCCCCCCGCCCCGTTCCCCCCACCGCTGCCCTCACCGCGCAGGCCCCGGCGGTAGGTGTGGTGCAGACACTTGAGGCCGCTGACAATCTCCCTGTGGACCTGGGAACAGAGGCATTAGGGGTTCCTCTGGGGGCCAGGCCTCTGGCTGTTGCCCCCACCCCCATCCCCTCCGCCCATTGCCCCGGCTCTCACCTTGAAGGAGATCTTCACTCTGTAATCAACACCTTCCTTCAGGACAAACACCTGGTCCTTCAGAACAGCCAGGTCCCCTATTGGGGAAACCTCAGCTAGGGTCGGAACTCCCCTACAGGCTGAGACCTGCTCCAGGAGCCCCCACGTAGGGTGTGGTACCCATGAGGTGTGCGACTGTGATGGCCCAGGGCTCGGAACTCAGGGGTGCAGAAGCGTGCCTGGGAGGGCCCTACCTGTGTTCAGGGTGCAGCATCCTGCGAGTTACCTGTGAGATCCATGACGACGGGCCCCGGAGCCTGTTCCGACAGGAGTGTCAGCCTGGTCACCTGCACATTGGGCAGGCTTGGGTCTGAGGAGAAACTGGAAGTCTGCAGGATGCCCCCCACCCCCACCAGGCTCCTCACCAGCCCCCCAGACCCAGCCCTCCAAGCCTAGACCCCTGCCATACCCACGGCCGGTGGCAGGGGCCCCAGCAGCACCCGCTTGTACTTGGCCAGGCTCCTGTCGTCCGGGTCCAGCTGCCGGATCTCCAAGAGGCTCTTCCTCCCCGGCGCCCGGTACTCGGGCACAGCCTCATCCAACACCTCGTCCACTGCCGGCGGCCCACCCTCCTTGTCAGCCAGGAGGACTGGGGGTGGGGAGGGGCGTGAGCAGCAGCCACTAGCGGACCCTGGCATTCGAGCACCAGGCTGGAGCCCCCTCTGGCCAGCTGTACCTCCCACTATCCAAAGGGACTCAAGGGAAGCCTCTGGGGGCTCAGGGAGAGAGCGAGCAGAGAGAGCAGGGCGGCCTGGGGAGGTGCCGCACCGCACCCAGACCTTCAGGAGGGGCCTCCAGAGACCGCCAGGCCTGCAGCTCCTCTGGCCCAGATGTCCACAAGGGCCCCCTCCCTGACTCGGAGACCAAAGGGCGGGGGAGCGAAGACTTCAGATGAGGGCAGCCCAGGGTCAGGGGCTACCTGCTAGAGAGCAGCGGCCCTCGGCGGCCCCCAAACCTACTGACCCTCTAGGGCCCTCGGCGGCCCCCAAACCTACTGACCCTCTAGGGCCCTCGGCGGCCCCCCAAGCCTACTGACCCTCTAGGGCCCTCCACCACCCTGCTCTGGACTGGGGTCTCTGAACACTTTCCCACAGTCTAGGAGTTCCTCCCCATGGTGCTCGGGTGCCGGGGGCGGCTGTCTCCAAATCCCTGGGCTCAGGCTCTGCGCCGCCTCCCATGGCGCCCCGGGCTGGTGGCCTCCTGAAGCCCCTCTCCCTGGTGCCCTGGGCAGGGGTTTCTGAGTCCCTGCCCACTTCGCTCCCGTCTTCTCGGGGATCACCACACGCCCTACAGAGCCTGAGCCCCAGCCCCAGCCCCACCCAAGACAGAGGGGCTCCAGGCGGCGGTGTCCAGGGGGAGAGGGTCCCAGCGCCGCCGCTTCCCAAGCCGACCCGTCCGCACCTGGTCCCTTCCCCACAGGGCTGGAGCCTGGATGAAGTCCCCCACCCCTGCCAGACCCCAGCCGGGGGGTCGGCGCCGCGAGGTCCCCATGCGCGCCCCCAAAGTTGCCGCGGGGGAGGGGCTACTCCCCGCCCGGGGCTGAGACCAGCCGAGCCCCCCGCCCCTGCCCGGCCCGCTCACCTCGGGCGCACAGCGCCAGCCGGAGCAGCTCCAGCAGCTGCGCCCCCAGCTCGCACGCGTCCAGGCCCAGCATGGCGGCGCGCGGCCCGGGCGCCGCGGAGCCGCCGAGGAGCCGCCGCCCGCCCCGCCGCCGCCCCGCTCGGCGCTCAGCCCCGGCGCGACTGCGGTGAGCTCATCCCGGCCGGGAGCGCCCCCCGCGCCCAGCCGCGCCCGGCAGAGAGCCCCCAGCCGCTCCGGACCCCGCGCAGCCCCGCAGAGACGCGCGTGTCGCCCGCACGGGCCGGCACCCGGGTCGCCCCCGCCGGCGTGCCAGGACCCCGCACAGAAGCGCCCGGACGCGGACGCACGCAGCCGCGGTCACGATCCCCGCCGCCCGCCCGGCCCGTGCCCGGCTCTGGCCAGCAGGGCTGCCCCACCCCCACGGCGCGGCGGGAGCCCGAGGGGGTCTCCTGGGAAACCCTCTGCGGGGCGCCGTGGCGCAGGTGCGCCCCCATCCCCAGGGTCTCATTATCCGCGGCCACACCTGGGGCCGGACCGCGCGCCCCCTTCCCCTCCCCCGCTCCTGAGGGAGCTTCTGTCTGGGCCGAGGGGGACTCCGGGGGCCTGCCCAGCCTTGGGGTGAGGGGCTGGCCCAACACCCTACAGGTTCACGGTCATCAGTAGGGCGGGACCACAGTGGGCGCGGGTCGCACGCACACCCAGGAGGCAACAAGGGCCCCTCAAAGGCTTAGCGACCTGGCTGCGCTGTGTGAGTTCCCAAGAGGGGGTGTCCCTGCAGGGCTCTTGGAAACCCAGTTACCGAGCCCCCTGTCCTCAGGGAGAGGACACTGACAAGGGGGCGGAGTACAGAGACCGGAGCACAGAGGGGGCTTCTGATATTGACACCTAAACTGAGACCTGTGGGTGGGTGGGGGGGATGGGACCCGGCAGGGGACAGGGGTGAGCAGGCCCTGGCTGGGACAGCTGGACCAAAGGCCTGCGTCTGGATAAGGGAGAAGGGGTCCGAACACCAGCCTGAGTCCCTTTCTTAGACACCCCTGGCCGGTTCCAGGGACACCAGAAATTAGACCCGCCCTTGCCAAAGAGCTCCTCAATTGAGAGAAGACCACCTTGGGTGCTAGGGGGCATTGGGGTTTGGGTGGGGACTGTCTCCCTTGCCCCCCAACTGCCCACAACCTTTCCAGGGCAGGATCCTATGAACTTGTGCCCAGGCCCCCCTAGAGCGCCACCTCTGCTGACCCTTCGCTGCAGGGAGCGGGGGCTGTTAGGACACTTGTCCCCAGGCCCACAGCTCCAGCTCCTGCAGCTGTTACCAGATAGAAGGTCTTGGAGGTGAGTTGTCCAGGTTCTTGGTGGGTTGAACAAAGAATTGAACAAAACGCACAAAGTAACAAAAGAACAACGAAACACAAGGAAACAAAACTGAGTCAGAAGAACGGAGTAAGGAAAGCACAGATTTAACGGAAGGCAATTCACAGAGTGGGAGTGGGCTGGAGCAAGTAGCTCCAGAGCCTCTGTAATTAGGATTTTTATTAAGCAAAGAAACCTGACCACAGCCCTTGTGCCCTTTAGAGGCCTCCAATTGGCTACACCCTATGAAGGATTGGCCCGAGACCAATCAGAGGTGAAGTGGAAATTTCTGTCTTGTTATCACAGCAGCCAGGATGTGGCTTGTGAGCTGCCCAATCCTGCCTAGAACTGGCTGCACCTGCTGTTCCGTTTCTTATGCCCAACCCTTGGCTACCCTCATTCCCTATTCTGCCTCACAGCTACCATGGGTGCCCACCCCTGCAGACAGGGCAGCCAGACCTGGGCCACCTCACCCCACCTGGGTGTGGGGCATGGGAGGGCTCACTGGGATCCAAGCGAGATGGTACCCTGGAGTAAGAGACCCCACAAGCCCCCTGCCCCAGCTCATGCTGAACGTGGCCTCTCCGGCAATGGAAATGGACTCAGACCACTATGTTAGGGGCTCCCAGCCCAAGGCCAACCGCCCACCCTGCCCAGCCCCTAGCACCCTCTGAGTGGGTAAGGATGGGGAGAGGTACTCTGCCTCCAAGAAAGCAGAAATAGACCAGATGCGGTGGTACACATCTGTAGTCCCAGCTACTCAGGACGCTGGGGTGGGAGAATCACTTGAGCTCAGGAGTTTGAGGCTGCAATGAGTTTATGATTGCACCACTGCACTCCAGCCTGGGTGACAGAATGAGACTGCCATCTCTCAAAAAATAAATACATAGCCAGGTGCCATGGCTCATGCCTGTAATCCCAACATTTGGGAGGCTGAGGCAGGAGGATCACTTGAGGCCAGGAGTTCAAGATCAGCCAGCCTAGGCAACACAGCAAGAAACTGAGGCCCTTACAGACAGGGATAAGCGAGGGGCTACGTGTATATTTATCTACAAAAATAAAAATGAAATTAAAAAAAAAATTAGTGGCCAGGTGCGGTGGCTCATGCCTGTAATCCCAGCACTTTGGGAGGCCAAGGCAGGTGGATCACTTGAGGTCAGGAAGTTTGATACCAGCCTGGCCAACACGGTGAAACCCCATCTCTACTAAAAATGCAAAAAAAAAAACAAAAAAAAAAATTAGCCGGGCATGGTGGCGCATGCCTCTGATCCCACCTACTTGGGAGCTGAGGCAAGAGAATCGCTTGAACCCAGGAGGCGGAGGTTGCAGTGACCCGAGATTGCACCATTGCACTCCAGCCTAGGCAACAAGAGTGAAACTCCATCTCAAAATAAATAAATAAATAATTTAAAAAATAAAGAAAGCAAGCAGAAATAGATGCATTTGCACCTTTTAAAAATGGTGCTGAGGCTGGGCTCGGTGGCTCAGGCCTGTAATCCCAGCACTTCGGGAGGCCGAGGTGGGCAGATCGCCTAAGGTCAGGAGTTCAAGACCAGCCTGGCCAACAAGGTGAAATGCTGTCTCTACTAAAAATACAAAAATTAGCCAAGCGTGGTGGCGGGGGCCTGTAATCTCAGCTACTCAGGAGGCTGAGGCAGGAGAATTGCTTGAATCTGGGAGGAGGAGGTTGCAGTGAGACGAGATTGCGCCATTGCACTCCAGCCTGACAGAGCAAGACTCAGTCTCAAAAAAAAAAAAAAAAAAAAGATGCTGGCTGGGCATGCCTTTAATCCCAGCACGCTGGGAAGCTGAGGCAGGAGGATGGACTGAGCCCAGGAGTTTGTGACCACCTTGGGCAACATAGTGAGACCTCGACTTAGTTTTTAAAAAATGATCCGACCGGGTGTGGTGGCTCACACCTGTCATCCCAGAACTTTGGGAGGCCAAGGCAGGTGGATCACCTGAAGTCAGGAGTTTGAGACCAGCCTGGCCAACATGGTGAAACCCCATCTCTACTAAACATACCAAAATCGGCCAGGCACAGTGGCTCACACCTATAAGCCTAGCACTTTGGGAGGCCAAGGCAGGCACATCACCTGAGGTCAGGAGTTCGAAACCAGCCTGGCCAACGTGGTGAATCCCTATCTCTACTAAAAATACAAAAATTAGCTGGGTGTGGTGGCGCGTGCCTGTAATCCCAGCTACCTAGGAGGCTGAGACAGGAGAATCGCTGGAACCCAGGAGGCGGAGGCTGCAGTGAGCCAAGACCGCATCACTGCACTCCAGCTTGGGTGACACAGTGAGACTCCGTCTCAAAAACAAAAACAAAAATAAAAATTAGCCAGGCGTGGTGGTGGGAGCCTGTAATCCCAGCTACTCAGGAGGCTGAGGCATGAGAATTGCTTGAATTCAGGAGGCGGAGGTTGCAGTGAGCCGAGACTGCCCGGTGGGGCCTGAAGATCCTGGGCCTGGCTCGGGGTGCACCTGGGGGACAGGCATAGCCATTGGAGGAGGGAGAGAGCTGGGAGTGGAGTGGGGCCTGAAGCCTGGCGGCCGCCGGTGACACTAAGTGGGTGTGTGTTGAGGGCCTCCCTGCAGTAAAGCTCCTCTCCAACAGTGTCAGGGTGCCCTGGGCAGGGTTTCTGCTCATTCCCCAGCGGGCCACCCAGGCCTGCGTGGAGCTGAGGGAAGTGAGCCATGAGCCATCAGCCACTTTCCCGGAAGGACCCCGGATAAGGGACCCACAGCAGGAGATGGGGACAGCTGGGTCACACTCTGCAGCAGCCACGTGCTCCACTGACAGCCGGCATCCGGCCCATGTAGAAAGCTGACCCAATCTCTCATGCACCCTGCCCCTAACCAGCCACCGTCACAGCAATGTATGCAGTCTTGGCCACAAGCATCGCAGGACACAAGGCCTCGGGCAGTCATACCGCTGGCCCTGGCCCCGGCCCCACAGCCAGGCCTCTAGTCCCTGTATGTCCTCAGGGCCCCACACATAGGACCGGGGTTACAGTGGGCCCTAAACCACGTTTCCCACCCCAGTTCACTCTCCCTACGGGTCTCCTCTACTCACGGAACCCCTCTCCCTCTCTGAACCCCCATCCCCTCCGCTGCCCTCCCTGAGACCCTCCCCATAGTAACCCCCCCTCGCTGATGAGCCCCTCTGCCTCTCCCAGAGACCACCCCCTGCTCCAGCTGAGCTCCATCCCCTCACATCCCCCCTCGGCCCCCGGCCCACACCCTCCCCCGTCCCACTTCGCCTTCACCCACGAGGGCCTCAGCGTCCCGGGACCTGGGTCGGGGGGGTGACTCGGGTCGCTCGTGGGGGGCCGGCTCGTTTGCCTCTGGGCCGTGGCCGTGTCTCTTAAAACCCGAACCGGGGCCTGGGCGACTCTGGCCTCGCGGCCCGAGGGTTAACCCGGGCGCGGCGCGGCGCGGGGCGGGGCCGGGCGGGACGTCGGTCATCCCCGCCGGCCTCGCCCCGCAGCCATGGCCGCCGGCCCCGCGCCGCCCCCCGGCCGCCCCCGGGCGCAGATGCCGCATCTGAGGAAGGTGCGAGGCGGGTGGGTGTCCCGCCGTCCCCCGATTTCCCGGCGCCCGAGGCCGGGAGGGGCCGGAGAGCATGGGGACACGGGGGCGCGCGGGGCGGGGCGGGCCTGGGGCGGAGGTCTGCGAGGCCGGGAGGGGCGGCGAGGCCTGGGGCCCTTGGGGGTCTCCGGGGTCTCCCCGGCCCTCCCCGGCCCTCCCCGGCCCGCCCCGCGTCCCCGCCGCCAGCTGCGGCCTGGAATCCGCCGCCGCCGCGCGTTAATCTCCGCGCTCCCGGATCCGGGGCATCCCGGCCGGTGCCAGGGAATCAGGGTTGCGGGGCGGCCAGACACCCCCTGACGACTCCCTCCGCCCAGATGGAGCGGGTGGTCGTGAGCATGCAGGACCCCGACCAGGGCGTGAAGATGCGGAGCCAGCGCCTGCTGGTCACCGTCATTCCCCACGCGGTGACAGGTGAGGCGCGCCGGGGCGGGGGTGCGTGCGCGCCTCGGCCTCCCTCCACCTCTGTCTCTCCCGTGCAGGCAGCGACGTCGTGCAGTGGTTGGCCCAGAAGTTCTGCGTCTCGGAGGAGGGTGAGCGCCCTGCCTCCCACTGGGCCCTGGGGTCACTGGGCTGGTGGCCTAGGCCTGGGTTTTCCTGGAGTCTGGCAGTTCTCAGAGCCCTGCTGAGCGCGCTGTGCAAGGGTGGGGAGCACATAGGGGAGAGGAGGCCCGGCTCGTCCCGCCCTCGCCCGCTTCCGCGGCCCCGCGCTCACCGTCCCACCCCTCCCCAGAGGCCCTGCACCTGGGCGCCGTCCTGGTGCAGCATGGCTACATCTACCCGCTGCGCGACCCCCGTAGCCTCATGCTCCGGCCAGACGAGACGCCCTACAGGTTCCAGGTCAGGCTCGGGGGTGCAGGTGGGAGCCGGTGGGACCCCCACCCCCACCCACCCAGCTTACCAACTCGGGGAGACAGGAGGGGCGCCGAGCTTGCTGGGATTGGAGTGGGACTCCGCCATGTCGCCGTGGGCTGGTGGTCCATCGCCCCCTCCCCAAAAGTCCTGGACCGCAAGTACGGATGTGGTGAGAAGGACCCGGCTGAGGGATGGAGCCTCAGTTTTCCTGGGGACCACAGCAGGGCCCCACAAGGGGTCGTATGTGCAGAGGATTCTGCCATCTTCCTGGGGGTCCCTAGGCCCAGGTCCTGAGGGAGGGGCTGTGAAGGCCTGAGGACAGCATTCCTGCCCTCCCTAACCACATCAGGGTCCCGGGCCGACCTGCCGTCGGTTGTACCCCTCCCCAGGCACAGACTGTGACTACATCCAAGACTTGTGCAGGCCCCCAGCCCCACCCCGCCTTGAATGGGGGCTTAGGGTGACCAGTGAGGGAGGCAGTGTCTGAACAGGGCCCTAAGGAGCGAGTTGACCTCAGTTCTAGTTGGAGAGACTGGCCAGTGGTCAGTGGAGTCTCTCGGTGGTGGGCAGGCAGGGAGATCCTCAGACACCTCCTGCCCAGCCCAGGCTTCTTCCCAGGGAGGTCTGAGGGTGGGGTGACACTGGGGAGGCACAGACGCAGGCGTCCTGGACACCTTCTCCCTGCACCACGCCAGACCCCGTACTTCTGGACAAGTACCCTGAGGCCGGCTGCAGAGCTGGACTATGGTGAGCAAGGGGACGGCTGGCCCCAGACAAGTTCCCAGGACTGGGGGCCTCAGGGTGATGCCGTGAGGCAGGGCAGAGCTGGCCCCTCTGCAGGCTGTCCCTGTTCTTCCAGCCATCTACCTGGCCAAGAAGAACATCCGAAAACGGGGGACCCTGGTGGATTATGAGAAGGTGGGACCCCCCACCCTTCCCGCCCCGGCTGGGTACAGCTGGAGGAACCCAAGCCTCACTCACGGCCCCCCGGGGCTTCACGGTTTACCCCAGAACATACAGCCCAGGCCCCAAAACCCAAGACAGTCCCCAACCCCCCAACTGCCCACACAGTCTCACTGGGGGCAGGGGCCGGGGTGACCCACTGGAAACCTCGCTGCCCCCAGGACTGCTATGACCGGCTACACAAGAAGATCAACCACGCATGGGACCTGGTGCTGATGCAGGCGAGGGAGCAGCTGAGGTGAGGCCCCGCCCTGCCCCGCCCCGCCTGCAGGCGCCCAACCCAGGCTACCCGGGAAGCCCAGCCCAGGCCAGGCTCCGGTGGCCCTGGGACCGTGGAGGGCACCCCTGGGTGTGGCTGCCTGCCCAGGTCCAGGCCTGAGGGTGGGGGCGGAGGGGCTGCTGTGTGCAGGGCGTGCCCTCAACTCGGCCTCCTCCTCCCAGGGCAGCCAAGCAGCGCAGCAAGGGGGACAGGCTGGTCATTGCGTGCCAGGAGCAGACCTACTGGCTGGTGAACAGGCCCCCGGTGAGCCCACCTGCGGTGAGGGTGGGGGTCGCTGGCCAGCGCAGGGGTCAGCGTGCTTCCCTGACAGGCGCTCTCAGGACCACCATTTTGAGCCTGTGGAAGGACCTGCCTTGGAGCTCCTGGTGGGGGCAGGACGTTTTCACTTCGTGACTTAGTTGCGTTTCTGCCAATCAGAACCCAGGTCTCCATCCCTAGACCACAGGACAAGCCAGCTTCTCTCTGGGCCCAAGGGAGAGTCACAGGGATGCCAGATTGCGGGGACTGCAGACTCTGCCTCGGGAGCAGGCAGAGTGGGGGCGGCCTTGGCTGCAGTGGGGGGACCGAGTTCACAGGCCGGGAGCAGCTGGGGCTGTGGGGAGGCCCGGTGGACAGGCCATTTGGAGGTGGTGAGCAGAGAAGAGACAGCTGACGGCTAGGTCGGGACTCTTCCCGAGTTCCTTTGAGTGTCAGTTTCCACATGGGGGTCTGGGAGGGGGAACTTAGCCTTAAAGGGGGTCAGCCACCGGAACTGCATCCCCACCTCATCTCGTCTCCCCTCCGCAGCCCGGGGCCCCCGATGTGCTGGAGCAGGGTCCAGGGCGGGGATCCTGCGCTGCCAGCCGTGTGCTCATGGTGAGCCCCTGCGTGCGTGCTGGCCGCCCTCTCACCCTGCACACCGGCTGCACCCTGCTGGACGCACCATGGGACTGCCCATCTGTCCGTCATTTGGTCCACCCAGAGGGCACTTGGTGCAGCCTCCCCAAGCCCCTGCTCACTCCCGGTCACTCCCTGTTCCCCAGGCCCCTGCTAACTCTCGCTTTCTCTCCCCTCCCACCTGCTGCCCTGGGTGCAGGTAAGTGGAGTGGTGGGGACGAGGGGGCTGGCGGGGAGGAAGGGGGCTCTTCTCCAGAACAGTATCAGGGTTTGCTGGGAATTGGAGGGGTGACAAGCAGGGTTACGGCCTCTGACAGACCTCAGCAGATCCAGCAACCTCCCTCCAGGTGGAGGCCTCCAGAACCAGAGGGACCAGACCAGAGGGAGCATCTGAGCCCCGCAGCAGCAAAACCCTTTGTTCAAACCAGTCCCATCCAGACCCAACATCTGGAAAGATGCACCTAGAACCTCACTGATAAAACTTCTTAAGTTCACGACCCTAACATTTCCCCATACAAAGCTGGTCAGAGAGAGCGGGGACACAGGCCAGGACTCGCAGCGCGTCCGCCTCCTCCGCTCTGGCCCCAGCGAGGTGCCGACCAATGAAGGTCACACCTGGTTCCCCAGTGATCCCCATTAGTAGTATTTCTCAAGTATGTGTTGTTTAAAAACATAATTTAAGTACATTTGAAAATGTGACATATTAGGCCGGGCGCGGTGGCTCACGTCTCTAATCCCAGCACTTTGGGAGGCTGAGGCGGGCAGATCACCTGAGTTCAGGAGTTCGAGACCAGCTAGATCAACATGGAGAAACCCCGTCTCTATTAAAAATACAAAATTAGCTGGGCTTGGTGGCGCATGCCTGTAGTCCCAGCTACTGGAGAGGCTGAGGCAGGAGAATAGCTTGAATCCAGGAGGCGGAGGTTGCGGTGAGCCGAGATCGCACCACTGCACTCCAGCCTGGGAAACAAGAGTGAAACTGTCTCAAAAAAATAATAAAGAAAAAAAAATGACATATTACAGTTGCAACTTTGAGAACCTGAGGTTCCGTGGAATATTCCACAGATCGCCAGACCTTAGGCCCCCAGAGGTCTCCTCGAAAGATCCCTGATTGGAAGAAGGGGCTCCAAGGGGCGGGACTGGGGGCCTGGGCCACCATCTCTGCCAGATCTATGGGGCAGGGGCTCAGCCTGGGGAGGTGCCCTCCTGCTGGGGATTTTGGACCCCAGCAGGGGACCTGCATCTAACTGCAGCCCACCTATCCCCTTCTAGACCAAGAGTGCAGATTTCCATAAGCGGGAGGTAAGTTCTGGAGCTGGGAGTGGAGGGTGCCAGGTGCCTTCCCCAGCCCGGGACCTGACTCACAGGCCCCACATCCTAGATCGAGTACTTCAGGAAAGCGCTGGGCAGGACCCGAGTGAAGTCCTCCGTCTGCCTTGAGGCGTGAGTGGGGTGAGGGGTGGCAGCTGGAGACCCCTGCTGAGTGCTGAGGCCCCTCCTGCACCAGCCCCCATACCCCCTTCCAGGTACCTGAGTTTCTGCGGCCAGCGTGGACCCCACGATCCCCTCGTGTCGGGGTGCCTGCCCAGCAATCCCTGGATCTCAGACAATGACGCCTACTGGGTCATGAATGCCCCCACGTGAGCCCAGGCGGGGCAGCGGGACTGCGGGTGTGCTCCCAGCCTGGGGGGACGCAGGAGGGTCAGTCCCCACCCTCCCCAACAGCCCTGCCCTCTCCCCAGGGTGGCTGCCCCCACGAAGCTCCGTGTGGAGAGATGGGGCTTCAGCTTCCGGGAGCTCCTGGAGGACCCCGTGGGGCGGGCCCACTTCATGGACTTTCTGGGAAAGGAGTTCAGTGGTGAGAACCCCCCAGCCCCTGCTCCAGTCCCAGCGGGGAGGCTGCTGCCTGGGACCCCTCCCGCCTCGGTTTCCACCAGCTCCCTGGGAACCCCCCACCGGCCCTGGCTGCCACTCTCGATGGGATCCTTGACTGGGTGCCCGGCCCCCCAGGAGAAAACCTCAGCTTCTGGGAGGCATGTGAGGAGCTTCGATATGGAGCGCAGGCCCAGGTCCCCACCCTGGTGGATGCCGTGTACGAGTAAGTGCTGCGTGGTGGGCACCGGTTGGCCAACGGGCAGGTGCACCCAGCCGAGACTACCCAGTGCTGTCCCCACCCCTAGGCAGTTCCTGGCCCCCGGAGCTGCCCACTGGGTCAACATCGACAGCCGGACCATGGAGCAGACCCTGGAGGGGCTGCGCCAGCCCCACCGCTATGTCCTGGATGACGCCCAGCTGCACATATACATGCTCATGAAGAAGGTGGGTGCTGGGCCAGCCTGCAGGGGCAGGAGGGGTCATCCCAGACGGGCCTCCATGTCCCCACCCTCAAGGGCTCTGTCCGCACAGGCACTGCCCACGTTGACTCTGCCCCTGGGGAGCACCTTCCCCACCTGGTTGGGGCCGCCCTGGCCGCTCTCCTGTCAGTGTTCCGTCCTGAGCCCACTCCGGGTTCAGACAGGCTGAAGGACTGGCCCAGATCACATGCTTAATAAGGGTCAAGCTTCGATCTAAAAAGTTTTGTTTTCTTTTGTTTTGAGGCGAGTCTCGCTCTGTCGCCCAGGCTGGAGTGCAGTGGCGGGATCTCGGCTCAGTGCAAGCTCCACCTCCCGGGTTCACGCCATCCTCCTGCCTCAGCCTCCTGAGTAGCTGGGACTACAGGCGCCCGCCACCACGCCCGGCTAATTTTTTGTATTTTTAGTAGAGACGGGGTTTCACCGTGTTACCCAGGACGGTCTCGATCTCCCAACCTCATGATCCACCCGCATCAGCCTCCCAAAGTGCTGGGATTACAGGCGTGAGCCACTCTGCCCGGCCGGGATCACAGGCGTGAGCCACCATGCGTGGCCTACCTTGTTTTTTTATTTGACTCCACAACCCTGCCCTCACTCTGTGGGGCACACGGAGCCATTCCTGGTTCCCGCTAATGGCTGAGGAGGTGCCGCGGTTTATTCCTCTACACGTGGCCACCAGGGCTCTTGCCATTTTTTGCTGCGACATGGCCCAGGCAGACGGGAGCCCAGGTCTCCCTGCGTCTGCCTTGGTCTGGGCAGGTCCGAGGCGGCTGCCTCCAGCACCCTGTCCGCCGGAGACTCTGTGGCTGGAGGAGGCTCCAGCAATGTTTGGCTGCTCCTTCGGGTGGAGCTGGCTGAGAGGTGAGGAGGCAGAAGGGTCAGGGGCTGGACGCTGTCTCTTGTAGGACTCCTACCCAAGGTTCCTGAAGTCTGACATGTACAAGGCCCTCCTGGCAGAGGCTGGGATCCCGCTGGAGATGAAGAGACGGTGAGCCCAGGCAGTGCCCTGTGGCCGGCGGCTGTGGCCTGGGGGCTGCTGGGGCCCTGCAGTGAGGTGGGCAGGACACCAGCTGGCCAGCCTGTTCTCAGCCGCCTTCTCGCCCACAGCGTGTTCCCGTTTACGTGGAGGCCACGGCACTCGAGCCCCAGCCCTGCACTCCTTCCCACCCCTGTGGAGCCCACAGCGGCTTGTGGCCCTGGGGGTGGAGATGGGGTGGCCTAGTGGACCTGGCCCATCTGCCACTCTAGTCCCTGCAGCTCAACGTCCTGCGTGAATGCAGCAGCCACCCCCGTCTTGGCCCAGGTCCTGGGGGCTGCTGAACCCAGCACCAGTGTCCCCTTGTGCCCAGGGGGCCCAGTCTTCTGTGGGGTGCACAGCCTCCCTCCCTCCAGCAAGCCCTCCCTGCCCAGAAGGAATGGGTCCAGGTGTGGATTCCCAGGGAGGGGGTTCATTGGCTCAGCTTGGGTCAGGGCAGAGCCTGTTACCTGAAGAGAGGTGAGACCAAGGCCACAGGGAGCTCCACCTTCTCTGGTCTTCAGTCCAGCACTGGGTGCCCATCCCCATCTCTAAAACCAGTAAATCAGCCAGCGAATACCCGGAAGCAAGATGCACAGGCGGGCGGCTTCCCACACACCCGTCACAAGACGCGGACATGCAGGTCTCGGCGCGAGCTCTGCCCCGTCCAAGAGCCTCTCCGCTGTCGCCCAGTGTGAGCCTGGAAGAGGACCCAAGAGAGTGCCGTGCTGAGGCTGCCTCGAGGTCACTGCCTTCCGGAGCTGCGCCTATTCCTCCCTCGCCAAACGCGTTCCAGAATTTGTCCACAGGTGCGCCGGCACCTGCTTTCCCACCTCGAGGCCGCGGCCTCCCCCCCGATTTATAGACAACTCTGACATTGTCACCCCACTGACGAGGCCCGATTCCATAGGGTGGATCCTTGCCAGGCGTCCCTGATCCTCCCTGCCCAAGTCTTCCTTCGTGAGCTGGCCTTGCTCCCCATCCCCCAAGTGCCTCACCAGTCCCCCAGACTGGGTGAAGGTACAGCTGGCTCCTTTCGGGGGTGCAGCTTCAACTCTCTCGGCGGTAGGGCGGTGCCATCCCCACCCATAGGGCTGGCTCACATCCAGTCACTCCCAACAGCGTCCAGCACACAAATAAAAGACCCTTGGGCCCTGGCTCTGAGCCCATCCTGCTGTGGGTGCAGCTTATGGTGTGACGGTGCATGTGACACATGCATGGGTGTGTGTGCGTATGAGGCATGTGTAGCACTGAGGCACACGTGTGGTGTGTATGTATAGCGTGTGTGATTGTGTGTAGTGCACGTGTGCAGGTGTACTGAGGCATGCATATGTGGTGTGTGTGTGCACGTGTCGTGTGTATGAGGCATGTGTAGCACTGAGGCACAAGTGTGTGTACGCATAGCATGTGTGATTGTGTGTAGCACCCGTGTGCAGGTGTACTGTGAGGCATGCATATGTGGTGTGTGTGCGTGTGTATGAGGCATGTGTAGCACTGAGGCACACGTGTGGTGTGTACGCATAGCATGTGTGATTGTGTGTAGTGCACGTGTGCAGGTGTACTGTGAGGCATGCATGTGTGGTATGTGCATGTGTCGTGTAGGATGCATGTGTAGCACTGAGGCACACGTGTGGTGTGTACGCATAGCATGTGTGATTGTGTGTAGTGCACGTGTGGTGTACTGTGAGGCATGTGTGGTGTGTGCACGTGTTGTGTGTATGAGGCATGTGTAGCACTGAGGCACACGTGTGGTGTGTACGCATAGCACGTGTGATTGTGTGTAGTGCACGTGTGCAGGTGTACTGTGAGGCATGCATATGTGTGTGCACGTGTCGTATGAGGCATGTGTAGCACTGAGGCACACGTGTGGTGTGTACGCATAGCACGTGTGATTGTGTGTAGTGCACGTGTGCAGGTGTACTGTGAGGCATGCATGTGTGGTGTGTGTGCACGTGTCGTGTAGGATGCATGTGTGGTGCACATTGCATGTATGAGGTGTGCACATGTATAGTACATATGTGTGAATGTATTGTGCATGTGATGTGTGCAGTGTGTGGTGAGGGAGGGGGCAGGTCCCAGGTGTGTGGAGTCGATGGTGGAGGAGGGACTTGACCCTCTCAGACCCAGGCAGCAGACTTGGGGCATCTGGTCTTTGGGAGGAGACAGCCAGGGCACTGTGCTCTGGTGGGCTAGGGTGAGCAGGGTAGTGTGTGGGGACGCCTGCCCTCCAGAGGGGGAACAGTGAGGAAACTGTTAAGGAAGCCTCTGGGGAGGGGCAGTTGTCCCCAGCCTGCCCTAAGGCCACAGAGCTGCAGAGGGCATGGCATGGCATGGCCCAGACTCTCTAGGGCCCGCAGTGACCACAGGGCAAGAATCCCTTCTTCACAGTCTGGGGGTGCAGGCTGTTCCTGCAGGGAGGGAAACTTCTGCCCACCAGCAATGGCACCCCTTGGCCCAGCCCCTCAACTCCGGCTTCTCAGGGTGGGGCTCATGGCCCTGCCCACCCCTCCATGGCCAGGGGCACAGCTGCTCCTCTGACCTGCAGGGTGACCCCTCCCTTTGGGGACCCCCTGCCCTCCCTCCCGTGCTGTCAGGGGGCAGCTCTTGCAACCCCAGTGAACCTTCCCTTCTCCCTCCAGCCCCACCCTGCCCGCCTGGCGGTTCTCACTTATAGGACGCGTCCGCAGAGCCCTATATGGCCCTTTCATACCCAAGGCCTTCTGGGCTGAGTTACTTTTCTCAGGGACAAGAGAACCGCTTCCTGGCACGAGGGCACCCACCTGTTCAACCTCATCCCCCACGTCCCCCTACCACGCCTTGGAAGGAGCAATGGGAACAAGGTTACACCTGTGTGGCTCTGAAGCGGGGCTTTTCACACTTGCATACATGGCCGTGGGACAGTCCTGCAGGGCTCTCTAAAGCACCTGCCTGCCCCTCACTGCCGCCACACCCAAAGCTGCATCTCCGGGAAGCCCCTGCCTGGGCTCCTCTTGCCTGCAGGGTCACCAGAGCTCACCCCGGCCCTACCATCATCCCTTCACGCTGGACTCCAGCCAGCCCTCAGACGTCACGCGGTGCCGAGGCCACCGTCTGTTCCAGGTGGGAGCACACCCGCTTGCATGGGGCCAGGGTGCCCAGCTTGGTGGGCAGGGGTCCTCAAACCGGAGACCCCCAGAGGATGTCAAGATTGCTGGGTGCCCAGTTTCTGACTGAGCAGGTCTGGGTGGGGGTGCTCGCCTCCTCGGCAGCCCTCCCCACCCTGACCCAGGCTGGCCAGCAAATTCCTGGTCACTCCTCCAGGAACAAATCCATTTGACTACTTAGGGAGCAGACAGACAGGCAGACGCACACACGCTAGGCTCACGCCTGACCACCGGGGTTTTTCAGGCAGTGCAAAAATGTTTATTCTGCTTTCTTCCTTGGTGGGTGGGTCATCAGGCTGCTTTGGCTACGAAGCTCAGGCTCTGTGACCTGGGCGGCCCGAGCAGTACAGAGCACCATGGCTGCCCTTGGGCCTCAGGAGCAGCAAGGCACAGAGGTGAGTCCTGCATCGGGTGGCACGGCGTGGGCGTGTGAGCACCGGAAGGGGAGAGGCAGGCGCTTGCCATGCCTGGGGCACGGGGCCTCTTCAGGGACAGAGCAGCTCCAGTGTCTACTGAGAGGGCACAGACTGACCCAAACACGCATTCCACAGCCAGTTCCTTGGGATATTCACAGCACATGCAGCCAGTAGACAGCTGCAACACCACTAAGGACACCTGTGAGCGGCCACGGGCTCAGCTCCAGAGCAGGCCCCACCCATCCTGCTGGGGGAGACCCTTGCTCCAGGCTTCCTCACAGGACCTGGTCAAAGGAACCAAGTCACACCCCCCATGCTAGAGGATCCCCCTGTAGCTCCGGGAAGGGCTGCGAAGCTGGAGCTGTCTCAGGTTCCCGTTGAGGCCCAGTACCCTGAGTTCCATGACTCCTTGGGGGACAGAGCACAGGAGGGAAAAGGGGAATGGACTTCTACAGGATGGGGTGGGGGACGGCCTGTCCCGGGGACACCCTGGTTCTTTCTACGCGATGGCCGCTCTGGCCTGGGGAGAAGCTGGCAAGGAGAGGGCACCGGGTAAGGATGGGGTGCTGCATGACCCAGCTCTGCCCAAGGTGGCCAGGGAGACCACTATGAAGGCTGCCTGGTGTGAGCGGGACCCTGGTGGGGTGCAGAGTGAGGCCCTGTGTGGGGACTCAGGGAGGATGCTGGGCGGGAGAGAGGCCCAGGGTGTCCCCTCACCCATGCAGGTCCCTGGGTGTGATCATGGAGGACTGGTAAGGCTGCTGCTGCCCAGTGGCGACCATCACCAGGGTCAGGAGTGGGGGAGTCAGTGCAGAGACCCAGGGAAGGGCCCACTTCCCAGGACGTTTAGTGTCAGCAGGCGGAGTCTCTCCACAGGCTCTGGCTGGCGTGCCTCTACGCCTCACTCTGGTACCGCAGCCGGGAGAACCGGTCCCTGATGGCTTGGTCACTGTCTGGCCCACCCTCACCCAGGCGGACCACCCTGCTGCTTGGGACAAGGTCCCGCACCTTGTGCTTGATCACAGAGACCAGGCCGGGTGCCTCTGAGTCTGCCGGGCCTGTCAGAAGGATGTAGGCGGCGTGGCGGCTTGGCTCAAACAGGACGGCTGCAGGGTGGGGGACACAGCTGTCAGGGCGGCTCAGGACCAGCCAGGGCAGACCCCGCGGAACACCCGGGTCCCTGGCCGAGGCCACACTCACCGTCAAAGGCGACAATGTGGGTAGAGACATTGGCCAGCTCCAGCAGCACGCGCGGCAGGGTGGGGTGGAACATGTACAGGCTGTGCCGGGCCTCCCCGGTCTCCTGGAGCGAGAACCAGCAATGGGCCCCACGCCCTTCACTGAGCACTCCCACAGGACACTGCTGTCAGAGTGACCGTGCCTGGAGCTCTATGTCTGCTAGGGGCCCTATCTGGGTCCCCCAAATGCCAGCCCCCAGTTCTGTGGCCACCTCCCAGGTCCTCCCACCCCACCTGGTCCTGACACTGGTCCTTGCCGGCAGCCACTCCCTTCAGGGCATGGCTGTGTGCGCCCCTATCCACCGAAGGCCATCAGCCCCTTCTCGCTGGACCCCTCTAAGGTCACTTTGCCTCAGCTTGCACCACCTCATCCTGACTGTCACTGGACTTCAACTTATGTGAGGTTGCCCAGGCACCGATGAGCTTCTGGGCACTCCACGGTGGAGCTCCAGCCTGGGTCTCTGGCCCCGGCTCCCAGCATGGCTGCTCCGAGGGTGGCTCCCGTACCGTCTCGCTGGTGCTCCCCAGCTCGTGGAGGCCCCAGAAGAAGAAGGCTGAGCGGTGGTCTGCGGTCGGCAGGCTGGCGGACAGTGGACCCCCAGGGAGGCTCGGGAGGGCTAGGCTACACAGGACGGCTCCAGTGCCAAGGTCCAGAAACAGGATCTGGGGAGGGAGGGGACACTGTGGGGGCCAACGTGGGGGCTACCGGGAAAAGCTCGAGGCTTGCACAGGCACACGTGCCCTCAGCCATGCCAGCCCTGGAGGCAGATGCTCTGAGGGAGGCAGAACCTTCTCAGCAGCTCTGACGGCAGCAGCCTCCTGGGCCGCAGCCCCGTCTGCTTTCAGACCAGTCTATCCTCAGCTAAGAACAAAGGTGCCACCTCCGAAGGAAGAACAACGAACCTGTCTGTCGGTGCCAGTTCCGTTTTCAACGGCTACAGCCAAGGTGTCTGGTTTGTAGCGGCCGAAGATGGGTTTTCTGGAACAATATGGAGGAAGCGCTCACGAGGGGTCTCAGTGAGGAGACTGAGATGAAGGAAGCACCCAGGAACACGTCCGCCCCTCAGTCTCCCATGGCCACATCTGGACCAGGGCCCAGGACACGGAGCCGACGTCTGGGGCAAGGGGCAAGTACCAGAGACAGGCAAGAAGCCCGGGCAGCAGCACACGGCCTCCGGCCCCACCCCCAGCGCTGTCTCCTCGCCAGCCAACGGGATGTGCCCGGGATGCCGGGAAGGGGTGCAGCACCTGCGCGGTCCTTGGGGAAACCCTGTACCTCAGGACATGGGCTGCCTTGGGTGTCCAGCGAGGCGTCAGCTCCTGCCCGTCCAGCAGCACGAAGGCCTCTGAGCCCACAAGAAGCACATCTGCACCGGCGTTCCCTGGGACATGCATCAGGTAGCGCACTGCTCCAGAGCTAGACAGGAGAGTGGGAGAAAGGGGCGCCGGGTCCCCGGGGCGGCCTCAGGCACCCAGTGGAGGCTCTGGCACCGCCCGTCTCAGGGTGCTCCTCTTAGGCCCCCATAACCCGTTTCTCAGTTCTACAGCTTGAAAAGAGAAGAGCTGGGCGCGGTGGCTCATGCCTGTAATTCCAGCACTTTGGGAGGCCGAGGCGGGCGGATCACGAGGTCAGAAGTTCGAGACCAGTCTGACCAACATGGAGAAACCCCGTCTCTACTAAAAATGCAAAAATTAGCTGGGCGTGGAGGTGCGCGCCTGTAATCCCAGCTACTCGGGAGGCTGGGGCAGGAGAATCACTTGAACCCGGGAGGCGGAGGTTGCAGTGAACCGAGATCGCACCACTGCACTCCAGCCTGGGGGACAGGGCAAGACTCCGTCTTAAAAAAAAAAAACAACCAAAAAAAAAAAAAACAGAAAAGAGAAGAAAGACCCCCACTTTCCGTGGAGACAGACAGGCACAGCGTCGGGAACCTTTCTTCTCTTTACTCAACTTTTATTTGACCATTTCTCACATCTGAGCCCAGGGTGACCTTGCGGTACCCCGAGCACCTCCCTGCCGGTGGGGCTGCTCTGGGCTCCACACAGATTGTCCGAACGCTGAGGCAGGCGAGCAGAGCCATGGGGTGGGCGCTCTGCATGGAGAAAGGCTGCGGCCCGGACCCACCTGTGGGAAAGCATCCTGCGGGTGGTGGCATTGAGCATGCTCTCCCAGTGCGGGTCACTCTTGAACGGGCCGCCGCTCCCGGTCACCTTCTCGTAGAGACCCTTCACAGAGCAGCCGCAGAGGGAGCTTGCTATTCAAAACACAGAAGGGCCCGAGGTCACCAGGGTCACGCTGTGAACCCGGACCAGGGGCACGCAGTGCCACATGGAGCCAGGCCCCTGGGCTTCCTGACTCCAGCACCTCGAGAGCAGAAGCAGGACCTGAGGAGCCGCAGGGCAGTCATGCTCCACGAGTGAGGCTGGCCAGGGATGTGGCAGAAACAACGTACCGCAGGGAAAGAGGATGTAGTGGGCACCTGTCCTGGTGACGTGAAGGAGGAAGCCACTTTCCCCGTCCACACCAAGGCTGCCTCTGAGGCCAATCTGGTGCCCGGTGCTGCCGGAGTAGAGGTGGCCACTAACCTGCAATGACACAGGATGACACAGGAAGAGAGGGACCTGAGCCTGGGGCTGCAAGGACACAAGGCCCAGGAAGAGAAGGACCTGAGCCTGGGGCTGCAATGACACAAGGCCCAGGAAGAGAGGGACGTGAGCCTGGGGGCGGGGCACTCTACAATGGGAGATGTGGAAGGGTAAGGGGCCCACAGGCTCTTGGTTTTGAGGAAAGACACGCTGACATCAGAGAGTCTGCCACGATGGTTGGTGCCTCCACACTGCACGGGGCACATGAGGCAGGCAGGGCAGCCCCAGTGCCTCACAGGTGCTCCCAGCCCTCAGAGCTTCACCCCCAACACTGCAACAGCACAAATGGGAAGTGTGTACTCCACCATTCTTGGGGAGGCCCCAAAGCTGCCTGGTAGAGATGGAGCCCCCTGAGTATGCTGGGTCTATGGGAGTTGGGAACGTGGGGCTCTGGGCGAGTCCCCGGCAAGTGGTCAGACCCGAATCCTGTCTGGGAAGTGGCAGCAGATGGGGAGGTAGAGCAGGGCCGTGTGGCAGGTGGCCTCGTGACTTGGGAGCAGAGCCAGGCTGGGATGTACCTCCTCCCGCTCCTGGGTGAGAACCAGCAGGTCTGGGGCCCCATCGCCGTCCACATCAGGCACCTGCAGCAGAGGGCTCAGGATGGACGCATTCCCGCTGAAGCTGCTGCTGTGGTTCCACAGGGTTTCCCCTAGAATCAAGCACACGGTCACGGAACGTGGCCCTGAGTCCCCTTCAACAGCAGCCCGGCAACTGCAAGGCCTGTGACAGGCAGGCTCCTGTTGAGGCATCACCCTCGTGAGCCCACGGCTCACTGCACACTCAGAGCAGATGCCAACAGGAGGGGAGGGCGGCACTCCTGTGCTCGTGAAGGAGCAGCACGCGGAGGTGGTGGACACACGTCCTGCCCGTGTATGGAGACTCGGTGGCAATATGCCAAACGCTGACAGCCTCATTCCTGGGAACCGCAGAGTTCCCCCTTCCTTTTCTCCTATCTGCGTGTCCTGGAACCTCTAGGGCCCATGCTGACCCTCCTGCCCGAGTGGATGAAGCCTGACCTCACCCACCTCTCGAAGCCCCTGCCTCCTGCTGGGGTTGCAGGCGTGCCCTTGGTGCCATGCAGGCCCCAGCTGAGTGGCCCCTTCATCTGCCCTCCACATAGAAGGCAAGAATGGAGGTGTGCGCCCGGAGGCAGATCTACTGACCACAGGTCCTCGTCCAACTCCTTACGCACATACAATCTCATCCAAACCTTTTTTTAAAGACAGATTCCTTGATTCTTAAAATATTTTCAGCCTGCTCTTTATTCTCCTCCATATCCTTAAAATGACAGCTTGTAAGGGAAATATGAACATTCACCAAATCTAGGCACAGAAATCTTCCAGACCGCGATGAGGTGCAAGGAGCCCACACACACACATGGCCCCGTGCACCACGCATTCTTTCCCTCGTCCTTCCACGAGGCCGGCTCCGCTGGGGCTCGGAGACCTGCACCTTCAGGCTTAGGGGCACTGACAGGCCCCGATCTCCCCTGACGGGCCGAGTGCTGGTTCATGTTCTGGGCTCGCCCTGGGCACTGCCACCACTGACACCCCAGGAGCAGCCGGGGGCCAAGCCGCTCCTCCTCTCTGCTACCCCATGGCAGGTGACATCGGACTGCCCCTGTGTGTTACAGCCCACCAGCAAGGTGTAACGGGAGGTAACAGACACAGTGCAGCTGAAGGCAGCCGAGGCGTGTGCCTTCCACACGCTTGCAGCCTCACTTGGAGGTTCTCCCCATAACCTTCCTTCCCATCCAGCCACCCTCAAGATCACAGGGCTGAGCCTCGTCGCGGCCTCCTGGCATTAGCCCTCAGGGTGAGGTGGCTCAGGTGAGAGGCCCTCAGTGAGAACCCCGCTGCCTGGCTGGCCTACCTGTGAACAAGTTGACTGCAATGAAAGAACTGGGTCTGCCCACCAGGATGCAGGCAGAAGGTGCCTCACTGCCTCTTGGCTGGGGCACAGCACACTCCACGAGGGCCACGTCTTGGGCCACAGGTCTCTCCCAGAGCGTGCTGCCGTTGGCCCCCGACACAGCAGCTGCAAAGGTGCAGGGAGAGGAAAAGCCTGTAGGGAGAGACACCGGCACCTCACTGTTGCACCATCTGGGCAGGCAGGCCGGCCAGCCCCAGCATGTGCTGTTCCAGGTCTGTTTTCCTCACACCTCTCCTAGGCCACAGCCCCTCCCGCCAGGTGGATCTCCTGTATCTTGCAGGCTCCCGGGGCTCTAATGCTGACCCCACGGGGCTCAGGGGCCAGGGCAGTGCTGGGACTGGGCTTCCAGGCCTCTTTCTGGTCTGCCAGGAAGGATGACGAGATGGGTTCCAGAAACACCACCATCTGCTTCCCCCAAACACTGAAAGCGAGAGGGTGACCCAAAATGACGATTCCTCTTTCTACAGGGAGCTCCGCCTTTTTCATATAAAATGAAATTACCTTCGTCCACACAGGATCGGCTGAAATTGTTGCTGCTGTTGGTGTTTTTATAAAGAAAAAGAACATCTTGGATCCTGTCCCCGTTTATATCATCCACAGCCAGAAAGTCATAGATAACTGAAAGAGAAAACCACAGACTATACTCCGCGGGCCATGCCTGGTTTCCAGGAACGATCAGGTCCAGCACGACCTACTTCTCTGCTACATGGAACCTGCCACTGTGAGGGCACCCAACGAGGACGGTGGCTTCTTCCTCACTAGGATGAGTAATTTCCTTCGTGAAAACCAGGGGGTGGGCAACAATGCCTAGTGTTAACCTTCAGAAAGGAACAAGCAGGACATCTGGGCATTAAGAATTGGATGTTCTGGCACCTTCTGTTCAGGGATAAATCCCTCCCTAGACCAGGGGGCATCTAGACAGTCCACACTCCATACTCGTCAGGGTTTACACTTCCTTTCATTCAAGGACTCAAGTGATAAACTTTATGCCCTAAAATCAAACACCAAAAGAGTGAAGTTGGCCGGGCAAGGTGCCTCACGCCTGTAATCCCAGCACTTTGGGAGGCCGAGGAGGGCAGATAACGAGGTCAAGAGATTGAGACCATCTTGGCCAACGTGTGAAACCCTGTCTCTACTAAAAATACAAAAAATTAGCTGGGTGTAGTAGCACGTGCCTGTAGTCCCAGCTACTCGGGAGGCTGAGGCACAAGAATCGTTTGAACCCAGGAGGCAGAGGTTGCAGTGAGCGAGATTGCACCACTGCACTCCAGCCTGGCCGACAGAGCTGGAGTCCATCTCAAAAAACAAAAACAAAAAAATAGGCCGGGCCCAGCTGCCCCCTCCGGGAGGTGAGGGGCGCCTCTGCCCGGCCACCCCTACTGGGAAGTGAGGAGCCCCTCTGCCCGGCTACCACCCCGTCTGGGAGGTGTACCCAACAGCTCATTGAGAACGGGCCATGATGACAATGGCGGTTTTGTGGAATAGAAAGGGGAGAAAGGTGGGGAAAAGATTGAGAAATCGGATGGTTGCTGTGTCTGTGTAGAAAGAAGTAGACATGGGAGACTTTTCATTTTGTTCTGTACTAAGAAAACTTCTTCTGCCTTGGGATCCTGTTGATCGGTGACCTTACCCCCAACCCTGTGCTCTCTGAAACATGTGCTGTGTCCACTCAGGGTTGAATGGATTAAGGGCGGTGCAAGATGTGCTTTGTTAAACAGATGCTTGAAGGCAGCATGCTCGTTAAGAGTCATCACCACTCCCTAATCTCAAGTACCCAGGGACGCAAACACTGCGGAAGGCCGCAGGGACCTCTGCCTAGGAAAACCAGAGACCTTTGTTCACTTGTTTATCTGCTGACCTTCCGTCCACTATTGTCGTATGACCCTGCCAAATCCCCCTCTGCGAGAAACACCCAAGAATGATCAATAAAAAAAAAAAAAAAAAATAGGCCGGGTGAGGTGGCTCACGCCTGTAATCCTAGCACTTTAGGAGGCCGAGGCGGGTGGATCACAAGGTCAGGAGTCCGAGACAAGCCTGGCTAATACGGTGAAACCTTCTCTACTAAAAATACAGAAATTAGCCGGGCGTGGTGGCGGGCGCCTATAGTTCCAGCTACTCGGGAGGCTAAGGCAGGAGAATCGCCTGAACCCAGGAGGTGGAGGCTGCAGTCAGTTGAGATTGAGCCACCGCACTCCAGCCTGGGCGACAGAGCGAGACTCGATCTCAAAAACAAACAAACAAAAAAAAAAGAATAAAGTTGAACCCCGTCCCCCTTATTTTAGAGACAGGGTCTGGCTACGTTGCCCAGGCTGGCCTTGAACTCGAGGCCTCAAGTGATCCTCCTGTCTCAGCCTCTGAAACTGCTGGAATTACAGGTGTGAGCCACTGCGCCCAGCATGAAGTTGAATCTTTACGTCATGCACAAAAATGAACTCAAAATGAATCAAAGACCTAAACGTAAGAGCTAAAATTATAAAACTCTTAGAAAAAAAAAACGGGAAAAATCTTCATGACAAGGGATCTGGTGATGGTTTCTTTGATACAAAAGCACAGGAGGCTGAGTGCGGTGGCTCACGCCTGTAATCCCAGCACTATGGGAGGCCGAGGCGGGTGGATCACCTGAGGTCAAGAGTTTGAGACCAGCCTGGCCAATATGGTGAAACCCCGTCTCTACTAAAAATACATACATTAGCCAGGCATGGAGGCGGGCACCTGTAATCCCAGCTACTTGGGAGGCTGAGGCAGGAGAATCGCTTGAACCCGGGAGGTGGAGGTTGCAGTGAGCCGAGATCGCGCCACTGCACTCTCCAGCCTGGATGACAGAGCAAGACTGTCTCCAAAAAAAAAAAAAAAAAAAAAAAAAAGACTTCATTGAAACTAAAAGCTTTTATGCATCGAAGGACACTATCAAGAGAGTGGAAAGGCTGGGCGTGGTGGTTCACACCGGTAGTCCTAGCACTTTGGGAAGCCAAGGCAGGCGGATCACTTGAGGTCAGGAGTTTGAGATCAGCCTGGCCAACATGGTGAAACCTCGCATCTACTAAAAATACAAAAGTTACGGCCAAGCGTGGTGGCACGTGCCTGTAATCCCAGCACTTTGGGATGCTGAGGCAGGCCAATCACCTAAGGTCGGGAATTCAAGACCAGCCTGACCAACATGGAGAAACCCCGTTTCTACTAAAAATACAAAATTAGCCGGGTGTGGTGGCACATGCCTGTAGTTTCAGCTACTCGGGAGGCTGAGGCAGGAGAATCACTTGAATCTGGGAGGTGGCGATTACGGTGAGCTGAGATCAGGCCATTGCACTCCAGCCTGGGAAACAAGAGCGAAACTCTGTCTCAAAAAAAAAAAAAAAAAAATTAGCCAGGCATGGTAGCCTGTGCCTGTAATCCCAGCTACTACTTGGGAGGCTGAGGCAGGAGAATCGCTTGAACCTGGGAGGCAGAGGTTGCAGTGAGCCGAGATTGCGCCATTGCACTCCAGCCTGGGGTAGAAGAGCAAAACTCCATCTCAAAAAATAAATAAATAAATAAATAAAAATAAATTATTTTTAATTTCTAAAAATGGGCAAAAGACTGCAAGAATAGACATTCACCAAAGAAGATGCAAGAATAGACATTCACCAAAGAAGATGCAAGAATGGCTAAAACTCACACGAAAAGAGGGACCCAACATTTTCAGTCACTGGGAGATTCTAATTCACACCCACTAGCATGAGTGTAATAAGAAGACAGACAATAACAAGAAACTAAAGGCCTCCTCAGCATTGTAGTAGGAATGGAAAATAGTCAAATGGTGCAGTCGCTTTAGAAAACAGCTTGTCAGCTCCTCAGAAAGTTAAACATAAACTTACCATAGGGTTCAGCAATTCCACTCCTAGCAATCTACCCAAGAGAAATGAAAACATATCCACACGAAGATCTGCACGTGAATGTTCACGGCAGAATTATTCATAAGAGTCTCAACTGAGAGCCATCCAGGTGATCGTCAGCCAACCCTCCCAGGAGCACTGCTCAGCAACGGAAAGACACAGACAGACCACGACACAAACGAACGGCAAAACATCACGCTAAGTTAAGGAAGTCACACTCCTTCACTTACATACTGTATGATTTCACTTCTAAGAAATGTCTAGAGGCCGGGCGCGGTGGCTCACGCCGGTAATCCCAGCCCTTTTTGGAGACTTAAGCGGGCAGATCATCTGAGGTCGGGAGTTTGAGACCAGCCTGACCAACACGGAGAAACCCCATCTGTACTAAAAATACAAAATTAGCTGGGCGTGGTGGTGCATGCCTGCAATCCCAGCTACTCGGGAGGCTGGGGCAGGAGAATCACTTGAACCTGGGAGGTGGCGGTTGAGATGAGCGGAGATTGTGCCATTGCACTCCAGCCTGGGCAACAAGAGCAAAACTCTGTCTAAAAAAATAAAAAGACTAATCTTTGGAGACAGGAGACTAGGTTGCCCAGGGCTAGGAGAGGAGGGAACAGGGAGTGATGGCAAAGATAATGAGGAATTTTCTCTTTTTGAGACAGGGTCTCTCTCTGTCACCCAGGCTGGAGTGCAGTGGCACGATCACAGCTCACTGCAGCCTCAACCTTCCAGGTGTAAATGATACTCCTACCTCAGCCTCCCAAGTAGCTGGGACCACAGCTGCATGCCACCACGCCTGGCTGATTTTTGTATTTTTTGTAGAGATGCGGTCTGTGCCCAGCCTCTTGAGCAATCTTTTAGGGATGATGGAAATATTCTAAAACGGAATTGTACTGACAGCTACATAACTCTACAAACTGACTACAAATCACTGAATTGGGCCAGGTGTGGTGACTTACACCTGTAATCCCAGCACGTTGGGAGGCCGAGGGAGGAGGATGACTTAAAATCAGGAGTTCAAGAGCAGCCTGGCTAACATGGTAAAACCCCATCTTTACCAAAAATACAAAATTAGGGCCAGGCGCTGTGGCTCACGCCTGTAATCTCAGCACTTTGGGAGGCTGAGGCGGGCGGATCACGAGCTCAGGAGTTCGAGACCACCCTGACCAACATGGTGAAACCCGGTCTCTACTAAAAATACAAATATTAGCTGGGCGTGGTGCTGCACGCCTGTAATCCCAGCTATTTGGGAGGCTGAGGCGGGAGAATCGCTTGAACTCCGGAGGCAGAAGTAGCGGTGAGCTGAGATTGTGCCAGTGCACTCCAGCCTGGGCAACAAGAGCGAAACTCCATCTCAAAAATAAAAAGGCTGGTCTATCGCTCCCTAAAACTCCGGGAAAACCTTGGACATAGAACTGGCAGCCTCTTGGGATTGATTCACTGTTTAAAGGCCACTTCTAGACTCGCAGACACAGTTCTGCCCCCTCCGCCCCATCCCCTGGGAAGAGCTGCTTTGGACCCCACTGGGCGGGGAAGCCGAGGCTCACCAGCGGCACTGTAGTCTATCCTCCACATTCGCTGTGACGCCGGCCGGTCTGGACACGGGATGACGAATGAGACGACGAACACCACAAAAAGGCAGAGAAACAATGAAAGAAAAAACGCCGCCGCTCGGCACCGGGAGAGCCGGGACTGTGGAGGCGCGCTTTTCACGTTATCCTCATTTTTTGATGGATTTCCCAGATTTTCCTGCGATTTTCTTTCTTCATTTTTCAAGGGGTGGATTTCGGCCTCTAAGTCCTTGTGGTCCAACATCACGGGCACATCCCAAAGTTTAACTCCTGGTCACTGTGTCGATAAAGCAAGAGGTCGGCGAGGCCAGCAGTCCCACGGCACAAAGCTGCAGCACAGAGGGGTCTGCTGGCGTCGGCTTCTTGGGGACTGGCTGCAGCTCTAACTATGGGCCACCAGCCCAGGAAATAAAAGCTAAATAAATGTTTAGGGTGTCAGTCTTAACAGATTATACTTAAGAAGGTCTCTAATTAGTGTGGAAAGGCGAGTTAGCTGTGGAGAGCCAGCAGGCAGGAACTATTTTCATCCAGAACACGCTGGTGCTTCCTGCCTGCCGAACCCAGGAAATGCTCAATGAGCTCCAGGGCAGTGTTAACTAAGCCCCACCTACTCAGCCTCTGAGCATATCTGAGCCACCTTCCACCAGCCTCAAGCACAGATGGAAAAGGTGACCCAGGTGCGCACACATGGACTCCCTGGAGGGCCACAGACCCAAAATTCAAAGTACCCGGAGTGAAGATGGGCTCTGGGCGGGCAGGCTTGCACCTCCCTAGCTGTGTGACCAGGACATGTGCTTTGACTGAACTGTGCCTCAGTTTCCTTATCTGTAAAACAAACAATATCTACTTTAGAAGCCTGTTCTAAGGATTAAATAATTAAATGTAGCCGGGCGTGGTGGCTCACACCTGTAATCCCAGTACTTTGGCAGGCCGAGGCGTGCGGATCACGAGGTCAGGAGATCAAGACCATCCTGGCTAACTCGGTGAAACCCCATCTCTACTAAAAATACAAAAAATTAGCAGGGCACGGTGGCGGGCACCTGTAGTCCCAGCTACTTGGGAGGCTGAGGCTGGAGAATGGCGTGAACCCGGGAGGCGGAGCTTGCAGTGAGCCGAGATCACGCCAGTGCACTCCAGCCTGGGCGACAGAGTGACACTCCGTCTCAAAAAAAAAAATTAAATGCATATAAAGTACTTATAAGATCATATGATACACAGTAAACATTCAAACACTACCTAATTATTATTAATAAAATATGTTCATGGATAAGCACAGACTAACTAGAAAAAAATAAAATAAAATATATTCAAACAGAAGTCCGCAGGGGAGGACAGGGGACAGCTGTGTTGAGTGAGCTCGGTGCTGGGAGTAACTTCTGAGCCCCAATTCTGAGGGGAAAAACATGCCCTCTCCTTCCCCTGGTTCCTGCTGGCCGGACCGGGGGTGGATGCGGTGGGGAAACCGGCAGTCGCCGTCTTAGAAACCAAAACGGAAAACACATTTGAACATGGGAAAGGCACAGGGCCCCTGATATCTGCCAACCACCACCACCCAGCCTGAGCTGCTTCGACTGTATAAAACGAGAAAAAAACAAACTTCCATTTTGTCTCAGGCAAGATTTTTGTTATTTTGGTTCCTTTTAAACAACCAAACCGATGTCCTAACACATCATACTGAGAGACTGGACGTGATCATGCAGATTTGAGGTAAAACCTTCACCTACCCAAAAAGGAAGTCAACAGTTCACAGCAAAGGGAGGGGTGAAAGATGAAAGAGGGCGTGCGGAGGTCAGCGAGGGAAGGCGAGGAAAAGCTGAGCTGAAAGCCGCACCCTCTGGGGAAGGGTCAGGAAGACAGAGAGATAAGGGACTGCTGGCTTTTGTTTTAAACTGTTCACTCGGACTTTGTCTTTGCCTAATTATATAATAAAAGTAACTCACTTAATAACCTGTGTATGACACTAGAATGGCTTTAATTTTAAAAGGGAAAAACGACGAGTCTGGGTGAGGATGTGGAGAAATCAGAACATCGTACGTTGCTGGTGGGACTGTAAAATGATGCCGCTGCTGTGAAACACAGTCTGGCAGATCCTCAAAAAGTTAAACACAGAACTACCATACTCTCCAGCAAGTCCAGTCCTAGGTGTACACCCACAAGAATTAAAAACAGACTTTCCGGCCGGGCACGGTGGCTCACGGCTGTAATCCCAGCACTTTTGAGAGGCCGAGGCAGGCAGATCACAAGGTCAAGAGATTGAGACCATCCTGGACAACATGGTGAAAACCGCATCTCTACTAAAAATACAAAAATTAGCTGGGCATGGTGGCGGGCGCCTGTAGTCCCAGCTACTCGGGAGGCTGAGGCAGGAGAATGGCTTGAACCTGGGAGGCAGAGGTTGTAGTGAGCCAAGATCGCGCCACTGCACTCCAGCCTGGGCGACAGTGAGACTCTGTCTCAAAAAAAAAAAAAAAACAAAAAACAGAAAAACAGAGACATGGCCAGCACGGTGGCTCATGCCTGTAATGCCAGTACTTTGGGAGGCCAAAGCAGGAGGATCCCTTGAGGATTGCTCGAGGCTGCAGTGAGCTCTGATCATGCCACCGCACTCTAGCCTGGGCAACAGAGAGACCCATCTCTTTTTTTTTTTTTTTTTTTGAGACGGAGTCTCATTCTGTCGCCCAGGCTAGAGTGCAGTGGCATGATCTTGGCTCACTGTAAGCTCTGCCTCCCCCGTTCACACCATTCTCCTGCCTCAGCCTCCCGAATAGCTGGGACTATGGGCGTCCGCCACCATGCCTGGCTAATTTTTTGTATTTTTAGTAGAGATGGGGTTTCACCATGTTAGCCAGGATGGTCTCGATCTCCTGACCTCGTGATCCACCCGCACTGGCCTCCCAAACTGCTGGGATTACAGGCATGAGCCACCACGCCTGGCCAAGACCCCATCTCTTAAAAAAAAAAAAAAAAAAAAAAAAAAACCTGGCTAGGCATGGTGGCTTATGCCTGTAATCGCAGCACTCTGGGAGTCCGAGTGAGTGGAGTGCTTGACCTCAGGAGTTTGAGAACAGCCTGGGCAATGTGGCGAGACTCTGTCTCTACTAAAAATACCAAAAAAATTAGTTGGGTATGGCGGCGCTCGCCCGTGGTCTCAGCTACCCGGAGGCTGGGGTAGGAAGATCACTAGAGCCCAGGGGGGTGGAGGCTGCAGTGAGCTGAGATCACGCCACTGCACTGCCACCTGGGTGACAGAGCAAGACCCCATCTCAAAAAAAACAAAACAAAAAAAAACCCTACTGCAGAGGCTCAAACAAAAACTTGTAAATAAATGTTCATATTGGTTCATTATTAACAACAGCCAAAATGTAGAAACAACCCAGATGTCCAACAACATATGAACGTATCGGCTGGGCGCAGTGGCTCACGCCTGTGATCCCAACACTTTGAGAGGCCAAGGCGGGAGGATTACGAGGTCAGGCGTTCGAGACCAGCCTGGCCAATATGGTGAAAGCCATCTCTACTAAAAATACAAAAAAACTAGATGGGCATGGTGGCAGGCGCTTGTAATCCCAGCTACTCGGGAGGCTGAGGCAGGAGAATCGCTTGAACCCGGGAGGTGGAAGTTGCAGTGAGCCAAGATTGCACCATTGCACTCCAGCCTGGGCAATAGAGGGAGACTCCTTCTCAAAAACAAAACAAAACAAAACATATGAATGGATAAACAAAATGTGGCCTATCCATAATACAGTGCATAATTACACCATAATGCAGTGGTGTGTTTTTCAGCCATGGTAAAAACTAAAATTCTGACACATTATAAAATTATGCTAAATGCAATGACTAGGACACGAAGGTCCCCTGTAGTGTGAAACGCCCAGAACAGGCAAATCCACAGAGGCAGGGAGTAGACTCGTGGGGGCCAGGTGCGGAACAGGGAGAGTCGGGAATGACTGCTATGGGCTGAGGGTTTCTTTGTGGGATGATGAAAATAGTGGTGATGGTTACAAAATGCTGTGATCATACCAAATGTTACTAATGGCAAATTTTACGTTATGTACATTTTACCACAATAAGAAAAAATGTGTGCATTCTCCTAGGTGCTGAGGCTTAAGTTTTAACATCTTGGAAGTCAGAAAAGGTGTGCTTATCAAAGGCAGTGAGTTAGAACACGGAAAATCAAACAATGAGTCGCGACCAAGGACCTCATTAAACCCAAGCAGCTGGCATGGGGGTGGGGAAGGCAGGACGTGGGTTGTCTGGAAAAGGTAACTAGGGAAAAAGCCAGCAACAGAACGTAGGAGTGCCTCATTGCCAGGGCCTGAGGGGCTGGGGCCAGGGCTGGAAGAAGAGGAGACGGCCATTAATTCAGCAAATCTAGCCACCATGTCCCCAAGGAAGGGATGTGTGAAATGTTTAAAACATAGATTCCTGGCCGGGCGCGGTGGCTCACGCCTGTAGTCCCAGCACTTTGAGAGGCCGAGGTGGGAGGATCACGAGGTCAGGAGATCTAGAGCATCCTGGCTAACACGGTGAAACCCCGTCTCTACTAAGAATACAAAAAATTAGCTGGGTGTGGCGGCATGCGCCTATAGGAGGCTGCGGCAGGAGAACGGCGTGAACCCGGGAGGTGGAGCTTGCAGTGAGCCGAGATCGCGCCACTGCACTCCAGCCTGGGCGACAGAGCGAGACTCCGTCTAAAAAGAAAAATTTTTTTTAAATAATAAATAAATAAAACATAGATTCCTTTGGCAAAGGAAAGAAAAAAACGGAGTAAGAACCAGAATGTTATAATTCTGGATTTCTATCTTTACGGCTTTAAACTTAAGAGCTTTAAAATTGCAGCCAAGAAATTCGAGCTCTGAGCCTCAGCTGTCCTCATCTGGTGGGAGCTAGAGCATCAAAGAAAGCGTGCAGGAAAGCACTACTCAAGGAGGGGCATCAACCGCCACCACCAGGAATCTGAAAACACCACCCATCCAGCCACGGGCCCACCAGTCCTCACCTACCTGGTCGTGGGAGTGCCCGGAGGACGTCCTCGATGTGGACTCCTGCTGGTGCATCTGGTCGTGAGCTGTGGACGGGGAATCTGTGCCTTCGCAAGCCCAGGTGGACCTAGGGATCATAAAGCCACTTGTCAAGTGCAGCTCAGGCAGCCTGCGAAGGTGGCAGGTCAGGAACTTAGATCCTCCCAAAGACATGACTCTCAGTGGTGGCTCCACATGAAAATAACTTGGGTGCTTTCGCAATCCTGATGCCACCCCCAGAAGGACTAAGTTGGCCACTTTGGGTGTGGGGTCCCAGTCAGGAGCAGCTGCTGGCACTCTCCAGCTGATTCCAGGGTGGAGCCAAGCAGAGAAGAACAGACCGAGAAGTCTGCCCTTGTTCGGTTCATCCCACTCTAACTACCAGATGATGGCCAGACATCTCCTGACCCTCAAGGGGAGACTGCATCCCCCCACAGCCAGCCTGGAAGCAAGCAAGGCAAAGGGGAAAGGGCCTCTTCCTCTGAAGATGCCGCCCGGCCTGTATTCTGGGTTTTCTGTTCCTTGGAGTTCACAGCAAGCTTAGTAAAGTCAATCCAAATGCAGACCTCAAGCTAGTAAATTATATCACTCCCTTTCTTAATCCTTCTTCTAATATGTAAGCTATGACCAAAGGACCCTGCAAGACAATTACTATTAATGTAGTTTGGATTTATAATTTTAAAAAATCAGTAATAAATATATACAACATTTAAAAGGGCCAGGTGCACTGCCTCACACCTGTAATCCCAGCACTTTGGGGGACTGAGGCAGGTGGGTCGCTTGAGCCTAGGAGTTTGAGACCAGCCTGGGCAACAGGGGACACTTCTTCTCTACCCAAAAATACAAAAATCAGCCAGGTGTGGTGGTGGGCACCTATAGTCCCAACTACTCAGGAGGCTGAGGCAGGAGGATTGCTTGAGCCCGGGAGGTCAAGGCTGCAGTGAGCGATGGCCAGGACACTGCACTCCATCCTGGGCAACAGAACAAGACCCTGTTTCAAAAAAACCCACAAAACTTAAAAACTATAAAAGGGTAAATCTCCTTTCATCTTGTGGCTCCCAGGCTCAAGAGGGGAAGCATGGTACCAGTTTCATATGGGTCCTTCCAGAAGTATTCTCTATGTGGATAAGCATGGAGTATATAAAGTATACAATCTATATGAAAAAAATGTGACTAGAATGGTCGAGTTATAAGGTGGCTTCTAAAAATTAAAGGAAAAATAAAATTCAAACTACTTACTTATCTCTACAGCATGATTTGTCATGTTAAATCAGACCAAACTGGACATTCTGTGGCAGGGACAGAGAAAGTACTGTCATTTTCTCAATTCCTGCCTTTTGAATTGGAGAGCCTGGCCGAAAGGACAAACATTTCCCCCATGCACGGACCATCTCTGTAACAAGATTTAGAAGGACAAAGGGAAAAAACTCTCTAAATGCTCATTAGTAACACGGTTGGGGATTTGGGTCATCTGTGTCTTGTGAGCATCTACAATTGGTCCAGTGTCCTCACCTGCAGAGCAGAATGAAATAAGACATATCACATACGTGTGAGGGAAGACAGAAACAGAGGCTTCAGAAGGCAAAGCCCCATTACGGGACGCAAAACAATGCAGGCAATTGACTTAACCAGATGAGCACCCACCTGAACCCAGCACTGGGCTCCACTCTGAGAGGGTTCCCAGACAGTCAGGCCCCGCAGTGCCTCCATGGGGACTCTCCCACCACTTGGGCGAACCCAGGTCAGGGTAGAAAATGGCACTGAACATTTTTGGGAGGATCATCATTTTAACTGACAAACACAGGTTTCTAAAACCGAGCCAGCCGTTGAGGCATTTATGAAAAACACAGACTGATCTAAGATCAAAAGAGTTTGTGAGAAACTGATTTAAAAATCATTAATAAGGCCAGGCGCGGTGGCTCACGCCTATAATCCCAGCCCTTTGGGAGGCCAAGGCAGGCGGAGTACCTGAGGTCAGGAGTTCGAGACCAGCCTGGCCAACATGGTGAAACCCCATCTCTACTAAAAAATACAAAAATTAGTCGGGCGTGGTGGCGGGCACCTTAATCCCAGTCACTTGGGAGTCAAGGGCAGGAGAATTGTTTGAACCTGGGAGGCAGAGGTTGCAGTCAGCCGAGATTGAGCCATCGCACTCAAGCCTGAGGGACAACAGCAAGACTTCTCTTAAAAAAAAAAAATCATTAATAAGGCTGGGAGTGTTGTCTCATGTCTATAATCCCAGCACTTTGCCAGGCCGAGGCGCATGGAAAGCTTGAGTTCAGTTCAAGACCAGCCTGGGCAACACGGTGAGACCGTTTCTAAAAAGAAAGAAAAAAAAAATCAGCCCGGTGTGGTGGCACACGCCTGTGGTCTTAGCTACCCAGGAGCTGAGGTGGGAGGGTCACTTGAAGCCAGGAAGTGGAGGCTGCAATGAGTGGTGATCACGCCACTGCCCTCCAGCCTGGTGACACAGAGTAAAGCTCTGTCTCAAAACAAAACAAAACAGAACAAAACATCGATAAAACAACAAAACCAACAATCAATCAATTAAAAAACCACCAACTGACCGGGCGTGGTGGTTTGCGCCTGTAATCCCAGCACTTTCGGAGGCCGAGGCAGGCAGATCACGAAGTCAGGAGTTCGAGACCAGCCTGAACAACATGGTGAAACCCCACCTCTGCTAAAATAAAAAAATTAGATGAGTATGGTGGCATGCGCCTATAATCCCAACTACTCAGGAGGCTGAGGCAGGAGAATCACTTGAGCCTGGGAGGCAGAGGTTGCAGTGAGCCAAGATCGTGCCACTGCACTCCAGCCTGGGCAACAGAGCAAGACCCCCATCTCAAAAAAAGAAAAAAACAAAAACAAAACAAAACAAAACAAAACACCAATCGATCGAAAAAAAAAAAACACCAGCTGGCTGGGCATGGTGGCTCACGCCTGTAATACCAGCACTTTAGGAGGCCAAAGCGGGCGGATCACAAGGTCAGGAGATTGAGACCATCCTGGCTAACACGGTGAAACCCCATCTCTACTAAAAATACAAAAAATTAGCCGGGTGTGGTGGCGGGCACCTTTAGTCCCAGCTACTCGGGAGGCTGAGGCAGGAGAATGGCGTGAACCCGGGAGGCAGAGCTTGCAGTGAGCCAAGATCGCACCACTGCACTCCAGCCTGGGCGACAGAGCAAGACTATCTCAAAAAAAAAAAAAAAAAAAAAAGCCACCACCTACTCAGGAGGCTGAGGCAGGAGAACTGCTTGAACCCAGGAGGCAGAGGTTGCGGTGAGCCGAGACTGCACCACTGTGCTCCAGCCTGGGTGAGAGTGAGACCTCGTCACAAAAAAAAAAAAAAATCCACCAATCAAGATAAACTCCAAATGAATTAAAAATGTAAACATTATTATTATTATTATTATTTTTTTGAGACAGAATCTTGCTCTGTCACCTAGGCGGGAGTACAATGGCGTGATCTTGGCTCACTGCAACCTCTGCCTCCTGGGTTCAAGCGATTCTCCTGCCTCAGCCTCCTGAGTGGCTGGGACTATAGGCACCCACCACCACACCCACCACCGCACCCAGCTAATTTTTGTATTTTTAGTAGAGACGGTTTCACCATGATGATCAGGCTGGTCTAGAACTGCTGACCTCGTGATCTGCCCACCTAAGCCTCTCAAAGTGCTGGGATTACAGGCGTGAGCCACTGCGCCTGGCCAAAAATGTAAACATTATTTTTAACAAACATTAAACTAAAAGAAAATAGAAGAGAATGTTTATGTATTGTTAGGGAAAGTCTTGAACGCATGACCCCAAAGGTGGAAATCATTAAGAAAAACACTGATGAACTAAATATATTATGAAATGTCTAACCCAAGCTTGTCCAACCCTCGGCCCAGGATGGCTTGAAGTGTGGCCTAACATAAATTCAGAAACTTTCTTAAAACATTCACAGATTTTTTTGCAATTTTTTTTTTTCAGCTCATCAGCTATCATTAGTGTTAGTGTACTTTATGTGTGGCCCAAGACAATTCTTCCAACGTGGCCCAGGGAAGCCAAAAGATTGTTGTTAGCTCCACAAAACAAACCAGGATAAATATTCTTAGGGTTTTCACAAACCCACAAAAGAAAGGCAAGGACCCCAGTGGGGAAACAGGAAACGAATTCATAACTGGGCAGTTCACTGAAGAGCACACGCCAGTGGCCGGTGCCCAGGGGAAACACACTCAGTCTCACTCATAGACACAGCAGGACCAATGACATTAACAAAAGTTAAGCATTTCATTTTATCTGATCTTGAGACAGGGTCTCACTCTGTGGCCCAGGCTGGAGGGCAGTGGTGATCTAGGCTCACTGCAACCTCCTCCTGCTGGGTTCGAGAGATTCTCCCACCTCAGCCTATAAAGTAGCTGGGACCACAGGTGTGCATCACCGCGCCGGGCAAATTTTTGTATTTTTTGTAGAGACAGAGTTTCGCCACGTTGCCCAGGCTGGTCTCAAACTCCAGGGCCCAAGTGATCTGCCTGCCTCAGCCTCCCAAAGTGTGGGCCACGCCCAGCCTAAAAGTTAAGCATTTTAAAATGTGTTGGTGAGAATATACGATAACAGGTCTGCAGTACAATAGTCGTGGGAATTTGAAATGGTAGTTATTGGTCGAGCGCGATGGCTCATGCCTGTAATCCCAGCACGTTGGGAGGCTGAGGCGGGCAGATCACCTGAGGTCGGGAGTTTGAGACCAGCCTGACCAACATGGAGAAACCCCATCTCTACTAAAAATACAAAAAAAAATTAGCCGGGCGTGGTGGTGCATGCCTGTAATCCCAGCTACTCGGGAGGCTGAGGCAGGAGAATCACTTGAACCTGGGAGGCAGAGGGTGCAGTGGCCAAGATCGTGCCATTCCACTCCAGCCTGGGCAACAAAAGCAAAATTCCGTCTCAAAAAAAAAAAAAAAAAAAAAAAGAGGTTACCATTCAGGGAAGCAGACTTCAGGGTCCAGCCCTGTGCTATTTTTACAACATTTTGTGAATCTATAAGTAGTCCAAAATAAAAAGTATAAAATAGAAAATCAAAAGAGAAAAGAAAACCGTTAGTAAGGGGGAGTGGGGTCAGAGGTTCATGTAAGTTTTAGAGGAAGAACCAGCTTCTCCACAGGCAGCTTGGTTTGTGCCTCAAAGCTACCTTAATATGAAGCTATTTTGTTCCAAAGGCAGGAGTCCTTTTAGTGTTTTGTTTATTTTTGGAAGAATATCAATAGTGGAGTTTTGTGGTAGCCTGAAGAAATACTGAAAGAAGAGCCAAACCCCTGGCATGTTACAATTCTCCATTACAAAATAATCACCAGCTTCCTCAAAACCATCCATTAAAATCATTTTCCGACCGGGCGCGGTGGCTCACGCCTGTAATCCCAGCACTTTGGGAGGCCAAGGCGGGTGGATCACAAGGTCAGGAGATCGAGACCATCCTAGCTAACACGGTGAAACCCCATCTCTACTAAAGATAGAAAAAATTAGCCGGGCGTGGTGGCGGGTGCCTGTAGTCCCAGCTACTCAGGAGGCTGAGGCAGGAGAATGGTGTGAACCTGGGAGGCGGAGGTTGCAGTGAGCCGAGATGGCACCACTGCACTCCAGCCTGGGTGACAGAGCAAGACTCCGACTCAAAAAAAAAAAAAATCATTTTCCTTTCCACTGTGGGGAAAAAACGGATATGCACAGCATTTATAACAATACTCCCCAAATACTTACCTGAGCAAATGCCAGAGTTTAAAAGGGGTCGTCTCCAAAGTCAGACAATGTGGTGACAATGAAAATGCCCCAAGGGGTGGGAACTCTTACTGCTATACAGCCTCTGCACATGCTTTCACACCGGCCTGGCCACAGAAAAGGGGTGTGTGTTTAACACGAATAAGGCCTGTCTTTGGAAAATTAAAAAGCTGGTCAGGAATTCCTTCACAGGATCTCCAGGTAAGACTTCCTTTTTGGAAACTTGACTGAGCCACCAGAAATAGGGGTAGTTATTAAAAGCCACAACGGCAAGGCAGCCAAAGCCAGGCAGTTCATGATTCAACCAGTTTGCAAATAAAGACACCATGAGACAGGTCCAAAGATTTGCTCATCAACAGCAAGAAGATACCAATGTTTTTCTCTACTGCGGTCATTAAAAATACCAGGAGCCGTAGCCAGAGCTTCAGGAACCTGACTGGCAGAGAAAATCCCCATGGACCCAGGTCAGAGAGACTTGAGCAGGGCACTGTCCTTGCTCTACTTTAGCATCCATACCATTGACCACAGAGAGTCAGGCCATGTGGCTATTTAAAAAAACAGAAAACAGAACTCAACAAGCTAATAACCAAAAATTTAACTTCATGGCCGGGCAGGGTGGTTCACGCCTATAATCCTAGTGCTTTGGGAGGCTGAGGCAGGAGGATGACTTGAGGCCAGGTGTTCGAGACCAGTCTGGGCAACATGGGGAGACCCCATCTCTACAAAAAGTAAAATAAAATTAGGTGTAGTGGCATGTGCTTGTAGTCCCAGCTACCTGGGAGGCTGAGGTGGGAGGTTAGCTTGAGCCCAAGAGGTTGAGGCTGCAGTGAGCTGTGATCATTATCACTACATTCCAGTTTGGGCAACAGAGTGAGACCTTGTTTCAAAAAAAAAAAAAAAAGTGAGGGCTCAGAAAGAAAAGAAAATTTGTCAATACAATACGTATTAATTAAGGTAAAAGACCTGACACGGGATGGGCGTGGTAGCTCACGCCTGTAATCCCAGCACTTTGGGAGGCTGAGGTGGGTGGATCGCAAGGTCAGGAGTTCGAGACCAATTTGGCCAACATGGTGAAACTCCATCTCTACTAAAAATACAAAAAATTAACCAGGCGTGGTGATGTGCATCAGTAATCCCAGCTACTCAGGAGGCTGAGGCAGGAGAATCGCTTGAACCCGGGGGGCAGAGGTTGCAGTGAGCTGAGATAGCGCCATTGCACTCCAGCCTGGACGACAGAGCGAGACTCTGTCTCAGAAAAAAAAAAAAAAAAGGAGCTGACACCAAGAATAACTTGAAGAAAGAAAGATAAACACAATACCTCATATATGGTTATTCAAACGGATTATTCCCCTGGCCTACAGAACTATCAGTAAGCCCGCGGTGACTCGTGCCTATAAACCCAGCATTTTGGGAGGCCGAGGTGGACAGATCACTGGAGGACAGGAGTTCAAGACCAGGCTGGCCAACATGGTGAAACCCCGACTCTACTAAAAATACAAAATTAGGTGGGTATGTTGGTGTCTGCCTATAGTCTCAGCTACTGGGAAGGCTGAAGCACGAGAATCACTTCAGCCTGGGAGGTAGGGGATGTGGTGAGCCAAGATCGTACTACTGCACTCCAGCCCGGGTGATAGACCAAGACTCTGTCTCAAAAAAAAGGACTATCGGTAAACCAGCTGTCCACTCTAGGCCACTGAGGCTGCCACACCTATCTGTCCTCCAGGGAGTCCACAGGCTACCCAGTCCTGAGTGGAAACTCTGATTAGGGGGAAGAACAAAACAATCCAGCAGTAGTTTGCACAGCTCATTAACATTTCGGCAGGGGTGGGGCAGGAATACCACAGTCCATGCAGAAAGGAAGTGACAGGTCTCTCCCTTTTCTCCAAGAGTTCTTTCTCTAAGAAGTTTACTGAGTCACAGAGAACAGAAAATAAAAACAAAAGTCTCATTCTAATTGCCTTTTTTTTTTTTTTTTTTGAGACGTTGTCTCGCTCTGTCGCCCAGGCTGGAGTGCAGTGGTGCAATCTTGGCTCACTGCAACCTCCGCCTCCTGGTTTCAAGCCTCAGCCTCCCCAGTAGCTGGGACTACAGGTGCCCGCCACCAAGCCCGGCTAATTTTTTGTATTTTTAGTAGAGATGGGGTTTCACTGTGTTAGCCAGGATGGTCTCGATCTGCTGACCTCGTGATCCGCCCGCCTCGGCCTCCCAAAGTGCTGGGATTACAGGCCTGAGCCACCGCGCCCGGCCTCTAATTTTTTTAATTGCAGAAATTTGATGAAAACTTTTTTTTTTTTGACACAGGGTCTTGCTCTGTTGCCCAGGCTGGAATGAAGTGGTGCAATCATGGCTCACTGCAGCCTTGAATCCCCGGGCTCAAGAGATCCTCCCGCCTCAGGCTCCCCAGTAGCTGGGAGCACAGGCATGCACCAGCTAATTTTTGTTCAGCTAATCTTTAAATTTTTTGTAGAAATGAGAGCCTCACTATGTTGCCCAGGCTCCTCTGTAACTCCTGGGTTCATGTGATCCTCCCACCTCTGCCTCCCGAAGTGCTAGAATGACAGGTGTGAACCACCGTGCCCAGCCTGAAGCAGACAGCTTTTTTTTTTTCTTTCTTTTTGTGTAGACCTCCTCTGCGGTCAAGATAAGTGTTTTAAGGCTAGGCACAGTAGCATACATTTGTAATCCCAGCAACTTCGGGAGGCTACAGCAGGAGGCAGGAAGATCACTCGAGCGCAGGAGTTCGAGACCAGCCTGGGCAACATGACAAAACCCTACCTCCACAAAAAAATACAAAAACTAGCCGGGTATGGTGGTATGTGCCTCTAGTCCCAGCTGTGCGAGAGACTGAGGTTCCCTTGAGCCTGGGAGGTGAGCGGAGATCACACCACTGCATTCCAGTCTAGGCAACAGGGCAAGACCCTGTCTCAAAAAAAAGAGAAGAAAACAGTGTTTTAAATGGATAAAATATTTAGTTAATATTTAGAGGAAAACTATGATTATAGATTAATGTTACTATCTAGTTTCACCAGTTAGAAACAGAAACTGAAAAGATTTTGTCAATGGATTAAAAATAATAAGCCCAGCTGGGTGTGGTAGCTCACAACTGTAATCTCAGCACTTTAGGAGGCCTAGGCGGCTGGATCACTTGAGGTCAGGAGTGCGAGACCAACCTGGCCAACATTGTGAAACCCCATCTCTACTAAAAGTACAAAAATTAGCCGGCGTGGTGGCACGCGCCTGTAGTCCCAGCTACTAGGGAGGCTGAGGCAGGAGTATCGCTTTAACCAAGGAGGCAGAGGTTGCAGTGAGCTGAGATCGCACCATTGTACTCCAGCCTTGGCAACAAGAGCAAGACTCTGTCTCAAAAAAAAAAAAAAAAATACACCCAGATGCAGCGGCTCAAGCCTTAAATAAGTTTGGGGTGACCCCCACTGACCCTGGTTAACCACACTCCACCCCAGAGAACTCAGTATTTTTCTTTCAAAGCACTCATCATACTTCTCTTACCTGGCAGAAAGAAAGCTATTTAAGGCCAGGAAGATGTCTGCTGTGTCCCCTGAGCCAAATGGATGAAAGAGAACTTAAAAGACAAGTAAGATAACTCACAATCAAGATCTGAATTTTCCGACAGACTTCATCATCCATAATCACTAACCAATCTTGTAGCGAGTGTGCCCAAATGCTTGTCCCCAAATCCAGCTGCTATACACACAAATGACTTAAGAAATGTATTTACACAATGTGGCTGTGTCACCACCAAGAACACGCTGGGCATTTGACAGCAATTCAACATGAGCTTCAGAGACACCCACAACAGCCAATGAGGCAGATGTTTCAGCTGAGCAAAGCAGATGTCAGACAAGGACAGCTACTGTGTCCAGTTGTTTACAGCAAGCAGCTATTTCTCTCTCCACCAAGAATAATCTCAAGACAAAGAACAGGCCCATAACCATTTTTCCAGAACCACTTTAAAGATCATGGTTCCATGACAAAGGCAAAAGTATCACAGCACATGCAGTCAGCACTCAAAAGCCCAAACACAAGTTCCTTTCCTTTGCAGAACTGAAAAACTTTTACAGTACTTGAGAAGGGCTCACAATGCCTCCTAAAAATAAGTTGAGGGCGAACAGCTGATAGGCAACTATTACACAGAATAAGTTTTGTAGTCTGTCCAGAAAATACCATGGAGTAAGCCTTTCTCCTGAATTCCAAGGCAGATTTCCTGCAACTCCCCCACAAATTAGTGTTAATTTTTTTTTTTTTTTTTTGAGACGGGGCCTAGCTGTGTCACCCAGGCTGGAGTGCAGTGGCGCAATCTCCACTCATTGCAAGCTCCGCCTCCTGGGTTCATGCCATTCTCCTGCCTCAGCCTCCCGAGTAGCTGGGACTACAGGTGCCCGCCACCACGTCCGACTAGTTTTTTTTGTATTTTTAGTAGAGACGGAGTTTCACCACGTTAGCCAGGATGGACTCGATCTCCTGACCTCGTGATCCACCCACCTCAGCCTCCCAAAGTGCTGGGATTACAGGCGTGAGCCACCGCATCCGGCACAATTTTTATTTATTTTTATTTTTATTTTCTTGAGTCAGAGTCTTGCTCTGTCGCCCAGGCTGGAATGTAGTGGTGCAATCTCAGCTCACTGCAACCTCTGCCTCCTGGGTTCAAGCGATTCTCCTGCCTCATCCTCCCGAGTAGCTGGGACTACAGGTGCCCGCCACTATGCCCGGCTAATTTTTTGTATTTTTTAGTAGAGACGGGGTTTCACTGTGTTAGCCAGGATGGTATTTTTTTTTTATTTTTGAGACGTAGGCTCGCTCTGTCGCCCAGGCTGGAGTGTAGCGGAGCGATCTCAGCTCACCGCAACCTCCGCCTCCTGGGTTCAAACAACTCTCCTGCCTCAGCCTCCTGAGTAGCTGGGACTACAGGCACGTGCCATGACACCCGGCTAATTTTTTTTTTTTTGTAGAGATGGGGTTTCACCATGTTAGCCAGGATAGTCTCGATCTCCTGACCTCGTGATCCACCCACCTCAGCCTCCCAAAGTGTTGGGATTACAGGCTTGAGCCACCACGCCCAGCCAGGGATTTTTTTTTTCTTTTTTTTTTTTTTTTTTTTTGAGACGGAGTCTCACTCTGTCGCCCAGGCTGGAGTGCAGTGGCACGATCTCTGCTCACTACAACCTCCGCCTCCCGGGTTCACGCCATTCTCCTGCCTCAGCCTCCGGAGTGGCTGGGACTACAGGCACCCGTCACCACGCCTGGCTAATTTTTTGTATTTTTAGTAGAGACGGGATTTCACTGTGTTAGCCAGGATGGTCTCGATCTCCTGACCTCATGATCTGCCCCCCTTGGCCTCCCAAAGGGCTGGGATTACAGGCGTGAGCCACCGTGCCTGGCCAGAACAGTAATTTATTAATGCATTCATTAATAAATTAGGCCTGGCCCTAGCTAACTAATCAGATTCCCAGAGATTACGGCCAGCACCCCAGCTGAAATCATAGGACCAGGCACTCTTGTCCCACAGGAGTGGTAAGCTGCATAGTGGTTTAAAAATGTTCGGACAGGGGCGGGGGCGGTGGTTCATGCTTCTAATTCCAGCACTTTGGGAAGCCAAGATGGGCAGATCACTTGACATCAGGAGTTCAAGACCAGCCTGGCCAACATGGCGAAACCTCGTCTCTACCAAAAACACAAAAATTAGCCCGGCATGGTGATGCACACCTGTAATCTCAGCTACTCAGGAGGCTGAGGCAGGAGAATCGCTTGAACCTGGGAGGCGGGGGTTGCAGTGGGCCAAGATGGAGCCACTGCACTCCAGCCTGGGCAACAGAGCGAGAATCCATCTCAAAATAAATAAATAAATAAAAATAAATAACATAGGCCAGGCACGGTGGCTCAAGTCTGTAACCCTAGCACTTTGGGAGGCCGAGGCGGGAGGATCACCTGAGGCCAGGAGTTTGAGACGAGCCCAGCCAACATGGTGAAACCCCGTCTTTACTAAAAATAAAAAAAATAGCTGGGCGTGGTAGTACGTGCTTGTAGTCCCAGCTCCTCCAGAGGCTGAGGCAAGAGAATAGCTGGACCAGGGAGGCGGAATGAGCCAAGATCACGTCACTGCACTCCAGCCTGGGTGACAGAGGAAGACTCTGTCTCAAAAAAAAAAAAAAAAGAATTTCATTAACAGGTTTTGTGGTGGAAACCTTCCACTTTCACTCCGAGATCACTTGCTCTAAGGGAAGATAATTACCATGTGAGGACATGGGCCCTAAGGAAAGTTCCATGATGCAAGGAACTGAGGGCTCCTGCCACCAGCCAAGAGGGAACTGAGGCTTCCAGTCACTAGCCTTGTGAGTGAGCCATCTTGGAATCAGATCCTCCAGCCCTGGTCCAGCTTTTATTTTATTTGTTCTTTTTAAATTTTCGACCTCTAGAAAAAACAGAAAAGACTCCATCCAGCTTTTAGACACCTGCAGCCCCAGCCAACATCTTGGCTGCAACTCCATGAGACCCGAAGTCATAATCACCCAGATAAGCCACTGATCAATTCCTGACCCACAGAAACTGTTGGATAATAAATATTCGTCACTTTAATCCATTAAACTTTGTGTTGTTACAAGCAGCAGACAACCATTAGAAGTCAGCAGAATGGAAGCAAGGAGCCTGAAAAGAAAAAGAAGGGGTGGGCATGGTGGCTCACACCTGTAATCCTAACACTTTGCGAGGCCAAGGCAGGAGGACTGCTTGAAGCCAGGAGTTTGAGACCTGCCTGGGCAACACAGTGAGAACCCATCTACATATTTTTTTAAAAAAATACATAAATAAATAAACAGGCTGGGCGCAGTGGCTCACACTTATAATTCCAGCACTTCAGGAGGCCAACAAAGGAGGGTTGCTTGGGCACAGGAGTTCAGGACCAGACTGAGAAAGAGAGACCCCATCCCTACAAAATAATTTATTTATTTATTTTATTTTATTTTTTTGAGACAGTCTCGCTGTGGCCCAGGCTGGAGTGCAGTGGCGCGATCTCGGCTCACTGCAGGCTCCGCCCCCCGGGGTTTCCGCCATTCTCCTGCCTCAGCCTCCCGCGTAGCTGGGACTACAGGCGCCCGCCACCTCGCCCGGCTAATTTTTTGTATTTTTAGTAGAGACGGGGTTTCACCGTGTTAGCCACGATGGTCTCGATCTCCTGACCTCGTGATCCGCCCGCCTCGCCCTCCCAAAGTGCTGGGATTACAGGCGTGAGCCACCGCGCCCGGCCTATTTATTTTGAGACAGTCTCGCTATGTCTCCAGAGCGTAGTGGTGCAATCTCGGCTCACTGCAACCTCTGCCTCTCGGGTTCAAGCTATTCTCCTGCCCCAGCCTCCCAAGTAGCTGGGACTACAGGTGTGCGCCACCACACCCAGCTAATTTTTATATTTTTAGTAGAGACGGGATTTCACCATGTTGGACAGGATGGTCTCGATCTCTTGACCTAGTGATCCGCCTACCCCAAACTCCCAAAGTGCTGGGATTACAGGCATGAGCCACTGCGCCCACCCAAAAAAAATTTTTAAGAAAAATAAATATGGTGGCACATGCCTGTAGTCCCAGATACTCAGGAGGGTGGAGCAAAAGGAAAAAAAGAGGGCCAGTTGCGGTGGCTCACACCTGTAATCCCAGCACTTTGGGAGGCCGAGGCGAGTGGATCACCTGAGGTCAGGAGTTTGAGACTGGCCTGGCCAACATGGTGAAACCCCTACTAAAAATAAAAAATAAAAAAAATTAGCTGGGTGTGGTGGCGGGCACCTGTAATCACAGCTACTTGGGAGGCTGAGTGGGGAGAATCGCTTGAACCCGAGTAACTGGGATTACCGGCACCTGCCACCATACGCAGCTAATTTTTTTATTTTTAGTAGAGACGGGATTTCACCATGTTGGCCATGCTGGTCTCGAACTCCTGACCTCAGGTGATCCGCCTGCCTCGGCCTCCCAAAGTGCTGGGATGACAGGCGTGAGCCACCGCGCCGGCCCAGCAAGCTCCATTTTTTATTTATCTAATTTACTATCTGTACCCTCCAGTAGAATAGAAGCTCCTTGAGGACAGGAAGTTCTTTCGTGGAGTACTATATCCTTAGCTCCTACAACCATCCCTGGTTCCCAGCAGACACTCGGAGAGTATTTGTTGAGTTATTCTGCTCTAATTGGATGCAGACTGAAATTGCAATAAGGGAAGTAGTGTAATCTGATGCTGGCGCCGTAAAGACACCGGCAGCCAGTACATGGAAGGGAGCGCGTCACAGCCTCCTCAGCTGGAATCACAAGGTTTAGAACCAGAGAGTAAGTGAAATTGCCTACCCTGATATCCTATCAGTCTGTCCAAGGGCAAACTCTCTCCTTGACAACTCTCGGCCAACGAACGTAGGGGAGAGCCAGGAACGCTAATCCCAGTGTTTTCCTCCCATCTAGCCTCTGTTTTGTGTTCTATGCCTGAGTCCCTCCCACAGACGAGCAACCTCGGCTGCGCTCGGGGAGCTTTCCCGGGGTGCCGGACGGACAAGCTTGCAGACAGCGTCCCGAGAGAGGACACGCCTCTCCGACCCCCGTGAGGCTTCTCATCCACATTCTTCCACCATAAAAAAACACTCTCAGGCAACCCAGGCGGCACCAAGAGCGAAAGCGACCACGGCCGGCTCACCTACGCTGCGCCACGGCGGGGAGCTCCCTACCGGGAGGTAAAACCCCGCTTTGAGGAACATGTGGGCTTGTTCTGAATGCCACTGAAACCCAGGCTGCGGCAATGGGGGAAACCCGAAAGAATCAGCCTCCAGAGGCGCTGCTGCCGACCCGCTGAGGGACTTGGGGCCCCGCCGCAGCCTCCCGGCCCGCACCCGACTCGGGAAGGCGGAGGAGCTAGGGGGCAGCACGGCGGGGTCCTCCAGGGGCCGAGGGACTGGGGAACCTGGGGGCCGGGGTCCCAGAGCGAAGGGGCGGCCTGCGGCGCCCCTGCGGCGTGCACGCGCGAGTACGAGGCCGCGCTCACTCACCTGCCGCCGCGGCCTCTCACCCGACCGCGCCGCTGGCCCCGCCCCCTGGCGTCACTTCCGACCAGCCGGGCGGGCGGGGGCGGAAATGCGCAGGCTCCGACCCCGCCCCACCGCCATGCTTCGGTTGCTCGGCAACGGGGATCTTGGGCGCTGCCTCCGCCGGGAACCTGGCGGTGTCCTGTTTGTCGCTGTCGCAATGGATGCTGAACGTCCTCGCCCCTCTTCGTTCCCGTCCCCCCTCCGTCCTCGCTCCTCTCCGTCCTCTTTCCCCTCCTTCTCTGCGTCCTCGCTCCCCTCCTCCTCCTCTCCCGACCTTGTCCTCTTCCCGCCTTCTTTCTTGACGTCGACCCCCGATCTGCGTCCTCGCCCCCGCTTCCGGGTGCTCTCCCCAGTGTTTCTCCTCTTTGACCACGAGGAGAATTGCTGGCACTGAGGATGCGAATTTTCGGCCTTGAAATACGGTGCCAGGGCCGGGGGCGGTGGCTCACGCCTGTAATTCCAGCACTTTGGGAGGCCGAGGCGGGCGGATTACAAGGTCAGGAGATCGAGACCATCCTGGCTAACACTGTGAAACCCCGTCTCTACTAAAAATACAAAAAATTAGCCAGGCGTGGTGGCGGGCGCCTGTAGTCCCAGCTACTCAGGAGGCTGAGGCAGGAGAATGGCGTGAACCCAGGAGGCGGAGGTTGCAGTGAGCTTAGACTGCGCCACTGCACTCCAGCCTGGGCGACAGAGCCAGACCGTGTCTCAAAAAAAAAAAAAAAAAAAAAAAAAAAAAAGGCTAGGGGCTCATGCCTGTAATCCCAGCACTTTGGGAGGCCGAGGCAGGTGGATCACCTGAGGTCGGGAGTTCAAGACCAGCCTGACCAACATGTATAAACCCAGTCTCTACTAAAAATCCAAAATTAGCTGGACTTGGTGGCGCGTGCTTGTAATCATAGCTACTCGGGAGGCTGAGGCAGGAGAGTTGCTTCAACCTGGGAGGCAAGAGTTTGCGGTGAACTGAGATCTTGCCATTGCACTCCAGCCTGGGCAACTAGAGTGAAACTCCGTCTCAAAAAAAAAAAAAAAAGGATGGGGTCTCCCTCTGTCCCTCAGGCTCAAGTGCAGTGGCGGGATCACAGCTTACTGCAACCTCTGCTTCCCAGGCACAAGTGATCTTCTCACCTCAGCCTCCGGAGTAGCTAGGACTACAGCTGTAAGCCACCATGCCCAGCTAATTTTTTTCCTTTCTTGTAGACATGGGGTTTTGCCATATTAACCAGGCTGGTCTTGAACTCCTGGACTCAAGTGATCTCCTGCTTTGGCCTCCCAAAGTGCTGGGATTTCAAGCATGGGCCACTGTGCCTGGCAGTTGTCTGATTTCTAGTAACTGTGGCAGTTTGGTAGGTGCGTAATTCAGATGATTTAATTGCTTTGTTCAAATGGCCAATTGGAAGCAAAGTCATGCCTTAAAACATTATTTAAAACTTGTCAGCCGGGCACAGTGGCTCATGCCTATAATCCCAGCACTTTGGGAGGCCGAGGTGGGTGGATCTCAAGGTCAGGAAATCTAGACCATCCTGGCTAACACTGTGAAACCCCGTCTCTATTAAAAATACAAGAAAATTAGCCAGGCGTGGTGACGGGCGCCTATAGTCCCAGCTACTTGGGAGGCTGAGGCAGGAGAATGGTGTGAACCTCGGAGGCGGAGCTTGCAGTGAGCTGAGATCGCGCCACTGCACTCCAGCCTGGGCGACAGAGTGAGACTCTGTCTCAAAATAAATGAAAACAAAACTTGTCTAACCGTGTCTGGACTTTTGATGCTTCTAGCCCATGAACAGTCTTTGTTGTATTCTTAGAGTAAGTCTTTTTTCCCCCTTCCAGGGCAGCAATCATATTAAATTATCATTTGTGAAATGATTTTTTAAAATTTAAATTTTATTTTTTAATTAATTAATTTTTTTGAGGTGGAGTGTCAAAATAGACCACTCCCGGCCTGTTTTTTTTTTGAGATGGAGTCTCCCTTTATCGCCCAGGCTGGAGTGCCGCGGCACAATCTTGGCTCACTGCAACCTCCGCTTCCTGGGTTCAAGTGATTCTCCTGCCTCAGCCTCCTGAGTAGCTGGAACTACAGGCGTGTGCCACCACACCAGGCTAGTTTTTTTGTATTTTTAGTAGAGACAGGATTTCACCATGTTGGCCAGGCTGGTCTTGAACTCCTGACCTTGTGATCCACCCACCTCGGCCTCCCAAAGTGTTGGGATTACAGGCGTGAGCCACTGTGATCGGCCTTTTTTTTGGCCGGGGGGAGAGGGAGTTTTGCTTTTGTTGCCCAGGCTGGAGTGCAATGATGCATTCTCGGCTCACCGCAACCTCTGCCTCCCAGGTTCAAGCAATTCTCCTCCCTCAGCCTCTCGAGTAGCTGGGATTACAGGCATGCGTCATCACGCCTGGCTAATTTTGTATTTTTAGTAGAGATGGGGTTTCTCCATGTTGGTCAGTCTGGCCTCAAACTCCTGACCTCAGGTGATCGCCTGCCTCGGCCTCCCAAAGTGCTGGGATTACAGGCATGAGCCACTGCCCCCAGCCTGGCATGTTTTTTAAGTTTTAATTTCATTTTTGAGACAGGGTCTCATTCTTTTTTTTTTTTTTTGGCCTCCCAAAGTGCTGGGATCACAGGTGTGAGCCACCGTGCCTGGCCAAGACAGGGTCTCGTTCTTTTGCCCAGGCTGCCATGCAGTGGTGTGATCACAGCTTACTGCAACCTCAACCACCCAGGCTCAATCCATCCTCCAACCTCAGCTTCGAGTGGCTGGGACTAGAGGCACATGCCACCACACCCGGCCTATATTTATTTATTTATTTTTATGTTTGTTAATTCTTGTATTCAACCAACAGTGAGTGTTGTGTGACCCTGTTTTAGGTGCTGGGGATACAGAATGAAGCACAATCATTAGCTGTAGACAACGTAGCCTAATGGAGCTGGATCCACCACTGGCAACCTTAAAGTTACCTCCCTTGGTCCTTAAGATGAAATGCAACTTCAAACTCTGCCATGCTTAGCATCTTGTTTCAAAACAAATAATGGTCCACCTAGTTTGCTGCTGGTAGCCCTGTGGCTCTATTAATATTAACCATCTATTGATGAAGTTAACTTTCATAAAGGATTCTACGAAAGTTCAGAGGCATGAAGTATGTAAGGACAAACAAGTACTGGTCCGCAACAAAAATAGCATCGGTATTCTGCTTTCAGAAAAGCCAAGAAAACCAAGAAAAAATTCATTCTGAGTATATACAGAACTGCTGGACAGAGGTCATCCTATACGTGTGGTACACGTACAAATATGACATAAGAAGAAGTATGAATTATTGCAGTCATTATTAAACAACGAAGTATGCCAAATTAGTCATCAGGTTTCAAAGAATCATAGCCTTCTTTCCATAGGTCCCGCCACGTTTTAAGGAAACGTGCCTTTTCTGTACATTTGAAGGCAAGTTCTTCCACTTGAGCTGATACTGCAGATGTGGCTTCAAGAAGTTTGGTTAATGAAAAGGCTGCGTCTCCGATCTGCAGCCCCACTTCCTCCAGCGGGTCCACCGTTCGGCCGCTGCTCCTGCTCGGAACTGGCCAGCCCAAACTCACTGGGCTGCCAGGGTAAGATGCTGCAGAGGCGTCTGAAGAGGAGGGAGAAGGAGGCGGCGGGGGCGGCGAAGAAACCTGCAACTTCTCAGGGTCGGCCATGGGGAAGGGCTGGCACCGCGGAATCCGACCCGAGCAGCCCAACGGACACCCTATTTATTTATTTTAAATAGAGAGCAGGGGCCTGGCGTTCTGGCTCACAGCTGTAATCCGAGGACTTTGGGAGGCTGAGGTGGGCGGATCACCTGAGGTTAGGAGTTTAAGACCAGCCTGGCCAACATGGCGGAACCCCGTCTCTGCAAAAGTACAAAAAAAAAGTTAGTCGGGAATGATGGCGGGTGCCTGTAATCCCAGCTACTGGGGAGACTGAGACAAGAGAATCGCTTGAACCCAGGAGTCAGAGGATGCAGGAAGCCGAGATCGCGCCACTGCACTCCAGGCTGGGCGACAGAGGGAGACTCCGTCTCAAAAATAAATAAAATACGGCAGGGCGCGGTGGCTCACGCCTGTAATCTCAGCACTTTGGGAGGCCGAGGCAGGCAGATCACAAGGTCAGAAGTTCAAGACCAGCCTGGCCAATACGGTACAACACCGTGTCTACCGAAAATACAAAAATCAGCTGGGCATGGTGGCTGGCTACTTGAGGTCAAGACTTTGAGACCAGCCTGGCCAGCATGGTGAAACCCCGTCTCTACTTAACATTCAAAAATTAGCCGGAGGGGGTGGCGGGCGCCTGAAATTCCAGCTACTGGGGAGACTGAGGCAGGAGAATCGCTTCAACCCGGGAGGCGGAGCTTACAGTGAGCCGAGATCGCGCCACAGCATTCCAGCCTGGGTGACAGAGCAAGACTCCGTCTCAAAAAAAAAATAAACAAATAAAAAATAAAGACCGGGCGTGGTGGCTCATGCCTGTAATCCCAGCACTTTGGGAGGTTGAGGCAGGAGAATCGCTTGAACCCAGGAGGCGGAGGTTGCGGAGAGCCAAGATCGCGCCATTGCACTCTAGCCTGGGCGAAACTCCGTCTCAAAAATAAATAAATAAATAATAGAGGTTTAATATAATAGAAGTATATGCCAGACTATGCACACATAAGTGCATGCTATAATTCTATTATCACATAAAATAACTGCTTACATATGCCTTTTCTTTAGTCCCTGGGACAGTAGACCATGAGCTCACAAAAGGACGACCACGAGGTTGTAATCATAGAACCTAATATTAATGCCATGACTGATGGCCAAACGTGGTGGTTCACACCAGTAATCCCAATACTTTGCCGGGCTGAGGCGGGAGGATAAGGAGCCGGGGAGGTCGAGGCTGCAGTGAGCGGTAATCGCGCCACTGCATTCCAGCCTGGGCGACGGAGCAAGACCCTCGCTCTAAATAAATAAATAAATAAATAAATAAAATTCCATGCTTTATTTAACTTTCACAAAAATCATATGAGGGGCACCTTTAGAACCCTCATTTCACAGATTTAAAAAAACGAGCGTCGGGGAGCTAAATAATATGCTCACGGTTTCATGGCTAGCTTAGAAAAAGCACGGATTCATCTTGTTTTTGATTGACTGTATTTCATTTTATTGTAGTTTACCCTCCGTAGAGACTCGTTTGAGGTCCTGGGGGTCTAGAGTAAAATCAGGGTTGGGATTTTGGTTCCGCCGTTGGACAACTTGCGACCACTCAGAGCCTCAGCCTCCCTAAGCACCCACCCCAGAAACTACATTTCCCAGCAGGGCGTGCGCCGGCGCCGTCGTACTTCCTCCCGGCGTCCCCCGCGGCGGGAAAGAGCCGAGTGGGCTCGAGGCCGACGCGACCATCGTTTGTCGACGCCGCTGCCACCGCCTGCCTGAGAGAAGTCGTCGCGGCCGACCCCGTCGCCTCCGCCGGCTACCATGTCCGCCCAGGCGCAGATGCGGGCCCTGCTGGACCAGCTCATGGGCACGGCTCGGGACGGTGAGTCAGAGCGGCCAACCAGGCGAGGGTCTGGGGTGGGAGTGAGGCGAGGCCGCCGGGCGGCCTGAGGCGGGGGCCGCGATCGTCTGCGCCTGCGCCTGCGCGGGGCATCGCTCCTCCTCCCCCGCGCTCCGACCGCAGGCGCCGGGCCTTTGTCTAAGCCGGTGCGTCTCTGAGGCGGCCGTGGGTCCAGGTCGGGCTCCTCTCTCGGAGTCTGCGCCATGGATGGGGCTTCAGCCTCCTTCCTATGTACCGTCCTGCTACTTCCTCCCCGGCGGGCGCCGCGGCTCCGTGCCCCTCCGCGAACTGTGGAGTCGGCGGAGGGCTGGAATCAGCGTGGGCTCCAGGTCGCTGGCAGCCGGGTGGCAGAACTCTTCCGAGGCTCCTTGGGAAGAAGCTACACCCGAGGGAGCCGGATGGGCCTCGAAAACCTGGCCCGCTCTGGTTCTGTACCATTGCAAGGGGAACCGTAAACTGAGCTTTTCTAACGTGGGTTTCTGCCAAGTACTTTTCCAGCTGCCCCCTTCCCCCCAGCACACAGGAGAGCCTCTGTGTAGCCAGCGCTTGACAGTCGTTAGGTAGGTTGTACTGTGTAGGGAGGAGCTCAAGATCATGATGGTTGTCACAGGAGAAAGCGGTTGCATCTTTGCAAAACTATATACCTGCTGTGGTTTGTGTTTTCTTTTCTGCTGAGTAATGAAGTTGTAAGTTCACACTGGCACATTCTCAGGGCTGTGCAGATTATTTGCACTTTATTTCATAGGTGAATAAGTGCTTTTTAGCTTTCTTTGTATATTGAGTTGCTTTTGAATTGCTTCCCATATTTTTATTTCATACAAACTGAACAATTGTGGCCCCTCTATTTTATTTATAAAGGTTCAGTGTATCTTTGCCTGCCTACATCAATCTGCAAGGGAGTTGCAGAAAGCCTCATGTTCATCGAGCCGTGAGTCACAACCAATTTCTAAGCTGTTATAACAAAAAAGTGTTTGCTTTTTTTCACAAGTAACTTTAAAAGTGTAGTTTAGAAAGAAAACATTTTCAATAAAAAGACACTACATTAATCCTGGATGCTTGCAAATCCTAAAATATATTCCTCCTCTAGCGTTGCACAGCTCTGTGTTGTATACACAGACTAGCTTTAAAATTTGTCACATACCACTTTACCTTTACTTTTATGTATCATTCCCCCGACTTCCTTACTGCAGGTGTGGGCAAGAAAACTTTTCCTTTAACACTTTTCAACAGCGGGCATAAAATTCTGCAGCTGAGGTCTTGAAGAATGCAGATGGGTACAGTATGTGTTGGAGCTCACAGTGTGTATTGACTAACCTAGTTCCTTTTTTGCTTTTTTTGGTATTGTCTTGTTAAAAGTGACTCCCAGGTAGCAACTCTCTTTTTTAAGGGTGGGAACGAAAGGGACGTAGGAAGAATAGATCTAGATTATTTAACAGTCTTCGATAGAGTTTGAAAGCTTTCTTCTTCATTCAATTTTGGGCAAAATACTGCCTCTGCATTTGTTCATAACAAAAAGATTAGATTAATAAGTAGCTTTTGTTGGTGGAAATTACCAGCTCTATAAGTCACCCTTGGTGGTTCATGGACCTCTGATTAGCTTGGGTTTTGCAGTCTCATTGCCACATGTATATGTGGAGCCAATGGCCTTTTGGTGCTCAGCTGTTTACGTCTGACTCCTTGACTTCTTTGGTACAGTGATGGAGTCAGATCTCATTAAGTGTGATTCTCCATGATATAACTAGCCTCAAAAAAATGTGTATTCCACTCCAGTTGTAAATATCTTTAGATCAGCTTTTCATTGCATTTGATGGGGAGAACACAGAAATGATAGTCTGCAAATCATCCAGGTGAATTGTTATACTAGTTATTTTTTGGTGGTTAATGTGATAATATTGTCTTATTTAAAACCACAAATGAATTTCAGGAGACGAAACCAGACAGAGGGTCAAGTTTACAGATGACCGTGTCTGCAAGAGTCACCTTCTGGACTGCTGCCCCCATGACATCCTGGCTGGGACGGTAGGTGCATTTTGGGGGACCTCATGGAACACTCTGACATGAGTGCTGTATAGGCAGTGACGGTTTTTCTATGTTGAATTTTGTTTTAACTTAAGTCTCTTTTTCTCTAAGTGGCTTAATTATGGCAGGTGTTCCTCCACTCGTATGTATGTTTGCATGCATGCATGCGATGGAGTGTCACTCTGTGTTGCCCAGGCTGAAGTGCAGTGGTGTGATCACAGCTCACTGCAGCCTTGAACTCCTGGGCTCCAGCAATCCTACCACCTCAGCCTCTTGAGCAGCTGGTACTACAGGCATGAGCCACTGCTCCTTTCTCAATCCTCCACTCTTCAACAGGCAGAAATCCCTGATGCCCTTAAAATGATAGATTCTATTCATTTGGTAGGATTTTATATTATGGAACAAATTTCACTGTTGTAAAATTCTGTCTGTAAAGTTACCAGATTTTTTGTAAAGTCATTTATACTGAGATATTCACAACTAAATAGGGCAAGTATTCTAATTTGGCTGTAGCAAAAAATATGCTTTAGGTCAGCCTGAAGTTCTTTGAAGATTCTGCGTGGGTTTGTTTGACCTCAAGTTGGTTGTGTGGAAAACTTTTGATCTAGCAAGGTACATTTTCTTCCCGCAATTTTTTGGTTTTTAAAAATCAGTTGAGGATACATTGATTTTGTAGTTTTGTGTTGTGCCACCCCTTCAAGAAATCAACATGCTATCTAATGAATATAGAACCCTACAATTTTAAGTTCACTTCAGATGAACAAAACAGATAAACGCTAGCTTTGTATAATGTGCATTTATTCGAAGTAAGAATTTGAAAAGACTGAATAGTGGAAGGTTATCTGTGGTGATTACGCCACTGAGAGAAAAGGAGTCCTGTAGAGACCACCCCCATTTTAAGGTTTCACAGCTACCTCACGGAGGTTAAAAACTATCCTCTCATTTTAAGGATGAAATGTGCATATGTTAAAGGAAGTTTTCTTCATGATGAATCATTGCTTATATTAGGGAGGAGCACCTTCTGGAAAACCGCTCAGATGTATTAAAACTTCTCAAGCTGAGTTTTCTGACAGCAAATGCGAAATGAATGCCAAACCTTGTGCCTCTGTTCCTTGGGGTGTTGTCTGCTGTTTGGCCTGGGATGGGAAAACGTTACTGTTTGATGCAGATTGTTGTGTGTACCGAGGTCAATACAGATTAATGATTTCAACTCGTCAAAGGAAGTTTCACTGTAGGGTATTTTCATAGGATGCACAACTTGGAATTCTTGATAAACCCATAGTGAAGGAAGTCAGAGGGAGCAGATAGATGTGCACTCTCGGGAAGATTTCAACCATGTTTTCCTTGGCCAGACCCTGTGTAGCATAGCTGCAGAATACTGGTGAGAAAAATAATCTGAGTGAGAGTATTTCTTTTCTTTTCTTTTCTTTTCTTTTTTTTTTTGAGACAGAATTTCAGGCTGGGTGCGGTGGCTCACGCCTGTAATCCCAGTACTTTGGGAGGCCGAGGCGGGTGGATCACCTGAGGTTGGGAGTTGGCGACCAGCCTGATCAACATAGATAAACCCTGTCTCTATTAAAATACAAAATTAGCTGGGTGTGGTGGCGCATGCCTGTAATCCCAGCTACTCAGGAGACTGAGGCAGGAGAGTCACTTGAACCCGCGAGGCAGAGGTTGTGGTGAGCCGAGATCGAGCCATTGCACTCCAGCCTGGGCAACAAGAGCAAAACTCTGTCTCAAAAAAAAAAAAAAAAAGAGACGGAGTTTCGCTCTTGTTGCCCAGGCTGGAGTGCAGTGATGTGATCGTGGCTCACCGCAACCTCTGCCTCCCAGGTTCAAGCCATTCTCTTGCCTCAGCCTCCCGAGTAGCTGGGATTACAGGCATGCACCACCTCGCCCGGCTAACTTTTGTATTTTCAGTAGAGACGGGGTTTCACCATGTTGACCAGGCTAGTCTGGAGCTCCTGACCTCGTGATCCACCCACCTTGGCCTCCCAAAGTGCTGAGATTACAGGCATGAGACACTGCGCCCGGCCAGAACTGTGTTTTCTGAAGGTTCCGGAAACTTTGGTGCCCTTCCTGGTCAGTAGTGTTAGACCAGTAGAAGGTACAGAAGAGAACACAGGTTGTGGAGTAAAAAACGCCTGACACACTGGATTTAGCAGCCATGTGGAATATTGTGGAAGGACTTAATGAATGTGATATTTCAGCTCTGCTTGATGTTGGGCATCCAGGGGAATGGCCAGTAGTATTTTTCCCTGCCTCCTTGGCAAAGCTGAAAAGCTACATCCAAAGAGGGTAATCATAGAACCCAAGCCTATCCTCAGTGTGCTTAAGCAGGGACTCTTTTGGGAGCTCTCACATTGAAAAGTAAGTGCTGAATTTTGCTTCATGTGAGGTTTTTTTTTTTCAGACGGAGTCTCACTCTGTTGCCTAGGCTGGAGTGCATGGTGCTATCTCTGCTCACTGCAACCTCTGTCTCCTGGGTTCAAGCAACTCTCCTGCCTCAGCCTCCTGAGTAGCTGGGATTATAGGCGCCCGCCACCACACCTGGCTAATTTTTTTTGTATTTTTAGTAGAGATGGGGTTTCATCATGTTGGCCAGGCTGGTCTCAAACTCCTGACTTCAGGTGATCCACCCACCTCTGCCTCCCAAAGTGCTGGGATTACAGGCATGAGCCACCGCGCCTGGCCTCATGAGGTTTTCTTTTTTTTTTATTTTGAGACTGAGTTTCGCTCTTGTTGCCCAGGCTGGAATGTAATGGCTCCATCTCAGCTCACTGCAAGCTCCGCCTCCCGGGCTCAAGCAATTCTCCTGCCTCAGCCTCCCGAGTAGCTGGGATTACAAACGTGCGCTACCACACCCGGCTAATTTTTGTATTTTTAGTAGAGACGGGGTTTCACCACGTTGGCCAGGCTGGTCACGAACTTCTGACCTAAGGTGATCCGCCCTCCTCGGCCTCCCAAAGTGCTGGGATTATAGGCATGAGCCACCGCGCTCGGCCTCATGAGGTTTTCTAATGTCATATCTTTCTTGACAGTTGAGTTTTTTATAATGGAAATCAATTTGTACTTCATACTTTGTTGTACTTCAGGTTTTAGGGTCTGCTTCCTTTGGTAGTAGCTTTTTCTTTGAACAACAAAGCCTTGATTAGTTTAAAGCATTTTTTCTGATAGCTGCCATTCATTTTTCAGCTACAATGCTTAGTTTGTGGAAACTATATATTTTAAAGGACAACACCCACAACTTAGAAGAGTGAATGAGGCCAGGTGCGGTGGCTCATACCTGTAATCCCAGCACTTCGGGAGGAGGAGGAGGAGGCGGGTGGATCACTTGAGGTCAGGAGTTTGAGACCAGCCTGGCCAACATGATGAAAACCTGTCTCTACTAAAAATACAAAAATATTAGCCGGGCGTGGTGGCGTGCCCCTGTAGTCCCAGCTATTCGGGAGGCTGAGGCAGGAGGATTACTTGAATCTGGGAGGCAGAGGTTGCAGTGAGCTGAGATCGTGCCACTGCACTCCAGCCTGGGCGACAGAGTGAGACTCCGCCTCAAAAAAAAAAAAGAAAAAACAGAGTGAATGAGGTAAAAGTTGTCAGATTTTCAGTGACAGTGATTTTAAGTGCAAATTTGGCTTCTAGAACCACTATTGTCCTATCTCTAAGTCTTCTATGTAACCGACCATAACGTGAGTCCCATCTGACTTCAGAGTAAGAATGATAAAGGAGAAAAGTCAATCTTTCGTCAAAATAAACATCACCATACAAGGCAGACCCGTTGTCTGCCGCCTCCATGTTAGCTTTATTATTGGTGATACTGAAGGATGTTTTGTTAGTGAGTATGCCACGTGCTTTCTTTTTTTATCTATTATTTTATTTTATTTTATTTTTTTGAGACGGAGTCTCGCTCTGTCGCTCAGGCTGGAGTGCAGTGGTGCGATCTTGACTCACTGCAAGCTCTGCCTCTCTGGTTCATGCCATTCTCCTTCCTCAGCCTCCTGAGTAGCTGGGACTACAGGCGCCCAGCTAATTTTTTTTGTATTTTTAGTAGAGAAGGGGTTTCACTGTGTTGGCCAGGATGGTCTTGATCTCCTGACCTCGTGATCCGCCCGCCTCGGCCTCCCAAAGTGCTGGGATTACAGGAGTGAGCCACCGTGCCCAGCCTAGCATGCTACATGCTTTCTATGAGACTGCATCCCAAGAGTCAGACATGCAAGCCTCTCTATTTTTTTCCCCCTCAAGATGGATTAAAGGTTTAAAGCCTTCCTTTCTTTTTTTTTTTTTTTTTTTAAAAGACGGGGTCTCTTTAAAAAGCTGGGCGAGGTGGCTCACGCTCGTAATCCCAGCACTTTGAGAGGCCAAGGTGGGTGGATCACCTGAGGTCAGCAGTTCGAGACCAGCCTGACCAACATGGAGAAACCCCATCTCTACTGAAAATACAAAATTAGCTGGGCGTGGTGGCACATGTCTGTAATTCCAGCTCCTTGGGAGGCTGAGGCAGGAGAATCGCTTGAACCTGGGAGGCGGAGGTTGCGGTGAGCCGAGATTGCACTACAGTCTGGGCAACAAGAGCGAAACTCCATCTCAAAAAAAAAAAAAAATTAAAAAGACAGGGGTCTCTGTTGCTCAGACTGGAGTGCAGTGGCTCAGTCACAGCTCACTTGAAGCCTTGACCTCCTAGGCTCAAGCGATCTCTTCCCCTCAGCCTCCCAAGTGGCTGGGACTACAGGCACATACCACCACACCCAGCTAATTGTTAATTTTTTCATAGAGACAGGGTCTTGCTATGTTGCCCAGGCTGGTCTCAAACTCCTGGGCTCAAGTGATCCTCCCATCTTGCCCTCCCAAAGGTGTTGGGATTACAGACATGTGCCACTGCAACTGGTACTAACGTCTTTTTTTTTTTTTTTTTCTGGTTATGTAGACATGTTCTTTTGTCCTACTGGGGGTGTCTCCTAGTTGGGATGTTGGGTTTTGTTAACATGCACTCTATAACTTGACACGATGATCCTCAGCACACAAACCTCCCTGTTGCTGTGTAGATGGCGAGAGGCAGAAGGTGTCTGCATAGAGTCCTATACTTAGGATTTAGATTAAAATCATACACTGTTTTCTAATTGTACTGCATATGGTACACATAATAGCACATCATGCTGTTCTTACTGACAACATAAATCATTTTGTTTTAGTAATGGAACGTTTTGCTTGTCAAATGGAGGAACTGAGTGGGACAATTATCTGTCCTCACTTAGATGTCCAGGGTCATTTCCCAGGCTAAGAAAATGTGTAGAGCATGTATTTGGCTACGAACCAGCCTGTTCTCCTTTATTCCCTTTGATACACAATCAGCTACACAAAGCCAAGTGTTAGGTTGTGATGTAATTGCCAAAATCTAACTTCTGTCCGCTCTTTCCTCTTCCTCTGTCTCTGCATCTTAAGCATCGAGCATCTCAAGTAGTCAAGATTGCAAGACAATGCCTAGAAATTTGTTGCAGTGAGACTGTTTTCTGGCCCTTTCCTTTTTTTTTTCCCCTTTTCTGAGACAGAGTCTCACTTTATCACCCAGGCTGGAGTGCAGTGGCACAGTCTTGGCTCACTGCAAACTCCACCTCCTGGGTTCAAGCGATTCTTGTGTCTCAGCTCCCCAGGTAGCTGGGATTACAGGTGCCCTGCCACCACACCTGGCTAATTTTTGTAGTTTTAGTGGAGACTGGGTTTTATCATGTTGGGCAGGCTGGCCTTGAACTCCTGACCTCAAGTGATCCGCCTGCCTCACCCTCCCAAAGTGCTGGGATTACAGGCGTGAGCCACCACGCCCAGCCCTGGCCGTTTCCTATCCCTGCCACCCCACATGCTGCCATTTACTGAATCCTTGGACTGATGCATAAATAAAACTGGGCCAGGCACCGTGGCTCACACCTGTAATGCCAGCTCTTTGGGAGGCCAAGGTGGGTGTATCACTTGAGGTCAGAGGTTCAAGACCAGCCTGGCCAACGTGGCGAAACCCTGTCCCTACTGAAAATACAAAAAAAAAAAAAAAAAAAAAAAAAAAAAATTAGCTGGGTGTGGTATCACGTGCCTGTAATCCCAGCTACTTGGGAGAATGAGGCAGGAGAATTGCCTGAACCCCGGAGGCAGAGGTTACAGTAAGCTGAGGTCGCGCCACTGTACTCCAGCCTGGGTGACAGGTGAGACTCCTTAAAAACTGGCAAAAGCCAATTAATGTAGTTGTGATGATTACAGTCCAATTATCTCTGGGTCTAAAATAGAAACTTTACACTATTAAATGCATCAGTTTCAAGTATCACGTAGTCACGATGGTAAAAGTGAAATGAGGCTTCTCAGCCATATCTCCTTTCTTAATTTTCTTATTGCAGTGTCAGTGTTCCAAAAGTGATCATTTCTGTTGGTGACAGTTGAAACACCAAGTCGCGTTGTGTGCTTTCTACAGTAGGTAGGCACTGAGGTCTGCATTTTCTGTTTCTTTCCCACAGCGCATGGATTTAGGAGAATGTACCAAAATCCACGACTTGGCCCTCCGAGCAGATTATGAGATTGCAAGTAAAGAAAGAGACCTGTTTTTTGAATTAGATGTAAGTTTTATTTAATGTTGATTTATTCCTACTGCGAAGAACCCAATATTGAACTAACAAGAAAAATGTAACATACGTAAGTTATGAAGCAAAATAATAAGGTAGTTGCTTGTTATCCTGCCACTCAAGCTCAGAGCTAGAATACAGCCAGTACTGTTTATATGTTGTGTCCAGCGTCCTGTCAGTGTCCTAAATGATAATATGTGTTATCTCATTTTGTTGCTTTTAAAAATTTTAATTACATTTTTATGAGTCCTTGAACAGTGTTTATTTTTGCTTAGTTTTGAATGGTTTCATAGTGTAGAGTCTTTAAAATTAGATTTTTTTGGTTCAGTATCATGTTTCTGTTTGCCCAGGTTGTTGCATATAGTTTTCATTGCTGCTTGAATAATTCTCAAACGATCTTTGCTTTATTCATAGACATTTAGATTGATTCTAGTTTTGCTACTGCAGACAATATGAATATTTTTGCATAACTTCCTTGTCACGTGGATAAGGATTTATTTTGGGTATATTCCTAGGAGAGGGATTGCTGGTTTATAGGAGATACCCGTATTTATCCTCGCAAGACAATTTTGTAATGTTGTCTTCTTGTTTCTATTTGGTAAAGTCCCATAGCAGTGTCTGCACGCTCACCAACACTTTGTATTATCAGACTGTTTAATTTTTGCAGTTTAGTGGTTGTAAAATGGCATTTCTTTCTGATCTCAATTTGCATTTTTTTAGTACTCAGTAGTTGTGTTATTTTATCTACATTAGTAAATTCTTTTTTTTTTTTTGAGACGGAGTTTCACTCTTGTTGCTCAGGCTGGAGAGCAGTAGTGCGATCTTGGCTCACTGCAACCTACTCCTCCCAGGTTCAAGCAATTCTGCCTCAGCCTCCTGAGGAGCTGGGAATACAGGCATGAGCCGCCATGCCCGGCTGATTTTGTATTTTTAGTAGAGATGGTGTTTCTCCATGTTGATCAGGCTGGTCTCGAACTCTCAACGTCAGGTGATCCGCCCGCCTCAGCCTCCCAAAGTGCTGGGATTACAGGTTGAGCCACCGTGCCTAGCTTCTTTTTCTTTTTGATACAGAGTTTCACTCTGTTGCCCAGGCTGGAGTGCAGCAGCATGATTATAGCTGACTGTAAGTGAATTGCTGGGCTCAGGTGATCCTTCTTCCACAGTCTCCTAAATAGCTAGTACTACAGATGCACACGACCATGTCTGGCTAATTATTTATTTAATTTATTTTAATTTTTATTTATTTATTTATTTTGAGACAGAGTCTTGCTCTGTCACCAGGCTAGAGTGCAGTGGCACCATCTTGGCTCATTGCAACCTCCGACTCCCTGGTTCAAGTGATTCTCCTGCCTTAGCCTCCCAAGTAGCTGGGATGACAGGCATGCGCCACCATGCCCAGCTCATTTTTGTATTTTTGGTAGAGATGGGGTTTTACCATGTTGGCCAGGCTGGTCTCGATCTCCTGACCTTGTGATCCGCCTGCCTCGGCCTCCCAAAGTGCTGGGATTACAGCTGTGAGCCACCGCGCCTGTCCTATTTATTTTTGAGACAGGTTCTTGTTCTGTCACCCAGGCTGGAGGGCAGTGGCGTGATGATGGCTTGCTGTAACCTTGACCTCTTCGGCTCAGTGATAGCCCTGCCTCGGATTCCTGAGTAGCTGCGGGTATAGGTGTGTGCCACCACACCCGGCCTTTTTTTTTTTTTTTTTTTTTTTTTTTGAGACAGGGTTTTACTATGTTGCCCAGGCTGGTCTCAAACTTCTGCCCTCAAGTGATCCTGCCACCTTGGCCTCTCACTGGTATTGGGATTTCAGGTGTGAGCCACTATGCCTGGCCAGTAAATTCATTTAGAGTAGCATTTTTCAGCTTTTTTTCGTTGTTGCCCCCAGTGGAGCCTTTTAAGATTCTTTTTTCTGTTTTTTTGAGACAGAGTCTCCCTCTGTTGCCCAAGCTGGAATGCAGTGGCGCAATCTTGGCTCATTGCAACCTCCGCCTCCTGGGTTTAAGCAATTCTCCTGCCTCAGCCTCCCAAGTAGCTGAGATTAGAAGTGCCCGCCACCACACCCAGCTGATTTTTGTATTTTTAGTAGAGATGTGGTTTCGCCATGTTGGCCAGGCTCATCTTGAACTCTTGACCTCAGGTGATCCACCCACCTCACTCTCCCAAAGTGCTGGGTTTACAGGTGTGATTACACTGTGCCTGGTAAGAATACATGATTTAAACTCACTCAATTTTAATTGTTTTTTAATCCCTAATCACCCATCGCTAGTATGACCAGAGGTTAGTAGAGGGGTTTGATGCCATTCTGGTTCTTGAGTGAAGACCGGGAAGGCACTGAGCATGGGATGAGGGAGCCAGTGAAAAATATAAAACCCAAGGGAAAGGGTCCCTCCGCTTGCATTACAAGATGTCAATACGTTTTACAGTAAATTCTTCCTTTTTTTTTTTTGAGACGGAGTGTCACTGTTGTTGCCTCGGCTGGAGTGCCGTGGCATGATCTTAGCTCACTGTAACCTCCACCTCCTGGGTTCAAGCGATTCTCCTACCTCAGCCTCCTGAGTAGCTGGGATTACAGGTGCCTGCCACCATGCCTGGCTAATTTTTTTTTTTTTTTTTGGAGATATAGTTTTGCTCTTGTCGCCCAGGCTGTAGTACAGTGGCATGATCTCGGCTCACTGCAACCTCCTTCTCTTCTCATGCCTCAGCCTCCCAAGTAGCTGTGATTACAGGCACCCGCCACCACGCCCAGCTAATTTTTATATTTTTAGTAGAGATGAGGTTTCACCATTTTGGTCAGGCTGGTCTCAAACTCCTGACCTCAGGTGATCCACCTGCCTTGGCCTCCCAAAGTGTTGTGATTATAGGCGTGAGCCACTGCACCTGGCCTCAAGTAAATTCTGTTTATTTATTTAAAAAAAAAATTTTTTTTTTTTTTGAAACAGAGTCTCACTCTTGTTGCCCAGGCTGTAGTGCAGTGGTGTGATCTCGGCCCACTGCAACCTCTGCCTCCTGGTTTCAAGCGATTTTCCTGCCTCAGCCTCCTGAGTAGCTGGGATTACAGGTGCACATCGCTACGCCTGGCTGATTTTTGTATTTTTAGTAGAGACGGGGTTTTGTCATGTTGGCCAGGCTGGTCTTAAACTCCTGACCGCAGGTGATCCACCCGCCTTAGCCTCCCAGAGTGTTGAGATTACAGGCGTGAGCCACTGCGCCCAGCCTATTTAAAAAATTTGTTGTGGCTACATAATAGGTGTATATATTTGGGGGGTACCTGAGATGTTTCATTTGACACAGGAATGCAATTCTCAATAAAGAATAAATTCCTGGACCGTGTGCAGTGGCTTACAGCTGTAATTCCAGCAATTTGGGAGGCTGAGGTGGGTGGATCACCTGAGGTCGGGAGTTGAAGACTAGCCTGGCCAACATGGTGAAACGCTGCCTCTTCTAAAAATACAAAAATTAGCTGGGCATGGTGGTGCTGTCCTCTAATCCCAACTACTCGGGAGACTGAGGCAGGAGAATGGCTTGAACCCAGTTGGTGAAGGTTGCAGTGTGCTGAGATCACACCATTGCACTTTATTCTACTTGGGTGACAGAGCGAAACTCTGTCTCAAAAAAAAAAATTCTATTTAAAATAGTGGCCTTGGCCAGGCATGTGGTGGCTCACGCCTGTAATCTCAACACTTTGGGAGGCTGAGGCAGGAGGATTGCTTGAGCCCGGGAGTTCAAGACCAGCCTGGGCAACATGGGGAAACCCCGTCTCTACAAAAAAATGCCAGAGTTAGCCAGGCGTGGTGGCATGTGCCTTGAGAGAATGGGTTAGAGAGCTAGAACAGGTCAGAGACCTTTTTGTCCTATGTGAAAATGTACAATATACAAGAGTTACTCCCTGAAAACTACCCGCATCTCCCACTCCCTAAAAGTCATTTTTGACCTTACAGGGGGCTCATATTAAAATAATTAGGTCAGGCGAGGTGGCTTATGCCTGTAATCTCAGCACTTCGGGAGGCCGAGGCGGGCAGATCACGAGTTCAGGAGTTCAACACCAGCCTGGCCAAATAGTACAACACCGTGTCTACCGAAAATACAAAAATCAGCCGGTCATGGTGGTGGGCACCTGTAGTCCCAGCTACTTGGGAGGCTGAGGCAGGAGAATCACTGGAACCCAGGAGGCGGAGGTTTCAATGAGCCGACATTGTGCCACTGCACTCCAGCCTGGACAACCGAGCGAGACTCCGTCTCAAAAAAAAAAAAAAAAAAAACAACTATTTGATAACCAGTGTTTATAAGCATGTGGAAAAGAAAAAGGTCCTCCTCACTCAAAGAATTAGAGTAAACAAGGGCCGGGCCCTGTGGCTCACACCTCTTACCCAAGCACTTTGGGAGGCTGAGGCGGGCAGATCACCTGAGGTCGGGAGTTCGAGACCAGCCTGACCATCATGGAGAAACCCCCATCTCTATTAAAAATTGAAAATTAGCCGGGCGTGGTGCTGGGCACCTATAATCCCAGCTACTCGGGAGGCTGAGGCAGGAGAATCACTTGAACCTGGGAGGCAGAGGTTGCAGTGAGCCAAGATCGTGCCATTGCACTGTAGCCTGGGCAACAAGAGCGAAATCCCATCTCAAAAAAAAAACAGTAAACCGGGCTGGGCAGGCAAGGGGGCTTCTGCTTGTAATCCTGTCACTTTTGGAGGCCAAAAGTGAAGGATCACTTGAGCCCAGGAGTTTTTGCCTGAAGAACATGTTTCTAGAAAAAAAATAGAAAATTAGCTGGGTGTGGTGGAGCAGCAGTGTTGTGGGAGAGTGATCTGTCAAGACACTGTCGATGTTTTTTTTTTTTTTGAGACAGTGTCTCACTCTCGTCCAGGCTGGAGTACAGTGGCATGATCTCGGCTCACTGCCATCTCTGCCTTCCCGGTTCAAGCAATTTTCCCACCGCAGCCTCCTGAGTAGCTGGGACTACAGGTGCATGTCACCACACCTGGCCAATTTTCTGTATTTTCTTTTTTTTTTTTTTTTGAGACGGAGTTTTGCTTTTGTCGCCCAGGCTGGAGTGCAATGGCGCGATGATCTCGGCTCACTGCAACCTCCGCCTGCCGGGTTCAAGCAACTCTCCTACCTCAGCCTCCCAAGTAGCTGGGATTGCAGGCACGCGCCACCATGCCTGGCTAATTTTTTGTATTTTTAGTAGAGACGGGGTTTTACAATACTGGTCAGGCTGGTCTCAAACTCCTGACCTTGTGATCCATTCGCCTCGGCCTCCCAAAGTGCTGGGATTACAGGTGTGAGCCACCGCGCCCGGCCCAATTTTTTGTATTTTCAGTAGGCAGGGTTTCACCATGTTAGCGAGGATGGTCTCAAGCTCCTGACCTTGTGATCTGCCCGCCTCACTCTCCCAAAGTGCTGGGATTACAGGCGTGATCCATTGCACCTGGCCTACTGTTGGTGTTTTAAACATTTTTTTCCAGAATTCCACTGTTGGGAATGTGTCTTAAGGATATGTGAAAATGAATGCAGAGAAAAGATGTTTATCGTAACTTATTTTAAGAGGAAAAAAAAGATGTAATACAACTATTGAGATAGGATCTTGTTCTGCCCAGGCTGGATTGCAGTGGCGTGCTCATAGCTCACGGTAGCCTCCAACTCCTGGCCTCAAGCTATTCTCCTACTTCAGTCTTCGAAGTTCTGGGATTACAGTCACAAGCCACCATGCCTGGCCTAAAAGTATCTCTGCCTTGTGACTTATTTCTAGAAATCTCTATCCTAAGAAAGTAATTGGAAATACATGGAAACATGGTTATAGTAAAGATGTTTGTGGGCCAGGTGTAGTGGTCCATGCCTGTAATCCAAGAGCTTTGGGAGACTAGGGTGGGTGGGTCGCATGAGCCCAGTTGGAGACTAGCCTGGGCAAGATGACAAACCCTGTCTGTACACAAAATACCAAAAAAATTAGCCAGACAAGGTGGCCTGCAACTATAGTCCCAGCTACTCGAGGGGCTGAGGCTGGAGGATCAGTTGAGCCCGGAGGATCAAGGCTGAAGTGAGCTGTGCTTGCACCACTGTGCTCCAGCCTGGAGAACAGAACAAGAGTCTGTCTCAGATAAATGAATGAATGGATAAATGATACTTATGACAAAATTGTTTATGAGATTGAAATTTGGATCAAGAAAAATGCCCAAGAAGAGAAATGAGTGAATAAATTATAATGAACCTATATGATAGACTCTGCCCTTCAAACTAATGTTTGTGAAACCTGTCTAATGATTTCAAATTGCTTATGATAGGCAGGGCTCAGTGGCTCACACCTGTAATCCCAGCACTTTGGGAGGCTGAGGTGGGTGGATCATGAGGTCAGGATACCAGCCTGACCAACATGGTGAAACACTGTCTCTACTAAAAATATAAAAATTAGCTGGGTGTGGTGGTGCGCACCTGTAATCCCAGCTACTCAGGAAGCTGAGGCAGGAGAATAGCTTGAACCCAGGAGGCAGAGGTTGCAGTGAGCCGAGATCGTGCCATTGCACTCTAGCCTGGGCGACAGAGCAAGACTCCATTTCAAAAAAAAAACAATTGCTCATGAGAACACAAAACAAAGACACAAAATATAAAGCTGTAACGATTTCAACTCAAGCCAGGCACAGTGGCTCACTCCTGTAATCCCAGCACTTTGGGAGGCTGAGGTGGGCAGATCACAAGATCAGGAGATGGAGACCTTCCTGGCCAAGATAGTGAGACCCCATCTCTACTAAAAATAGAAAATATTAGCCAGGTGTGATGGTGGGCACCTGTAATCCCAGCTACTTTGGAGGGTGAGGCAGGAAAATCGCTTGAACCTGGGAGGCAGAGATTGCGGTGAGCCGAGATTGCGCCACTGCACTCCAGTCCAGGAAACAGTGCGAGACTTGGTCTCAAATAAAGAAAAAAAGAAAAAAGATTTCTGCCGGGTGCGGTGGCTCACGCCTGTAATCTCAGCACTTTGGGAGGCCGAGGCAGACGGATTGCATGAGGTCAGGAGTTCGAGACCAGTCTGACCAACATGGTGATAACCTGTCTCTAATAAAAATACAGAAATAAAATTAGCCAGGTGTTGTGGTGTGCACCTGCAATCCCAGGTACTTGGGAGGCTGAGGCAGGGGAATTGCTTGAGCCTGGGAGGCAGAGGTTGCAGTGAGCTCAGATGTTGCCTCTACACTCCAGCCTGGGTGACAAGATGACGCTGTGTCTCCCTGTCCCCTTCCAAAAAAAAAATTGTGGGCCTTTATTTTCTGCCTGGACCATCACCTTAAGCTTGATGGATGGAACTCCTGGCACATTTCTACCCAGGATCCTCCCAGTACTCAGTTGTTTTACCTGGGAGAAGATACCCTCCCTGTCCTCATCATTGGCTGCTTCCAGCCTGAGTCAGCCTCAGCCTGACCACAAAAGACCCAGGCCTTGATATGTTTTATCTGGAAGTTGCCTAGGAAAGGATGTGTGCTATATTTGTTATAAGGCAGTCTATAAATAAACTAAGTTTCTCAACTTGTAAACTGTCAAACAGCAATATTAATCATATTAAGCTCTGAAAAAGTTACAGATGGCCAGGTGTGCGCTCACGCCTGTAATCCCAGTACTTTGGTGGGAGGCAGAGGCCGGAAGATTGCTTGAGCCCAGGAATTCGAGACCAGCCTGGGCAAAGTCTCTACAAAATCAGAAATGTTAGCTGGGTGTAGTGACGTGTTCCTATAGTCCTACCTGCTTTGGAGGCTGAGGTGGAAGGATGGTTTGAACCTGAGAGGTCAACGCTAAAGTGAGCCGTGATCGTGCCACTGTATTCTAGCCTGGGTGACAGAGCAAGATCCTCTCGGGAAAAAAAAAAAAGGTATATTTCTTTAGTGTTCACATGTTGAAAATGTAATGAATGTGTCTTTGTAATTCACCAAAAGTGTAATTAACCTTTACTCCCATGTTGTCTGGCCATGTGATGTTTTGAAAAGTTTTCAAAACAACATATATGGGCTCATTTCAAAGCTGTTTTTAATATACCACATGAGACCAGTTCTGATTGTATGTAGTTTTCCTGTCTTACAGTTGTCCAGTATAAGAGTGACATTTTTCTAGGTCAAATGTCTTGAGTTAGAGTCCCTGTGTGACCCTGGGCAAGTTATTTCACCTTCTTTTTTTCATCTATAAACTGGGCTGACGATGGCTGCCTCAGATTTGTGAGGATGAAGTGCAGGTCTTTGGAGCCAGACCACAAGGGTCCTTGGATCCTGACTCCATTGCTTACTTAGTGGTTTGGTAGCTGTGCTTCACTTTCATCATCCATGCAATGGAGACCCGACGAGCTCCTCTGCGGCTGTGTTTTTTGAGATGGAGTTTCGCTCTTGTTGCCCAGGTTGGAGTGCAATGGCACGATCTCAGCTCACTGCAACCTCCGCCTCCCGAGTTCAAGTGATTCTCCTGCCTCAGCCTCCTGAGTAGTTGGGATTACAGGCATGCACCACCACGCCTGGGTAATTTTGTATTTTTAGTAGAGATGGGGTTTCTCCTTGTTGGTCAGGCTGATCTCAAACTCCTGACCTCAGGTGATCCACCCACCTCAGCCTCCCAAAGTGCTAGGATTACAGGCGTGAGCCACCGCGCCCGGCCCCTCTGCGGCTCTTTGGAGGTGTTTAGCGCACGTGCCTAGTGCAGCACAAGGGCACCTGTCTGCTGTGACAGTTCTGACTGACATCATGGGCTTTTCTCAGGCTCAGTGACCACCGGCCTGTGTCAGTGCTGCTGGGCCGGGAGAGCTGGTAACAGCACCAGGCAGTCCGTGTGTGGAGGGACAGCCTCCTCAGTGGAGATGACGTGTGCTGATATTGTCCAGTTTTGCCATACTGTTAGGACACAAGTCTTTGTGCTGGTGCTGTCTGTGCTCAGGGGCTTTTAGGGTTTATGTTTCATAACGCTACTCAGAGATAGAGAGAGATTGGGTGACTTTCTAGTAAGTGGTAGGTTGTGATTAGGACTTAATTTTTGGAATCGAATGTCTTTTTTTTATCATTTAGATCTGCTCTTTTAAGAAACAGGCTAAAGTTGAGAAACACTTTGAAGGGAGAGGGCAGTAGAACAGAAAGCCACCTTTTAAAGAACTTGGCAGCTCTTGGTTGGCTTGTTCTCTGTTGTGAAGTTTACCATTTATAGTTGTTGTTTTCTGTTTGAGCCAGTCTTGCTCTGTCGCCCAGGCTGGAGTGCAGTGGCGTGATCTTGGCTCACTGCAACCTCCGCCTCCCAGGTTCAAGCGATTCTCCTGCCTCAGCCTCCCTTGTAGCTGGGATTCACCTCGTAAGGCGAATTAACCTTAGCATATGATAGTTCTTTTAGTGTTTCCCACCACCCTTTTCAGAGTAAGCAATTAGACGTCTAGAGTTTCTTTTCCTCTATCTCTTTGGGTAAATAGCAACCAGTGGTGCCCGCCACCACGCCTGGCTAATTTTTTGTATTTTTAGTAGAGATGGGGTTTCACCATACTGGCCAGGCTGGTCTCAGACTCCCAAAGTGTTGGGATTACAGGCGTGAGCCACCGTGCTGGGCCTACCATTTAGTGTTCTTTTTTTTTTTTTGAGACGGAGTGTTGCCCTGTCACCCAGGCTGGAGTGCAGTGGCACACAGTCTCTGCTCACTGCAAGCTCTACCTCCCGGGTTCATGCCATTGTCCTGCCTCAGCCTCCCGGGTACCTGGGACTATAGGCGCCCGCCACCACGCCCGGCTAATTTTTTGTATTTTTAGTAGAGACGGGGTTTCACTGTGTTAGCCAGGGTGGTCTCGATCTCCTGACCCCGTGATCCGCCCACCTCAGCCTCCCAAAGTGCTGGGATTACAGGCGTGAGCCACCACGCCCGGCCACCATTTAGTTTTTAGGTTATCAGACATCTGAGTCCATAGCCAATTTGGATTCTGCTTAAGGTGCAGGTAATTGCTTTGATGGGTTTAGGTATTGGGAGAGTTGTCAGCTGCCTATTTCCCATTTGACCCCTCGAGTGAATCCCTGAATCTGTCTCAGGTTGGTGATTGATTGCTCAGCTTGAGCAGACAGTACAGGGCCACTGTGTGGGTGAACCTGGAGCATCTCAGACTGGTCTGTTAGGGGCTGTTGTCTGAGGTAAGCACAGAAGAGAAGGCACAGTGACCCTTGTCAGCTCCTTAATACTTGGATCCTGATGAGCTCCAGCCAGCTCTTCACCTTTCCAGAAAGTCCAGTGTACAGGTGCATAGAAGCAGTCAAATGCCGGATCATTTGTTTTCCTGATTCTTTGATTTGAACATACTGAAATGTTGACTAGAGAATATCTGGGTGACCAACAAGAAGCAGTTTATGTATTTTTTTGAGAGGGAGTCTCGCTCTTGTTGCCCAGGCTGGAGTGCAATGGCGCGATCTCAGTTCACTGCAACCTCTGCTTCCCAGGTTCAAGCAGTTCTCCTGCCTCAGCCTCCGAAGTAGCTGGGATTACAGGCATGCACCACCACTCGTGGCTAATTTTGTATTTTTAGTAGAGATGGGGTTTCTCCATGTTGGTCAAGCTGGTCTCGAACTCCTGACCTCAAGTGATCCACCCGCCTTGGCCTCCCAAAGTGCTGGGATTACAGGCGTGAGCTACCACGCCTGGCCAAGAGGCAGTTTTTGAATTCCAAAATTATGGAGTGATATCTGGGAGTCAGCCTTCATCAGTGATGCTGCTTGTGCTTTCTCCAGCTTCTTGGGAGACTGGGCACCAGGAGACTTGGAGGTTCTTCCCTATCTTACCTACTCCCAAGTATGCATGTTTTTGAAAAAAATATTTAAGATTTCTAGAGAAGATCACAATCTTCTCCAGTGTCTGTGTAATCCATTGTGGAGCAGTTTATTACAGCTGACCTACTGTCTCCTGTCTGTTTTAGGAGCGGTGACTTAGGTTATCACCCCTTAGTGTTTTCCTGTCATCTGCCTTCTCATCTCCACCTAAAATTTAGTTTTTGGTAAAAGATCATGCTATCTAACCTTGTCATCATTGCAAAACAAACTTATTTATGTTTATCATGATGCTGACATTAGCAAGCTGACTCATGGTTTAATGTTAGTGTTTCTTACTACTGGTCACTGGCTGACAGTCGGAAAAGTGATGCCCTATTTTTTTTTTTTTTTTTTGAGATGGAATCTTGCTCTGTTGCCCAGGCTGGAGTGCAGTGGTGCCATCTCGGCTCACTGCAACCTCTTCCTCCCAGGTTCAAGCGATTCTTCTGCCTCAGTCTCCTGAGTAGCTGGAACTACAGGTGCATGCTACCACGCCCAGCTAATTTTTATGTTTTTAGTAGAGATGGGGCTTCACTGTATTGGGAAGGCTGGTCTTGAACCTCTGACCTCATGGATCCTCCCGCCTCGGCCTCCCAAAGTGCAGGGATTACAGGTGTGAGCCACTGGGCCCTGCCTTTTTTTGTTTTTGTTTTTGTTTTTGATACGGAGTCTTGCTCTGTTGCCTAGGCTGGAGTGTGGTGGTCTGGTCTCAGTTCACTACAACTTCTGCCTCCGAGGCTCAAGCGATTCTCCTGCCTCAGCCACCTGAGTAGCTGGGATTACAGGCACCCGCTATCATGCCCAGCTAATTTTTGTATTTTTATTAGAGACCATGTTGGCTAGACTGGTCTTGAACTCCTGACCTCATGATCCGCCCACCTTGGCCTCACAAAGTGCTGGGATTACAGGTGTGAGCCACTGCGTCCGGTCCTGTCTCTGTTTTTATCTGAAATTATGTTAGCCTTTGCCTAGTTATGGTGAATTAACCTTAGCATATGATAGTTCTCTTAATGTTTCCCACCACCCTTTTCAGAGTAAGCAATTTGACGTCTACAGCTTCTTTTCCTTTATCTCTTTGGGTAAATAGCAACCAATTTTTCCTGCTACTTTAGATAGTAGGCAATAACAAAATGTATTCATAGCTCTCAGTAATATTTGTTCTATTGTTTTGTTTTTGAGGTGAAAGGGGGGACCCTACCCTCAGAACATGAGGGAATAATATTTACGTGGCTCACAAAGACCAGTGAGTACATCATATGCATCTCTCACAACTCCCCAGAAGAGGGCCTCCAGCACGAGTCTAGGCTCAGCCTTTTCTGTCCCTCCGAGAACTCTATGAATTGCTGCCAAGTGTTTTAATTTTCCTCAGAATTTCTTTGTAATGTTATTGAGGGTTGGAGGTCCTTTTACAAATTTTGGAAATAAGTAAATCAAATGAGAAGACCATGCTTCCAAACAATCATTCTGTTTAACAGATCCCCTTGATTTAATGCAATTATGAATGCGTTAGTGGTAGTGTAGTTTAAGATCTTTCCCTTGAATGTACAGGCTTTAAAGAAACGAACCTAGGAGTGTATTTCCTATCAAGCAAATGGGTTCTAAGACTTTACGCTTTACACATCATTGATTATAGCGCTGTGCTTTTCCCGTGCTAGGCAATGGATCACTTGGAGTCCTTTATTGCTGAATGTGATCGGAGAACTGAGCTCGCCAAGAAGCGGCTGGCAGAAACACAGGAGGAAATCAGTGCGGAAGTTTCTGCAAAGGTATGCTTGGGTGGCTTCGGTGTCTGGTGTGTTCTTAAAAATACTGGCTTGTCAATAGCTTTTTTTTTTGAGATGGAGTCTCCCTCTGTCACCCAGGCTGGAGTGCAGTGGCATGATCTCAGCTCAGTGCAAGCTCCGCCTCCCGGGTTCATGCCATTCTCCTGCCTCAGCCTCCCGAGTAGCTGGGACTGCAGACGCCCGCCACCATGCCCGGCTAATTTTTTGTATTTTTAGTAGAGACGGGGTTTCACCGTGTTAGCCGGTATGGTCTTGATCTCCTGACCTCGTGATCTGCCTGCCTCAGCCTCCCAAAGTGCTGGGATTACAGGCGTGAGCCACCGCGCCCGGCGTTGTCAATAGCTATTAACTGACCCTCAGCACTGATTGTGTGGACAGTACTCTCTGCCTTACTCCAGTTAAGGATAGAGGGCTGTGATCAAGCATTCATGTGTCATGGAATTCTCATCCCTCAGGAGCTGCTACCTCTGTCTTTTTATTCTCTCCATTTTCGTCCTCTGTACATGGTTTATCATTATTTTTTAATTTTAATATATTCTTCGCTGAGTTTGGTGGCTTATGCTTGTAGTCCCAGCACTTTGGGACACCAAGGTGGGGGCAGACTGCTTGAGCCCAGGAGTTTTAGACCTGAGCAACATGAAGAAACCCCATCTCTACAAAAAATACATATATTAGCCAGGCTTGGTGGTGCACATGTGTATCCCAGTTACTCAGGAGGCTGAGGTGGGAGGATCACTTGAGCTTGGGGAGATTGAGGCTTCAATGAGCTGTGATCATGCTACTTTGCTTCAGCCTGGATAACAGAGTGAGACCCTGCCTCAAAAGAAAAAAAAATTATTGTCGGTTTTTTTTTTTTTTTAAGAGACAGAGTCTTGTTCTGTCGCCCAGGCTGGAGGGCAGTGGCGTGATCTCGACTCACTGCAAGCTCCGCCTCCTGGGTTTACGCCATTCTCCTGCCTCAGCCTCCTGAGTAGCTGGGACTACAGGTGCCCACCACCACGCCCAGCTAATTTTTTGTATTTTTAGTAGAGACGGGGTTTCACTGTGTTAGCCAGGATGGTCTCGATCTCTTGACCTCGTGATCTGCCCGCCTCGTTTTCCCAAAGTACTGGGATTACAGGCATGAGCCACTGCACCCAGCCATCTTTTTTTTTTTTTTTTTTTTTTTTAATAAAGATGGAGTCTGTTGCCCAAGCTGGTCTGGAACTCTTGGGCTTAAGCAATCCTCCCGCCTTGTCCTCCCGAAGTGCTGGGATTACAGGTGTGAGCCAGCATGCCCAGCCTCTGCATGTTGTTTTAAACTTTAATATCTCCACATAAAACTGGAAAGAATTGGTAAGGAAATGGTCAAACTGTGGTACATCCATATCATAGAATGAAAAGGAGGTAGATTTATATGTAATTAGACTGAGTGCCATTTACATCACTCTTCTGTTTTTCTCTTCAGTGGAACTAAGCCTCTCCTTGTTTTTTCTTTTCAGTGTTGTAAAAGCATTTCTTAGGATTTATGCAATTGCTAATTTGACCAACGGTGCTATTTTGTTTCAGAAGGTAAATCCTAGTAATTAGGTATTTTGGTTACAGCTTAAATCTGTACATTTAAACCTAGGCATTTTATTACCATACCCAGAAGAAAAAGTCATAAAGAGAGACAGCCTAGACAATGACCAATCTGTGATGATCCTTGGAAGCATGTCGGAAGTGACAAAGGTGCCACTGGTTTCATTGGAACATAGGACTCGTTTATGGTTACAGTCTCAATGCTGGCAGTAAGGATGCCTTCATTGTTAAGTGTGGATCTTTAGCTCTTCCACTTATTTTCAGACTGGAAATGGAGCAGGAGAAACCCTTGTTGCCTTTGCATTCACTTTCATTTTCAGATGTCTGCTTACCTCATTCTTTCTCCTCACAGGCAGAAAAAGTACATGAGTTAAATGAAGAAATAGGAAAACTCCTTGCTAAAGCCGAACAGCTAGGGGCTGAAGGTAATGTGGATGAATCCCAGAAGATTCTTATGGAAGTGGAAAAAGTTCGTGCGAAGAAAAAAGAAGCTGAGGTTGGTGAGATAAGTGCCTTAGGGCAAGAGAAATCTTAGTAATTTGGCAGCGTTGACCGTTGGAATTAATTGAGCCCATGCTTGCTCCCATTTTTTAAAAAATTTATACATTTTGGGCCCAGCACAGTGGCTCACGCCTGTCATCCCAGCACTTTGGAAGGCCGAGGCGGGCGGATCACGAGGTCAGGAGATAAGACCATCCTGGCTAACACAGCGAATCCCCGTCTCTACTAAAAATACAAAAAAATTAGCCGGGCATGGCGCCAGGCACCTGTAGTCCCAGCTGCTCCGGAGGCTGAGGAAGGAGAATGGCGTGAACCCGGGAGGCGGAGCTTGCAGTGAGCTGAGATTGCGCCACTGCACTCCAGCCTGGGCGACAGAGCGAGACTCTGTCTCAAAAAAATTTATAAACGCTGTTTTTGCAAGCAGTTTTAGCTTCATAGCTAAATTGAGAGGAAAGTACAGAGATTCTCCATGTACCCTCTCCTCAGACAGCCTCCTCCATTCCTAGCATCTGCCCACAGTCAGTGGGTCTACGTTGACTTGTCATTATCACCCAAAGTCTGCAGAAAATGTTAGGTATGTCATGAATACATAAAATATATGAGGATACTAGTCTTTTATTTACTGCCATAAAATATACACAAGTCTATTATGAAAAGGTAACATTTGTCAAAACTTAAGCATATGGCCAGCTATGGTGGCTCTTGGCTTTAGTCTCAGCTGTTCGGGAGGCTGAGATGAGAGGATCCCTTAATCCTAGGACTTTTGGAGTCCAGCCTGGATAACATAGCAAGACCCTGTCTCTAAAAAAGAAGAGGCTACATGCAAACGCTTACAGACCATACATGACAGCATTCGCCGTAGAGAGATGTTAACAAACGTAGTGCAGAGGTGCAGTATTAAATCAGGGCTGCCTAAGAATAACTGTAATAGGTACTGTACTACTGTAATAATTCATGCCACTTCCTGTTGCCATTGTGTGGAGCTCAAGGGTCGTGAGTATCCCCTTGAAACACCACGTGACACTCATCATCTCCGAAGGAGCAGTTCACCTCTCCAGTACATTCCTACTGCAGTAAAAAGTGAACTCACAGGGTTCCTAGGCGTTTTTCATCGTGTTTAGTGCAATACCATAAACTTTGAGTAATGCCATAGGATCCATATGCCACTAGTGATGCTGAAAATGCTCCCAAGAAGGCAAGAACAGCCATGATATTACAAGAAAAAGTTGAGTTGCTTGATGTATACATTAGATTGAGGTCTGCAGCTGCAGTTGCTACCATTTCAGACGGACAATTCATCTTGTAAATGAGCAGTGTAAACGTACAGAAGTGATCAGTACAGCACAGTACTATAAATGTATTTTATTTTCTCTTCCTTATAATTTTCTCTCTTTTTTTTTTTTTTGAGATGGAGTCTCGCTCTGTCCCCCAGGCTGGAGTGCAGTGGTGCGATCTCAGTTCACTGCAAGCTCCGCTTCCTCGGTTCACACCATTCTCCTGCCTCAGCCTCCAGAGTAGCTGAGACTACAGGCGCCCACCACCACGCCCGGCTAATTTTTTTGTACTTTCAGTAGAGATGGGGTTTCACTGTGTTAGCCAGGATGGTCTCAATCTGACCTCGTGGTCCACCCGCCTCGGTCTCCCAAACTGCTGGGATTACAGGAGTGAGCCACCATGCTCGGCCCATGGCTAATTTTTTTTTTTTTTTTTCATTTCTAGTAGGGATGGGGTTTCACCGTGTTGGCCAAGCTGGTCTCAAACTTCTGACCTCAGGTGATCCGTCTGCCTTGGCCTCCCAAAGTGCTGGGATCACAGGCGTGAGCCACTTCGCCAGGCCATTTGATACCTTTTATGAGTCTTGTAATTTTTCTCATAGTGAAGATCTCATGCATGTTTTGTTAGATTTCTACCTAAATATTTCATGCTTGCGGGTGCTGGTGTAATTGGTCATTTGTTTTTTGGTTTTTGTTTTTGTGTTTTTTTGAGATGGAGTCTCATTCATTCGCCCAGGCTGGAGTGCAGTGGCGTGATCTCGGCTCACTGCAACCTCCGCCTCCCGGGCTCAAGCGATTCTCCTGCCTCAGCCTCCCGAGTAGCTGAGACTATAGGCGTGTGCCACCATACCTGGCTAATTTTTTGTGTTTTTAGTAGAGATATGATTTAACCGTGTTAGCCAGGATGGCCTCTATCTCCTGACCTCATGATCCGCCTGCCTTGGCCTCTCAAAGTGCTGGGATTACAGGTGTGAGCCACCGCGCCCAGCCCTCCCCACCTCCACCCCGCCCCCCGCCCTGAGACGGTCTCACTTTCTCACCCAGGCTGGAGTGCAGTGGCGCGATCTTGGCTCACTGAAGGCTTGATCTCCTGGGCTCATTTGATTCTCCCGCCTCAGCCTTTCAAATAGCTAGGACTGAAGGCACATGCCACCAAGCCCAGCTAATTTTTTGTATTTTTTGGAGAGACTGGGTTTCGCCATGTTGTCAAGGCTGGTCTTGAAATCCTTGGCTCAAGCGATCTGCCTAGCTCTGCTTCCCAAAGTGCTGGGATTAGAGTCATGAGTCACCATGATGCCTGGCCTCTTGTAATACCTTTATCTGGTTTTGGTATTATGGTAATGTCCCCATAGAAGGAGTTAGAAGATACTCTCTCTGCTTCTATTTTCTGAAAGCGATTGTAGAGAATTGGCATGATTTGCTCCCTAATGCTTTGGTAGAATTCACCAGTAAACCCATCTGGACCTGATGCTTTCTGTTTTGGAAGGTTATTAATATACAGATTCATTCAGATCATCTGTTTCTTCTTGTGTGAGTTTTGGCAGATTGTGTCTTTCAACATTATTATACTTTTTTTTTACACGGAGTCTCTCTCTGTTGCCCAGGCTGGAGTGCGGTGGTGCGATGGCTCGCTGCAACCTCCAACTCCTGGGTTCAACTGATTATCCTGCCTCAGCCTCCTGAGCAGCTGAGATTACAGGTGCCTGCCACCATGCCCAGCTAATTTTTGTATTTTTAGTAGAGAAGACGGGGTTTCACCATGTCGGTCAGGCTGGTCTCAAACTCCTGACCTCAAGTGATCCACCTGCCTCAGCCTCCCACAGTGCTGGGATTACAGGCGTGAGCCACTGCTCCTGGCTGTCTTTGAAGGGATCGGTCCATTTCATCTAGTTTATCGCTTTTGTGGGCATGGAGTTGTTGTTTTTAAGAGTTGTTTGTATTATTCCTTTAAAGTGGGTGGATCCGTAATGATGTCCTGTCTTTCATTTCTGATATTAGTACAGTCATATCTTTCTTAATGACAAGGATTAAATATTCTGAGAAGTGCGTTCCATGGTTCATCATTGTGAGAACATTATAGAGTGTGCTTAACAAACCTGGGTGGTATAGCCATGTGGGCTGTATGGTAGAGCCCATTGCTCCTAGGCTCCACACCTGTACAGCATGTTACTGTGCTGAATACTATAGGCAGTTGCAACACAGTGGGCCCCTAAATATTTGTGTACGTAAACATAGAAAAGGTACAGTAAAAATACAGTATAAAAGATAAAAAATAACACTTGATACGGTTTGGATGTGTGGCACGTCCAAATCTCATGTTGAAATGTGACCTCCAATGTTGGAGGTGGGGTCTAGTGGGAGGTGTTTGGGTCATGGGGGTGGTTCACTCATCAATGGCTTGGTGCCCTCCCTGGGATAGTGAGTTCACCTCAGAGCTGATTGTTTAAAGGAGCCTAGGTCCTTCTCTCTGTCTCACTCCTTCTTTTGCCATGTGATATGCTGACTCCCCTTTTGCTGCCTTCTGCCCAGCGTAAAAGCTTATGGAGGGTGGGTATGGTGGCTCATGCCTGTAATCTCAACACTTTGGAAGGTCGAGGCAGGAGGATTGCTTGAGTCCAGGAGTTTGAGACCAGCCTGGGCAACATAGGGATACCCCATCTTTACAAAGAAATTAAAAATATGGCCGGGCACGGTTGCTCATGCCTGTAATCCCAGCACTTTGGGAGGCCAAGGTAGGTGCATCACCTGAGGTCAGGAGTTCGAGACCAGCCTGGCCAACTTGGTGAAACCCCATTTCTACTAAAAGTATAAAAATTAGCCAGGTGTGGTGGCGGGCACCTGTAATCCCAGCTACTTGGGAGGCTGAAGTAGGAGAATCGCTTGAACCCAGAAGGCGGAGGTTGCAGCGAACAGAGATCGTGCCATTGCACTCCAATATGGGTGACAGAGCAAGACTCTCTCTCAAAAAAAAAAAAAAAAAAAAAAAAGCCTGGTGCGGTGGCTCACGCCTGTAATCCCATCACTTTGGGAGGCTGAGGCGGGTGGATCACGAGGTCAGGAGATCGAGACCATCCTGGCTAACATGGTGATACTCCGTCTCTACTAAAAATACAAAAAATTGGCCGGGCGTGGCGGCGTGCGCTTGTAGTCCCAGCTACTCAGGAGGCTGAGGCAGGTGAATGGTGTGGACCCGGGAGGCAGAGCTTGTAGTGAGCTGAGATCGTGCCACTGCATTCCAGGCTGGGCGACAGAGCGAGACTCCGTCTCAAAAAAAAAAAAAAAGTTATGTAAATGGAATCATACAGTAGGTAACCTTTTGGGACTGACTTTTTTTACTCAACATAATCAGAGTTTATTTTGAAAGATGTTAGAAGGTGGCATTTAAGGTTTCAAAACTATAGAAGGGGACAGAGTAATGTTATGAATATTTGTGTACCACAATATTGTTTTTGCTTAAGTTTTTTTTTTTTTTTTTTTTTTTTAGTTATGTAGCATACTATAATGGAAATTCAAGTTCTTGCTAGTTCCTTGTCTACTTTTTTTTTTTTTTTTTTCTCAGACAGAGTCTCGCTCTGTCGCCCAGGCTGGATTGCTGTGGTGCGATCTCGGCTCACTGCATCCTCTGACTCCCGGGTTCAAGTAATTCTCAGACTCAGCCTCCCGAGTAGCTGGGATTACAGGTGCCAGCCACCGTGCCCAGCTAATTTTTTTGTATTTTTAATAGAGACGGGGTTTCACCTTCTCGGACTCCTGACCTTGTGATCCACCTGCCTTGGCCTCCCAAAGTGCTGGGATTGCAGGTGTTAGCCACTGTGCCCAGCCTATTTTTTTTAATATTAGAGGGTCCTGCTGTCAGCCAGGGTCACCCAGGCTGAAGTACAGTGGCGCAGTCACAGGTCACTGCCCCTTCAACCTCCTGGGCTCAAGCAGTCCTCTCGAATCAGTCTCTTGAGTAGGTGGGACTATAGGCACGTGCCACCACAGCGGGCTAATTATTTTCTTATTTTTAGAGACTGAGTCTTGCTGTGTTGCTCAGGGTGATCTCAATCTCCTGGGGCCAAGTGATCTTCTTGCTTCACTCTCCTAAAGTGCTGAGATTATAGGTGTGAGTCACTACACCAGGCCTGGAATACAATTTTTTTTTTTTCCTTTTTGGAGTTTTCCTCTGTCCTCCAGGTTGGAATGCAGTGGTGTGATCTCAGCTCACTGCAACCTCCACCTCCTGGGCTTAAACAATTTGTGCCTCAGCCTCTCCAGTAGCTGGAATTACAGATGCCTGCCACCATCTGGCTTTTTTTTTTTTTTTTTCTTTTGAGACGGAGTCTCGCTCTTTCGCCCAGTGGCATGATCTTGGCTCACTACAAGCTCCGCCTGCCGGGTTCACGCCATTCTCCTGCCTCAGCCTCCTGAGTAGCTGGGACTACAGGCGCCCGCCACCACGCCCAGCTAATTTTTTCTGTTTTTTTAGTAGAGACGGGGTTTCACCGTGTTAGCCAGGATGGTCGTGATCTCCTGACCCCATGATTCGCCTGCCTCAGCCTCCCAAAGTGCTGGGATTACAGGCGTGAGCCACCGCGCCCGGCCAATTTTTGTATTTTTAGTAGAGACAGGGTTTTGCTATGTTGCCAGGCTCGTCTTGAACTCCTGGCCTCAAGTGATCTGTCTGCCTTGGCCTCGGAATGCTGGGATTACAGGCGTGAGCCACTGAGCCCAGCCTGTTAGTACCTTTTTTTTTTAAGATGGAGTCTCGCTCTGTTGCCAGGCTGGAATGCAGTGGCACGGTTTTGGCTCACTGCAACCTCCGCTTCCCAGGTTCAAGTGATTCTCCTGCCTCAGCCTCCTGAGTAGCTGGGACTACAGGCATGTGCCACCACACCCAGCTGATTTTTGTATTTTTAGTAGAGACGGGGTTTCACAAAGTTGGCCAGGATGGTCTCGATCTCTCTTTTTTTTTTTTTTTTTTTTTTTGAGACAGGGTTTTGCTCTTGTTGCCTGTGCGATCTCAGCTCAACAGCAACCTCCGCCTCCCGAGTTCAAGCCATTCTCCTGCCTCAGCCTCCAGAATAGCTGGGATTACAGGCATGCGCCACCACACCCGGCTACTTTTGTATTTTTAATAGAGATGGGGTTTCTCCATGTTGGTCAGGCTGATCTTGAACTCCGGACCTCAGGTGATCCGCCAGCCTCAGCCTCCCAAAGTGCTGGGATTACAGGCGTGAGCCACCGCGCCTGGCCTGGTCTTGATCTCTTGACCACATGGTCCGCCCACCTGGCCTCACAAAGTGCTGGGACCGTGCCTGGCCGCGTTTCTTAAATAAACAGTGAAAATTGAGTTGGTTATAAATATCTGAAGTTTTGTTTGTGTTTTTTTAATATTTGTTTAAAAGTCACCTCTGTCATCTTATCAAATATTTTCATTTTGGAGATTGAATTTGTGGTGGCAGTTCTATATACCTCACTTTTATTTCTCCATTTTCCTTCTTCAGGAAGAATACAGAAATTCCATGCCTGCATCCAGTTTTCAGCAGCAAAAGCTGCGTGTCTGCGAGGTCTGTTCAGCCTACCTTGGTCTCCATGACAATGACCGTCGCCTGGCAGACCACTTCGGTGGCAAGTTACACTTGGGGTTCATTCAGATCCGAGAGAAGCTTGATCAGTTGAGGGTATGTTCATCTGTTTCTGGAGAAAGCTGAGGAGTCTTGGGGTGTTTTCACATTTCTTTAATTTTTAAAAACCTTATGTTTTGGCCGGGCGTGGTGGCTGATGCCTATAATCCCAGCACTTTGGGAGGCCGAGGTGGGCGAATCACCTGAGGTCAGGAGTTCGAGACCAGCCTGACCAACATGGTGAAACCCCGTCTCTACCGAAAAATTAGCCAGGTGTGTTGGTGTGAGCCTGTAATCTTAGGTACTCGGGAGGCTGGGGCAGAAGAATTGCTTAAACCCAGGAGGCAGAGGTTGCAGTGAGCCGAGATCATGCCATTGCATTCCAGCCTGGGCTATAGAGTAAGACTCCATCTCAAAAAAAAAACAAAAAACATTATGTTCTGATCTCTAAGAACTTGAGTTTTATAGTGAAATACGCAGATTTCATCACTTGGATTCACACAAGAGACATGATAGCTCAGAGTCCAAAGGAGCCTTGGAGATTTATTTTGGACCCTGTCGTTAAGGGAAGAAAATGGCAGAGCCTGTTCCCAGAATACATACAGCTCGTTGTGTATCTCTGAAATAACTTCTGTTAGGAGATGAGAAAGAATCTCTGGTTGGTCAAGACAGAGTGTCACACATCCTGGCTCCTTGCCTATGAGCCACCTCAGAAGGGCGGGGTGAAGATGGGGTTTTTCTGGTAGCATTGTACCATCCCAGCCCAGAGAAAACCTCTGTTCCTTCTTCAAGACTCTAAGACATTTAAAAACTTTTTTTTTTTTTTTTTTTTTTTTTTTTGAGATGGAGTCTCGCTCTGTCGCCCAGGCTGGAGTGCAGTGGCCCAATCTCGGCTTACTGCAAGCTCCGCCTCCCAGGTTCACACCATTTTCCTGCCTCAGCCTCCACAGTAGCTGGGACTACAGGTGCCTGCCACCACGCCCGGCTAATTTTTGTTGTTGTTGTTGTATTTTTAGTAGAGACGGGGCTTCATCGTGTTTGCCAGGATGGTCTCGATCTCCTGACCTCGCGATCCGCCCGCCTCAGCCTCCCAAAGTGCTGGGACCACAGGCGTGAGCCACCGCACCCGGCCGACATTTAAAAACTTTAAGTACGGAATGCTAAGAAGGAAGGTTGGACGTATTTCCACTACTTTGAATTGTCTCCCTTCACACTGATGGAGCCCCCCTTACCGCATACTAGGACCTCAGGATAGGATGGTGGGAAATTAGCCAGCCTCCCCCTGTATACCTGAAATGTAGTGGAGGGACAGACGTGTCGCTGACTGCAGAATGCTGCAGTGACCACGGCTGAGGGCCTTTTGTGCCCCAGGAAAGAGCTGCTCACTCAGGCCGCATATGGCAGGGCTGTGCACCTCAGGAGGGTCCCATAGGTGATGGTGTGAACCTGGGACTGTGATGGGAGCTGGTGCAGCAGTGAGGTTATTCTCGGCCACTGGTCTTGAAACATTTTACTTCCGTGTTCCCGAGAGAATTTTGAAAAGCAATGTACTCTGTCAAAGTTGGAATTTTTCTTTATAAGTTTATAGGTATGAAAGATGTAAAAGTGAGGCTGGGTGTGGTGGCTCACGCCTGTAATCCCAAACTTCGGGAGGCCGAGGCAGGTGGATCACGAGGTCAGGAGTTGAAGACCAGCCTGGCCAACATAGTGAAACCCCGTCTTTACTAAAAATACAAAAATTAGCCAGGCATGGCAGCGGGCGCCTGTAATCCTGGCTACTCGGGAGGCTGAGGCAGGATAATTGCTTGACCTGGGAGGCAGAGGTAGCAGTGAGCTGAAATTGTGCCACTGCACTCCAGCCTACGAGACAGAGCAAGACTCCGTCTCAAAAAAAAAAAAAAAAAAAAAAAAGGCTGGGTGCAGAGGCTCAGCCTCCTGTAATCCCAGCATTTTGGGAGGCCGAGGCGGGCAGATCACTGGGTCAGGAGATTGAGACCATCCTGGCTAACAAGGTGAAACCCCGTCTCTACTAAAAATACAAAAATTAGCCGAGCATGGTGGTGGGCACCTGTAGTCCCAGCTACTCGGGAGGCCGAGGCAGGAGAATGGTGTCAACCCGGGAGGCGGAGCTTGCACTGAGCCGAAATTGCACCACTGCACTCCAGCCTGGGCGACAGAGCGAGACTCTGTCTCAAAAAAAAAAAAAAAAAAAGATGTAAAAGTATCTGTATCCAATAGAATTATAAATCACAATTTAGTATGCATTTACCACTCTATTAAAAATTTGCTTTTGGCCAGGCATGGTGGCTCACACCTGTAATCCCAGCACTTTGGGAGGCTGAGGAGGGCGGATCACTTAAGTCAGGAGTTCGAGACCAGCCTGGCCAACATAGCAAAACCCTGTCTCTACTGAAAACACAAAAATTAGCTGGGCATGGTGGTACACATTTGTATTCTCAGCTACTTGGCAGGCTGAGGCAGGAGAATCGCTTGAACCCGGGAGGCAGAGGTTGCAGTGAGCCGAAATCGAGCCACTGCACTCTAGCCTGGGCAACAGAGTGAGACTTTGTCTTAAAGAAAAAAAAATTGTTTGTTAGCCACTGGAAATGTTACTTTCCCATTTCTCCTTTAAATTACATTTTCATTTCACAGCTCAGAATTTTGTCCTACTGTAGTTGTTGGGTTTTTTTTGTTTGTTTGTTTGTTTGTTTGAGGCAGGGTCTTGCTCTGTCACCCAGGCTGGAGTGCAGTGTAACGAACTCAGCTCACTGTAACCTCCACCTCCCAGCTTCAAGAGATACTCCTGCCTCAGCCCTCCAAGTAGCTGGTACTATAGGCGTGCACCACCATGCCTGGCTCATTTTTGTGTTTTTAGTAGAGATGGGGTTTCACCGTGTTGCTCAGGCTGATCTCGAACTCCTGAGCTCAGGTGATCCACCTGTCTCGGCCTCCCAAAGTGCTGGGATTACAGGCGTGGGCCACAGTGCTTGGCCCTAATGTAGTATTTTTTTTTTAATATCTGCAATCTTTTATTTCCTTAATGTGTATCTCTGCATTAGAAATGTGAATATTGTGAAATGTTTTTCCCTTCTACCTTAAGAAGCATTAACTTGGTTAGAAAGCTTGTTTTATCATTGCAGCATAGAGTTGACCAAAACAACACAACTCGTATTACAGACTTTGATAAATAATTATTAAAGTAACAGTGCACAATGTATTTGGAAGTGCACCTCTTAATGATAGGGAGAGTGGGAGTTCTGTGCCCTAGTTAGAGGAGGCCTCACTCACAGTAGTCCCAGAGGTATCCACCTTCCTAGGCCTCCCAGAGTGCTGGGATTACACATGAGCCACTGCACCTGGCTAATCCTTAATTTTTTTAAAAACTGCCATCCTTGAGGCTGGGTGTGGTGGCTCACGCCTGTAATTCCAGTCTTTAGGAGGCCAAGGCAGGAGAATCGATTGAATCCAGGAGTTTGAGACCAGCGTGGGCAACATAAGGAGACCCTGTCTCTACCAAAAATTTAAAAATTAGCCAAGCATGGTGGTGTGTGCCTGTAGGTCCAGCTACTCAGGAGGCTGAGGTAAGAGGATTGTTTGGACCTTGGAGCTCAAGGCTGCAGTGAACTGTGATCACGACACTACACTCCAACCTAGACAACAGAGGATTTTTTTCGTTTTTTTTTTCAGAGACAGGGTCTCCCTCTGGCACCCAGGGTGGAGTGTACTGATGTGATGGTAGCTGATAGCTTATTGTCACTGTAACCTGGAACTCCTGGACTCAAGTGGCCCTGCATCCTGAGTCTCCTGAGTAGCAGAGACTACAGGCATGCACCACCATATCTGGCTCATTTTTTTTTTTTAGGTAGGAGGTCTTACTATGTTTCCCAGGCTGGTCTCAAACTCCTGTCCTCACATGATCCTCCCAGTTCAGCCTCCCAGAGTGCTGAAATGGCATGAGCCACCGTACCTGGCTTAAATGCCATCCTTAAACATCACCTTAAAGGTGTCCATCCATGTGTGCCCTGCTTCAGACACAGGATGAGCATGGGTGAAAGTTTAGAGCTGGAGATACCAGTCACCCAGCTCTGCATACTTTCCGTGCCCTTGTGGGGAGCGTGCTCTCATCCACACTGGGTATGGAAGATTATCCTTATGCCATCGTGGCTCTCTGGATGGAGAAGACTCGTGATTCTTTGTCTTACTGGCTCTGACTTGCTCCCACTCAGGGCTTCACTTGACACAGATGAGGGGCATTAAATGTCTTAGAGTTGATATTGGGAGTAGTGGGTATACAGAACGGTGCCCGGTGCTTTTCCACTCAGCTTGTGTTGACGGTATTTTCATTGGCGAGGTTTCTCATCCCCTTATATTGCTTTCTTCATCAAGCCTGATGATTCACATCATCCTGTGTTGAAAGCCAGTTGCAGAGGATTTGTGGTCCACCTCCCCTGGCCTGCTGTCCTCCAACTCAGTTTGTTCTAAAGCCAGCGTAGCACCCAGCACCCTGAGGTTGGGCTGCTTTTTGGCTGTAGGGATTCTGCTCCCAGTAGCAAGATGTGTTTGATGAGATACATCCGTCCTTTTTTACCATAAAGTTTGTACAGTCTCCTACCTATCTGGGTTGGTTTGAAACAATGTGATCAATTCCCTGTGAGTTAGAAGTATAGCACCACTTAGAATAGACAGTTTGTTACCACATTGTTAAAATCTAATGATAGGCTGGGTGGTTCAGGCCTGTAACCCCAGCACTTTGGGAGGCCAAGGCAGGAGGATTGCTTGAGTTGAGGAGTTCAAGCTCAGCCTGGGCAACATAGCAAGATTCCATCTCCATAAAAAATGTTTAAAGATTAGTCTGCCATGGTGGCACACGCCTATAGTCCCAGCTACTCAGGAGGCGGAGCTAAAGAGGCTTGCTTGAGCCTGGGAGGTCAAGGCTCCGGTGAGCTGTGATTGCGCCACTGCACTCCATCCAGCCTGGGTGGACAGAGCAAGACCCTGTTTCAAAAAAAAAAAAGTGGCCAAGCGCGGTGGCTCATGCCTATAATCCCAGCACTGTGGGAGGCCGAGGCGGGCGGATCGTGAGGTCAGGAGATCGAGACCATCCTGGCTAACATGGTGAAACTCTGTCTCTACTAAAAATACAAAAAATTAGCCGGGCGCAGTGCCGGGCGCCTGTAATCCCAGCTACTCCGGAGGCCAGGACAGGAGAATGGCGTGAACCCGGGAGGCGGAGCTTGCGGCGAGCCGAGATTGCGCCACTGCACTCCAGCCTGGGTGACAGAGCGAGACTCCGTCTCAAAAAAAAAAAAAAAGTAAATGTAAACGAGGCCGGGTGCAGTGCCTCACGCCTGTAATTGCTGCACTTTGGGAGGCCGAGGCAGGCATATCACAAGGTTAGGAGTTTGCGACAAGCCAGACCAACATGGTGAAACCCCGTCTCTACTAAACATACAAAAATTAGCCGGCCGTGCTGGCACGCTTGTAATCCCAGCTACTCAGGAGGCTGAGGCAGAAGAATCGCTTGAACCCAGGAGGCAGAGGCTTCAGTGAGCAAAGATCGCGCCACTGCACTGGGCAACAGGGCGGACTCTGTCTCAGGAAAAAAAAATGTAATGATAAAGCATTTTTTCATGTGTTATCTTCTTCATTAAGAAGTTTTAAAAATGAATGTGTTGGCCGGGCGCGGTGGCTCATGCCTGTAATCCCAGCACTTTGGGAGGCTGAGGCAGGCGGGTCACAAGGTCAAGAGATCAAGACCATCCTGGCCAACATGGTGAAACCCCATCTCTACTAAAAATACAAAAATTAGTTGGGTGTGGTGGCATGTGCCTGTAATCCCAGCTACTTGGGAGGCCGAGGCAGAAGAATAGGTTGAACTCGAGGTGGAAGTTGCAGTGAGCCGAGATCACGCCACTGCACTCCAGCCTGGTGACAGTGAGACACCGTTTCAAAGAGAAAAAAAAAAGTATTCCCATTTCCTAAAAGTGTCCCTTCAATTTTTAAATTACCAATACTGAGCTCATATAAAGGTGATTTGTTAAGTAGCATTCACACTCTGGTTTGTGTAACTTGCTCTTCCTCATTTTTTGTTTCATTTATTTAGAAAACTGTCGCTGAAAAGCAGGAGAAGAGAAATCAGGATCGCTTGAGGAGGAGAGAGGAGAGGGAACGGGAGGAGCGTCTGAGCAGGAGGTGAGCCTGAGGGCTGGCACTGGATGGCCTGCATTGGCCTCGGGCATTCCCTGCTCGGTCCATTCCACTGTTGCTTGGAATAGGCAGGGCCTGCCCAATAGGCCGTTATAAAAGAAAATAGTAAGGCCAGGCCTGGCGGCTCACGCCTGTAATCCTGTCAGTTTGGGAGGCTGAGGCGGGCAGAACACTTGAGGTCAGGGGTTCGAGACCAGCCTGGCCAACATGGTGAAACCTTGTCTCTACTAAAAATACAGAAATTAGCTGGGCGTGCTGGCATGAGCCTGTAATCCTAGCTACTCGGAGGCTGAGGTGGGAGAATCACTTGAGCCCGGGAGGCAGAGGTTGCAGTGAGCCGAGATCGTGCCACTGCACTCTAGCCTGGGCAACAGAGACTCCATCTCAACCAAAAAAAAAAAAAAAAAAAGTAAACAGCATATTCAGTCCAACAAAACAAAACAAAACACGTCCCAGCGCAGGACTGTGTGTGCATGGCAGTCAGGTAAGGGATCCAAGCTGTTGGAGGCTGTGTGTGGGCACTGCTGTTTACTTACTGAGTGCTATGGGGCCATTGGACACCTGTTTACGCAGGAGGGGTGGTGCCTGCTCCCCTTTGGCAAGCGTGCTGGGCTGGAGTAGAAGCAGCAGGACCTTGGGGAGCTAGGTGGGAAAATCCAGATGGAGGAGGTGGCAGTTTAAGCCAGGTAAGGGGTGCAAGGAGTCGGGGAAAGTTCTGGGATAGAACTGATGGGATTTGCTGGTAGTGTGTGAAGCGTGCAGAGGAGGAAATGAAGCTGGTCTCCTGGTTTCTGGCCCGGAGTTGCTGCTTGGTGAGGTTGGAAGGCTGGGTGTGGTGTATTGGAGTGGGAGGAGGTGGGAAGTAGAAGATGCCTCTGGCCACACTCAGCTTGAGAGGCCATCTTGAGGTGGGGCTGTTGAGTCTGTTTGGAGTTCAAAGAGGTAGGAGCCAGAAGTATCCACATCCTCCTGGAGACAGCTCATTGTCCAGGAAGGTTCCCAAACCACTTTTCCTGAAATAATTCCTCAGTGCATAACTCAGGGCGAATGTTTATTGTGTTTGTTTTTGAGACAGGGTCTCGCTCTGTCACCAGGCTGGAGTGCAGTGGTGCGATATCGGCTCACTGCAGCCTCCACCCCCTGGGTTCAAGCGAGTCTCCTGCCTCTGCCTCCCAAGTAGCTGGGACTACAGGCCTGTGCCATCACGCCCAGCTAATTTTTGTATTTTTAATAGAGACAGGGTTTCACCATGTTGGCCAGGCTGGTCTCGATCTGTTGACCTCATGATCTGCCTGCCTCAGCCTCCCAGAGTGCTGGGATTACAAGCGTGAGCCACCACGCCCGGCCGTTTGTTGTTTTACCAGCAGGAGATTCTGATTGGAGAGAAACTTAAACAGTATAGAAGAAAATATTAAGCAAAACACACAATCCATTTTTTGCATGGAGTTTACATTTTTACATGCACTGTCATGTTTAGGCCATTTGTGTTGCGGATGTACATGGGGCCACTTGACCTTAATGGCTTACGGGCATAGAATGAGGCCTCATAGCTTGCCTTTTTCAGCCTCTTGGTTGTGTGGCAGAATGAGCTGATGACTCTCACCTGACAGGAAGCCTGTGCCTGGAACTTCGGGCTTTGCTTTTCCTTTTCTGTGTTTTTGGTGTGCCCCACTCGCTGTCTGCACATTCTGTGCTGGTGTCTGTTGTAAAGACTGGAGAATCATTTGTAGGACTTGAGTGCAGCACAGTCAGTGTGCACAGACTTTTCACGGCCCTTGTAATGTTACAGGGCTGCGTCTGATGCTCGGATGTGGGCCTGTCTGTGAGGCTCAGGTGACACTGAGTGTGCCACAGAGTGGCTGTGGGGATGGGAGCATTGGCACTTCCCATTCAGACTGGGAACATGCAGGCAGCTTGAAAACAGCAGGTCTTTGGGGGAGGTGCCTCACTTCTTAAATTTGGAGTCCTCCCCCAAGAGGGTGAGGAATAGGGGTGCTTTCGGGAAGTCATTCACTTTTTTTTTTTCTTTTTGAGACAAAGTTTTATTCTTGTTGCCCAGGCTGGAGTGCAGTGGCACAATCTCAGCTCACTGCAACCTCTGCCTCCTAGGTTAAAGTGATTTTCCTGCCTCAGTCTCCTGAGTAGCTGGGATTACAGGCACCCGCCACCACGCCTGGCCAGGTTTTGTGTTCTCAGTAGAGACGGGGTTTCACCACGTTGTCCAGGCTGGTCTCCAGCTCGTGACCTCAGGTGATTGCCTGCCTAGGCCTCCCCGAAGTGCTGGGATTACAGGTGTGAGCCACCATGCCTGGCCTTGTTCATCTTTTTTTCCCCCTTTTAGGTCGGGATCAAGAACCAGAGATCGCAGGAGGTAGGTTTCCAGGTCCATTAAAATGTTCTCAAATTTTTTTTTCCATAAGCATTTTTCTTAATATTTAATGATTATGCCTTTACAAATGTTACCTGGCAGGTAGGGCTGGCTTGTGAAGGGCACAGGGCAAGAGGTTGCTTGGTGCCGTGGAGGGTTCCCAGTGTTAATGAGAGGGAAGGTCGGGGCCTGCAGGGTGACAGGAGTATCCAGGCCACATGTTTTCAGGAGACCTCATTGGAAGGACCTAGCCATTGGAGATTAACTGATGGAAATATTTTAAACCTAAATTTGTGGGAGTAAAGGAGAAAATGTCAGTAAAGCAGCAAGCAGAATCTGCTGAGGGGTGGGGCCCTCATAGTGTTGGCACCTATAGAGTCTCAGCCTTGGAGCCTTCTGATTGTTCAGGTCACGCTCCCGGGATCGGCGTCGGAGGCGGTCAAGATCTACCTCCCGAGAGCGACGGAAATTGTCCCGGTCCCGGTCCCGAGATAGACATCGGCGCCACCGCAGCCGTTCCCGGAGCCACAGCCGGGGACATCGTCGGGCTTCCCGGGACCGAAGTGCGAAATACAAGTAACTACTCTGACTCCTTCGGTAGCTGCAACCAGGAGTGAGCCCTTCTCTGTGTTCCCAGGGTCTGCTGAGGGCCGTGTCTGGTGGGGATGGGGCTGGGCTCACCCTCAGGAGTAGGGCTGGGGAGTCGTGAACGGGACTCAGGTGTGGGAAGAGGCGAGAGGGCTGTGGAGGAGCTCGCACGGCGCCAGGTGATGGGCTGCACAGGCACTGTCCCCTGCCTGCGTCCTGGGGCCTGTGCACTGTTGCGTCCATGCTCAGAGTGGCTGAGACTTGTGTCCTGACCAGGCCCTGCTTACCTCTGTTTTGGTTTTTGTTTTTGATATTTTTTTTTCCATTGTGTTTTTACGTAGTGTCATGTTCTGTGCATATAGTGTTGTATTCTCCTTTGCACTGTTTATGTTACAGTGAAGGCTCTCCTTATTAAAAATCTTCGCAAAGGTCACTTTTTAATGGCTATCTAACACTCCATATGTGGTGGGCAAGTCTGGTTGGCCTCCGGGGGGTTTCCAGGTATAGGGGATGTAGGGCCTTGCCTGGCCTGGTCTGCGGGTCCATCGTCAGTGCCTGAGCGGCCAGCAGAAGGGGGGCAGCAGCCTCCACTGAGCCTCTGGTTCCCATTTCCCAGGTTCTCCAGAGAGCGGGCATCCAGAGAGGAGTCCTGGGAGAGCGGGCGGAGCGAGCGAGGGCCCCCGGACTGGAGGCTTGAGAGCTCCAACGGGAAGATGGCTTCACGGAGGTCAGAAGAGAAGGAGGCCGGCGAGATCTGAACCCGTCTCCCGGGTGCTGTAAATAGTCTGATAAACGTTCACACAGTCTAAAATTACCCTTTATATTTGCTGAATACAACTCATCTTTTGTAGTTTAAAATTTCTATTGTTTTGGAGCTAGCTGTGAGTTTCTAGAAGTGTACAGAGTTGCTCCTGTGTTCCCGGGTCATGTTGAGTAGGAATAAATAAATCTGATGCTGCCTCCTGAGGCTGCGGGGGGTTTCTGCTGTCCTCTGCGTAGAGGCTTTTCACTGTGACCCTGTGCCAGTGCCACCAGCACCTCACAGAAACCGTGACTTACTCGTGGGTCACGTCTTGTCTTCTGGCATCCAGTAGATGGCAGGGCACTTCCTGTCCCCTGCATCTGACTGACGGGACCCAGGTGTGCATGGGTGTTTGTTTGCTCGCTCCCACACAACCTTCTGAGTGTCTGAGCTGCCCATCTCCCATGGGGAGGAGGGAGGGGTCCCCATTCTGCATTCATTTATTTAGGAAAAGCTGTCTTGTCTGCTCAGCTGCTACCATAGCCTTAACTTGGGACTCAGGTGAGTTACACTGCATGTCCCCTTTTGAAGTTACTAGCAGAAAACAAAGACCCATGGGGCTGGGCATGGTGACACATGCCTGTAGTCCCAGCTACTACTAAGAAGGCTGAGGCAGGAGGATCTGTTGAGCACAGGACACTGAGGCAAACCTTGATTCCGCCACTGCACTCCAGCCTGGGTGACAAGAAAGCCCTATCTCAAAAAAAAAAAAAAAAAAAAAAAAAAAAAAAATGGTTTGACTCATGTCCCATGTGGGCTGATTATGTTTCCCACCTCTCAGTTCGTTCTTTTTTTTTTTTTTTTGAGACGGAATCTCACTCTGTCGCCCAGGCTGGAGTGCAGTGGCGTGATCTCAGCTCACCGCAACTTCCGCCTCCCAGGTTCACGCCATTCTCCTGCCTCAGCCTCCAGAGTAGCTGGGACTACAGGTGCCTGCCACCTTGCCTGGCTAATTTTTTGTATTTTTAGTAGAAACGGGGTTTCACCTTGTTAGCCAGGATGGTCTCGATCTCCTGACCTCGGGATCTGCCCGCCTCGGCCTCCCAAAGTGCTAGGATTACAGGCGTGAGCCACCGCTCCTGGCCAACACCTTTCAGTTCTTTCTAACATACCTGCTGTACATCAGGCAGGTACTTTAAGACCAAAGTAAAGGGGGACGCGGTGGCTCACGCTTGTAATCCCAGCACTTTGGGAGGCAGATAACCTGAGGTCAGGAGTTCGAGACCAGCCTGGCCAACATGGTGAAACCCTGTCTCTACCAATATACAAAAATTAGCTGGGTGTGGTGGCGGACACCTGTAATCACAGCTACTTGGGAGGCTGAGACAGGAGAATCGTTTGAACCCGGGAGCCAGAGGTTGCAGTGAACCGAGATTGCATCCAGCCTGGACGACAGCAAGACTCTGTCTCAAAAAACCCCCCAAAAACCCAAAATGAAGCCCTTCTGAAAAGGATAACTGCTAACTAATGTGTAGATGATGGGAGCTCCTTCCCTTTTTCACTTCGTGGGAGATTTTTTGGAGGGAATTCCTGAGGTTCACATTGTTAACACATAGCCATCCTCATCCGCTCTGTTTCTGCAGGGGTACACATGCCACCCTTGAGCTGGCTGGCTCAGTGGGCGCACACGGGCGCTGTGGTCTGGGTCTTTCTGCCACCGGTATCACAGTGTAGCTGGTGGCCTTGCTCTGGGCTCTCCTGCCACAGGCTGTCCCCTCCAGGAGGACAGATGGGTAGGTGGGCTGCTCTGCCAGCCCGTGACACAGGTCTAGCCCAGCCAACTGTCTCCAAGGAAAGGAGGGTGGAAGGGGCCGCCCTGTACAGGAGTCACTTGGGATTGATGCTGTGCTTTGCAGGCATCACCCATGTCGATATTCCCTGCGTGTTGCTGTTCCTCCCGTGTTGGTATTCCCCCCGTGTCGCTGTTCCCCCCGTGTCGCTGTTCCCCCCGTGTCGCTGTTCCCCCCGTGTCGCTGTTCCCCCCGTGTCGCTGTTCCCCCCGTGTCGCTGTTCCCCCCGTGTCGCTGTTCCCCCCGTGTCGCTGTTCCCCCCGTGTCGCTGTTCCCCCCGTGTCGCTGTTCCCCCCGTGTCGCTGTTCCCCCCGTGTCGCTGTTCCCCCCGTGTCGCTGTTCCCCCCGTGTCGCTGTTCCCCCCGTGTCGCTGTTCCCCCCGTGTCGCTGTTCCCCCCGTGTCGCTGTTCCCCCCGTGTCGCTGTTCCCCCCGTGTCGCTGTTCCCCCCGTGTCGCTGTTCCCCCCGTGTCGCTGTTCCCCCCGTGTCGCTGTTCCCCCCGTGTCGCTGTTCCCCCCGTGTCGCTGTTCCCCCCGTGTCGCTGTTCCCCCCGTGTCGCTGTTCCCCCCGTGTCGCTGTTCCCCCCGTGTCGCTGTTCCCCCCGTGTCGCTGTTCCCCCCGTGTCGCTGTTCCCCCCGTGTCGCTGTTCCCCCCGTGTCGCTGTTCCCCCCGTGTCGCTGTTCCCCCCGTGTCGCTGTTCCCCCCGTGTCGCTGTTCCCCCCGTGTCGCTGTTCCCCCCGTGTCGCTGTTCCCCCCGTGTCGCTGTTCCCCCCGTGTCGCTGTTCCCCCCGTGTCGCTGTTCCCCCCGTGTCGCTGTTCCCCCCGTGTCGCTGTTCCCCCCGTGTCGCTGTTCCCCCCGTGTCGCTGTTCCCCCCGTGTCGCTGTTCCCCCCGTGTCGCTGTTCCCCCCGTGTCGCTGTTCCCCCCGTGTCGCTGTTCCCCCCGTGTCGCTGTTCCCCCCGTGTCGCTGTTCCCCCCGTGTCGCTGTTCCCCCCGTGTCGCTGTTCCCCCCGTGTCGCTGTTCCCCCCGTGTCGCTGTTCCCCCCGTGTCGCTGTTCCCCCCGTGTCGCTGTTCCCCCCGTGTCGCTGTTCCCCCCGTGTCGCTGTTCCCCCCGTGTCGCTGTTCCCCCCGTGTCGCTGTTCCCCCCGTGTCGCTGTTCCCCCCGTGTCGCTGTTCCCCCCGTGTCGCTGTTCCCCCCGTGTCGCTGTTCCCCCCGTGTCGCTGTTCCCCCCGTGTCGCTGTTCCCCCCGTGTCGCTGTTCCCCCCGTGTCGCTGTTCCCCCCGTGTCGCTGTTCCCCCCGTGTCGCTGTTCCCTCCGTGTCCGTATTCCTCCCGTGTCCGTATTCCTTACCTGCACCTTTTCCTGCAGGTGGGACTCAGGGTACTTGTTCAGCACATGTGCTTTCCTCTTCGTCTTCTAGGAGGGAGTGGTTGGGTCTGGGCTCCCTGTTCCCAAGCCCACGTTGTGTTCATGGCTGTGGCTGCCTGGGTGATGAGTGTGAGTTTGCACCTGGGTTTCCCTGGGCCTTAAGCAGACAGCGTCACCCTCAGAGCCATCACCACTGTGAATCATTTGGATCTTTTTCCATCTGGGCATAAAATTGTATGTGTAGACAAATAGTTGTTTTTTGCTTTTTTGGGTGGGGGGGGTCAGGGTGTGGGGTTTACAGAAAAGGTGCTGTGCCCCTGGCCATCCTGTCCCCCGTGTCTGCTGATTACAGCTGAAGGACAGGTCCTCCTGGGATGCAGCATCAGTGTCCTCGGCCGCCCCTGGTAGCCTCCGGGGCACCATCCGTGCAGGGAGAGGCGCTCCTGCCTCTCTACCGTGCAGGGACAGTCGGGTGGGCTTTTGGTACACCTGCCAGGTGGTGCTGACCAAACTGAGCTTCATGCCCCCGGTGCAGTTTCGCTGATAGCACCCACAACAGCTCTTCCTTTCTCCCTCCTCCCTCCCTCCTCCCAAATAACCCACACCAGGTTCTGCTGTCAGAGTCTGCGATAGGAGTCCCATGTTTTCACTTTTTTCACCCAGTACAGCGAGTCCTTCCTTTCCACTGCAGTACCAGTAAATCTCGCCAAAGATGGCTACTCGGAGATATATGGGTCTGGAAGTGTATCCCTCCCATGTGAAGGGGTCTGTAGTGTCAGGTGGAACCGGCCCTTGTCTCCACCCACAGGGACCACCTTGGCCTGCAGCCCAGACTGCAGGAGAACAGAAGAGAAGGGGGCCTCTCCAGAACATTTGGCGATTAAAAAAAAACTTTTTTTTTTTTTTTTTGAGACGGAGTCTCGCTCTGTCTCCTAGGCTAGAGCGCGGTGATGCAGTCTCGGCTCACTGCACCCTCTGCCTCAGCCTCCCGACTAGCTGGGAATACAGGGGCCCGCCACCATGCCCGGCTAATTGTTGTATTTTTAGTAGAGACAACGTTTCACCATCTTGGCCAGGCTGGTCTTGGACTCCTGACCTCGTGATCCACCCGCCTTGACCTCCCAAAGTGCTGGGATCACAGGCGTAAGCCACGGCACCTGGCCAAAATTATTTATTTATTTTTTTTGAGACGATGCTTGCTTTGTCACCCATGCTGGAGTGCAGTGTTGTAGTCATGGCTTACTGCAGCCTTGAACTCCTGGACTTAAGTGATCCTCCTGCCCCAGCCTCCAAGTAACTGGGACATAGGTGTGCACTACCACACTTGGCTAATTTTTTATGTTTTTGTGGAGACAGGTCTCACTATGTTGCTCAGGATATTCTTGGGAACTCCTGGGCTCAAGCAGTCTTCCCACCTCAGCCTCTCAAAGCACTAGGATTACAGGTGTGTCACCACAGCTGGCAGTGATTTTTTTAAAGGTAAATGGCTCTGTTTGGTGGGTGCTGTCGGCGCCAAACTAGCTGGATGGGCTGTGCCTTGTACCACCTTTGCCTCCTGCACAGGGTTACCTTGGGCTTGGGGAGCGCATGGGCCTTGACCGAAGCCCTGAGTGGGTTAAGGGTAGTCCTGGGGGGAGGAGAGGAGGATGCGGAGGCCGTTTCCTACCCCAGTGTGCAGCCGTCATGGGACAGGCAGGTGCTGGAGCAGGCCGAGGACCCCTATCTGGGGTGGCATCCTTTGGGGGAGGGGTGGCAGCCTGGAGCCAGAACCACGTTGGCCAGGATGGAACTTTTTTTTTTTTTTTTTTGAGACGGAGTCTCGCTTTTGTCACCCAGGCTAGAATGCAGTGGCGCAAACTCGGCTCACTGCAAGCTCCGCCTCCCTGGTTCACGCCATTCTCCTGCCTCAGCCTCCCGAATAGCTGGGACTACAGGCGCCCGCTATCACGCCCGGCCAATTTTTTGTGTGTTTTTTTTAGTAGAGACGGGGTTGCACTGTGTTAGCCAGGATGGTCTCAATCTCGTGACCTTATGATTTGCCCGCCTCGGCCTCCCAAAGTGCTGGGATTATAGGCGTGAGCCACCGCGCCCAGCCAGGATGGAACATTTTTTATTATAGTAAAGTGCACACAAAACGTGCCGTTATAACAGTTTTTCAGTGTACAGTTCAGTGGCACGACGTGTATCTACATTGTTGTGCAGCCTTCACCACCACCTGTGTAGGAGTGGCTTTGAAAAGGCAGAGTATGGCCAGGCGCGGTGGCTTACATCTGCAATCCCAGCACTTTGGGAGGCCAAGGCAGGTGGATCACAAGGTTAAGAAATTGAGACCATCCTGGCCAACATGGTGAAACCCCGTCTCTACTAAAAATATAAAAATGAGCCAGGCGTGGCAGGCACCTGTAATCCCAGCTACTCAGGAGGCTGAGGCAGGAGATTCGCTTGAACCCGGGAGGTGGAGATTGCAGCGAGTTGAGATTGCACCACTGCACTCCAGCCTGGGTGACAGAGCAAGACTCCATCTCAAAAAAAAAAAAAAAAAAAAAAGGCAGAGTGCAAATTCCCCTGGACTTGAGTGGGCATGAGTCTCCCCAACAGTGTGGAGGGCCCACAGCTGCTCCCCCTGCTCCCTTGGATCTGCACCTCTGGGTAGGTTCTGTACCAAGTGGGCTGAGCCCTTGAGCCAGGGCCAGCTCCCTCCAACCTCCACATCTCCAGGGAGGATGCGGTCTGGCTCTTCCACCTTCAGTGATGCTCCAGATGTAATCCCAGGAGGGTGTCCACACCTAGTTACAGGAGTCTGAGAGCCTGGTGCTTCCTCAGGGCCCCTGAGCCTCCTGGGCTCCAAGTGCTTGCTCCTGTGCGCGAAGTTGCAGCAGCCGCAGGTCCTGTGCTCTGGGAGCACACAGGATGATTGAGGTGAGACTGACTCGAGCTACCCCAAGGATAGAAACTAGAACGTGGATCCAAGAGGGGGCTCACGGGTGGGCTAGGGGCCAGATTTTTTCTTTTCTTTTTTTTTTTTTTTGTTTGAGACAGTCTCGCTCTGTCGCAAAGCTGGAGTGCAGTGGTGCAATCTCAGCTCACTCCAACCTCCGACTCTGGTTCAAGTGATTCTCCTGTCTCAGCCTCCCGAGTAGCTGGGAGTACAGGCATGCACCACCACACCCAGTTAGTTTTTATATTTTTAGTAGAAACGGGGTTTCACCATGTTGGCCAGGCTGGTCTTAAACTCCTGACCTCAGGTGATCTACCGGCCTCTGCTTCCCAAAGTGCTGGGATTACAGGCGTGAGCCACCATGCCCCGCCCGGAGATCTAATGTAGTAGAGATAATAACCTTTATCTGCCACATGTAGCAAATATTTTCTCTGGCTCTTCCCCCCGCCCCCTCCTCTTTTTTTTTTTTTTGAGACGGAGTCTCGCTCTGTCGCTCAGGCTGGAGTGCAATGGTGTGATCTCGGCTCACCGCAACCTCCGCCTCCCGGGTTCAAGCCATCCTCCTGCCTCAGCCTCCTGAAGTTGGGATTACAGGCGCCCGCACCACACCCAGCTAATTTTTATTTTTATTTTTATTTTTTCTGAGACGGAGTCTCACTCTGTCGCCCAGGCTGGAGTGCAGTGGCGCAATCTTGGCTCACTGCAGGCTCCGCCTCCGGGGTTCACGCCATTCTCCTGCCGCAGCCTCCCGAGTAGCTGGGAATGCAGGCGCCCGCCACCACCCCCAGCTATTTTTTTGTATTTTTAGTAGAGACGGGGTTTCACAGTGTTAGCCAGGATGGTCTCGATCTCCTGACCTCGTGATCCGCCCGCCTCGGCCTCCCGGAGTGCTGGGATTACAGGCGTGAGCCACCGCGCCCGGCCTGTCCACTTTTCCTCAGTGTCACCTTGAGAATACCATTTCTGAGGAAAAGCATCTCTACATGTGCCTAGAAGACTGGAACAGCTACGCATCAAATGTTAGGGGTGTGGATGAGGCCTGCCTCTACCCCGTGTGTGTGTGTGTGTGTGTGTGGCATGTCTGTGTTACACATGTGCTCTTGGATATGACAGCCATGTCCTGTTCTTGTTTACACATGACACAGTTTGCCGCGTGTCAAGCGGCAGCTGAAGGATGTGCTGCACCCATTCCTGGACCTGGGATACACAGGAAGGTGCAGCAAGCCTTGTTTTCGGAAGTTCTACAATGACCATGATTGGTTTTATGTGGACAAATATAAAAAAGCTTCACTCTCCGTAGTGATGTCGGGTGACGGCAGGGGTCTGGGTCGGTTCCTGGTCCACCTCGCCAGCTACGTGGCTAGGTGCTGGGGCTGGTCCCACCTCCTTCACCACAACCCCCCGGCACCCCAGGTCCCCGATTCCAGGCCACAGCCGCGGCGGCTGGGTGCTGCGCAGGTACCGGCTCGCGCCGGGAGGGGGCGCTGTTCCCTAACCTGCTCCGAGTCAGCCCCGGGCCCTTAACGCCGCCCGCGTGCGTTCACGCTGCAGGTGCGGAGTTCTCGCGGTGGGTCCGGGCCGCGTGCTCGGCGCAGAGTGGGGAGGGCGAAGCCAGCCGCCCTCGGGATGGGCAGAGTCGGCCGTCCTCGCAGCCCGCCGCCCGGGGCGTCCCGCGGCCCTCACCTACCACCCCATTCGGGAGGGTCAGGCTGCACGCAGTTCGGTGCCCCCATGGCCGAGGCCCCAAACCTGCTGGAGGTGGAAAGAGGCGCGCCTGGATCTGGGCACTGGGGGTGTGCCCCAGGCCCTCGCCTTTCCTTGGGGAGGGGCGGCGCCTTCCTCTCGCGTCCTGACCTCGAGAGAGCACGGCAAGAAGGCTGCTCCTGGGAGAGGCTTTACTCAAACACGGGGAAGGTCGCCTGGGGATCCCGCGGCCACCCACCCACAGTTCAGCGGTACTCGGAAACCAGCGCCGAGATAACGTGGCTCAGGAACTTGTCCAGCGACGCCTGCAGCGCGGGGCTGAAGTCTCCGGGGTAGTGCCGGGCGAGGGTTACCAGCAGGCAGTGGCCCAGGAGCTGCGGCGAGCGCTCAAGGCTCACTCGCCTGCACCCGCCCCGCACGCCCCCCGCACCCACCCCGCCGGGGCCCTCCCGGGGACAGGGGCCCAGCACGGCAGCCGCTCACCTGGAAGCTGGCCGGGTCCACTCGCAGCTGGCACGCGTGCAGGTGGCTCAGCGCGGACAGCGCGTGGGGTAGGTCGTCCAGGCGCTCCACGGCGAGGCTCAGCGCGTCCGCCACCTTCTGGCCGTGGGCTCTGACTTGTGAGGAGCCGGGGCTCAGGTCCAGGTGGGAGAAGTAGGTCTTCGTGGCGGGGAAAGCCAGGAAGGTCCTGCGAGAGGAACGTGGGTGAGGCGCGTCCGGGGGGCTTGGGGAGGGAGGGCCCCTGGGGGCGGGGGCGCCCAGCCTGCCGCACCTTTCCAGGGCCTCTGTCGTGTAGACGCCGACGTTGCTGCCCAGCTTCTTCCACAGGGCGCGCACCAGCGCCCGGTCCTCCGCGGACAGCGCCATCCCCGCGCTGGAACCCGCCGCGCCCTGCGACCCCGCTGCGCCTGCGCGGACCGGCCAGGGGTCCCGCGGCCTCCAGGGGGCGCCGCGCCGCAGCTTCGCCGCCCGGGGGTCCAGGGCCTCGTCGGAGATCCCGGGACCGCGCGCGCTCAATCTCCGACAGCTCCGACCGGGGCCCTCTGAATCGCCCTGGATCCAAGGCCCCCCGTCTTAGGTGTTCACTATATGGTATTTAGTCTCTACTAAAAACACAAAAATTGGCCGGGTGCGGTGAGTGCAGTGGCGCCATTCCGGCTCACTGCAACCTCCGCCTCCCGGGTTCAAACGATTCTCCTGCCTCAGCCTCCCGAGTAACTGGGATCACAGGTGCATGCCACCATGCCAATTTTGTATTTTTAGTAGAGACAGGGTTTCACCGTGTTAGGCTGATCTCAAACTCCCGACCTCAGGTGATCCTCCCGCCTCAGCCTCCCAAAGTTCTGGGATTACAGGCGTGAACCACCGCGCCCGGCCATGTACATTATTATAGCACTGAATTTCGGCATGGATTTGGCATTGGAAGTCAGTTTATTCTGCCTCTTGATTCTATTGTGACACTTGCCCGAGTCTGTTTTCTCATTTATTATATAAAATGAGGGTGACAGTTTCTTCTCAGATTGTGAGAATTAAACGGATAACAACTGTGAGGTGCCTGACTCGTAGCAGGTGTTTCTTCAGGGCAGTGAACATTTATTGAGTACCTGGGATGTAACCCAAGAATAATAGTAAATGCATATGCAGCACTCACTCTGCTGTACCCCTTATATCTTTTTTGTTTTAAAAAAGGTGATAAAATAGACATAAATTACCATTGTAGCCATTTTTCAGGTATAAAATTTGGTGATATTAAGAACACTTAGTGTTATGCAGCCATCACCACTATCTAGGTCAGAACTTTTTCATCATCCCAAACGCCACCTCGGTACTCATTAACAGTAACTCTGGCCCCGGCAGCCACTAATCCGCTTTTGGTCCCTATGGATTTGGCTGTAGCGGATATTGCATATAGATGGGGTCATGCAGTTTGTGACCTTTGGTGTCCGGCTTCTTTTACTTGTCAAATATTTTCAGGGTGCAGCTACATCCTATCAGTGCTTCATTTCTTTTTGTGGCCAAATAATATTCCATTGTGTGTATAGACCACCACATTTTGTTTACCCATTCATCTACTGATGTATAATTTTTATAATTTTTTTTGAGATGGAGTTTTGCTCTTGTTGCCCAGGCTAGAGTGCAATGGTGTGATCTCGGGTCACTGCAACCTCTGCCTCCTGGGTTCAAGTGATTCTCCTACCTCAACCTCCCGAGTAGCTGGGATTACAGGCGTGCGCCACCACACCCGGCTAATTTTTTGTATTTTTAGTAGAGATGGGGTTTCCCCATATTGGCCAGGCTGGTCTCGAATTCCTGACCTTGTGATCTGCCCACCTTGGCTTCCCAAAGTGCTGGGATTACAGGCGTGAGCCACTGTGCCCAACCACCGTGCTAATTTTTAAATTAAATTAAATTAGATTAAATTTTTTTTTGAGACAGAGTTTCGCTCTTGTTGCCCAAGCTGGAGTGCGATGGCGCGATCTTGACTCACTACAACCTCCGCCTCCCAAAGTGCCAGGTTTACAGGCATGAGTCATCACACCTGGACAATTTTTGTCTTTTTAGTAGAGACAGGGTTTCACTATGTTGGCTAGGCTGGTCTCGAACCCCTGACTTCAGGTGATCCACCTGCCTAAGCCTGGCAAAGTGCTGCAATTACAGGTGTGAGCCACCGCGCCCGGCCAATTTTTATAATTTTTTCTTAGGCTTAGTCAACTGAAGCAGCAGGAGTGGAGAAGGAAATGATAAATTTATAACTGGTTCTGATCAATTAATTGTAAAAAGCGCTGCACTCCAACCAGCCCTCTGCTGTACATTTGACATATTTCTACCTTTAGGTCAGACCTCCATTCTTCCTGATGAAATAACGAAGACACCGTCTTCCTGACAGTTGATACTGTACCCACAGGCTGCGGGAAGGACATCACAAACGCAGGCAGAGGGCCTGCCATAGGTGTTTACCAAGGGTGATTCATGGGCTCAGGGAATAAAAGATATTCCTATCAGTTGAGGGCCAGGGCTTTATGGCTACCAGCTCCGGGAACCCTCCCTCTGATACCCCAGGCACTGCAAGCCTGCTCAGCAGAGAGAAAACACACACCAGGGAGAAGGGACCTTCTAGCCAGGCCTCTGTGGCCCCGCTCTCCTCTCCAGTCGCAATGGGACAGGCTCCCCAGCCTCAGGGGAGCTGAGTGGGTGCTGAGCTGGGCCCTGAGCTGGGCCCAGAGACAAACGCCTGATCTTGACAGCCCCAGGGCGTCAGTGTCTGGTGTGTGAGCATTCTGGGGTGACCTGGGGGTGAAAGTAGAGCCCCTATTGAATTGCCTGGGGCCTGCAGTTGCACCCCGCACCCCTGATTTCATCTAGACTGTGCCTGTATCTGGGAGGTTTTACGGAGACTAGTGGGAACGATGGGGGATCAATGCAGCCATGCTGGAGTGGGACTTCTCTGACCTACCCACCACCCATATGTGGGAGGACCTCTGGGAAACCAGTGACGTCCCAGGCAGAAAGCCAGCCAGTTCTTGGCACAAGAGTGCCCAGAAACGTAAAGATGGATAAATTCATTATTTCAGCAAACCTGCATTGAATCTGAAAAGTCTGGGAATAAAACTCGGGAAAGAGCAAATGCATCCTCAAAGCACTCTAGGGTCCAGCGTTTTTCCAGCTGGACTTCGCGGTGGCTCCACTTTCCCTCCTCCATCCCCTCCTCCCGCCCCTGCCTTTTCCTACCCTATCCAGCTGCAGAGAGGTTCTAGCCATGTGTGTCCCAGCTGCTGTCCACGCCCATGCCTGGCACGTTTGCTGAGGGAAAAAACTCAGGCACACACAGGCTGCCGCCCACTCAGACTTTATTCAAAGACCACGGGGGTACGGGTGCAGGAAGGGGAGGAGGGGCTGGGGGGAGGCCCAAGGGGCAAGAAGCATGGCCACCGAGGCTCCAGCTTAACGGTATTTGGAGGTCAGCACGGTGCTCACAGAAGCCAGGAACTTGTCCAGGGAGGCGTGCACCGCAGGGGTGAACTCGGCGGGGAGGTGGGCGGCCAGGGTCACCAGCAGGCAGTGGCTTAGGAGCTGTGCAGAGAAGAGGGTCAGTGGGGCCGAGGGCCCAGGCCCGCAGCCGCCGCCTGCGCTACACCTCCCGCAACCCGCGTGATCCTCTGCCCTGCGAGGAAGGCGCCATCTCGCCCCTCGACCCAGATCGCTCCCGGCCCGCCGCTCACCTTGAAGTTGACCGGGTCCACCCGAAGCTTGTGCGCGTGCAGGTCGCTCAGGGCGGACAGCGCGTTGGGCATGTCGTCCACGTGCGCCACGGCGTTGGTCAGCGCGTCGGCCACCTTCTTGCCGTGGCCCTTAACCTGGGCAGAGCCGTGGCTCAGGTCGAAGTGCGGGAAGTAGGTCTTGGTGGTGGGGAAGGACAGGAACATCCTGCGGGGAGAAGCAGAGTGAGGGGTGGGGTTTGGGTCCGGGGCCAGGACGGTTGAGGGTGGCCTGTGGGTCCGGGCGGGCGAGGAGCCCGGGTCGGAGCAGGGGAGGGAGCCTCACCTCTCCAGGGCCTCCGCACCATACTCGCCAGCGTGCGCGCCGACCTTACCCCAGGCGGCCTTGACGTTGGTCTTGTCGGCAGGAGACAGCACCATGGTGGGTTCTCTCTGAGTCTGTGGGGACCAGAAGAGTGCCGGGCCGCGAGCGCGCCAGGGTTTATGCTTGGGGCGCGGGGGCACGCCCGGCCGGGCGGCGCTCATTGGCTGGCGCGGAGCCCGGGGCGCGGCCTGGACCGCAGGGGAGTCCCGGGCGGGGCCTGCGCGGGGCCGGGCGGCGGGCTCGGCCTCCCCTGGGGGTGCACGCGGGGCGGGGGCCAGGACGTCTCCACCCTCCACCCGCCACTCCACTCCCGCCCATCCCGCTCGCCCGGGGGCAGGGCGGTAGCGGCGCTGGCGGGGCCGGCCCGTTGGGGTCGGGCGCTGTCGGCTCGTGCACCCCGGAGCGCAGCGCCACCCTTTCCTTTCGGGCGCCGGAGCGTCCCTAGCGAGGGAGAAAGTCAGCCCGCACCCCCGCCCCGGCCTGGCACGCGCTGGACGCGCATCGACTCCAGCGGGATCGGGGAACACACGGGCGAGCGAGTGCGAGCCGGGAGGCTTCGCCCAATCCTGGGGCGGAGAGGAATGCGCGCACCCGGACGCCCTGGCCCATAGGAACTCAAAAGAATTTCTGCGCAGAGCCCCTCCTGCTCTCCAGCCTCGCTTCCTGCAGCTCCCTTTCCCTCTGGCGATAGTCACTAGTGTGCTTGAGTGACAGGCACCGGGAAGGAATAAACACCAGGACGCAAAAAGCACGGGGCTGGGCTGGGGGCGGCTCCAGATTCAGACTCCTCTACCCGGGGTTGTGGGGTGGCGCGTGGGGTGGTGGGTGCTGGCTAAGCCCCAAGTCATGGACTCACAGTTTGTGTGACTGACTCTCCCACTGGCCTAGAGGTCGTGGTTCACTGTGACACCCCCAGCTCTCCAAATGCTATCTGATGGAAGACTTGCTAGGTAAATACTGGTTAAACAGGTAAACAAAGCAATAGCTGGAACCGGCTGGAGCATTCAACCTCCTCTGGGAGGTAGGCAGTCCTCTAACCATCACACAAGTACACACAGAGGTGCAGACCTCATCACAGGCCCTGAGGAAGTCTGGAGGTGTGGACGAGGCATTCAAGGTGACCAGGGTTAGTCTGAGGGCTTCCTGGAGGAGGTGAGACTTAAGGATATGTATTAGGTGGAGGAGGTGGAGGAGGGAGGAGGCTTGGCTCGGGGAGGGGAAAGGACAGAGGAGACAAGGGCCCTGTGGTTGGAGAATGGAGGTGGGGAGATGTTGGGGTGATGAGGCTGGCCAGCTCCTGCAGGGTGAGGAAGGAAGGGGTGGACTTCTGGGGAAGGGTGGGAGGTGCAGGAGTGCCAGTGGGTGCATCCCTGTGCATGAAAAGTGATGTTTTTTGGGGGGATGGTACTGAGGAGAAAACAGCCTGAGAAATCACTGATAAGTCATTTCCTGGGGGTCTGGCAGAAGATCTTGCTTTGAGGAGTGCATCAGGTCAGCACCCTTCAGCCTGCTCCCTGCCCTGTCTCCCCAGGCCCTTACTCAGGCCCTGCCCTGGGTGTCCAGGAGCAAGCCAGGGTAAGCTGCCTTGGGCAGAGAAGGAAGTAGCTCCGACCAGCTTAGCAATGCTTCCCCCGTTGGATCTTCTCATTTCCCCTCCCTGTCTGCCACCCTCTTCTGACTCTGCCCACAGCCTGAAGGAAAAAAAAAAGATAAGATGTGGGGGCTTTTTTTTTTTTGAGGCGGAGTTTCGCTGTTGTTTTCCAGGCTGGAGTGCAATGGTGTGATCTTAGCTCACTGCAACCTCTGCCTCCTTGGTTAAAATGATTCTCCTGCCTCAGCCTCCGGAGTAGGTGGGTTTACAGGCATGGGCCACCATGCCCGGCTGATTTTGTATTTTTAGTATAGATGGGGTTTCTACATGTTGATCAGGGTGGTCTCAAACTCCCGACCTCAGGTGATCCTCCCACCTCGGCCTCCCAAAGTGCTGGGATTACAGGCGTGAGCCACCGTGCCTGTCGGATTTTAGTTTATTTTTTAAAGTGTTTCTGCTGAAATAACAATGCTCTGGGCTGTGAGGCGCAGGAAGAGCGGGTGGTGGAGAGGGGAGGGAACTCCCCAACAATTCAGAGAGGTCCATGTCCAGAAGGAAAGCAGTGACAGGGTCCTCTCCACCCTCCCCAAAGCTCAATCCAGTACTGTGAGTGTGGAGGGGGAGGCTTGCTGTGGGGCAGGGACTGGGTTGGAAGTGCTGCTCATGTTCCTAGGCTGGCTGAGAGCCAGATGGGCTGTGCAACTTCCCAGCATGGATTCCAGGACTTCAGCACCGGGGACAGGGACGTTTCCAGAAGTTGCTGGCAGCACAGGAAGCAGAAGACCAGGAGGTCCCAGAGGCCCTGGGTGGGGCAATTAGCTGGGAGCTCAGGGCTGGGCACACAGTGAGTTCTGAATGCACCTTACAAACTGCAGGAGACGTGCAGGAGTAAGGCCGCAAGGTGCTCTGCTGAAGAGTCTCCCCAGGTGTGGGCTGCCGGCTGTGAGCATCCCAGCCCCTTCCTCCTTCCCCACTGACTGGGCTGCTCTCAGAGGGTCACCGTGACACAGGAAGTGTGAGTAGGGCCAGCACCCTCACTCCAGCCACCTACCCTCTGGCAGGAAGGGGTGGGAATGAGAGAAATGTTCTGGCACCTGCACTTGCACTGGGGACAGCCTATTTTGCTAGTTTGTTTTGTTTCGTTTTGTTTTGATGGAGAGCGTATGTTAACTGGGTTCAACCAGGGAGATTTCAAAGGAGGGTGGCGATGCTGGGACTCCCTGAGTAGAACCCTGGATGCCTCTCTCCTCCCCAGCTTCTGAGCCACTGCCTGCAGGCCTGGCACCTCTCAGGACAGGGGATGGTTCAGCACCTTCTCTTGAGCAGGCCCACCTCAGCTTCCCCTCCCATACTCCCTGCAGTTCTCCCTCCCCAGCCCCATGCAGCTGCAGAGAGGTCCTTGGTCTGAGACAGGTAAACACCTCCATTGTTGGCACATTCCGGGATAGAGAGAACCCAGGCACACACAGGCTGCTGCCCACTCAGACTTTATTCAAAGACCAGGAAGGGCCGGTGCAAGGAGGGGAGGAGGGCCCGTTGGGAGGCCCAGCGGGCAGGAGGAACGGCTACCGAGGCTCCAGCTTAACGGTATTTGGAGGTCAGCACGGTGCTCACAGAAGCCAGGAACTTGTCCAGGGAGGCGTGCACCGCAGGGGTGAACTCGGCGGGGAGGTGGGCGGCCAGGGTCACCAGCAGGCAGTGGCTTAGGAGCTGTGCAGAGAAGAGGGTCAGTGCGGCCCAGGCCCGCAGCCGCCGCCTGCGCTACACCTCCCGCAACCCGCGTGATCCTCTGCCCTGAGAGGAAGGCGCCATCTCGCCCCTCGACCCAGATCGCTCCCGGCCCGCCGCTCACCTTGAAGTTGACCGGGTCCACCCGAAGCTTGTGCGCGTGCAGGTCGCTCAGGGCGGACAGCGCGTTGGGCATGTCGTCCACGTGCGCCACGGCGTTGGTCAGCGCGTCGGCCACCTTCTTGCCGTGGCCCTTAACCTGGGCAGAGCCGTGGCTCAGGTCGAAGTGCGGGAAGTAGGTCTTGGTGGTGGGGAAGGACAGGAACATCCTGCGGGGAGAAGCAGAGTGAGGGGTGGGGTTTGGGTCCGGGGCCAGGACGGTTGAGGGTGGCCTGTGGGTCCGGGCGGGCGAGGAGCCCGGGTCGGAGCAGGGGAGGGAGCCTCACCTCTCCAGGGCCTCCGCACCATACTCGCCAGCGTGCGCGCCGACCTTACCCCAGGCGGCCTTGACGTTGGTCTTGTCGGCAGGAGACAGCACCATGGTGGGTTCTCTCTGAGTCTGTGGGGACCAGAAGAGTGCCGGCCCGCGAGCGCGCCAGGGTTTATGCTTGGGGCGCGGGGGCACGCCCGGCCGGGCGGCGCTCATTGGCTGGCGCGGAGCCCGGGGCGCGGCCTGGACCGCAGGGGAGTCCCGGGCGGGGCCTGCGCGGGGCCGGGCGGCGGGCTCGGCCTCCCCTGGGGGTGCACGCGGGGCGGGGGCCAGGACGTCTCCACCCTCCACCCGCCACTCCACTCCCGCCCATCCCGCTCGCCCGGGGGCAGGGCGGTAGCGGCGCTGGCGGGGCCGGCCCGTTGGGGTCGGGCGCTGTCGGCTCGTGCACCCCGGAGCGCAGCGCCACCCTTTCCTTTCGGGCGCCGGAGCGTCCCTAGCGAGGGAGAAAGTCAGCCCGCACCCCCGCCCCGGCCTGGCACGCGCTGGACGCGCATCGACTCCAGCGGGATCGGGGAACACACGGGCGAGCGAGTGCGAGCCGGAGGGCTTCGCCCAATCCTGGGGCGGAGAGGAATGCGCGCACCCGGACGCCCTGGCCCATAGGAACTCAAAAGAATTTCTGCGCAGAGCCCCTCCTGCTCTCCAGCCTCGCTTCCTGCAGCTCCCTTTCCCTCTGGCGATAGTCACTAGTGTGCTTGAGTGACAGGCACCGGGAAGGAACAAACACCAGGACGCAAAAAGCACGGGGCTGGGCTGGGGGCGGCTCCAGATTCAGACTCCTCTACCCGGGGTTGTGGGGTGGCGCGTGGGGTGGTGGGTGCTGGCTAAGCCCCAAGTCATGGACTCACAGTTTGTGTGACTGACTCTCCCACTGGCCTAGAGGTCGTGGTTCACTGTGACACCCCCAGCTCTCCAAATGCTATCTGATGGAAGACTTGCTAGGTAAATACTGGTTGTAAACAGATAAACAAACTTGGCTCTGGGTAGGGAAAGGACAGGGGAGAGAAGGCCCCTGTGGTTGCAGAATGTAGGTGAGGGGATGTGGGGTGAGGAAGGAAGGGGTGGACTTGGCGAGGGGGAGGGTGGGAGGTGCAGGAGTGCCAGTGGGTGCATCCCTGCTCATGAAAAGTGATGGTTTGGCCAGGCTCGGTGGCTCACGCCTGTAATCCCAGCACTTTGGGAGGCCAAGGCGGGTGGATCAGCTGAGGTCGGGAGTTCGAGACCAGGCTGACCAACATGGAGAAACCCCGTCTCTACTAAAAATACAAAAATTAGCTGGGTGTGGTGGTGCACGCCTGTAATCCCAGCTACTCGGGAGGTGGAGGCTGGAGAATCCTTTGAACCAGGGAGTTGGAGGTTGCAGTGAGCCGAGATCGTGCCACAGCACTCTAGCCTGACGACACAGCGAGACTCTGTCTCAAAAAAATAAATACATAAGGCCGGGCGCGGTGGCTCACGCCTGTAATCCCAGCACATTGGGAGGCTGAGGCGGGCAGATGCGAGGTCAGGAGATCGAGACCATCCTCGCTAATGCAGTGAAACTCTGTCTCTATTAAAAATAGAAAAAATTAGCCAGGCGTAGTGGGGGGCGCCTGTAGTCCCAGCTACTCAGCTACTCGGGAGGCTGAGGGAGGAGAATGGCGTGAACCTGCGAGGTGGAGCTTGCAGTGAGCCGAGATTGTGCCACTGCACTCCAGCCTGGGTGACAGAGCGAGACTCCGTCACAAAAAAAAAAAAAAAAATAATAATAATAAAAATAAAAAAATAAAGTCATGATTTTTTGGGGGGATCATGATGGAAACATAGTAATAATCAGTGAGACTGTGGAATGGCGCAGAGCTGAATGAACTGGCTGAAAGGGATGCAGGGGAGACACTTCACTGAGAATAGGAAGTTGTACACAGGTATCTACAGTATGATGGTATTTTTGTCCAAAAAGAGAGCCTGTGGCAGTAGTTGTAGATGTAGCTGTGTTCCCTCAGCATGGGATGGGGCCCATGGGCTGAGTTCCAAACCCTTCATTTTGGTCTCTTCTGGGGGTGGGTGTGAGGAGACAGGAAAGAGAGACACTCTCCTACTTTAAGTAACACAAAAAAGGGTGTGTGTGTGTGTGTGTGTGTGTGTGTGTGAAAGCATGGATAGATTTTAGTTTATTTATTTATTTATTTATTTATTTTTTGAGACGGAGTTTTGCTCTTGTTGCCCAGGCTGGAGTGCAATGGCGTGATCTCAGCTCACCTCAACCTCCACCTCCCGGGTTCAAGCGATTCTCCTGCCTCAGCCTTCCTAGTAGCTAGGATTACAGGCATGCGCCACCACACCCAGCTAATTTTGTATTTTTAGTATAACTGGGGTTTCTCCATATTGGTCAGGCTGGTCTCAAACTCCCGACCTCAGGTGATCCTCTCGCCTCAGCCTCCCAAAGTACTGGGATTACAGGTGTGAGCCACCGTGCCTGTCGGATTTTAGTTTATTTTTTAAAGTGTTTCTGTTGAAATAACAATGCTCTGGGCTGTGAGGCACAGGAAGAGTGGGTGGTGGAGAGGGGGAGGGAACTCCCCAACAATTCAGAGAGGTCCATGTCCAGAAGAAAAGCGGTGACAGGGTCCTCTCCACCCTACCCAAAGCTCAATTCAGTACTGTGAGTGTGGAGGGGGAGGCTTGCTGTGGGGCAGGGGCTGGGCTGGAAGTGCTGCTCGTGTTCCTAGGCTGGCTGAGAGCCAGATGGGCTGTGCAACTTCCCAGCATGGATTCCAGGACTTCAGCACCGGGGACAGGGACGTTTCCAGAAGTTGCTGGCAGCACAGGAAGCAGAAGCACCAGGAGGTCCCAGAGGCCCTGGGTGGGGCAATTAGCTGGGAGCTCAGGGCTGGGCACACAGTGAGTTCTGAATGCACCTTACAAACTGCAGGAGACGTGCAGGAGTAAGGCCGCAAGGTGCTCTGCTGAAGAGTCTCCCCAGGTGTGGGCTGCCGGCTGTGAGCATCCCAGCCCCTTCCTCCTTCCCCACTGACTGGGCTGCTCTCAGAGGGTCACCATGACACAGGAAGTGTGAGTAGGGCCAGCACCCTCACTCCAGCCACCTACCCTCTGGCAGGAAGGGGTGAGAATGAGAGAAATGTTCTGGCACCTGCACTTGCATTGGGGACAGCCTATTTTGCTAGTTTGTTTTGTTTCGTTTTGTTTTGATGGAGAGCGTATGTTAACTGGGTTCAACCAGGGAGATTTCAAAGGAGGGTGGCGATGCTGGGACTCCCTGAGTAGAACCCTGGATGCCTCTCTCCTCCCCAGCTTCTGAGCCACTGCCTGCAGGCCTGGCACCTCTCAGGACAGGGGATGGTTCAGCACCTTCTCTTGAGCAGGCCCACCTCAGCTTCCCCTCCCATACTCCCTGCAGTTCTCCCTCCCCAGCCCCATGCAGCTGCAGAGAGGTCCTTGGTCTGAGACAGGTAAACACCTCCACTGTTGGCACATTCCGGGACAGAGAGAACCCAGGCACACACAGGCTGCTGCCTACTCGGACTTCATTCAAAGATCAGGAAGTGCTGGGGCAGGGAGGGGAGGAGGGCCTGGTGGGAGGCCCAGCAGGCAGGGGGCATGACCACCAATGCTCTAGCTTAATGGTGTTTTTAGGTCAACACAGCACTCACAAAAGCAAATAATTTGTCCATGGAGGCACCACATGGGTAAACTGGGAAGGGTGTGGCAGGCCTAGGTCACCAGCAGGCATTTACCCAGGAACTGTGGAGAGAGAGTCAGGGGATGCAGATACTACTGCCACCTGTGCTCCACCTCCCTGAACGCGTGGGAGGGTCTGTCCTATGAGGAAGGCCAGCTGCCCCCACACCCTAGATTCCTCCCAGCCCAAAGCTCTCCCTGATGTTGCCTGGGTCCACCCACAGCTCGTGGACATGCAGCTTCCTCAGCTCAGACACATCATTGGGCATGTCATCTAAGTGGACCACGGCATTGGTCAGCGTGTCGGCCACCTACTTGCATTGTTTCTTGATCTGGGCTGAGCCATAACTCAGGGCCAAGTGAGAGGAAGGTCAGGAACATGCTTCAGGGGGAAGCAAAGAGTGAGGGGCTGGGGGCTGGGTCCAGGGTAAGAATAGTTAGGGGTGGCCAGTGGAGCCCTGGAGTGGGCGTTGGACCCAAGGTGTGAGCAGGGAGAGGAGGGTTCTTGCCTCTCCAGGGCCTCCGTGGCATAGCCAGCAGTGTGGTTGCCAACTTTCTCCCAGACCGCCTTGGTGTTAGCCTTGTCCTCAGGAGACAGCACCACGGCAGCTTATTTCTGAGTCTGTGTAAGCTCAAAAGTGAAAGGTGGGGGAGAGTAGGAGCTCTTATGCCTGGGATGCAGGGTCATTGGCTGGCAAGTTGCCAGGAGGTGCCTGGCACAGGAAAGGGGAGGAGGAGTGAGTGAGAGTAGACAGGTTGCCCAAGGCTGCCCTGCGTCTCTTAGTCCTGCCCAAACAGAGACCAGCTCTCCACATGGTAGCCTTCCCGCTGGCATTGTCCTGAGCTTCCACACAGGGTCCTGAGCAGCTTATACCCATAAGGTATCCACATATGGCCCAGACCCAGGCAGCTTCCTGGATGGGGAGAAGAGCACAGTTTTTCCAAAGTGAAACATAAGCTGCTTTCACACCAAACTCTGCCTGGGACAAAAAGCTGTTAATTATCCATGTAAACAGTTGCGGGGGCTGGGTGTGGTGGCTCACGCCTGTCATCCCAGCACTTTGGGAGACCGAGGAGGGCAGATCACTTGAGGTCAGGAGTTTGAGACCAGCCTGATCAACATGGTGAAACTGTGTCTCTATTAAAAATACAAAAATTAGCCAGGAATGGCGGCCCATGCCTGTAATCCCAGCTACACGGGAGACAGAGGCAGGAGAATCGCTTGAACCCAGGAGGTTGAGGCTGCAGTGAGCCAAAACTGTGCCACTGCACTCCAGCCGGGGTGTCAGAGCAAGGGCCTATCTCAAAAACAAAAACAAAGCAAAAAAAAAAAAAACCCCCAAAAACAAAAAAACAGTTGGGGGATGTAGATAACGTGGGGCCAAGTTCTCCAAACTACCGGGCTGGGGTCCCAGGCAGTGCAGGGCAACAGGTCACTGGCACTGACTGCTGGGGGGAGTTTGGCCGACTCACAGTCAGGGCTCCACTTCCAGCAGCTCTCTTCAGACCTCGTTGCTGACTGCCAGGTCAGACCTGGGTGCCAGGCCTGGTCCAGTGCTCCCCACACAGACCCAGGATGGCCAACCCAGAGCCAACCCTATTCAGGGTTTGGAGACCTCCAAGGTCCCACTCTTTCCTCAGCCCCTATTCTTTGTCTGAAAAGCCTGGGGTGGAGCCCTAAGATTCCCTTCCCAGTCCTGGGGAGGGAGAAGAGGGAACCTGGGGAAGGGAGTGCCTTGGCCTGGGCACCTGCAGAGATTGAGACACGGCAGCTGGGGCTGGGTGGAGGGGTGGGGTGGCAACGACCCTGCAGGCACCCACCCTGTGTTATGATTTCAAAAATTATTTCAAAAATCTCGTGAGTTGGACGTTGTTTTTCTATTCGATAGGTAAAGGCCTGAGAGCTCTGGGACACGCCCAGGGTCGCACAGCTTGTCATTGAGCAGGCTGGAAGACTAAACCTGCTCTGTCTGCCAAATTGTGGCCACTGAGGACTTCCTCCCGACCTCATCCCCAGGGCTGCAGGGTCACAGGGAGGGCTAACCAGGCTAGCGCAGGTTTGCCACTGAGGAAGTGTCCATGGGGGAAGGAAGGGGAAAGGAACAGGTCTGCGGAGCCCTCTGCTCTGGGCCAACGAATTAGGTTGCACATTTGGCTCTGGGACCTCAGTTTCTGCATCTCTCTGCAAAAAGGGCCAGGATTAGCATCTACAGGTCCCAGCAGGAAGTGGGGATGGAGGGAGAATGAATGAATAAATGCGTGAATGGGGAAGTGCTTTGCGAACAGTATGGTTGGAAGCCCGATTCAAGGGTTGAAGTCGAAGGCCACCCTCCCTACCCCCGCCACATCACAGTGCTCCCTCTGCCCCATCGCACTCCTCGCCATGGGAGGACAAACCTCCGGGGGTGGGGCGCATTTGAGAGTTCTAGGAGGCTCCTTTTAGGTCCCTGAGCTTCACTGGCCAACAATAGTGACCTCGCTTTGCTAGCTCCCCAAAGACCACACAGGCAGGGGCAGATGGTTCGGGCCTCTGTTTATTGACAGGCACAGACCAAGGCCTGCGCAGCACAGGGCTCAGCGGTATTTTTCGGTCAGCACCACGGCCACACCAGTCAGGAACTTGTCCCACGCCGCTTGCATTTGCACGGTGAACTCGTCCTGCAGGTGGGAGGCCAGCACGACGTGGAAACACTGGATTAGCAGCTGCAGGAGAAGGGGCCGGTGAGACGGGGTCTGCCCCGCTAGGGACCCCCAGAGCCCCCCCACCCCGGCTGCGCGCTGCACCATTGCCCCGGCCGGAAAGGCCTCACCGGAAAGTTGGCTGGGTCCACGCGCAGCACGAGCGCGTGCAGGTCCGCCAGCGGGCTCAGCGCGGCGCGCAGGTTGTCCACGTGCTGCACCGCCGCGCCCACAGCCGCCAGCATGCGCTGCCCGTGGCTCAGCAGCTGCGTCGCGTCCTGGCAGGCGCTCAGGTGCGGGAAGTAGACCTTGGTGCTGGGGTACACCGTGAAGAGCCTGCAGGACCAGGTCAGTGACCGGGGAGGAGGGCGGCTGCGTGGGGCTTCACTAGCGCCCACACCGCCCAGAGCCCGGGGATCCGCACCCGAAGGACCTTGGATGGCGTTGGCGGCCCACGCGCCCAAAACCCTCATCTCCACCTCCCTGAGCTCCCGGAGACCCCGCCTCTACCGACCTGAGCAGCAGCTCCGCCCCGAATTGCGCCTCGTGGCCCGCAATCAGGTCCCAGACCTGCGCGATTTGGGCGCGCTCCTGGGCGCTGAGCATGGCGCCGCCTGACGTGCTCTGGGGGCCGCGCCCGCCGCCCTGGCCTCCTTATAGAGCCTCCGGGCACCCCGCCCGTCCTTATCGGCCCGAGCGCGGCGGGAACGCGGGGACCCTCGGCCTGCGCCGGGGAACGTAACCAGCCCGGGTTCCCGTCTGTGTGGAGGCCTCGACCTCCGGGATCCCAGGGTTTCTGGCATTGACCCACGCCGTTGCGCGTGGGCACCTTTACTGCAGACTTTAGGGGCATCTGTTTACTCCCCTCGGGTAAAGTTACTGCTCTGCCAGGAGGGAGCACATGGGAGGAACCGGAGAGAGAACACCGGGCAGGAAACCCCCTACTCTCTTAGGAGTCGGGGAGGGACCGGCCTCAGGGACCCCCGTAGCTGCCAGAGTCCCGGGATTCGGACGTCAGGCTTTGTGGAAAAGTTCCCTGAGCCCCGACACGCTTCCAATACGCTTAGTGAAGTGACAATCTTTGTGCGATATGGGAAGCCGGGAGACGCACAAACGCCCGTCCGACTCAAGGACCCCAGGAGACGCCGCGGGCCGGCCCGGGACTGCTCCGCTCCACCCGGGCCGCAGCTCCGGTGCTCAGGGGCTAGAACCTCCCCAAGGCGCCCCCCAAGTGAACCCCAGGCCGCGACGACAGTGGGGACGACCGAGTTCCTGCGAAGCCCCCGGACCCATCACTCAGCTTCTCCCCTCCTTCCCTCCAATACTGAGAACACAGAGCCCAGATCGCTCCGTCCTCATCCATTTATTGGAGTCAGGGCAGGAACTGTGGGAGGGTGAAGGGCAGGGGAGGGGCCGCAGCCTGTCCTGGGGGTCCCGGAGGCGGCGCTCAGCGGTACTTCTCGGTCAGGACAGAGGATACGACCGATAGGAACTTGGCCCAGGCGGCGTGGGCCTCGGCCGTGAAGTCGGCGGGGAAGCGCGCGGCCAGGGTGACCAGCAGGCAGTGGGACAGGAGCTGGGGGCGGGGGCGGCTCAGTGCGGGGGCGGGGCCTAGCCCGGGCCCCGCCCCGCGACCCCACCCCGCCCCGCCCCGCCCCGCGCCCCGCCCCGCGACCCCGCCCCGCGACCCCGCCCCGGCCCGGCCCGCCCCGCCCCGCGCCCCGCCCCGCCCAGCCCCTCCCCGCCCCGCCCCGCCCCGCCGGGCCCCGGCCGCCCCGCCCGCCCCGCCCCGCCCCGCCCCGCCCCGCGACCCCGCCCCGCCCCGCGACCCCACCCCGCCCCGCCCCGCGACCCCGCCCCGCGGCCCCGCCCGCCCCGCGGCCCCGCCCCGCCCCGCCCGCACCGCGCCCCGCGCACCTTGAAGTTGACCGGGTCCACGCGCAGGATGTAGGCGTGCAGCTCGCTCAGCTTGGACAGGGCGCCGCCGATGTCGTCGATGCTCTTCACCGCGTCGCCCACGGCGGCCACCACCTTGGAGCCGTGCGCGCGCAACTGCGCGGACCCCGGGTGCAGGTCGAAGTGCGGGAAGTAGGTCTTGGTCTGCGGGTGGCTGAGGAAGAGCCTGGGACGGGGGGCGGGGGCCGTGAGCTCCCAGCAGCGCGGCCTCCCGCCACGGCCCACGCGCCCTGCGGCCCTCTCCGAGCACCGGGACACATCTGCGACCCCGCAGCAGGCCCCAGCCCCTCCTCGCGGGGCCCGGGTGCCCAGGCAGCTGCCCCTCCCAGGCTGCCCTGGGCTAGAGGCCCCCCAGGCCTCTGCAGCTCCCGGCTGATCGCCCTGCTTCCGACGGGTTCTGTGCAGCCTGGTCCCCAAATCTCCCGCCCTCCGCCTCCAGCACGCCTGGTGCCCCCAGCCCCTCCACCGTCTCCTCTGGCCACAGGACCTCCCTCCCAGCCCCAGACTGGGTTGCCCGCCACCCCTTCTGCAGGCTCATGACCTCCCAGCAGCGTTCCAGGGAAGGAAAAGCTCCCTGGCCCCTCCCAGGGGATCAGATGCTGGGAATTTGAAGCTGGGACAGTGCCCTGATCCCAGATGCTGGGACTTTAGAGGCTGTAGTGCCCTGGCTGCCCTGTAAGGCCCTTCAGGCCTAGAACGAAACCTTTCACCCTCTGCTTGTCAGAACCTGGGCCTGTGCCTGCCCAGGTCTCAGCGAGCCCAGATGGTTGTGCAACTCCTAATCGTTCCCTCCTTACCCTGCCCTCCTCACTGAGAGGGAAGGCTATCTGTCTCCACTGTCCCCTCCCCACAGTCCCCTCCTCACTGTCCCTTCCTCACTCTCCCCTCCCCACTGTGCCCTCCCCATGGTCCCCTCCTCACTGTCCTCTCCCCACAGTCCCCTCCTCACTGTCCCCTCTCCATTGTCCCCTCCTCACTGTCCCCTCCCCATGGTCCCCTCCTCACTGTCCCCTCCCCAAGGTCCCCTCCTCACTGTCTCCTTCCCACGGTCCCCTCCTCACTGTCCCCTCCCCACGGTCCCCTCCTCACTGTCCCCTCCCCACGGTCCCCTCCTCACTGTCCCCTCCCTACGGTCCCCTCCTCACTGTCTCCTCCCCACGGTCCCCTCCTCACTGTCCCCTCCCCACGGTCCCCTCCTCACTGTCCCCTCCCCACTGTCCCCTCCCTATGGTCCCCTCCTCACTGTCCCCACTCCACGGTCCCCTTCCCATGGTCCCCTCCTCACTGTCCCCTCTCCACTGTCCTCTCCCCACTGTCTCCTACTCACTGTCCCCTCCCCACGGTCCCCTCCCCACTGCCCGCTCCCCACTGTCCCCACTCACATACCTGGCCTCCCACCCAGTCCCTCTGGCAGTCCCATCTGACACTCACCTCTCCAGAGTCTCGGTGCCGATGGTGTCGGCCTGCGTGGAGATCTTGGCCCACATGGACACAATGATGGTCCCCTAAGTCTTGGTCAGAGACATGGCGGCAGGGTGGGCGGCTGCACTGGAGTTGGGCCTGCTCAGGACTGGCCTTGGTAGTGCTCAGCCCCCAGGGTCCCCTTATATACAGGGAGCTGGGCCCAGCCAGGCTGTGGCCATTGGTCAGGTGAGGGGAGGGGGCTGCAGGGGTGGTGTTTCTTATCAGATCCAGTGACAAAGGGGCCCTCAGGTGGGACTGGGGGCTGAGGAACCTATCGCTTCTGTCTCCCCTTCTGCCCACCCCTGAGTCACAGCTGGAGCCCCAGCTTCAGGGAGATTGGGGCCCCAATCTGGGCATGAGAGTCCACGTGGTCAGCCCAGCCCGGACTGGCCTCAGGAGTGACTGTCCTTGACCTCCCTGTCCCTGTGATGACAGGGTGACCTAGAGCACATGGGCCCTGGCAGAGGGACGATCCATTCCTCACTTCACTGAAACTTCTCTGGCCCACCTTATGAGCTCCAGTTTGCAAATGAGGAAACCGAGACCCCCTAGAGAGAAAGTGGGACCCAGTGTCACAGGGTGGGAAGGGACAGACCTCTCCCACCTCCGGTGTGCAGCCCCCTCACCTGAATGAGGCTCGGTCTGGGGTTCTCCTCCAGTAGCCTTGTAGGGGACACTCTGAGCCGGGCACCTAGGCAGGAAAGCGTCTTGGGAGGCCGGACTCCTCACAGAAGGTGAGGTCATGCAGGCCTGCAATTCTGCTCACTATGTTCTCATCGCAGCCTGGAGGAGACCCTCCTCCAGCTCTACTGATTTATTTCTTTTTATCCTCTCTGTTTATTAACTCCCCCCTCCTCCGTTAGACAACCATTTCTATGTGCTGAATATATTCCTTTTAGTTAGTACGTGTGCTTGCAAAGGGTATGATTTTATGCATGTATTTTAAATTTATACGAATTATAGGTAGATATAAAAATTTTGTTTGTTAGTTTGTTTCTGAGATGGAGTCTTGCTCTGTCTCCCAGACTGGAGTGTGGTGGCATGATTTTGACCCACTGCAACCTCTGCCTCCTGGGTTCAAGTGATTCTCCTGCTTCAGTCTCCTGAGTAGCTGGGATTACAGGCACACACCACCACGGCCTGGCTAATTTTTGTATTTTTAGTACAGATGGAATTTCACCATGTTGGCCAGGCTGGTGTCGAACTCTTGACCTCAGGTGATCTGCCTGCCTCGGCCTCTGAAAGAGCTGGGATTATGAGCGTGAACCACCGTGCCCGGCCCATGCACATCTTTTTTAAATAGAGGATTTTTTAAAACAAGGGAAAAAAAGGCTGGGCGTGGTGGCTTGCTCATGGGGCCGCACATGGTGGCTCGTGGTTGTGATGAGGTCGCATCACTGCACTCCAGCCTGGGTGACAGAGCGAGGTTCTGCCTCAGAAAAAATAAAAATAAAAATAATAATAATAGAAAGAGAGAAAATGCATCTTCACACACTGATGCTTTTCCGTTGCTGCGTCAGCAAGCGTGCCCCCATCCCCGCTGACAGGTGCAACATCTTCAGCCTGCAGAGCTCCCCTTTGTGAACAAGCTCTAGTTTTTTTCTATTATAAACAACTCCATGAAGAATATCAGTGCTTTGGATCTTTTCCTGGTGATAGACCTCTAGAAGGGGAATTACTAGAAGGAGACTCAAGAGTATTCGTTTTTTAGCTTTTTGAAACAAATTACTTTTCAAGACAATTATATGGACTTACAGTTGCAAAATTAGCTGTTTGAGGCTCAGTGTGGGTGCCCTTCCTGCCCTCGGGCTGTCACCGCTGGCCTGGAGTAAGTTGGAAGTTTAGCACTACACACCATGGGGCAGCTTTCAGACCGCAGGCTGCAGAGGTGAGGGAATCCCACAGGAGACTGACACCCTTTGTTTTGAAAACTCCCTGGAGGGGGTCTCCAGCCAGAGTCAGGGTAGGGGGGGCAGGTGAGGCAGGTGAGGAGGGTATTGAAAGGACGCACAGGACCTTGGGGCCTGCAGTGTACCAGGCCTTGGGGTTGGGTGCATGAGGCAGAGGGATGCGTGCGATAGGATGTTAGCAACGGTAAATCAGCCTGGCTTGGAACCGGGTCAGGCGACTCCCCTGAGCCCCCTCTTCCCAAGCAGGGGCGCCTTTGGTCCTCAGAGGCTGGGGCATGGGGTTGCAGGGGCCTGGACGAGAGGGGCCGGGAGATCCTGAGGGCAGCAGATAAGGGCTGTACCACCAGCCCCAAGGCAGGCCCACAGCACCAAGTCTTTTCTCCCTGTAGCTGCAAGCCGTGCCGGGCTCCCTCACAGCCTGTGCCCCACAAGCCGTCCCGGGCACCTCTCACAACCTGTGCCCCACAAGCCGTCCTGGGCACCTCTTGCAGCCTGTGCCCCACAAGCCGTCCTGGGCACCCCTCACAACCTGTGCCCCACAAGCCGTCCCGGGCATCCTCACAGCCTGTGCCCCACAAGCCGTCCCAGGCACCTCTCACAGCCTGTGCCCCACAAGCCGTCCCGGGCACCCTCACAGCCTGTGCCCCACAAGCCGTCCCAGGCACCTCTCACAACCTGTGCCCCACAAGCCATCCCGGGCATCCTCACAACCTGTGCCCCACAAGCCGTCCCGGGCACCTCTCACAACCTGTGCCCCACAAGCCGTCCCAGGCACCCTCACAGCCTGTGCCCCACAAGCCGTCCCGGGCACCTCTCACAACCTGTGCCCCACGAGCTGTCCCGGGCACCCTCACAGCCTGTGCCCCACAAGCCGTCCCGGGCACCCTCACAGCCTGTGCCCCACAAGCCGTCCCGGGCACCTCTTGCAGCCTGTGCCCCACAAGCCGACCCGGGCACCCTCACAGCCTGTGCCCCACAAGCCGTCCCGGGCACGTCTCACAACCTGTGCCCCACAAGCCGTCCCGGGCACCTCTCACAACCTGTGCCCCACAAGCCGACCCGGGCACCTCTCACAACCTGTGCCCCACAAGCCGTCCCAGGCACCCTCACAGCCTGTGCCCCACAAGCCGTCCCAGGCACCTCTCACAACCTGTGTCCCACAAGCCGTCCCGGGCACCTCTCACAACCTGTGCCCCACAAGCCGTCCCGGGCACCTCTGAAACCTGTGCCCCACAAGCCGTCCCGGGCACCTCTCACAACCTGTGCCCCACAAGCCGTCCCGGGCACCCTCACAGCCTGTGCCCCACAAGCCGTCCTGGGCACCTCTCACAGCCTGTGCCCCACAAGCCGTCCAGGGCACCTCTCACAACCTGTGCCCCACAAGCCGTCCTGGGCACCTCTTGCAGCCTGTGCCCCACAAGCCGTCCCAGGCACCCTCACAGCCTGTGCCCAAGCCATTGGAAATACCAAGAGCTTCCTTGCACCAACAGCTTTTCACCTTTCTTTCTCCTTCTGGCTAGTCTTGTGTCCCGCCTCCACCCCAAGCCTGTGCTGTTATTTTCTAATAATGTGGGTGTGGCAGCTCAGCACCCATCCTGTCTACAACATGACATTAGCCTCCATCTGTGTCCTGGTGCTCCCATTGATGGGTGTGTCCATACAGACCTCTCTTCCGGACTCAGGCCCCAGGGCCTGATCCAGGGATGTATTTGATGTCCTCATCTGTGTGTCTCCAGCAAATCATCTCAACAATGGAACCGTGAAGTTCCCCACAAAGCCTACTCCACTGTCCTTCCCTGGCATCCCTGACTACTGCCCTTCCTTCCTGAGGCTCAGGCCGGAGAGCACAGCACCCTCGACACCCCCCACTCACTCCTGAAACTTACATATGGAGGAAAAGACAGACAAGGCCTCCTGTCCTCCCTCCCTCTATCCCTAGCTCCTGGCCACTCCCCTGAAGCCCCTTCCCTAGTATTGCCACTCCCTCAAATGTCACCACGTTAATAGACCTACAGTGGCCAACCCATTTAAAATCTGAATCCTCCCCTCCTCTGTCTAAGCCCCTACTTGCCCTGCTTTTCTTTATCCACAGGAAAAAAAAATGTTTCTGTTTACAGTCCACTAGAATGTAAGCTCAAGAGGAGCTTCAGGAATTTTTTTTTTTTTTTTTTTTGATGGAGTCTCGCTCTGTCTCCCAGGCTGGAGTGCAATGGCACGATCTTGGCTCACTGCAACCCCACCTCCTGGGTTCAAGCGATTCTCCTGCCTCAGCCTCCCGAGTAGCTGGGATTACAGGCTACCATGTCAGGAGTTTGAGACCAGCCTGGCCAACATGGTAAAACCCCGCCTCTACTAAAAATACCAAAATTAACCGGGCGTGGTGGTTCGCGCCTGTAATCCCAGCTACTCGGGAGGCTGAGGCAGGAGAACCTCTTGAACCCAGGAGGCAGAGGTTGCAGTGAACCAAGATTGTCCCACTGCCCTCCAGCCTGGGCGACAGAACAAGATTCCGTCTCAAAAAAGAAAAATAAATAAATACATATTTTAAAGAACATCCATTTCCTTCAGTAAATAACATCAAAAAGACTGCATTGATACGGTTAAATTCGCAGCACCCTCAGTCCTTTAGGGATGGAGTAAATGGCTGGTATCATTGCTTTCAAAAGGGTCTTGAACTTGATGTTGCTTCTGTTGATAGATGGATTTGGATCAATATTAACCTGATTTTGATGGTTGTTCTCTGGCTGTGCAGCCTAATGTCCTTGTTGATTTTAGGAAATACACAGTATATGGAGGATATTTAGAGTACGGATATTTGCATACCCCTCTCCAAGGGCTCCGAGAGAAAGAGCAAGTGGGGGCAAGAGAGAGCAAGCCGATGTGGTAGAATGTTAACAGCTGGAGAGTCTGGATGAGTAGTATTCAAGAGTTTTTCATATTCTTGTTATTTTATTTAACAGTTTTATTGAGATAAAATTCACCCACTTAATGTGTACATTTCAATAATTTTTTTTTTTTTTGAGACAGAGTCTCACTCTGTCGGCCAAGCTGGAGTTCAGTGGCACAATCTCGGCTCACTGCAACCTCTGTCTCCTGGGTTCAAGCAATTCTCCTGCCTCAGCCTCCCCAGTAGCTGGGATTACAGGCATGTGCCACCATGCGTGGCTAATTTTTGCATTTTTAGTAGGGACGGGGGTTTCACCATGTTGGCCAGGTTAGTCTGGAACTCCTGAGCTCAGGTAATCTGCCCGCGTTGGCCTCCCAAAGTGCTGGGATTACAGGGGTGAGCCACCACCCCCGGCCCATTTCAATAATTTTTAATGTGTTCACATAATTGTGCGACCATCACCATAATCAATTTTAGAAGGTTTCCATCACCCTCCAAAAGCCCCAAACCCACCAGCAGTCATCCTTCCTTCTCCATCTTTGTCTTATTCTTGCAGGGTGTTTTTATTTCTTCATAATCTGAATATGTTTCAAAATAAAAGCTTATGAAATTATTTTATATATGTTATGAGGAACAATAAACCACGGAGTGTTAGAGTGTCTTTGGAGTTCTTTCGGTCATAGCCGAGGTTCTGTGTTCAGAGGTCACCTGGAACAATCCTTTTTTCTGATTATTATATCACCACATTCTTACATTGGCTCATTTATTTAAGTTAGTTTTCAATTTGGGGGTTTTCAATTAGGAGTTTTCAATTTTCTCTCTCTTTTTTTTTTTTTTTTTAAATATAGATAAGGTCTCTCTCTGTTGCCCAGGCTGGAGTGCAGTGGTGCAATCATAGCTTACTACAGCCTGGAACTTCTGGGCTCAAGTGATACTCCCCTCCACCCCCAACTCAGCCTCCCAAGTAGCTGGGACTGCAGGTGCACCACCATGTCCAGCTAATTAAAAAATATATATATATTTTAGTAGAGATAAAGTCTTGCTATGTTGCCTAGGCTGGTCTTGAACTCCCAGGCTCAAGTGACCATCCCACCTTGGCCTCCCAAAGTGCTAAGATTCCAAGTGTGAGCCACTGCACCCAGTCACTCTTTTTGTTTGTGTGCTTTGCTTTTTTAGAGAGAGAGTATTGCTGTGTTGCTCAGGCTGAAGTGCGGTGGCACAATCATAGCTCACTGTAGCCTTCAACATCTGGGCTCCAGCAATCCTCCAGCCTCAGCCTCCTGAGTAGCTGGAACTGCAGGTGTGACGTAGGAGGTGGGACTCTGCATGTACTCCGGATGTTGGGCTCGGACACCGGACCAAACTGAGGACCAGCTAAAACAAGTAGGGCAGAAGCAGCTTTCCATAAGACACACCCACCAGTGTGCCATGGGAGTTTACCATCCCTTTCCATGGCAGTGACTGGACCACCCAGAAGTTACCACACTCATCCTAGAAATTTGTGCATAACTTTCCCTTAATTTGCATATAATGAAAAGTGGGTATAAAGATGAGTGCAGCAGTGCCTCTGAGTTGCTCTCCTGTGCACACAGCCTATGGGGTACCCCTGCTCTGTAAGGAGCAGTGTTCTGCTCCTGCTGTCTGCTGTGGCTTCGATATCAATCAGAGTTGCTGTGTAACACCACCAGCTTGCCCTTGAATTCCTTCCTGGGCAAACCTCCCAGGCTAACCCCCAATTTGGAGGCTACCATGCCCAGTTAATTTTTTAATCTTTTTGAGACGAGGTCCTGCTGTGTTACCTAGGCTGGCCTCCGACTCTTGGCATCAAGGGATCCTCCAGCCTTGGCCTCCCAAGTGGTAGGATTAGAGGCTTGAGCCACTGGCAAGGCCCCTCTTTTTATTTTAATCTTATTAATTTTGTAATTTTTTTTTTTTTTTTGAGAAGGAGTCTCACTCTATCACCTAGGCTGAAGGGCAGTGGCTTGAACCTGGCTCACTGCAAGCTCCGCCTCCCGGGTTCACACCATTCTCCTGCCTCAGCCTCCCAAGTAGCTGGGACTACAGGCACCCGCCACCACACCCGGCTAATTTCTTCTACTTTTTAGTAGAGACGGGGTTTCACCGTGTTAGCCAGGACGGTCTCAATCTCCTGACCTCGTGATCCGCCCACCTCGGCCTCCCACAGTGCTGGGATTACAGGCGTGAGCCACCGCGCCCGGCCTTAATTTTGTAATTTTTTTTAAAGACAGGGTCTCTCTATGTTGGCCAGGGTGGCCTTCAACTCCTGGCCTCAAGCAATCCTCTCCCCTTGGACTCCCAAAGTGCTAGGACTACAGGTATGAGCCACCATGCCCAGCCTGAATTTATTTTTGATAATGTAAAATATTTACACAAATCAAAGGTCAAAACTATGTAGAGAGTCAGACTTGCAGGAGCTTCCTTCCACCTTCCCCTCCATCCCCACCCACCTTATTATTTGTATTCATTTCCGGTTTGTCCTGCCATGGTTTATTTTTGCAGAAATAAGCACATGCGGGCACATACATGGTTGTGCACAAACACACATGTCCACACGCAGCCTCATACATAGTTATGCATAAGCTCACATATATGTGCACACACATATTCGTGTTTCTCCTCTGTTCCACCATTGTATACACACCATTCTAACCTCTTTATTTTCATTATTAGAAATTATCCTCATTTTAGGTCGGGCGCGGTGGCTCACACCTGTAATCCCAGCACTTTGGGAGGCCGAGGCGGGTGGATCACGAGGTCAGGAGATCGAGACCATCCTGGCTAACACGGTGAAACCCCGTCTCTACTAAAAATACAAAAAATTAGCCAGCCGTGGTGGCGGGCGCCTGTAGACCCAGCTACTCGGGAGGCTGAGGCAGGAGAATCGCTTGAAACCAGGAGGCGGAGCTTGCAGTGAGCCGGGATCGCACCACTGCACTCCAGCCTGGGCGACAGAGCGAGACTCCGTCTGAAAAAAAAAAAAAAAAAAAAAGAAATTATCCAATTATCCTCATTTTTTTTTTTCAGTCGAGCTCTCCATGGTGCGGATACCCTTGGTTTTTCCAGTTAGTCCTGATGATGGACACCTGGGTTTTCAGGTCTTTAGCAAATGAGATGCCCCGGTGGACTTGCGCCCCGGGCTGGTTCCCTCTGCCCTGGATGAGGGGTGCCCAGTGGAGGAGGGGCGCCTGCAGTCTGATCAAACTCTTGGATTTTTGCCTATCAGGGAGGTGAGACATGGATCTCAGTGAGGTTTTTTATTTTTGTGTAGTTTAACTTGCGTTTCTCTTATGAGTGAGGCTCAGCCTCTTTTCCTGTCTCATTTCTGTGAACTGTGATCTGACTGTCTTCATCACGTCTGTATCCCCCACTAGATTGTCAGCCCCACGGGGCAGAGGGCTTTCTTTATTTCAGCTGCGGTATCCATAGCCTAGAAACATGCCTAGGCTGTCTTATGCCCAGTAAATGTTTCATTGAGGAATGGAAGAAGGAATGAGTGAGCGCAGACGCCCATCCCTCCCCTCTTCGTCCTGATCGTTCTGAAATCAGGAAATAGTACACATTCGGGAGAAATAAAGAAGGAAGACCACGGAGGTCCCAGGGAGAGCCGCGGCGGGTGGGCGCCAGCACTGCTCCCCCCTCCGCAAAGGCCTAACTGCACCCCTTCTCCACCACGCCTGGGTCCCGAGTGACCCCCGCTCCCGCCCCGGGAGCTGCACATCCCTCTGCCTCTTAGAGACCCTGGGGTCGGTGCAAGGATCCCTGCGGCCCAGCAGTGGCCCCGAGACAGCCGGGGCGCCCTCCTCCCGCTCCGCCTCCCCAAGCGCCCGCCGCCCACGGACAACAGAGACCAGGTGGACGCTGCTTCGTTCATTGGTTTATTGGCGCATTACGCGGTAAGTGGGGCTGGGGAACCTCCAGGACGGGGGAGGGGCCGCAGCCTGTCCTGGGGGTCCCGGAGGCGGCGCTCAGCGGTACTTCTCGGTCAGGACAGAGGATACGACCGATAGGAACTTGTCCCAGGCGGCGTGGGCCTCGGCCGTGAAGTCGGCGGGGAAGCGCGCGGCCAGGGTGACCAGCAGGCAGTGGGACAGGAGCTGGGGGCGGGGGCGGCTCAGTGAGGGGGCGGGGCCTAGCCCGGGCCCCGCCCGGCGACCCCCGCATCCGCCCCGCGACCCCGCCCCTCCCCGCCCCTCCCCGCCCCGCCCCGCCCCGCCCCGCCCGCACCGCGCCCCGCCCCGTCCCGCCCCGCCCGCACCGCGCCCCGCGCACCTTGAAGTTGACCGGGTCCACGCGCAGGATGTAGGCGTGCAGCTCGCTCAGCTTGGACAGGGCGCCGCCGATGTCGTCGATGCTCTTCACCGCGTCGCCCACGGCGGCCACCACCTTGGAGCCGTGCGCGCGCAACTGCGCGGACCCCGGGTGCAGGTCGAAGTGCGGGAAGTAGGTCTTGGTCTGCGGGTGGCTGAGGAAGAGCCTGGGACGGGGGGCGGGGGCCGTGAGCTCCCAGCAGCGCGGCCTCCCGCCACGGCCCACGCGCCCTGCGGCCCTCTCCGAGCACCGGGACACATCTGCGACCCCGCAGCAGGCCCCAGCCCCTCCTCGCGGGGCCCGGGTGCCCAGGCAGCTGCCCCTCCCAGGCTGCCCTGGGCTAGAGGCCCCCCAGGCCTCTGCAGCTCCCGGCTGATCGCCCTGCTTCCGACGGGTTCTGTGCAGCCTGGTCCCCAAATCTCCCGCCCTCCGCCTCCAGCACGCCTGGTGCCCCCAGCCCCTCCACCGTCTCCTCTGGCCACAGGACCTCCCTCCCAGCCCCAGACTGGGTTGCCCGCCACCCCTTCTGCAGGCTCATGACCTCCCAGCAGCGTTCCAGGGAAGGAAAAGCTCCCTGGCCCCTCCCAGGGGATCAGATGCTGGGAATTTGAAGCTGGGACAGTGCCCTGATCCCAGATGCTGGGACTTTAGAGGCTGTAGTGCCCTGGCTGCCCTGTAAGGCCCTTCAGGCCTAGAACGAAACCTTTCACCCTCTGCTTGTCAGAACCTGGGCCTGTGCCTGCCCAGGTCTCAGCGAGCCCAGATGGTTGTGCAACTCCTAATCGTTCCCTCCTTACCCTGCTCTCCTCACTGAGAGGGAACGCTATCTGTCCTCACTGTCCCTTCCTCACTGTCCCCTCTCCACGGTTCCCTCCTCACTGTCCCCTCCCCAAGGTCCCCTCCTCACTGTCCTCTCCCCACAGTGCCCTCCCCACTGTCTCCTCTCCATGGTCCCCTCCCCACTGTCCCCTCCCCACCGCCCCCTCCCCACTGTCCCCACTCACATACCTGGCCTCCCACCCAGTCCCTCTGGCAGTCCCGTCTGACACTCACCTCTCCAGAGTCTCGGTGCCGATGGTGTCGGCCTGCGTGGAGATCTTGGCCCACATGGACACAATGATGGTCCTCTCAGTCTTGGTCAGAGACATGGCGGCAGGGTGGGCAGCTGCACTGGAGTTGGGCCTGCTCAGGACTGGCCTTGGTAGTGCTCAGCCCCCAGGGTCCCCTTATATACAGGGAGCTGGGCCCAGCCAGGCTGTGGCCATTGGTCAGGTGAGGGGAGGGGGCTGCAGGGGTGGTGTTTCTTATCAGATCCAGTGACAAAGGGGCCCTCAGGGCCTGGTGGGACTGGGGTTTGGGGGCTATCACTCCTGTTCCTCTCCTGTGGCCTTACAGGGGGTGTTGGCCAGAGTCTGACCACAGAGTCTAGGAGAGATAGGGGCCCCACCCTCCCAGGAAGTCACTCCTGCATTTGTAGTCCAGTTCTGCACCGTCCTTATTCATTTCAGAATCACGACTTGGGGGAAACCAGAGGAGCAGGGCCCAGTAAGCAGCCTCCTGGGACCAAGCCCCACGGTCGGCTGACACCGACCTCAGGCAGCCCTGCCCAACCACATGCCAGTACCCTTCCACTTTGTCTCTGGATTCCTGGGTTTCCTCCAAGAAAGCAAGGGTTAGGTCCACCCAGCGCTGAGGGGAGATGTACTGGATCTGTCCCCTGACAAGCAGGAGGAGGCAGCAGGTCCGGGGACAAAGGAGAATTCACCTAATGTCATGTGCTAATAGGCATTGCAATATTGCTTTCCATATTAGTTATTGTAACATAATGAGGCAAATATTCCTTTTAATTTTTTTTTCTTTTTTTGAGATGGAATCTCGATTTGTCGCCCAGGGTGGAGTGCAGTGGTGCGATCTCAGCTCACTGCAACCTCTGACTCCCTGGTTCAAGTGATTCTTCTGCCTCAGCCTCATGAGTAGCTGGGATTACAGGCACCCGGCATCATCTCTGGCTAATTTTTGTATTTTCATAGAGATGGGGTTTCACCATGTTGGCCAGGATGGTCTCGATCTCCTGACTCCTGATCCACCTGCCTCAGCCTCCCAAAGTGCTGGGATTACAGGCATGAGCCACTGTGCCCGGCCAATTTTTTTTTTTTTTTTTTTTTTTTTTTTAGTAGAGACGGGGTTTCACCATCTTGGCCAGGCTGCTTGAACTCCTGACCTTGTGATCCACCCGCCTTGGCCTCCCAAAGTGCTGGGATTACAGGCATGAGCCAGCGCGCCTAGCCAATATCTTTTCAAGTATTTTGTCTTTTTTTTGAGACGGAGTCTCGCTCTGTTGCCCAGGCTGGAGCGCAGTGGTGCGATCTCCACTCACTGCAAGCTCCGCCTCCCAGGTTCACGCCATTCTCCTGCCTCAGCCTCCCGAGTAGCTGGGACTACAGGCACCTGCCACCATGCCTGGCTAATTTTTTGTATTTTTAGTAGAGACAGGGTTTCACCGTGTTAGCTAGGATGGTCTCAATCTCCTGACCTTGTGATCCGCCTGCCTCGGCCTCCCAAAGTGCTAGGATTACAGGCGTGCACCACCACGCCTGGCCTGTTTTGCCCATTTAAAAATTGGGTGGTTTATTCTCTTAAGGATGAATTTTTAGAATTCTGTGTATCGTCTGGAAGCAATCCCTTGTCAGATATGCAATTTGCAAATGTTTTCTCTTAGTTTGTAGCTTGTTAGTTCATTCTCTTAATATTGTCTTTTGTAGAGCAAAAGTTTTAATAAAGTCCAATTTGTCAAAAAATTTTAAATGAATCTTACTTAGTGCCATGCCTAGGAACTGTCTGCCTAACCACAGAACACAAAGAGTTTCACCTATATTTTCTTCTAAAGTTGTATAGTTTATGTTTATATTGAGATCTACAATCCATTTTGAGATGACTTTTGTCTGAGGTGTGAAGGGCAGGTCCAGATTCTTCTGTTTGCTTGTTTGTTTTTTTGCCTACAGATGTCCAATTGTTCCAGCACTGTTTTTTGAAAAAGCTATACGCTTTCTATTCAGTTGGCTTCTCGCACTTATTTGTAAAAAATGAATGGGGCATAGGTTTGCGGGTCCATTTCTGGGCTCTCTGTTCTGTTCTGTGTGTCTATCCTTTACCACAGCCACAGTGCCTTGATTAACATAGCTCTGTGATGTCTTAAAATTGAATGATGTCTCACAGAATGAGAGAAACATATTTGCAAATCATATATCTGATAGGGAAGTTATCCAAACACATACAAAATATCTTTTTTGTTTTTGTTTTTTTTTTAGACAGAGTCTTGCTCTGTCACCCAGACTGGAGTGCAGCGGCGTAATCCTGGCTCGCTGCAACCTCTGCCTCCTGGGTTCAAGCAATTCTCATACCTCAGCCTCCTGAGTAGCTGGGACCACGGGTGTGCATCACCATGGCTGGCTAATGGTTTTTTTTTTTTTGTGACAGAATTTCGCTCTTGTCGCCCAGGCTGGAGTACAATGGCATGATCTCAGCTCACCACAACCTCTGCCTCCTGGGCTCAAGCCATTCTCCTGCCTCAGCTTCGTGAGTAGCTGGGATTACAGGCATGCACCACCACACCCGGCTAATTTTGTATTTTTAGCGGAGTCGGGGTTTCTCCATGTTGGTCAGGCTGGTCTTGAGCCCCCGACCTCAGGTGATCCACCCGCCTTGGCCTCCCAAAGTGCTGGGATTACAGGCGTGAGTCACCACGCCTGGCCACACCTGGCTAATTTTTTTGTATTTTTAGTAGAGATGGTGTTTTGCCATGTTGGCCAGCCTGGTCTCGAACTCCTGACCTCAAGTGATTTGCCCACCATAGCCTCCTAAAGTGCTGGGATTACAGGCGTTAGCCACCGTGCTTGGCCCAAAATATCTTACAACTCAGTAATAAATAGACAAGTAATCAATTAAAAAATGGCAGCTGGGTGTGGTGGCGCGATCTCGGCTCATGGCAACCTCCGTCTCCCGGGTTCAAGCAATTCTCTTGCCTCAGTCTTCCGAGTAGCTGGGAGTACAGGCATGAGCCACCACGCCTGGCTAATTTTGTATTTTTAGTAGAGACGGGGTTTCTCCATGTTGGTCAGACTGGTCTCGAATTCCCGACCTCAGGTGATCTGCCCGCTTCAGCCTCCCAAAGTGCTGGGATTACAGGCGTGAGCCACCGCGCCCGGCCTGAATTATACACTTTAAATGGGTGAACCGTATGGTATGTGAATTTTATCTCAATAGAGCTGTTAAAAATTGAGGAATGTGATTCCTCTCGCTTTATTCTTCCTTTTCAAAATTTCTTTGGCTATTCTAATTTCTTTACCTTTCTGTATTAATTTTAGAGTTAGCCAAAGAGTTATCTGCACAAAATCCTGCTGGAATTATGATGCAGTCAAAGGCAAATGTTTTCTTTAAGGAGAAGTTTGTTTTGTTTTGTTTTCCCCTGTCAGGAGAGCTTTGACCACAGGCATTTTTTTTTGAGATGGAGCCTGGCCCTGTCATCCAGGCTGGAGTGTACTTGATGTTTTACTCGTGTAATGGCCCTCATTCTTCCATGCCTGAGATATGAGATGATGAGATTGTCAGGGGTTGAGGGCAGCAGCAGCCTTTGATGCCCTCCGGGCTTAGCAGATGGGAGGGGCTCTCCACCAGGCTTCCAGGAACTCCCTTCTAGCACTGCGTGGATCCTCCTTGCTGGTCTGTTCCTCGTGCACATTTCACAGCGGCTCCTCTCTCCCATGGGTGTGCCCACCCACTCTGGCCTTACCCCTGTCTTGCTCACTGTCCTGGGAAGTGCTGCTGACCGCAGGAGGCCAGTGTATCCTTTGCTCATCTGGGGCTTCTTTCAGACCGAGATGAACTGGCCCTCCCTGGTCACCCTTCGCTGTTGCTGGGTTCAGAAGGACACTCCTGGTTCATCTCAGCCTGGCACCTAGGGGCACCTTGGGCACATGGGCCCATGAGGAGGGGATGTGGGTCTGTGCCTGAGGTTTCGGCTTCTCAATAGGAGAGAAGGTGGCAGAGAGAGGGACAGAGACAGATGAATAGACTGGCAGAGAAGACAGTGAGTGATGGAGGAGGCTGAGGGTCAGGCGGAGGGAGATATACAGAGCAGGGAAGGCAAGTCCAGAGGCCGAGCGCACGGGGCATTTGGGCCGTGAAGGGCTCTCAGTGCCTGGGAGAATTCCTCCAGCTGCAGAGTGAGGACCTGTGCCCAGAAGGCACTGCAGGGCTGCTCTGCCCCCTAACAGAGGAGGAAGTAGAGTCCTGTTTCCAGGGTAGGTGCCACCCACGCTGAGGAATGGTCCTTAGCCATTTTGAGGCCCCAGGGCCTCCTCTTTCCCTACTGGAACCACCTGCTCTTCCCATCCTTGGCCCCCGCAAGGAGAGGAATTGAATCTGAAATTTCCAAACCTGCAAAGCAGCGTTATGGGCAGGAGCTCTTTTCTGTTTTTCCATTGTGAAATATAGCACAAGATGTAGACTATAGTTTAACGAATTATTAGAAAGCGGACAGCACCCCAATCCTCCCCAAAGGTAACCTCCACCTGACTTCTTGCTTTTCAGTAAGTTTTTTTTTTTTTGAGAGGGAGTCTCGCTCTGCTGCCCAGGCTGGAGTGCAGTTGCACGATCTTAGCTCACTGCAAGCTCCACCTCCCGGATTCATGCCATTCTCCTGCCTCAGCCTCTCGAGTAGCTGGGACCACAGGCACTAGCCACCATACCTGGCTAATTTTTTATATTTTTAGTAGAGACGGGGTTTCACCGTGTTAGCCAGGATGGTCTCGATCTCCTGACCTCGTGATCCGCCCGCTTCCCAAAGTGCTGGGATTAAAGGCGTGAGCCAGGCCTGCTTTTCAGTAAGTTTTTAACTACTCAGATATGCATCTGCAAGCACTTTGGTTGTTTTTGCCTGCTTTTCACCTTCATAGAAATGAAACGATACAGAATGCTCTCATTTGTGTCTGTCTGGCTTTTGTTTATTTGTTTTGAGACAGGGTCTTGCTCTATTGCCCAGGCTGGAGTGCAGTGGTACGATCATAGCTCATTGCAGCCTCGACCTCCCAGGCTTAAGTGATCCTCCTGCCTCAGCCTCCCAAGTAGCTGGGATCACAGGCACATGCCACCATGCCCAGCTAATTTTTTTTTTTTTTTTGTAGAGGTGGGGTTTCACCATGTTGCTCAGGCTTGTCCTGAACTCCTGGGCTCAAGTGATCCTTCTGCCTTGGCCTCCCAAAGTGCTTGGATTACAGGCATGAGCCACTTTATGCAATCTGTTATTTATTTATTTAATTTATTTATTTTTAATTATTATTTTTTTGAGATGGAGTCTCGCTCTGTCGCTCAGGCTGGAGTGCAGTGGCATGATCTCGGCTCACTGCAAGCTCCACCTCCCGGGTTCATGCCATTCTCCTGCCTCAGCCTCCTGAGTAGCTGGGACTACAGGCGCCCGCCACCATGCCCGGCTAATTTTTTTGTATTTTCAGTAGAGACAGGGTTTCACTGTGTTAGCCAGGATGGTCTTGATCTCCTGACCTCGTGATCTGCCCACCTCAGCCTCCCAAAGTGCTGGGATTACAGGCATGAGCCACTGCTCCCGGCCTGTTGGTTATTTATTTATTTATCTATTTATTTTCGAGACGCAGTCTTGCTCTGTCACCCAGGATGGAGTACAGTGATGCGATCTTGGCTCACTGCAACCTCCGCCTCCTAGGTTCAAGTGATTCTCCTGCCTCAGCCTCCCGAGTAGTTGGGACTACAGGCATGCACCACCACACCTGGCTAATTTTTGTATTTTCTAGTAGAGATGGGGTTTCACTGTGTTAGCCAGGCTGGTCCTGAACTCCTGACCTCAGGTGATCTGCCCGCCTTGGCCTCTGTAAGTGCTAGGATTATAGATGTGAGCCACCAAGCCTGGCCTTTAAAAAAATATTTTTAATCCAACTGTCTGCACACTGAATGTCCATCTTCTTTCACTCTCTCATGTCAGATTTACCAGCCATGTTATATGTGTTCATTTTCATTGCTGTATCTATTAATATTTCCTTGTAGGAATATACCACAGTTTATTCATTGTACTGGGGCTGGAACTTTGTGTTGTTTAGTTCTTGGCTATTATGAATAATGCTGCAATAAACATTCCTTTACATGTCACCTGGTACCCACATGCCTGAAATTCTATTTTGTACATACATACCTAGGAGTAAAGTTGCTGGGTCATAGGGCATATAGATTTTCAACTTTAGTAAAGAATGCCAAACTTTTTCACAGTGGTTAACCAACTTATGTTTTCCCTAGTGGTGTGCGAGCATTCTCCTTGCTCCAAATCCTTCTAAACATTTGATATGATCGGTGTAGTACTCCATTTTCTGTTGCTTATAATAGAATACCTGAGACTGTGGAATTTATTTTAAAAGGAATTTATTTCCTATAGTTACGGAGGCTGAGAAGTTTCGAGCCCAGTGGGGACTCGTGCAGAGTCCCAAAGTGGCACAGAGTATTAATCGCAGGTCGTGTGGGCTGAGCATGCTTGTGTGCCACCTCAGATCTCTCTTCTTTTTTTTTTTGAGACAGAGTCTTGCTCTGTCGCCCAGGCTGGAGGGCAGTGGCGCGATCTCGGCTCACTGCAAGCTCCGCCTCCCAGGTTCACGCCATTCTCCTGCCTCAGCCTTCCTAGTAGCTGGGACTACAGGTGCCCGCCACCACGCCCGGCTAATTTTTTTGCATTTTTTTTTTAGTAGAGACAGGGTTTCACTGTGTTAGCCAGGATGGTCTCGATCCCCTGACCTTGTGATCCGCCCATCTCGGCCTCACAAAGTGCTGGGATTACAGGTGTCAGCCACCGTGCCCGGCCAGGTCTCTCTTCTTATAAAGCCACCAGCCACACTCCCATGACAACTCATTAATCCATTCCTTGGGGGAGGACCCTCATGATCCAACCTCCTTACCCCAAAGGCCCCACCTCTCAACGCTGCCACACTGGGGATTAAGTTTCAACAAGAGTTTTAGAGGAGACAAACATTCCAACCATAGCAGTCAAACTCCTGGTCTTCTTAAATTTTAGCCTTTTTTAGGCCGGGCACAGTGGCTGATGCCTGTAATCTCAGCACTTTGGGAGGCCAAGGCGGGCAGATCACGAGGTCAGGAGTTCGAGACTAGCCTTGCCCACATGGTGAAACCCCGTCTCTACTTAAAAATGCAAAATTAGCTGGGTGTGGTGGTGTGCGCCTGTAATCCCAGGTACTCAGGAGGCTGAGGCAGGAGAATCGCTTGAACCCAGGAGGCGGAGGTTGCAGTGAGCCAAGATCGCGCCATTGTACTCCAGCCTGGGCAATAGAGTGAGACTTCATCTCAAAAAAAAAAAAAAATTACCTTTTTATTGGGTGTGTGATTTTTGGTGAGTGTGTAGTGGTTTCTCTTGTGGTCTTAATTTACATTTTCCTGATAATTAGTGAGGTTGAGCCCATATTTACTGGCCATTTCGGTTTCCTCTTTATTAAAGTATTTTAGTCTTGGCCACTTTCCCACTGTGTTGCCAGTCACTGATTTGTAGAAATTTCAAAAATATTCTGGATATAATTCCTTTGTCACTTTTATGTGTTAGATCTCCCCAACTCTGTATCTTAGTGATATTCTCGTTAAACAAAAGTTTGTAATTTTAATGCAGTCAAACTAGTGACTTTAAAAATCCAATTAAAAAATGTTATCCCTTCCATTCCCAATAGCCAAAAGGTAGAAACAACCCAAATGTCCATCACTGGATGAACAGATAAGCAAACTGTGATATTTCCACACCGTGAGATATTATTCAGCCATGAAAATGAAGTTCTGACCCAGGCTACGACATGGACAAGCCTCGAACCATTACACCAAGTGAAGGACGTCACACACCAGAGGCTACGTGCTGCATGAAACTGTGGGGCTTAGATAAGCCATTTTTAGGAAACATCCAGAATGGGCAAATCCCAGCAGAAAGTAGATTAGTGGTTGTCAGGGCCGGGGAGGACAAAGGCCGGGAGAGATGCCTCCGTGAGGAGGGCGTTTCCATCTGAGGCGATGAAAATGTCCTGGAACCAGGGAGAAGTGGTTGTTGCACAACACTCTGAATGTGCTGAATGCCGTTGACTTGCTCTCGTTAAAATGGTTATCTTTACGTGATGCAAATTTTATCTCAAAGTGAAGAGAGTCTCCTAGACCACATTTTTTTTTTTTTTTTGAGACAGGGTCTCAGTGTCTCGCCCAGATTGGAGTGCAGTGGCGCCATCTTGGCTCACCGCAACCCTCTACCTCCCAGGCTCAAGCGATTCTCCTACCTCAGCCTCCCAAGTAGCTGGGATTACAGGTACATGCCACTACCACCCGGCTAACTTTTTTTTTTTTTTTTTTTTTGAGACGGAGTCTCTCTCTGTCTCCCAGGCTGGAGTGCAATGGCGCGATCTCAGCTCACTGTACCTCCGCCTCCTGGGTTCAAGCGATTCTCCTGCCTCAGCCTCCCGAGCAGCTGGGATTACAGGCACGTAGCACTACACCCGGCTAATTTTTTGAATCTTTAGTAGAGACGGGGTTTTACCACGTTGGTCAGGTGGTCAGGCTGGTCTCGAACTCCTGACCCTGTGATCCGCCCGCCTCAGCCTTCCAAAGTGCTGAGATTACAGGCATGAGCCACAGTGCCCGGCCACTAGACCACATTTCTAAAAGCTTTACAGTGTGGTCTTTTGCGTTTGGTGACAGTCAACCTTGGGTTGACTGTGTTGAGGGGAGTCCATGTCTGTTTGGCTGGCATCTGTTGAGCACTTTCTAAGTTCTGCACATGGCAGCAACACTCTTCATTCTGGGTGCTTTATCCTCACAACCACCCTGTGAGGGAGGGTTTATTTTATTGTCATTAGTTGGGTTTTTTGTTTGTTTGTTTTGTTATGTTTTGTTTTGTTACAGGGTCTTCTTACTCTGTCCTCCAGGCTAGAGTGCAGTGTGACAATCTTGGCTCACTGCAGGCTCAACTTCCCAAGCTCAGGTGATCCTCCCACCTCAGCCTCCTGAGTAGCTGGGACTATAGGCATGTGCCACTATGCCTGGGTAATATTTGTGTTTTTAGTAGAGATGGCGTTTTGCCATGTTGCCCAGGCTGGCCTCAAACTCCTGAGCTCCAGTGATCCACCCACCTCGGCCTCCTAAAGTGCTTGGGATTACAGGCGTGAGCCACTGCACATGGGCATCATTACATTGGAAAGATAAGGAAACGGAGGCTCCAGGAGGTTATGAAACATGTCTGAGGCTTCCATGGAGCAGGAAACAAGCCCTGATGGTTTGTGTGGGCTGGGAGTCCGGCTGGGGCTGGGGCTTGTCCCTTCCTGTCCCTGGGCCTTGGTTTGAGCCCCAGCCTGTGCAGTGAGTGTGGAATGCTGGTGTCCACTGGTGGTTTCTGGCCTGAATTCCAAGCTCCAGGCACGTTCTGTGCCTGAGCAGCTGAGGCTGAGCTCAAAGGGTGTCTGGCCACTTACAAGCCACTGGACACTCAGCAGAATGCCGGATTGGGCATCTGCAAACTCTCCCATGAGAGTGGACCCTCGGTGACCCTGAACAGGCTAATTTGCCTTGTGAGTCCTAGTTTCACTGTTTTCACCTCTAGGATGGGGATTAGACTAGCCCCCACCTCAGTGTTGGGAGGGCGCTCAGGAACTTGCAGCATGAATTTTAAATTATTTCTATTACTACTGTGTGTGAGTGGTTCTCCCTGGTGGGGCAGCAACACTCAGCTGAGAAGGTGGAGGTGTCCAGGCAAGTCCCAGATAGCGTCTGTGAACCCCACCCGGCCCTCCTGCAGATGGCGGTGGCCCTTTGAGGCCCAGACCAAGTGGCAGGACCGATAAGGCCTCCTATCCTGCCAAGGGCAGGCCCAGGCTGGGAGGAAGGGTCAGGGGTTTCAGTTTCCAAAAATCTACTTACCGTCAAAAAAGCAGGTCATGAAACAGCTATTTAAAGGTAAAATGAGGAGACTTGGAGGTGTGGGGTCTTAGCAGAGAAGAGCCTGAGGATGTCCCCTGTAGCAAATGGAGGTTGGCCCTGGTGCTTCATTGTCCAGGAGACCCTGGGAGAACTTAGAGCTGGGACTCACTCAGGGACCATCTGCTCTGAACCCTGTTACTGGTGGGGAAACTGAGGTCCAAAGCAAGGCCCACTGACCCTCAGGCCAGCGTGTGACAATGATGTCTCATTTCTGTCACAGCCAATGAGGTGCAAACATGGACATGAGGGTGGCGCTGGGATCCAGAGTGCTGCTTCGAGGGCAGGGACGCACCCAGGACCTCTGTGGGCTGGGGTCATGGTGAGCTCCCTGCACTTTCACCAGTTCGAGCTCTCATTATGACTGACGATAGTCAGAAGAATGAACAATGAGTGCCAGGGTTACTGGCAGGAGGCCAACCCTGAGAGGGTAACCGGGGGAACAGTGGGATCCTTTGAGCCCAGAGATGTCCAGTCTGGAGCCCCAAGGTTCTGCCCATTGGGGCAGCAGCACGATTAGGTCAGAAGAGCGAGACCTGAGTCACAGTCCTGCTCCATTCGCATGGTCGCTGTGAGGGTCCCTGTGAGGAGGCCTCCATTACCACCACCGGCCACTGCCCTGGGTTCCCCCACCCCCATCTGTCCCATCTCACCCCTCCAGCCTCAAGCCCTGCTCCTGCAGTCTCATTTCCATCCCAGAGGCACTCCTGGGAAGTGCGGGAGAACTCACAAACCTTTTGATTATACATAAAATCAAAACATGGACAACGGGGATAAAGCCTTGCAAAATGTGTAGCAGAGGTTATGTATTCCTCAGAAAGAACACAGCCAGACCATCCAAGAACAGACCACCTGTAAAGAAAACAAGAAAAGCAATTCTCTGCAAATAATTAAGTGATGCAGCTCTCCCTCTCAATCAAAGAAATGCAACATAGAACAAGACACCATTTTCCTTTCTGGGAATTTCAGGAAAAAAAAAAATGTTATGCAGGCCGGGCACGGTGGCTCACGCCTGTAATCCCAGCACTTTGAGAGGCCGAGGCGGGTGGATCAAGAGGTCAGGAGATCGAGACCATCCTGGCTAACGCGGTGAAACCCCGTCTCTACTAAAAATACAAAAAAATTAGCCGGACGTGGTGGCGGGCGCCTGTAGTCTCAGCTACTGGGGAGGCTGAGGCAGGAGAATGGTGTGAACCTGGGAGGTGGAGCTTGCAGTGAGCTGAGATCGTGCCACTGCACTCCAGCCTGGGCGACAGAGCAAGACTCCATCTCAAAAAAAAAAAAAAAATTAGCCTGGTGTGGTGGCGGGCACCTGTAGTCCCAGCTACTTGGGAGGCTGAGGCAGGAGAATGATGTGAACCTGGTAGGTGGAGCTTGCAGTGAACTGAGATTGTGCCACTGCCCTCCAGCCTGGGTGATAGAGCGAGACTCTGTCTCAAAAAAAAAAAAAAAATGTTATGCAGCCCTGTGCAAGAAAACGCACCTGTTGGTACTGTTGAGCCATTTCAAATGCACGTACCCTTCACCCTGGTGAGGCCAATCCACAAATTTGTTCTGCAAAATACACATTAGTGTCAGTGTTGGTGCAAGAGGGTTACTTGCAACAGTGAAAATGCTCATCCCTCAGTCAAGTGGTTAGGTTCTGATGCATTTGATGTGCTTGGGAAAGTTCTGGAAGCAGCCAAAGAAGCTCATTACCTTTAGTTACCTCCTGGGGAAGCCTGGGATAGGGTAGGTGGGGTGATTTTTTAAAAAACAACTTCATTGAGATATAATTTACCATACCATACCAATTTGCATACCATAAAGCTTATCCACTTCAAGTGTACACTTCCATATCTTTTTTTTGTTTTTGAGATGGAGTCTCGCTCTGTCGCCCAGGCTGGAGTGCAATGGTGCGATCTTGGCTCACTGCAAGCTCCGCCTCCCGGGTTCACACCATTCTCCTGCCTCAGCCTCCTGAGTATCTGGGACTACAGGCGCCCGCACCATGTCCAGCTAATTTTTTGTATTTTTAGTAGACACGGGGTTTCACTGTCTTAGCCAGGATGGTCTCGATCTCCTGACCTCGCGATCCGCCTGCCTTGGCCTCCCAAAGCGCTGGGATTACAGGCATGAGCCACTGCGCCCGGCACTTCCATGTCTTTTAGTGTATTCGCGTTCTCAGAGCTGTCCAACCATTACCACAGTCAACGTTAGAACATTTTCATCACTCCCCTTCAAAAAACCCATGAATCGCTCCATATTTCCCCTGACCCCCTGGAAGCCCTAGGCAGCCACTAATCATTCTGTCTCTATGGATTTGCCTATTCTGGGCATCTTATATAAATGGAATCATATATTAGTGTGTCTTCAAGATGGATTCATGTGCCGTACTTCATTCCTTTTTATGGCTGAATAGTATTCCCTTAAACAAACTATACCATATTCACCCATTCATCAATTGATATACCCTAGGATTGCTTCCACTTTGGGCTATTATGAATAATATTACTAAGAACACACATGTTTTTGTGTGGACATATGCTTTCATTTCTCTTGGCTATATATCTAAAAGGGGGATTTGCCGAGTGTTGTGTTAACTCTAACCTTTCAGGAACTGCCAGCCTGTTTTCCATAGCGAGTGTAGCCTCTTACATTCCCACCAGCAGGAGAGAGATTCCCGTTTCTCCACACCCCTGCTGACGCTTGTCTTTTTGATTACAGCCATCGTAGGAGGTGTGATGTGGCATCTATTTGTAGTTTTGATTTGCATCTCCCTAATGCCTAATAATGTTGAGCATTTTTAATTTCTGTTTTGCCCAGGCTGGTCTGGAGTTCCTGGCCTCTCAGCGCTGGGGTCACAGGCGTAAGCCTCTACCAGTTGAGCTGAGCATCTTCTGGTGCTTATTGGCCATTTGCATAATGCACTGGAAAAATATTCATATCCTTTGTGCATTTTTCAATTGTCTTTTTATTGTTGAGTTGTAAGTTTCCTCCATTCTAGATACAATTCCCTTATCAGATATGTAACTTACAAATATTTTCTCCCGTTCTGTGGGTGGACTTTTAATTTTCTTGATGGTGTCCTTTAAAGCACCGAAGTTTTTGTTTTGTTTTGAGATGGAGTCTCGCTCTGTCGCCAGGCCAGAGTTCAGTGGCACGATCTCGGCTCACTGCAACCTCCGCCTCCCGGCTTCAAGCGATTCTCCTGCCTCAGCCTCCCGAGTAGCTGGGATTAGAAGCAGGCGCCGCCAAACCCAGCTAATTTTTGTATTTTTAGTAGAGAGACGGGGTTTTACCATGTTGGCCAGGATGGTCTAGATCTCCTGATCTCATGATCTGCCCACCTCGGCCTCCCAAAGTGCTGGGATTTCAGGCGTGAGCCACCGCGCCCGGCCGCAGTAAAGTTTTTAATCTGATGAAGTTTAATTTATTCTTCTGTAGTCGCTCCTGCCTTTAGTGTCACTGCCTCGCCCAAGGTCTCAAAGATCTCCTGTCGGCTTCCAAGTGTTTTTTTTTTTTTTTTTTTTTTTTGAGACGGAGTCTCGCTCTGTCGCCTAGGCTGTAGTGCAGTGGCGCAATCTCGGCTCACCGCAAGCTCCGCCTCCCGGGTTCAAGCGATTTTCCTGTCTCAGCCTCCCGAGTAGCTGGGATTACAGGCGCCCGCCACCACGCCCGGCTAATTTTTTTTTTTTTTTTTGTAGAGACGGGGTTTCACCATGTTGGCCAGGATGGTCTCGAACTCCTGACCTCGTGATTCACCCGCCTCGGCCTCCCAAAGTGCTGGGATTACAGGCGTGAGCCACCGCGCCCGGCCTTTTTTTTTTCTTTTTTCTTTCTTTCTTTCTTTTTTTTTTTTTTGATACGGGGTCTCGTCGCTCTGTCGCCCAGGGTGGAGTGCAATGGCGTGATCTTGGCTCAATGCAACCTCCGCCTCCCGGGTTCAAGCGATTCTCCTCTAGGATTACGGGCGCCTGCCACCACGCCCGGATAATTTCTTCTAATTTTTAGTAGAGATGGGGTTTCACTATGTTAGCTAGGATGGTCTCGATCTCCTGACCTCGTGATCCGCCCGCCTCGGCCTCCCAAAATGCTGGGATTACAGGCGTGAGCCACCGCGCCCCGCCCAAGTGTTATTTGTAAAACGAAGAAACCAACATCGAGAGGGACGCTGACTCGACCCCGCGCCTTTCCCATCCGCACCAGCAAGAGGGGCCCCTGTGCCCCAAACGCGAACCGTACGGCTCCAGACAGCACCGCGGAACTCGGTGGCTTCCAGAAGGCCCCGCGCCTGCGCATTCCGCTGCCTGCGCCTGCGCCTGCGCCTGCGCCGTTCTCCCGGCCGCCGCCTTAGCACCTCCTCCGGACGGTGTCGCCGAAGTCTCGCGAGCCCGGAGCGTGGCACGTGGGTTGGTAACTGTGGCGCTGCTCCGCGTCCACCACCACCCCTGTCCTCCTCAGGCCCCCTCCGCCTCCACCCCTGCCCTCCTCAGGCCCCCTCCGCCTCCACCCCTGCCCTACTCAGGCCCCCTCCGCCTCCACCCCTGCCCTCCTCAGGCCCCCTCCGCCTCCACCCCTGCCCTCCTCAGGCCCCCTCCGCCTCCACCCCTGCCCTCCTCAGGCCCCCTCCGCCTCCACCCCTGCCCTCCTCAGGCCCCCTGCGTCCCCGCCTCGTCCTCCTCAGGCCCCCTCCGCCTCCGGCTCCGTCCTCCTCAGGCCCCCTCCGCCTCCGGCTCCGTCCTCCTCTGGCCCCCTCCGCCCCCGGCCCCGGCCCCACGGCGGGATGCGGGACAACACCAGCCCCATCAGCGTGATTCTGGTGAGCTCGGGGAGCAGGGGCAATAAGCTGCTGTTCAGGTACCCCTTCCAGAGAAGCCAGGAGCACCCGGCGTCCCAGACAAGTAAGTGAGCGCTGGGCGGGGGCCTGGCGCTCGCGGGGGCCGCCTCATTCCGGGGTCGCCTCATTCCAGGGCCGCCTCGCGGAGCTTAGCTTTTGCTGGGCATTCGAGATCTGCTCGTTGTAGAGTATTTGAAAAGTAGAAAAAGGAAAAAAAAAATTAAAATCATGCATTGTTCACCACACCAAAGCAACTACTGCTGACATTTCATCAGTCTCCAGCCTTTAAAAAATAAAGTAAAATAAAATAAAATGAGTTTGGGATGTATTCATCATGAGAAAATACAAAATTACACGAACAAGGCCGGTGGCGGTAATCCCAGCACTTTGGGAGGCCGAGGCGGGTGGATCACCTGAGGTCAGGAGTTCGAGACCAGCCTGGCCAACATGGTTGAAACTCTGTCTCTACTGAAAAAATAAAAATAAAAAAAAACAAATTAGCCGAGCGTGGTGGTGCGTGCCCATAATCCTAGCTACTTGGGAGGCTGAGGCAGGAGAATTGCTTGAACCCGGGAGGCGGAGGTTTCAGTGAACCGAGATCGCGCCACTGGATTCCAGCCTGGGCAACAGAGCAAGACTCCGTCTCAAAAAAAAAAAAAAAAGTTACGTGAACATCTGAAGTTGTCTTTGCCACCCCCAGTTCTAGCAAGCACAGGGATCACCCCTGGCCGTGTTGGGAGTTGTCTGCCCTGTGCATAGATGCAGATCTATCCACAGGAAAAGGGAACGTCGCGTGAGGTTTTTCATCGCACGAATTGTTCTGTGGCGCCCTTTTCCCATAGTCGGCCTTGGAGCTCCGTCTGCCTTTGCAAGCAGGGATCAACCTCACCCTTGGCTGCAGGCTGCTGCCTTCCCCTGTGGACGGCATGTAGGTTACTTTTGATTTTTCATCATCATGAATGTTCAGTTTTTGTTTTTATTTTATTTATTTTTTGAGACGGAGTCTCACTCTGTCGCCCAGGCTGGAGTTGAGTGGCGTGATCTCGGCTCACTGCAGCCTCCACCTCCCGGGCTCAAGGGATTCTCCTGCCTCAGCCTCCCAAGTAGCTGGGGCTACAGGGCATGTGCACCACACCCTGCAATTTTTTTTTTTTTTTTTTTTTTTTTTAGTAGAGATGGGGTTTTGCCATGTTGGCCAGGCTGATCTCGAACTCCTGGCCTCAAATGATCTACCTGCCTCGGCCTCCCAAAGTACTGGGATTACAGGTGTGAGCCACCGCACCCGGACTGTTCAGTTTTTATTTTGTATTTTGTTTTAAAATTATTTTTAAACTTGTTGATATGGCAGAAAGTTTTAAAGATACAAAGGAGTTTAGATTATGAAAAGAAAGTTCTTTCCTACTATTGGCCCCCAGCCCTCAGTTTCCATCATAGGGGTAACTACTGTTCCCATTTTTCTGTGTCTTTCCAGGACCTTCTGTGTCAATACAGGCGTATGTATTTCTTTTTTCTTTTTTTTTTTTTTTGAGACGAGTCTTGCAGTCTTGCCAGGCTGGAGTGCAGTGGCGTGATCTCGGCTCACCGCAACCTCCGACCCCCTGTCAAGCAATTCTCCTGCCTCAGCCTCCCGAGTAGCTGGGACTACAGGCATGCGCCACCATGCCCAGCTAATTTTTTTTTTTATTTTTAGTAGAGATGGGGTTTCACCATGTTGGCCAGGCTGGTCTCCAACTCCTGACCTTGTGATCCGCCCGCCTTGGCCTCCCAAAGTGCTGGGATTACAGGCGTGAGCCACCGCGCCCAGCCTGCACTTGTGTTTTTTTTCTAAGCACAAGCAAAGTCACACCATACACACTGTTCTGCCCCTGTTTTCGTTTTCACTTCATGTCTGCATCTTTGATGTAGATCAGAACCTGTCGAGCACCCTTGTCCTTCTTACCGGCCACGGTGAATTCCATGAGATGAACATATTGTGATTTGTTTATCGTGTCCTTTTGGTTGATGGACGCAAAATTGTTTTCAATCTTTTGCTAATACGAAAAGTTCAAACGTTCTTTCCAGGTATTGTCATTTTGCAGAATTCTTGTAATATTAAATCCCCAAAGTAGCATGGTTGGGTCTAAGGGATAAAGAGCATATTTATTTTTAATAGGTTAGATTTTTCAATCTTTGTTAATCTGGTAGGTGAAAAATTATATCTGGTAGTAATTTTAATGTTTATTTGCCTTTTAATTGAGATAGAAAGCATATTTTCCTGTTTTTGGAGCCATTTGGATTTCCTTTTCAGTGAATGACTTATTTATAACCTTTGCCTAATGTTCTCTTGGGTTGTTTGATTTTTTTTCCTTATAGATTTGAAGGAGTTCTTTATATATTTAATGTAAAAATAGGTCTTGGGACAAAGCTATAGTCACCCTGTTTGCTTCTGTGTAGTTCTTGCCAGAGTTTTGATTTTTGTGGAGTTTTCAGTCTAATCTCTTGTGGTTTCTGAGTTTTGTTTTAAATGGAAAGGCGTTTTGCTCTCCAAAATTATTAACAACAACAATAAAAAACTCCCTTATTTTCCTCCAGACTGTTTATGTCTTTTTTTTTTTTTTTTTTTTTTGAGACAGAGTCTCACTCTGTTGCCCAGGCTGGAGTGCAATGGCCTGATCTTGGCTCACTGCAACCTCTGCTTCCCGGGTTCAAGCGATTCTCCTGTCCCAGCCTCCCGAGTAGCTGGGTTTACAGGTGCGTGCCACCACGCCTGGCTAATTTTTGTATTTTTAGTAGAGATGGGGTTTCACCATATCAGCCAGGCTGGTCTTGAACTCCTGACCTCGTGATCTGCCTTCCTCGGCATCCCAAAGTATGTCTTGTTTTTAAATGTGTTTGTCTTGGCATAAGGTGAAGGCTAATCCTAAGAGCTGATATTTTCTGGGCTCTTGTGAAGAGTTGCAGATGAACTGCATGGTTGCCTTTGGAGCCCTGTGGAACTGGAGTTATAACAGGCCACAACGTGGCCAAATGATGATTGATTGGGCCAACATAATTTTCTTTTCCATATGGCTATCTGGTCCCAACATAATTTTATTGAATAATTCACCTTATTTCCACTAATTGATTCTGCTCTCTTTATCGTGCTAAATTCTCACGTTTACTTGGATCTATTTTTTGTCTTTCTTATCTCCTCCAATGATCTATGTGTAGGTTCCATAATAATTACTGTGACTTGGCCGGGCGCGGTGGCTCACGCCTGTAATCCCAGCACTTTGGGAGGCCGAGGCGGGCGGATCACGAGGTCAGGAGATCGAGACCATCCTGGCTAACAAGGTGAAACCCCGTCTCTACTAAAAATACAAAAAATTAGCCGGGCGTGGTAGCGGGCGCCTGTAGTCCCAGCTACTCGGGAGGCTGAGGCAGGAGAATGGCGTGAACCCGGGAGGCGGAGCTTGCAGTGAGCCGAGATCGCGCCACTGCACTCCAGCCTGGGCGACAGAGCGAGACTCCGTCTCAAAAAAAAAAAAAAAAAAAAAAAAATAATAATAATTACTGTGACTTTATGTTATACTATCCGTAAGGTTAGTCACTTGTCGTTACTTTTCTTTTTCAGCGTTATCCTGGCTGTGCTTTATTATTTTTCCCTGTAAACTTTCGCATCAAGTGCATTAGGTCCCACTCCCAAGCTCTTGGTGTAGGTAGCTTTGAATCTGTTGATTAACTGGGAAGAAAAAGCATCTTTATGTTGAATCTTCCCGTTCAGGAAAATGATATGTCTTCAATTCATTTTTTTCTCCCTTATTAGCTTTTCCATTGTTTTCATGGGCCTTTTGCACTCTTCTTAGATTCATCACTAGGTTTTTAAATTTTTTTACTCCGGGAAAGTATTATTGTTTGTGTATATGAAGGCTCTTGGTGTATGTACATTTAAATTTTTTTTATTTTGCCTATGCTTTTTCCAACCTAATTGTCATCCCACACTGTGAGGGGGTGTGTGTGTGTGTGTACATGTGCATAGGGGCCTACCTCACTTTATTGTGTTTTCTACAAATTGAAAGTTCATGGCAAACCTGTGTCCAGCAAGTCTGTCAGCACCATTTTTCCAACAGTATATACTCACTTTGTGTCTCTGGGTGGTGTTTTGGTAATTCTTGCAGTATTTCAAACTTTTTCATTATTATTGTATCTGTTACGGTGATACATGATCTTTATGTTACTATTGTGATTGTTTTGGGGTACCAAGAACCATGTCCACATAAGATAGCAAGTTTCATCAATAATTGTGTGTATTCTGGCTGTTCGCCCATCTGTTTCCATCTCCTTGGACCACCCTGTTCCCTTAGACACAACAATATTGAAATTAAGCTGGTTATCTACAGTGGCCTCTAAGGGTTCAAGTGAAATAAAGAATCACATGTTTCTCACATTAAATCAAAAGCTAGAAATGATTAGGCTTCTTGAGGAAGGCATGTTGAAAGCTGAACTAGGCCAAAAGCTAGTCTGCTTGCACAAAACAGCCAAATGGTAAATGCAAAGGAAAAGCTCTTGAAGGAAATGGGAAGTGTTACTCCAAGCCAGGCCTGCACCTGTACTCCCAGCTACCTGGGAACTGTAGGCAGGAAAATTGCTTGAGCCCAGGAGTTTAAATCTAGCCTGGGCAACATAGGGAGACCCTGACTCTTAAAACAAACAAACAAACAAACAACGCTAGGCACAGTGGCTCATGCCTGTAATCCTAGCACTTTGGGAAGCCGAGGCGGGCGGATCACGAGGTCAGAAGTTCGAGACCAGCCTGGACAACATGGTGAAACCCCATCTCTGCTAAAAAAAAAAATACAAAAATTAGCTGGGCGTGTTGGCCCATGCCTGTAATCCCCAGCTACTCGGGAGGCTGAGACGGGAGAATTGCTTGAGCCTGGGAGGCAGAGGTTGCAGTGAGCTGAGATCCGACATTGCACTCCAGCCTGGGCAACAAGAGGGAGACTCTGTCTCAAAACAAAGCAAAACAGAACAGTGAATGCATGATAAAAAGGTAAATAGCTTTGTTTGTTGCTGGTATGGAAAGTTTTAGTGGTCTGGATAGATCAGGCCAGCCACAATATTCTCTTAAACCAAAGCCTAATCCAGAAAAAGGCTCTAACTCTCTTTAATTCTGAGAAGGCTGAGAGAGGTAAGGAAGCTGCAGAAGAAAAGTTGGAAGCTAGCAGAAGTTAGTTCATGAGATTTAAGGAAAGAAACCATCTCTATAACGTAAAAGTGCAAGGTGGGCCGGGTGCGGTGGCTCACGCCTGTAATCCTAGCACTTTGGGAGGCCGAGGTGGGCGGATCACGAGGTCAGGAGATCAAGACCATCCTGGCTAACACAGTGAAACCCCATGTCTACTAAAAATACAAAAAATTAGCCGGGCATAGTGGCGGGCGCCTGTAGTCCCAGCTACTTGGGAGGCTGAGGCAGGAGAATGGCGTGAATCCGGGAGGCGGAGCTTGCAGTGAGCCGAGATCCCGCCACTGCACTCCAGCCTGGGCGACAGAGCGAGACTCCGTCTCAAAAAAAAAAAAAAAAAAAGAAATACAATTTGTAAGGCTATAGCTGCCATAGATAGTGATTCCTTGGACAGATCAGGGCAAAATAAATTGAAAACCTTCTGGAAAGCATGTGCCATTATAGATGCCATTAAGAACATTGGTGATCATGTCAAAATATCAACAGTAACAGGAGTTTGGAAAAAGTTGATTCCAGCTCTCATGGATGACTTTGAAGGAGTCGAAACTTCAGTGGAGGAAGTAACTGCAGATATGGTGGAAATAGCAAGAGATCTAGAATTAGAAGTAGGGCCTAAAGATGTGACTGAAATGCTGCAGTCTCACGATAAAACTTGAACGGATGAGGACTTGATTGTTATGGATGGGCAAAGAAAGCAGTTTCTGGGCTGAGTGTGGTGACTCACGCCTGTAATCCCAACACTTGGGAGGCTGAGGCAGGTGGATCACTTGAGCCCGGGAGTTCGAGACCAACCTGTGCAACATGACAAAAATTCATCTCTATTAAAAATACAAAAACTAGCCGGACATGGGTGTCATATGCCTGTAGTCCCAGCTACTCAGGGGACTGAGGTAGGAGGATCACCTGAGCCTTGGGAGGTCAAGACTGTAGTGAACGGTGATCACACCACCGCACTCCAGTCTGGATGACAGAGTGATACCCTGTCTCAAAAAAAAAAAAAAAGAAAGAAAGAAAGTAGCTTCTGGAAATGGAATGTATTCCTGGTAAAGATGTTGTAAACATTGTTAAAATGACAACAGAGATTTCGAATATTATATAAACTTAGTTGATAAAGCAGTGGTACAGTTTGAGAGCATTGCTTCCAATTCTGAAAGAAGTTCTGTGGTGGATAAAGTGCTGTCAACGTCCCGTACGACAGAGAAATCTTTCATGAAAGGAAGAGTAAATTGATAGATGTAGCAGAGGTCATTGTTGTCTTATTTTAAGAAATTGCTACAGCACCCCAGCCTTCAGCAAGTACCACTCTAATCAGTCAACAGCCATCAACATTGAGGCAATACCTTTCTCCAGCAAAACGATTGTTTTGCTGAAGGCTGAGCTGATTGTTAGCGTTTTTTTTTTTTTTTTTTTTTTGAGACTGAGTCTCACTCTGTCACCCAGGCTCAAGTGCAGTAGCACAATCCTCATCCTCCTGAGTAGCTGGGATTACAGGTGCCCACCACCATGCCCGGCTAATTTTTTTTTTTTTTTTTGAGACGGAGTCTTGCCGTGTCTCCCAGGCTGGAGTACAGTGGCGCGATCTTGGCTCACTGCAAGCTCTGCTTCCCGGGTTCACACCATTCTCTTGCCTCACCCTCCAGAGTAGCTGGGACTACAGGCACCCACCACCACGCCCGGCTAATTTTTTGTATTTTTAGTAGAGACGGGGTTTCACCGTGTTAGCCAGGATGGTCTTGATCTCCTGATTTCGTGATCCACCCGCCTCGGCCTCCCAAAGTGCTGGGATTACAGGCGTGAACCACCGCGCTCAGCCATGCCCGGCTAATTTTTGTATTTTTAGTAGAGACGGGGTTTCGCCATGTTGGCCAGGCTGGTTTCGAACTCCTGACCTCAGGTGATCCACCCACCTTGGCCTCCTAAAGGGTTGGGATTACAGGCACGGGCCACCGTGCCTTATCACTGTTTTTGAAGATAACATAAGATTTGTCATTTTAATGATTTGTAAGTGTATAATTAAGTGGCATTAATTACATTCATTATAGTGTGCAGCCATTACCGCTATCTGTTTCTAAAGCTTTTTCAGCACGTAAACTGAAACTCTGTAACCACTGACCAATAACTCTTCATTTCCCCTGCTCCCAGCCTGTGCTAACCTCTAATCTACTTTCTGTCTTGATGCATTTGCCTGTTCTAGACATTTCATATACTGTAAGTGCACCATTTGTTCTTTTGTCTCTGGCTTATTCAGCATGATGTTGTCAAGGTTCACCCATGTTCATTCCTTTTTATGTCTGAGTAATATTCCATGGTATGGACAGAGCATGTTTTGGAAAACATGGCTGTTAACGGTTCCATAACCCTCCTGTGTGTGGAAGGACCCTGTTTTCTTAGCCCTTCCCCTCTTTTCGCCCCGACTCAGGTAAGCCGCGTAGCAGATACGCTGCCAGCAACACGGGCGACCATGCTGATGAGCAGGACGGCGATTCCAGGTAAAGGCTCTGCGGCCACTTCAGGGCGGGGCGTGTCCTGGTCCCAGGCCTGGGCAAAGCCCCACCCTCCTATTCACCCAGATGTTTTCTCCCTGAGAAGTCTGGTGTTTGTTTTTTTCCGTTTAGTGGGTGCTCTCAGGTAGTGTAGAGTGGAGGACTGCGTAGACAGTCTGGGGCTTGCTGAATAATTTGGGCACCTGTTCCAGCTTCAGGCTTGTCTGGTGGGTGAAGCAGGTCAGAGCACAGATGAGGCCATGTCCACGTGAGATGTTTATCTCCTATGAAAGAAACATAGAGGAAAGCAGACCCCTATGTTGTTGTCTTTGGATCTAATTCCTTGAGCATGTACCCAGAGGTCAAATGCAGGTGCTTGGGTTTAGCACAGCCTGGTCAAGTCCCTTCTTGGTGTCCAGGCTCAGGTGGTGATATGGGCAGTGGGGCTTAGAGCTGGGATGGTGTGAACCTTGATGTTCTTTGATGTTCTTTTAGGCACAGATGAAAGGTGGATCCGGTTCCTTCCTGTGTTTGTGCCCCTGCTCTCTCTGGGAGGCACTACCAGGGTAGAAACTTTAGAAATGACCACTTCTGCCTTCTGTTCATTTTGAAGCATAGTAAATGGTAACATAGGCCCAGGTGAGGGAGGGAAGATTGTGAGTTACCTGCCCTGGGTTCCCTTAAACACAGACAAGGCCTGTGTGGAGTAAAGGACTTGGCTTCCACTGTCCCGGGAAAAAATAGCTAAGATCCCTATGCTGGGCCTTTGCTGTGCAGTGAGGTAGTGCTGTTTCTCTGCAGTTCTCTGACAAGGCAGCACCACACCTGCCATGGCAATTTGCAAGTCTTTTTAAAAAAATTTTATTGATTGATTGTAGAGATGGGGTCTTGCTTTGTTGCCCAGGCTGGTCCTGAGCTCCTGGCCTCAAGTGATTTTCCTTCCTTGGCCTCCCAAATTTTTGGGATTACGTACATAAGCCACCATGCCTGACCACAATTTGTGGTTCCAAGAGTGTGATTTTTATCATCATTTGGGAGGATGTTGGGGCCTCTGGCATGACTGATGACTGTCTCTGAGTGGAGTGGGCTTTGGAAGGGCGATGGGGCTTGCTGGACACCCCATTGGACCGTCATTTTGATGTAGAGGCCTGTGGTTGTCTTGCCCTTTAAATGTGGTGGTGGAACAAACTCTGGTTTGTCACAGGCATATAGAATGCTTTTGCCCCTGCACAGTGGGTAGGTATTTCCTGTTCTCCCTCCACCTGTGCCACAGATCAGCTTAGAGCAGGGCTGGCTGCTGGCCACCCCCCACATTAGCCTTACTCCAAGCTGCAGTGGATGTGAGGCCCAGGCTGCTGAAGACTCAGAAGGAAGGCTGGCAGTACCTAATTCCTGCAGTTAATTTTCAGACTTATAATGACATGACCATGAGGATATTTTCTAGGGAATTAATTTAATATTTAACGTAATGAAGAGGTAAAACTGTGGGAGGGGCATGCTTCTCTCTAGAATCTTTTATTGAAGAATTGCTTCATTCAGTAATTTTAGCACATCATATATCTGTAAATCTCACTGGTGCCACCCATGTTTTCCAGATACAGGGTTCATACCCTTAGGGGCTCAGTTCCCCTCCTGGTTTATTTTGTCACGTAGGCCCGCAAGCCCCTGCTCTGCCTTGTCATAGCTCAGAGCATGTTCCTGGAGCAAGGCAGTGAAAGTGCATCAAATCCACTCTCTGTGTCTTTGATTTTTTTTTTTTTGAGACGGAGTCTCGCTCTGTCACCCAGGCTGGAGTGCAGTGGCGCGATCTCAGCTCACTGCAGGCTCCGCCTCCCGGGTTCACACCATTCTCCTGCCTCAGCCTCCGGAGTAGCTGGGACTACAGGCGACTGCCACCACGCCCGGCTAATTTTTTCTATTTTTAGTAGAGATGGGGTTTCACCGTGTTAGCCAGGACGGTCTCGATCTCCTGACCTTGTGATCCACCAGCCTCGGCCTCCCAAAGTGCTGGGATTACAGGCGTGAGCCACCGCGCCCGGCCCGTGTCTTTGACTGTTGTTCCCAAAAGTGCTTTTCTTTCTGAAACCAGAGCTTCAGTTTACCAGACTGAAACAGTATTAACAGGCTACACAGTGACTTGTGAGTGGTCGTGGCCTGCCTTAGAAAAGTGAGGACACAGCCGTGCTGCTCACTATTACAAACACTGGCCAGTGTGGCCATTTAAATTGAAGTTAACTGAAATAGGCCAGATGTCGTGGCTTATGCCTGTAATCCAAGCACTTTGGGAGTCCCAGGCAGATGGATCACCTGAGGTCAGGAGACAGCCTGGCCAACATGGCAAAACCCTACCTCTACTAAAAATACAAAAATTTGTCGGGCATGGGAGCACATGCCTGTAATCCTAGCTACTCCGGAGGCTAAGGCAGGAGAATCACTTGAACTTGGGAGGCGGAGGTTGCAGTGAGCTGAGATCACGCCACTGCACTCCAGTTTGGGCAACAGAACGAGAGTCTGTCTCAAAAAAAAAAAAAAAGAAGAAGATGGAAATTAACTGAAATAAAAAATTCACTTGCGGCCGGGCGCAGTGGCTCAAGCCTGTAATCCCAGCCCTTTGGGAGGCCAAGGCGGGCGGATCATGAGGTCAGGAGATCGAGACTCATCCTGGCTAACACGGTGAAACCCCATCTCTACTAAAAATACAAAAAGTTATCCGGGCATGGTGGCGGGCGCCTGTAGTCCCAGCTACTTGGGAGGCTGAGGCAGGAGAATGGCGTGAACCCGGGAGGCGGAGCTTGCAGTGAGCCAAGATTGTGCCACTGCACTCCAGCCTGGGCAACAGAGTGAGACTCCGTCTCAAAAAAAAAAAAAAAAAATTCACTTGCTCAGTTGCACTGGTCACATTTCAGGTGCTCAATGTCTATATGGAAATAGTGTCTACCATATTAAATGGTTCAGATTTGGAATATTCCCATCACAGTAGAAAGTTCTTTTGGGGCCGGGAGCGGTAGCTCATGCCTGTAATCCCACCACTTTGGGTGTCCAAGGCGGGGGGATCACTTGAGGCCAGATGTTTGAGAACAGTCTGGACAGCATGACGAAACCCCATCTCTACAAAAAATACAAAAATTAGCTGGGTTGGTGACCTGCGCCCTTAGTCCCAGCCACTGCGGAGGCTGAGGGAGCCCAGGACATGGAGCTTGCAGTGAGCCGAGATCATGCCGCTGTACTCCAGCCTGAGCCTTGAGTGACAGAGTGAGACCCTGTCTCAAAAAAAAAAAAAAAAAAAAAAAAATTGGACAGTGCTGTCTTAGAGAGGGGGCTAGTTTTTTGAGGTGCATCATCAAGATATGGTTCAGGGCTGGGCGCATTGGCCCATGCCTGTAATCCCAGCACTTTGGGAGACTGAGGTAGGCAGATCGCTTGAGCTCCGGAGTTCGAGACCAGCATGGGTAATATGACGAAGTCCTGTCTCTACCAAAAATACAAAAAATTAGCCTGGCATGGTGGCACACGCCTGTGGTCTCTGCTACTCAGGAGGCTGAGGTGAGAGGATTGCTTGAGCCTGGGAGGCAGAGATTGCCACAAGCCAAGATCACATTGCTGCACTCCAACTTGGGTGACAGAGTGAGACCCCCCTCTCAGAAACAATTTAAGATATGATTCAGGTTATAGAGATTAACTCTTACTTATTTTTTATAATCCTTTTCTATAATTCAATTATGAGAAAAGAAAATGGATATTGTCCAGTGTCTCTAAGACTTGAAACCAAGGTCAGAAAAGATGTAGTGTTCCCTGGGTATTAGGGGCCATGGTGCTCATGTTTAAATGTACCGTGTGTCCCCACCACTGGTAGGGGCAGAAGCCATCAAGCCAGGTCTGAGAGATAGCCTGGTGTCCCTCAGAAAGGCTGGTGTGGGCATGTCCCTCTCTGTGTGGACACCGTCTTCCTGCTCCCTTCTTTGAAACTGCGAGCAGTGCTTAGGCCACTACCTCAGAGAATGGGGAGCTAGAGGTTTAGAGAAGAACTGATTTCTTTCATTTTCAAAATGCTCTGAAATCATATTATTATTATTATTATTAATTATTATTATTATTATTATTATTTTGAGACGTAGTTTCATTCTTGTTGCCCAGGCTGGGGTGCAATGGCGCAATCTCGGCTCACTGCAACCTCTGCCTCCCAGGTTCAAGCAATTCTCCTGCCTCAGCCTCCCAAAGTGCTGGGATTACAGGCGTGAACCACTGCACCCGGCCTAATTTTTTTTTTTTTTTTAACAGAGGGTTTCTCCATGTTGGCCAGGCTGGTCTCGAACTCAGCTTGGTCAACATGGAGAACCCTGACCTCAGGTGATTGAACTCCTGGGCTTAAGTGATCCTCCCACCTTGGCCTCCCAATGTTCTGGGATTACACGCATGAGCCCCCTCACCCAGCTACCAGCTCTGCCTTTAATTCTCAGGTGACATCTTGGGGAATCAGGTGGCACTGCTACTGTCCTCAGGCTTGGCCACTTTTGTAGCAGTGTACCCAACTTGTGGCTGCACTTGGGCCTAGGCCAGATGGGGTCCTTGGCCAGGCAGGCACTCTCTAGCTCACAACATACAGGTCCTCCCACCAGGCACACATGAGGCTCTGCCAGGGCCTCTCTTGTTAGGTTTGCCTCTATTAGCTTGTGTTTTTAGAGCCCTACACTGATGTGTTAGAAAGATGCCCTCTCCTTTCTGTAGCTGAGGTTGACACACAAGAAAGCAGGTAGGCATTTTTGTCCCCAGGCTTGGGCACTTCCCTCTGCCCAGCCATCGCATCCATGCTGCAGGGCAGTGTAAAGGGACAAGTGCAGGTTCAGGGTTCCAAGTTTGACTCTCGCTTTGCAGCCTTCGGTGTGTGATCTTGGGCACATTCTTTAGAATGAGCCTTAGTTCCACTGTTTTCTGTTAAGATGCCTGAGGGTGGTGAGTTGCCTTCACCTCTTCCTCCCAGATCAGGATGTTGTAGGACCATCCTTGTCTCTGAGTGTTAGCTGATGGCCCTGCCTCCCTCAGAGGGGCAGACGCAAGTCTGTAAAATGCTCCTGTCAGGAAATGGAGCATTGCCGGACTCAGAAGCCCTCTGTGCTTACTCCTTTTCCTCTGGAGCAAAGGGGTTGCATTGTGACTTGTCTAGTTGTAGGAGGCAGAGCTTACAGTCAGGCTTCAGCTTCGAGGATTCTGACTTCTTGGGTGATCTTGGGAAAATCCATGAAACATCTTAATGCTTTCATACTGTACAACCTGAGGAGCTTGGCAGCTGCTGAGGAAAGAGATCCCTTCTGTGGATCTTTGGCAGAGCTCCCACAATGTTTCCACTCCTGGATTCAGGTCTCCTTTCTCTTTCCAGAATACATGGAAAGCAGTGTGTCCCAGAACTCAAATATCTGCAGAGGAAAATAAAGGTTTTTTTTTTTTTTTTTTTTTGAGACAAAGTTTCACTCTGTCGCCCAAGGCTGGAGTGCAGTGGTGTGATCTCGGCTTGCTGCAACCTCACCTCTAGGGTTCAAGCGATTCTCCTGCCTCAGCCTCCCGAGTAGCTGGGATTACAGGCATCCACCACCAAGGTGAGCTAATTTTTTCTTTTTAAGTAGAGACAGGGTTTCGCCATGTTGGCCAGGCTGGTCTCGAACTCCTGACCTCAAGCGATCCACCCACCTCGGCCTCCCAAAGTGCTAGGATTACAGGCGTGAGCCATCGTGCCTAGCCAGAAAGTAAACTCCTAAACTGTTTCTAAAAATCTCAACTCAGGTAGTGCAAAAGCCCAGATGTTTTCTGACAAATATATATGGATCCACCATGACCACTTTATTGCTCCAGGCAGAGGCTTAGGGAAGTCAGGTGTGCTGGCAGTCACAGTATCTCAAGAATTGGAGCTGGTGAAATTCATATGACACGCTATAGTTTTCAGAAGGCTTTTGCCTCTGGGAGTCTTATGTGATCCTCGGTAGGCGATTTCTTGTCATGCAGATGAGAAAACTTTTACCACAAAGATTAGTTTTAGGCTGGGTGCAGTGGCTCACGCCTGTAATCCCAGTACTTTGGGAGGCCGAGGCAGGAGGATTGCTTGACCCCAGGAGTATGAGACCAGCTTGAGTAGCATTGTGAGACCCTGTCTCTTTTGAAGAAAAAAAAGAAAAAAGGAAAAAAAAAAAGAAAAGAAAAGATGAGATACTTCTGCACAGGCATCCGGCTAATACATATGGTGCTGGGTCTGACCCAGCTCTGCCAGCCTTGTGCTTACTTCTGAAAAATGACTTTTGTTCCTGCCCAGCCTGTACTTCTGTGTGAGAATTTGACTTTTAGTGAGAAAACCCCATGGTAAGCGTTGAGCGTGGGGAGCGTGTGACCCTGTTTCTCAGCGTGGGGAGTGTGTGACCCTGTTTCTCACATGTTGGGAGTGTGTGATCTGTTTCTCAGCGTGGGGAGTGTGTGATCCTGTTTCTCAGCGTGGGGAGTGTGTGATCTGTTTCTCAGCGTGGGGAGGGTGTGACCCTGTTTCTCAGCGTGGGGAGTGTGTGATCCTGTTTCTCAGCGGTGGGGAGTGTGTGATCCTGTTTCTCAACGTGGGGAGTGTGTGACCCTGTTTCTCAGCGTGGGGAGTGTGTGACCCTGTTTCTCAGCGTGGGGAGTGTGTGACCCTCTTTCTCAGCGTGGGGAGTGTGTGATCCTGTTTCTCAGCGTGGGGAGTGTGTGATCCTGTTTCTCAGCGTGGGGAGTGTGTGACCCTGTTTCTCAGCGTGGGGAGTGTGTGACCCTGTTTCTCAGCGTGGGGAGTGTGTGATCCTGTTTCTTGTCTGGTAAGTTGCTTAGTCGTGATGGTCAACAGTTAATGCTTAATGGTGGCACTTCTGCTAGACTTTTGTGCAGTTTTTATAAAATAGCCTTGTAACTTTTCATGGTTTTTAAAAAAGTGATATGTTTTTGTTTGGTCTTGATGGTCCTGTTCCCATTTCAGCGAGCCATGTCCTCCAACCGATGAGCAATTGGTTGCAGGGTAAGACCGAGACCTCTCCACCGTCTTTCTGTCTTGATTCCGGCTGCCTTCTCTTCTTGTAATTGTGCTTAATTCCTGATTTCCCTCCATGTTGAAGAGTGACTGATGAGGCACACAGGCGTGGACCTCACTGCCCCAGTTCCCCCATGAATGCCCAGACTTCCCACCACCCCGGCTTTTTCTCTACCCAGTCATTTAGCTATTTCACATTACCTGAGAGGCCAAGGCATGGCTGGCTGGCACCCGGGAGACTTCTGGGACCAGGCATGTCACACAAACCTCCTCTTCCTCCAGGTAGGCACAAGTAGTCCTGTGAGGGTGGCGGGCAAGCAGGAGTGGACTCTGTCATCTCCCTAGTCCACTGCCGCCCTAGAGAGACCTGTGACTGTTGCTCCTTGTTTTTATTTTTTGAGGGGTTTTGTGGGGGCCTCTCCCAAGGGTTGGGCATTAAGTGTGATGCTCAGGCCTAGATGCTATTGAGTGTGCTTAATAGAGGCAGAAATGTTCTCATGGAATTGATATGGTGCTTGTCCAGGAGGGCACGGATGACGGGCGACTCTTCCATTCCCCTTGACAGTGCATCTCCTCTGGGCCTTGGAGGTACACACAGTGTCTGTGAGCTTCCAGCAAGGAGGTGGGTGGGGCGAGCAGAGTTGAGCTCCCCTCCAGGATGTCTTTCCATCCCTTTAGGTGGGTGGGGGGAGCAGAACTGAGCTCCCTTCCAGGATGTCTTTCCATCCCTTTTTTTGTCCAAGCTAGAGAGCAAACCCTACTCCAGAATAGCTCGGCAGTGATAGAAGGTCCTGGCCTGTTTTCTGGCTGGGCTGGTTCATCTTCCTAAATGTGTTTTTCTTGAATTTCCAAGTTATTCCAGGAATCTTCAGTTTTTGTAACAGATGTTTTATTGTGCTGCAGTACATTTATTAGGCCTTTCACCATCAAAATGAGGGAAAAGGATTTTCATAAATGTTGGAAGCCAATAAAACAAAACAACACTTGTTTATGGTTCAGTTTGCTGTTTATAAGTTTTGCCCCACCCCCAATCTCATGAATATAACTCTGTCTTTATGTGTATTACATTACCAGACAGACTATATAAAGTATAAAGCCAGATGGGTGCAGTGGCTCATGCCTGTCATCCCAGCACTTTGGGAGGCCGAGGTGGGCAGATCATGAGGTCAGGAGGTCGAGACCAGCCTGGCCAACGTGGTGAAACCTTGTCTCTACTAAAAAATATGAAAAATTAGCCGGGCTTGGTGGCACGCGCCTGTAATCCCAGATATTTGGGAGGCTGAGGCAGTAGAATCGCTTGAACCCAAGAGGCGGAGGTTTCAGTGAGCCGAGATTGCGCCATTACACTCCAGCCTGGGCGACAGAGCAAGACTCCATCTCAAGGGGGAAAAGAAAAAGCCGCTCAATTGTTTTGTCATGGGGCCGGGCGTGGTGGCTCACGCCTGTCATCCCAGCACTTTGGGAGGCCGAGGCGGGCGGATCACCTGAGGTCAGGAGTTCGAGACCAGCCTGACCAACATGGTGAAACCCCGTCTCTACTAAAAATACAAAAATTAGCTGGGCGTGGTGGCGGGTGCCTCTAATCGCAGCTACTCGGGAGGCTGAGGCAGGAGAATTGCTTGAACTCGGGAGGCGGAGGTTGCAGTGAGCCGAGATTACGTCATTGCACTCCAGCCTGGGGGACAAGAGCAAGACTTCGTCTCAAAAAGAAAAAAAAGCGTTTTGTCATTATATGTTTGTAATATTAAGGTGTGGGGAGTAGATTTCTCTGTGGGCCAGATTTGCTCAGATAAACAATGGCTAACTACCACCCTGCTGGCTGCCTCAGAGGGCTCCATGAACAGCCACTAAGTCAATGTGACTGTTTTTTTTTTTGAGACGGAGTTTCGCTCTGTCACCCAGGCTGGAGTGCAGTGGCACGATCTCCGCTCACTGCAACCTCTGCCGCCCAGGTTCAAGCGATTCTCCTGCCTCAGCCTCCCGACTAGCTGGGACTACAGGCTTCACTGCGCCCGGCTAATTTTTGTATTTTTAGTAGAGACGGGGGTTTCATTATGTTGGCCATGCTGGTCTCGAACTCCTGACCTCGGGTGATCCACCCACTTCAGCCTCCCAAAGTGCTGGGATGACAGGTGTGAGCCACCACGCCTGGCCCAGTGTGCCTTTTTACTTCAGCTCACAGATTTCCAGTTGGCCGTCTCTGCAGACCCTGGCCTCTAGCAGGGAAAGAGCCTTTTATTTGGCTGTTGTGAGGGCGCCTTGAAGTTTAGGTATTTATAAACGCGAACTGGGCTACCACTGCTTGCCTCTGAGAATCCCAGGGACCATCTCACAGCCAAACTAAATTTGGTCCCTGGACTGGTGCCTGAGGGCTGAGGCTGAGACATGGCTGTGACTCTTTATGACAGAGCAGCAGTTTTTAGTGGAGATTTTGGGCTGTCAGAGCAAGGGACCTTTCTGGAGTGGTGGTGGTTATTTTTCTGTTACCTCTGTGTCCCCTGAGTCACTGGGTGGCAGAGTGGAGGGGCACTGTTTAGATAGGATGTGAGGCGTTGGCCCTGGGTCAGTTGCTAGAGCAGAAGTGTTTGGTGGCGTTTTAATACCTCAAACCCTCCTTCAACATTACCATGTCCCACAGATGGGAGTTATAGAACAGAGTGAGCCATTTAGGGTTTTTGAAGAAAGCATATTATGCCTGTGGTGTAAGGCACTTGAATCCTCCATCTCTGCAGGAGAGACCTGCAGTGGGCTGCTGAGGACTTGGCTGTGGGTCCTGCGTTTCCCAGGATAACTCTAACAAGATTGATTTCAGAAGGTCCAACTGCAACCTGACTGGGTTGAGAGGCTATTTCCAAATGGCACAAATAGGTTTGACCAAACCCTCGTATGTGGTTTGTTTGTGAGCCTAGGGTGACTTCGGATGGTTAGAGGGTCGTGCCAGTTCAGGAGGAAGGCTGGAAAACAGTCTGAGCCCCACAGCCCATGATAGACTTGGAAAGAATCATGTAGCTACTTGCCATTTGCTATTACAGAGCTGAGCTACAGTGCAGTTCAAAGCAGGCCTTCCTTTTTCATCACAACATGGAGGAGTTATGTCAGTCTCTCCCATCCCTTCACCAAGAGGGCCTCTGGGGAAGAAGCATGACCAGGTTTGCACCCTAGAATGTCTGTCCTCAGTGGTCTCTTCTAGGACCTTAGGGGTCTCCCTGCCCAGGGGCAGAGTATGGCCCTGCGGAGGCTAGAGCTTCCCCAAGAGAGTGCACCCTCCTGACCTAGATATTAGATATATTTTTCCTGGGTGGAGAGATATGTATGGGACTTCTCTCTCTTCTGGGTCCAGATCAGAGGTAGTACATTTGTGTTTCTAGAGCGGAGGCCCTCAGAGCCCTGGACTCTGAGATAAGAGTCAGCACCACCCACAGCACCCCTGCAGGTGACACTCCCTTATCCAGATCTCCCCAGGCAGGAGGCATCAGCATTGCCAGTAAGGAGACAGAAGGGCACAGATGACCTTGAAAAGGGGAAAAGGGATGCCCTCCCTCCCACACCACAGCTGCACCCACTTCTCCGTGGCACCCAGTTGTGTGCAACCTGGTATTTCTGCCATTTGGAAATAGCTGTGATCACAGTGGGCTTGCACATCTTGCACAAAGCTTCTTCCCTGATAAAAACCGGAAAGTTTAAGTGTTTGGGATAAGGGAACGGATGGGCAGCCATGCTATGAGGAAGGAAGTCAGCGCTCTGCACGCATCCCTGTGCACTGTCCCCTTGCCCTCCACGCGGCTCTTTGGGTGAAGGGCCGCTCTGTGGGTGAAGGGCCTGGGTCCTGGGAGTTGAAGGTGCAGCACAGCAAACCTGAGTGTAACTGGGAGAGGCCCCTCTGCCTGTGAACTTTAAAGAGCAGCTCCGCAGGGCAGTGCCGGCTCCAGCTGATCCTCCCTTTGAAAGCAAACTGCAACTGTTTCTCTCCTGAATTTAATAGAGCATGCCAAAAAATGACAGCATGTGCCTTCAGTCTGTGCTTCTCATGCCTTTTACCTTGTAATTCTGGTGATCTTACATCCATAACCTCTGGGATTGCTACAGAAGGGCAACTGTTAGTAGCTTCCACCAGCAGTCGGGGCAGAGCAACTCCATGAAGGTGCAGTTTACTGAGACCCTTCCGCTCTGGGGCCAGCAGGGCATGGTGCTGTGGTATTTTGTTAACTTATTTTTATTCTACCTCTCTTAAATTTTAAGGTTTTCAGATGTTATTCTGGCAACAATTTTGGCAACCAAGTCTGAAATGTGTGGCCAAAAATTTGAACTGAAGATTGATAATGTGCGATTTGTTGGGCACCCAACACTGCTACAGCATGCTCTGGGGCAGGTATGGCTCTCCCTGGGCAGGTGGGGCTCTCCCTGGGCAGATGTGGCTCTCCTTGGGCAGGTGTGGCTCTCCTTGGGCAGGTGTGGCTCTCCTTGGGCAGGTGTGGCTTCCCCTGGGCAGGTGTGGCTCTCCTTGGGCAGGTGGGGCTCCCCCTGGGTAGATTTGGCTTCCCCTGGGCAGATGTGGCTTCCCCTGGGCAGGTACAGACCCTCTGGGAAGGTGTGGCTCCCCCTGGGCAGGTGTGGCTTCCCCTGGGCAGATGCGTCTGTCCTTGGGCAGGTGGGGTTCTCCCTGGGCATGCACAGACCCTCTGGGCAGATGTGGCTCTCCCTGGGCCGGCAGGCCTGGTCCATTCTGGCTCTGGGGGGCTCAGAACTGAGGCTGACACCAGCTCTGGTGAAGGTACTGGGCAGGAGACCTGATTAGACACTTGGTATGAACTGTGCATCTTCATAAACCCAGAGAGTCCAGTAGAAAAAGAGACAGGTGTTCTTGCCCCTGAAGACAGGTGCTTCAGTCCCTGTCCCTAGCTTTTACAGTCTGCATTCTAGGTCTCTACTGACTGTGGCCCTCCCCTTCATATGTAGGATGTCTGTTTCCAGGGGAGGCCAAGATAGTGAGTTAACTAGCATCGTGAAACCCTTGAATTTTCTACAGTGTGGTGCAAGCATTTCCTCTTATTTATTACAAGACACTCTAGTAGCTAATATTAGTATTATTTAGCACTTATTTTTCTGCTAAACCCTCTCTATATGTTCTCTTGATGAATAGGTGTCATAGCACTGAGGAACTCATCTTGTTAGCAGGATGAAGGGAACTTGTACACCAGAGCCTGCCAGTCAGCTCTCTGCATACAGGCAGGATCAGTGATGGCATTACTAAGATTCTGAAGGGTCGAACACAGTAACGTAGGATTTAGCTACATTTATACAGATCCAGCAATTCTGGGAGGTTCTGTGGTGTTATTCGTGAACCTCCATGGAAGGAGTTTCTGAGGCGGTTGATGAGCCTGGTCCCCTGTACCGCACCCTCCCTTCTCATCACAGCCTCCACAGCTGGGGCACAGTCCCCTACCTGTAGGCAATGAAGGGGAGAGTTGGCAGCCTGCCCGCGGTCACACCCTGTAGACAGGAGTGGCAGTCAGGGGTAGGGGATGGGTGCCAGGGCAGCCTGGGGCCCCAACTCCCCCTGGTGGCAGAACTTGTAGTTGGCTTTGAAGAGTTCCCCCGTGCCCCTTGGAATGCTTCCCTTGAGCGCCCTGGTCCTTGTGAAGCTGGCTGGATGCCAGAACCGGGAGCACAGAAATTAGGACTTGCTGGCCTGCCTCACCTGGGCCCTGCTCAGGGCTTGGCTGTCCCTGAACATCGTCCTGTCCCTCAATTGTTCTGAGTATGCGTCATACTTAGCAGATACAGCCTGGTGGATGCAGGCGGGCACGGGAAGGCAGTGGGGGTGTGGGTCTGGGTCCTCCACCCATTTATGCCCCTCTCCATCTCGTCCCCTGTGGGCATTGTCAGCTCACTTCTGTTAGCGGGGGGGCGAGGGGGTCAGAGCACTGACCTTCCCACTCTTGTCATAGTTGTGACTTTGCCCATGCAGTAGGCACGCCTCCAGAGCAAAGGCATTCATTGCTTTTCCAAGACCTTGGTGCTGTATTCTGGGGACTTTTGCCATGCCTGAAGTAGAATAGCTCTAAACAGCTTTCCTTAGAAAGTCGTCTCAATTAATTAGAATTATGCATCTTTTACAGATCTCCAAAACAGATCCTTCCCCGAAGAGGGAAGCACCTACTATGATTCTTTTTAATGTGGTGTTTGCACTGAGGGTGAGTGTTTATATAAATGGTTAAGATCAGGGAGTGGGGCCAGTGGAGAAGCAGCTCTTTTTTTCCAACGAGCGTGTCATTGACTCGGAGCTTGGACTGCAGCGGGCTGGCCCCTCCTGGGGTGCAGGCAGACTGCACTTCATTGTTTACCCCTTTTTGTTTTGGTAAAATACACATAACACTATTTGTCATTTTGAAGTCTATGCTTCAGTGGCATCTGGTACATTCATGTTGTATAACCATCACCACTATCTAGATCCAGAACACTTTCACCACCCCAGAAGGAAACCCCATACCCATTAGCAGTTATTCTCTTTTTTTTTTTTGAGACAGAATCTCGCTGTGTCACCCAGGCTGGAGTGTAGTAGCGCAATCTTGGCTCAATGCAACCCCTGCCTCCCAAGCTCAAGTGAGTCTCCTGCCTCAGCCTCCCGAGTAGCTGGGATTACAGGTGTGCGCCACCACGCCCAGCTAATTTTTGTATTTTTAGTAGAGATCGGTGGGGGGGGGGGGTCTCGCCATGTTGGCCATGCTGGTCTTGAACTCGTGACCTTAGGTGATCCACCCACCTTGGCCTCCCAGACTGCTGGGATTACAGGCGTGAGCCACTGTGCCCTGCCCCTGCTAATTTTTGTATTTTTTGTAGAGATGAGTTTTCACCTTATTGCCCTGGCTGATCTTGAACTCCTGGTCTCAAATGGTCTTCCCTCCTTGGCCACCCAAAGTGCTGGGATTCCAGGTGTGAGCCACTATGCCCAGCTGGAGCTTAATTTTTAAGACAGGCCTGCCTTGTTGATAAATAAGGAACTACAAATTAAAACAAAATGATTTGTTAATGGCTCCTGGGGTACAGGGTTCTGGGAGAAGTTCTTCACTTTCTGCTTGATACACTTTTGTAGTATTTGCATTTTCATAGCATCTTTGTATTTCTTACATAATTACATAATATAAAGCGCCACAAAGAAAAATGAATTAAGTAAAAAAACAAGCAAAGGAGTAAACAAAATCCATGACGAATGTTGTCCACCTGTCAACACCGATAACCCCTGTGGGACAGTTGATGAAACGCAGCCACAGCCCCACCCAGGATGCTGTAGGCAGGCCCTCACCTCGGGGAACAGTGTTTGCAGGATGCTGTAAGCAGGCCCTCACCTCGGGGAATAGTGTTTCCAGGATGCTGTAGGCAGGCCCTCACCTCGGGGAGTAGTGTTTGACAGCATAGCATATGATGCCCTTAGATCTAGCAGTCCCACTGTTAGGAGTATTATCAAGAAAAACAAGCAACTTTTACAACTGCGTAAAGATTTCCCCCAGGCTTGTTCTCAGCAAGAATAAAGATTTTTATAACAATAATTAAACTGGAGATAATCATAGTGTGTAGTAGTTGGGGAGTGATTAAACAATGTGGTGATTATTATACACTGGCCCATCCTCTTGCCATCAAGGGTGAGAAATGGAGATCAGACCAGAACCTGGAGAAGTATAGATTGATTACGGACAGGTAAAAGCAACCGGAGCCGAGCACAAATGCTTACGCCTGTAATACCAGCACTTTGGGAGGCTGAAGCGGGCGGATCACCTGAGATCAGGAGTTTGAGAGCAGGCTGACCAGCATGGAGATACCCCGTCTCTACTAAAAAATACAAAATTAGCCAGGTGTGGTGGTGGACACCTGTAATTCCAGCTACTCAGGAGGCTGAGGCAGTAGAATCGGTTGAATCCGGGAGGCGGAGGTTGCAGTGAGCAGAGATCGCACCATTGCACTCCAATCTGGGCAACAAGAGCGAAACTCCAGCTCAAAAAAAAAAAAGCAACAGGAAACAAGATAGTCTAGGACTTCAGCTGGCCGTGATATTGACGAGTAGGAGAAATTTTGATAATGTAAAGAGTTTGTATTTTTTGGGTGGACAAGTCTTTCTTTTTAAAATATATACTTTTGTCATTTTAAATATATATTCTTTCTTTTTAAAATATACACTTTTGTCATTTTAAATATATATTCTTTCTTTTTAAAATATACACTTTTGTCCAGGCACAGTGGCTCACTCCTGTATTCCTAGCACTTCGGGAGGCCAAGGTGGGTGGATCACTTGAGCCCAGGAGTTTGACACCAGCCTGGGCAACATAGCGAAACCCCATCTCTACAAAAAATACAAAAATTAGCCAGGCATGATGATGTGCGCCTGTAGTCCCAGCTACCTGGGAGGCTGAGGTGGGAGGATCACCTGAGCCTGGAAGGTCAAGGTGGCAGTGAGCAGTGATCATCTGCTGCACTCCAGCTTGGGCAAGAGAGTGAGACCCTATCTTAAAAAAAAAAAGAAATACACTTTTTTTTTTTTACTCTGAAAAATTTTAAACCCTGAAATAGAGAGAGCAGACTGACAAACCTTATATGCCTGTCTCAGGTGCCTTTAAACCCTGGCTCCATATATTTCCTTCCCTCTCTCTATTTCAAGGCAAGTCCCAGACCTTATGTCTGTTCATCCCTACATACTTCAGAAGATATCTGTATAAAATATGGGCACTTAATTTTCGGCCATGATACCCTTTGTACATCTGAAAAAATTTGCTGTAATAAGTTGGCATCACCTAGTACCTGGTCCATTGAAGCTTCTCCTGATTGCTAAAGCCTTTTCACAGCTGGACTGTCTGAACCAGGATGCAAACCCAGCCCAGCTAGTGCATGTGGTGTCTTTATGTCTCTGCCAATCCAGAGGTCTCCCCTCCCTTTGTTCCATCAAATGTTCCACATTTGGATTAATCTCATTGTGCAGTCAGACTTGCTCTCTGTCCCTGTGTTTCCTTCAAACTACAAGTTAACTCTGAAGGCTTGGTTCTATTTGGGTACAAGTTTTGGGGATGAGAAAGTCTCATGCGTGATGCCTTAAACTTCCTGCCACTTTATGTCGTGTATGGTGAAAATATGGTGTTTCTAAAAGTTCCCATTAGTGCTGGCACACCCTAGGTGTTAGCTTTCTCAGCATGTCCCTCACTCCATGTCAGGCCTTTGCAAACCGGACATGCTGGGACACCCCATGAGTGCAGGTCACTGAGCGTCACTGGGGACTGCACCACTTTGTATGTCTGGAAAGGTCAAGCATATGGGCCCTGGACATCCAACTCATGGACACTGTTGTGCCTCAGCTGAATAATCACATATCCAGGATCATTGTCCTCCTCCTTGCTTTGCTCGTGGAAGTATTTGTACACAGATTCTTCTTCTAGGTGGGTATTTTGTTTTGAGGCAATTGTATACACCCCATATGTCAGCCCTCTGGTCCCAAGGACACTGTTGAGGCAATGCCCTTGACATGGAGGAGCAGGTCTGCTGCCCAGTGGTGGGCACAGCATGGGAGCAACAGTCCTTTCTCTGGCAAGGGATGCTGCCTTGTTGTAAGTCCATCCAGGTGTGAGTTCTGTTTGTGAACATGGGATCTGATGAGAATATAGAGAATTTCTTCAGCTCCAGATGAAGAACGTATTTACTGTCTGGGTCAGGCTTTGCCCCTGAAGCCTGGCTGTGAACACTTTGGGCATGGCCTTCCCTCTCAGATAAACAGGAGGGGGAGGCAGCACCAGAGGTTGTAATCAGCAGTACCATTCACCCCTTTCCCTTGTCCCACCTCCACCCCCACAGGATGACTCAGCAGTCCTGTTGGCCTCCAGAAGCACTGAGTCATGGTTGGCCCAGTTATCTGCTCCCTCAAGTGTTTTCACAGACCCCCACAGCTGCATGCCTCCACCCTTGGCTTGGGCAGATGTGCTTGCCTGGCTGACTGTGGTCCCTGATAGGTTCCAGAGGGTCGAGGGCCCCTCTTGTTCCTGAGAGCCTCCTGCACTGTCCTTTGACCCAGTCATCATGGTTGCAGAAGGAGCTCTTGGGCAGAGATATGGGCCTGGAGCCTGCTGGTTTTCTTGTTAACCAGTGTGACTTCTGCTGGGAAGAGCTTCTCATCCTTCAGGACCAAAAGTATTCAGTGAACAATTGGCCTGGTGCCTCTCTTTTTGTACCGTGCATCCCTGTAGTAACGTGGCCTGTCGTGACTGAATTCTTACAAATTGTAGACTGGTTCTGCCTACCAGTAGTCAGCAGTACAGTGGTGACCACAGACACTAGCAGGGTCTTTGCTCAGGGCAGGTTCTGTTCTTAGTTTGTTACATGGCTCGCTAATTTCTTCCATTCAGTCCTTGGTGAGGGAGGCACCATTGTTGTTCTTCCTTAAGAACAACAGTGCCTCCTTAGGGCACCCAGGCATTTCCAGAGCCATCTCTGTTACTATTCAGGCAGCCACTCCCAAGAACAGAGCATGGGGGCTGACAGCCCACATGTCTATGGATGGGCCCTGGAGGGGACTCAGGAAATGAGCAGCAGTGGCCTCTGCAAAGGAGCCTGGGGGAAAGGAGTAGAGACGCTTTCTTTCATGGTTTGAGTTTTTGCTGTGTACCTGTGTTAGCTCCATTTAAACTGTGTCCAGCTGTGTCCCTGTGCACACGTTTGAGTCTGTGTATGGTCTCTCTCCTGCAGGCCAACGCAGACCCGTCAGTGATAAACTGTCTGCATAACCTGTCCCGTCGTATCGCCACCGTGCTGCAGCACGAGGAGCGCCGCTGCCAGTACCTCACCCGGGAGGCCAAGCTGATCCTGGCGCTCCAGGATGAGGTGTCCGCCATGGCTGATGGTGAGTGCAGCAGGGCGTGATGGGCATGGGTCTGGGCTGGCTGGTGGCCTCTCTGCAGCGCAGACCTCTGTGGAGGGGCTGTCATTCAGTGTTAATGATACAGATGTTGGCGGGGCCTCACCCACCCCAACACCAGCAGAGCAGTCAGGAGCTTGCAAGCATCGGCTTTTGGTGAGCTGTGCATTGAAAATGAAGTCCTCACAACAGCTTCGCTAGGCAGTGTCCATGATCATCCCCATTTTGCAGATGTGGAAACTAAGGCTCAGAGAAGTTACATGATCTTCACACGGGGCTGATTGTGCCTGGGGGGCACAGGAAGACTCCCAAGGGGCACATTTGTAGATGAATTTTCCTGGCTGGATGTGTTGAAATAGATTTCCCGACCAGAAATGTTCTTTCTTCCCACACACTGCTGCATGATCACCGTTCACATAGGTGAGGCAGCTCTGCCTAGCCCTGGTCCTGTTGGAGATGTTGAAGAAACTATTACTCCCTGGGGCAGGAGAGGGCGTTGGAAATATCCAGCTGGTGAGGTGGACAGTTTCCAGTTCTTTGCTTTCAGCCAGATTGAAGGAGGACCTAATTGGGTTATCAACTAACCAATTATTAAAAATAATTTTTGCAGACAGAACATTGAGTGTTTTTTGGCCTACTGTAAAGATTTCAAAACATAAAGAGACACCTGTAACAAACTCTCCATCTCCATTTTCTTTGGCCAGCACCTCTATAACAAAAGAGAGAATTAGGAACAAAACTAAAGTCAGACCTAGTTGTTGTAGCAATAAGTAAAATTAGTTATTGACATGAATGAACAATAATAAAGAACAGCCTCTCTGACTCAGGTGCATTTTCAGTACAAATTTACCTGTGGCTGGCTGCGGTGGCTCATGCCTGTAATCCCAGCACTTAGGGAGGCTGAGGCAGGTAGATTGCTTGAGCTCGGGAATTCAGGATCAGTGTGGGCAACATGGTGAAATCCTGCCTCTACCGAAAAAAACCCAAAAATTAGCCGGGCATGGTCATATGTGCCCGTAGTTCCAGCTACTCGGGATGCTGAGGTGGGAGAATCACCTGAGCCTTGGGAGGTGGAGGTTGGGGTGAGCTGAGATTGCACCACTGCACTCCAGCAAGGGTGACAGAGTGAGACCCTGTCTCAAAAAAAAAATAAATAAATAAAAATAAAATAAATTTTGACAGGTAATTGTCAAATATATAAAGTTTTTCTTTTGTTTTTTCCTCTGTCACCCAGGCTGGAGTGCAGTGGTGTGATCTCTGCTCACTGCAAGCTCCATCTCCTGGGTTCACGCCATTCTTCTGCCTCAGCCTCCCGAGTAGCTGGGACTACAGGCGCCCGCCACCACGCCCGGCTAATTTTTTGTATTTTTAGTAGGGACGGGGTTTTCACCGTGTTAGCCAGGATGGTCTTGATCTCCTGACCTTGTGATCCGCCTGCCTCGGCCTCCCAAAGTGCTGGGATTACAGGTGTGAGCCACCGCGCCCGGTTACCTGTCAAAATTTATAATATGTTTCTGTTTTGGCCAATTATATACTAATTATAATTGTGATAATAACAATCCAAAAGTTTTGTTTTTTTAAACGTTATCTTTTTAGAGTCTGTGACTTTATCACAGGAAGTAAAAAGAAATTTTATTTTAAGTCTATGTATATATTTTTAGAAATTTATGAAAAAGGATGAATAAAAGACTTTTTGGCTGGATGTGGTAGCTCACACCTGTAATCCCAGACAAAAAATTTTAAAATTAGCAGGTCTAGGCCAGGCGTGGTGGCTCATGCTTATAATCCCAGCAGTTTGGGAGGCCAAGGTGGATGGATCACTTGAGGACAGGAGTTCGAGACCAGCCTGGCCAACATGGTGAATACCTGTCTCTACCAAAAATACAAAAAAATTAGCCAGACATGGTGGCGGGCGCCTGTAATCCCAGCTACTTGGAAGGCTGAGGCAGGAGAATCGCTTGAACCCGGGAGCTGTAAATCTTGTGTTGTGATTCTTGTAGGAAATGAAGGTCCTCAGTCCCCATTCCATCACATCCTGCCCAAGTGCAAGCTGGCCAGGGACCTCAAGGAAGCTTATGACAGGTAAGACAGGTGGGTGTGCTTATTAACCTCCTTCTTATGGGCCAGCCTGCCTGGGCCTGAGGAGCAGCGTCAACAGGTAGGGCTCCCCGGTACTGACCACTGTTCTCCTGGGGTGTGAGCATCAGGGTTCCCTGAGGTTAGGGCCGGAGAGGACTGGGAAGGGATGGTCATGTGGCTGCTCTTGAAAGAAGTGACCTTGGTGGCCGTTTTTTTTTGTTTATTTTTTATTTCTATTTCTATTTATTTCTTTTTTTTGAGATGGAGTTTTGCTTTTGTTGCCCAGGCTAGAGTGCAGCGGCACGATCTCGGCTCACAGCAACCTCTGCCTCCTGGGTTTAAGAGATTCTCCTGCCTCAGCCTCCCGAGTAGCTGGGATTACAGGCATGCGCCACCACACCCGGCTAGTTGTGTATTTTTAGTAGAGACGGGGTTTCTGCATGTTGGTCAGGGTGGTCTCCCGACTTCAGGTGATCCACCCGCCTCGGCCTCCCAAAGTGTTGGGATTACTGGCGTGAGCACCGCGCCCGGCCAGTGGCTGTTTTTTAAATGGTTTGCTGAGTAGGGTGCACTCTGCTGGAACTTACATCACAAAAGACAAATCACTCTCCTATGTTTAAGGACTTATATTTCCCAATAGAAGAATGAACAAGGGATCTGAGCAGTGAGCTCACAGAAAAGACAGGTGGTTCAAACATGTGAAGAGATGCATCAGTGCATCACAATAAAGCTACACAGAGATCCCATTCCCCACCTGTTATACTGGTTAAGATCCACAATTTCACGAGACTCGATGTTGGCAAAGCTCGGGGGAAGAGGCATCTCGTGTGTTGCTGGTGGGACAGAGGTACAAACCCCTGAGTACCTTTGCTTTTTTAAACCCCTTTGCTGAGTAGCATGCACTCTGCTGGAACCACCACCTCCAGACTCCTCTTAAAACAGAAAACGAGCCCGAAGTTATACATGAGAGTCCGAAAGTGTTTTTAAATCAAACAGATGCAAAATGCCATTTTACTGAGCATGACGCAACACCAAGTGCTGGGCCACCTTCACTAGGTGGGTGTCACTGACTCCAGTCACTCAAGAGGAAATTGAGGCTCAGTGGGTGAGGCTGGGGCCAGCTGTCTCCTCTCAGTCTGAGAGAGTTGGGGTTTGCGACACTGACTGTGTGAGGGCAGCAAGCCTTGAGGATACCATGAAAACCTCACAGTTGTTCTGATTGTATTGGCTGAGCATCACCTTTATTAAATGTGGACAAGCAGGCCGGGCGTGGTGACTCACGCCTGTAATCCCAGCACTTTGGGAGGCTGAGGGGCGGATTTCTTGAGGTCAGAAGTGCAAGATCAGCCTGAACAACAATGTGAGATCGCATTTCTACAAAAAATTTTTAAAAAATATCTGAGTGTGGTGGCACAAGTGTAGTCTCAGCTACTCAGGAGGCTGAGGTGGGAGGGTCACTTAAGCCTAGGAAATCAAGATTATGGTGAGCCATGGTTGTACCATTGTACTCTGGCCCCAGCAACAGAGCCAGACCGCGTATCAAAAATGAAAAAAAAAAGGCCGGGCGCGGTGGCTCACACCTGTGATCCCAACACTTTGCCAGGCTGAGGCGGGTGGAGCACGAGGTCAGGAGTTCGAGACCAGCCTGGCTAACATGGTGAAACCCGCTGTCTACTAAAAATACAAAAAATTAGCCGGGCGTGGTGGTGCATGCCTGTAGTCCCAGCTACTCAGGAGGCTGAGGCAGAAGAATCACTTAAATCTAGGAGGCAGAGGTTGCAGTGAGCTGAGATGGCGCCACTGCACTCCAGCCTGGGTGACAGAACTAGATGTCATCTCAAAAATAATAATAAAAATTAAAAAACAAAAGTAAAATAAAAAATAAATAAAATTTAAAAAATACTTTTTAATTCTTTTTTTGGCTGCCTAGTGAGCCGCAACTGCCCCCACCATTGAGTTTGTTCCAGCCTTCCAGTGCTAACCATTTACCTGTGTTATTTTGTATGTGCGCCTCTGTATCTATAAGATAAATTCCTAAAGGCATTACTAATAGGGAAAATGGCATTTGTAATGTTGTGTTTCCTTCTCAGGGGTTTGTACCTCTGTCCCACCAGCAACACACGAGATGCCTCTTCCCCCGAGCTTTGCCAACATCGAGTCTCGTGAAATTGTGGATCTTAACCAGTATAACAAGTGGGGAATGGGATCTCTGTGTAGCTTTATTGTGATGCACTGATGCATCTCTTCACATGTTTGAACCACCTGTCTTTTCTGTGAGCTCGCTGCTCAGATCCCTTGTTCATTCTTCTATCGGGAGATATAAGTCCTTAAACATGGGAGAGTGATTTGTCTTTTGTGATATAAGTTGCAACTAGCATTTGTTTGTCTCTTGGTGACCCTGGGGACTGAGCCTCCCCAGGTGTGAGAGAACATCAGCCCTTGCCAGGTGATTGCTTTGTTTTCTGGCCCCTTCTGTGTTGCAGAATGGGACCTTTGTGGTCATGTAGTCTGACCCTGTCTTTGATTCATTGTTATCACACTAATGTTTTCTCTGTGTTGAGAGAATTACTACCCTCTGGCTTTGAATTGCCTGGTATCCAGTCTCTTCCTTGGACATTGTTCCCTTATTCTGAGTGTATGCCTCAACTCGGATTAGATTACAAACAAAAATCAGGCTAACTTGGAATTAAAATAAAAACCAAGCTGGTGCGGTGGTGTGCTCCTGTAGTCCCATCTCACAGGCGAGGCCAAGGTTGGGGGATCACTTGAGCCCAGGAGTTCGAGCTTGTAGTGCTCTATGCTGGTGTCTGAGTAGCCACTGTACTCCAGCCCCAGCAACATGGTGAGACCCTGTCTCTTAAAAATTTGTTTAAATAAAAACCAAACCATTGACTTTATATTTCTTTTTCTTCTTCTTTTTTTTTTTTTTTTTTGAGATGGAATATCCTTCTGTTGCCCAGGCTGGAGTGCATTCTTCTGCCTCAGCCTCCCGAGTAGCTGGGACTACAGGTGCACATCACCATGCCTGGCTAATTTTTGTATTTTTAGTAGAGATGGGGTTTCACCATATTGGCCAGGCTGGTCTCGAACTCCTGACCTTGTAGATCCGCCCGGCTCGGCCTCCCAAAATGCTGGGATGACAGGCGTGAGCACCGTGCCCGGCTCGTTGACTTTATATTTCTAAAGGAAGAATGGACTATGATTTCTTAGGTTTGAATCGTGCTGGAAAGTTGAAAGGAGACAAAACCTTGGACTGCCTGTTGTGTGATCTGCAGGCTGCGGAGGAGCTCAGAACTTGAGGCAACCCAGCGCCACCTAGTGGATATTAAAGGAGGACAGGAATCTGAGTTTTGCTGAAAAAGGCTCCTAAGCTGTTGTTCAGCATGTAGCATTCTTTCCTGACCTACGCATTCTGTTTGTTAGTGCCCAGGATCACATTTCCTCCATCCAAACTCCCACCCTAACAGTCTTGGGTCCTGGAGCTTGCCCCAGGGATGCTGGCAGCTATGTTTCTCTGGCAGGAGTCCAGGCAGTAGTACCCTCCCTGTACCCATCCTTGTCTGGCACTGGCATGGCTCTGCAGCCACCCAGGAGCCCCTCTGGGCTGTGGCCTCTCGTCTGTCCTCATCCCATCAGGTCCATGGTTGGCCTCAAGGGTCTGGTCTGCTGCTGCTCACTCTTCTGCACTGAGAGGAGGAGACTGAGTTTCCATTACTGATCAGGTGACCTAGGACAGAGCGCCTTTCTCCTGATGGTGACTGACTGCCAGATCTGGGGGAATCTCAGAACAGAACTGAAAGACCAGAAGCTGTGAGATTAATGAGGTTGGAGATTGGGGTGGGATTTTTCAAAGGAATTGTTCCTGGTTCTTTTTTTTTTTTTTTTTTTTTTTTTTTTTAATTTAAGGCAGGGTCTCACTCTATTGCCAGGCTGGAGCGCAATCTTGGCTCACTGCAACATCTGTCTCCCAGGCTCAGGTGATCCTTCCATCTCGGCCTCCCGAGTAGCTGGGACTATAGGCACCCGCCCCCACGCCTGAATAGTTTTTGTATTTTTTTGTGGAAATGGGATTTTGCCATGTTACCCTGGCTGATCTTGAATTCCTGGACTCAAGCAATCTACCCACCTTAGCCTCCCAAAGTGCTGGGATTATAGGCGTGAGCCACCATGCCCTGCCCCCAGTTGCTATTTTATTTATTTATTTATTTATTTGTTTGTTTGAGACGGAGTCTTGCTTCGTCACCCAGGCTGGAGTGCAATGGCACAATCTCAGTTCACTGCAACCTCCGTCTCCCGGGCTTAAGTGATTCTCCTGCCTCAGCCTCCTGAGCAGCTGGGATTACGGCGCCTGCCACCAGGCCTGGCTAATTTTTGTATTTTTAGTAGAGATGGAGTTTCACCATGTTGGCCAGCCTGGTCTTGAACTCCTGACCTCGTGATCTGCCAACCTCGACCTCCCAAAGTGCTAGGACTACAGGCGTGAGCCACCACGTCCGGTCCCCAGTTGCTATTTTAATTAAAGCTAGGGTTATGGTGTGGCTGAATAGCCTGGTGGCCCTGTCCTGCAGGACCTAACATCTGTGAATATAGGCTGGGAATGTGAATCGCTCAGGAGGCCACCCCAACACTTGTGCCATACCTAGCACTTGTGTCTCCCTGTGGATCCCAGTGGCCCTCAGTGACAGCATGTCACTCATTCATATGACCATTGAATTGTGTCTCCCAGGAGGGCAGGGATGTCTCTTCACTTTCTGCAACACAGCCCCTACACTCAGCCTGTGGAGGAGCACAGCTCATCCGCTAGGGGTCGACGGAATGTGTGGGTGGGAATAACAGCAGTGTAGATTCCATGGAGTGTGAAGAAGTGATTTGCTGAATGGTTCTCCGAGTTAACAGGACCTGTGGTGGGGAGTGATGTCCAGGGTCTGGCTGGGTAGGTGGTACTTGGTGCGGAGCCTTGCACTGCAAACTGTCGAGAGCAGGGTTGGTCCCATGGACCCTCTGTGAATATCCTGAGTTGTAGTACCCATTTCCATAAAAATGCACCTATATATAAACTTTCGTTTGAAATTTCAAGGTAGGCTGTTTGGAACCCACATAGATCTTTTGGGTTATGCAGCATCCCACTACTTATGGTAGGAAGCCAGGCCCATCCGTGGGACCAGAGGATGCAGAGGTTTGCAGGATAGCTTCACAGGTCCTGTCTAGTTCTAAGGTTAGGAATGGATGCTTTCTCAGATGCTAAAAGCTGAGGGGACTAGACTAAGCTTGTGCACATTTCTGTCTTGGAGATGAACGGCGAGAGTGTGTTTGAAGCCAGCCATTCCCTTTTGCATAGTCATTGTCAGGATGCAGGGCTTTGGCTGGGGCACCTATCTCCTGTCACAGACTGGGCTGGGCCCTCTTGGCTGGCCCAGAGCTGTGTGAGGGGCTGGATAAGTCTTGAGGAGGACAGTGTTTTCCTCCAGAGTGTTTTCAGACCAAACCATTAAACACCTTGCAAATAGAAGTGCAAGCTCGGCAGGAAACCTTTCAGGGCCCAAACCCTGCTTGTGCTAAGGGCTCTTGTCTTAAAGCTGCAGACTTAAAAACAGTGACAAACCTTTCTCTTTCCCCTTGTTAACAGACCTCAGTGCAGCTCCTGGCTTACCCTCTTACTGTGGGGGATTTACAGGCTGGAGGTTGGGCCGGCACCTTTCCAGAGCAGTCATCCCTCTGACATGTTCAGGGAATTTGCCCAGGTCTGCCATGGCCTTTGGGGCACTCCTGGTGGCAGCACTTGTCACCGCTCTAGGGAGCTGGGTTAGTTCATAAAGAAGCACCAGCCTCAGTGCAGAGTGCTCTGAGGGAGAAAGCAGCAGGTGGGTGAGCTGATGCTTGGGAAAATGGAGTAAAGTCCACGTGGAAGTTAGAGGAACCAACATGGCGTGTCTCTGCCAGAGGAGAGGGCCCCATGCCAGTGTACAAACCAGACCACATGACTGCGGCTCCAAGGACAGCTGACACGGTGAGGGCAGCAGAGATGACCAAGCTGGGAAGTCACTAGAAGAACCTTCATGTGACCCTCCTGCCCTCATTTCTCCATACCCATAGCTGGAACTTGTTCCTGGCTTTCCATGAGGTGTGTTCCAAGCCCCTGTTCCTTTCCCTATAACTCTCTCCAGTTTCTAATGCTCCATACAATTTGATTACAATTAGGTGTCTTTTTTTTTAAACGTTAATTTCAATTTTTTTTGAGACAGGGTCTTGCTCTGTCACCCAGGCTGGAGTGCAATGGCGCGATCTCGGCTCACTGCAACCTCCGCCTCCTGGGTTCAAGTGATTCTCCTGCCTCAGCCTACCAAGTAGCTGGGATTACAGGCACCTGCCACCACACCTGGCTAATTTTTTTTTTTTTTTTTGAGATGGAGTTTCACTTTTGTTGCCCAGGCTGGAGTGCAATGGCACGATCTCAGCTCAGTGCAACCTCCGCCTCCGCCTCTACCTCCCAGGTTCAAGTGATTTTCCTGCCTCAGCCTTCCAAGTAGCTGGGATTACAGGCATGCACCACCACGCCCAGCTAATTTTGTACTTTTAATAGAGACGGGGTTTCTCCCTGTTGGTCAGTCTGGTCTCAAACTTCTGACCTCAGGTGATCTGCCCATCTCAGCCTCCCAAAGTGCTGGGATTACAGGTGTGAGCCACGGCACCCGGCCTAATATTTGTATTTTTAGTAGAGACAGGGTTTCACCATGTTGGCCAGGCTGGTCTCGAACTCCTGACCTCAAGTGATCGGCCTGCCTCGGCCTCCCAGGTTTTGGGATTACAGGCGTGAGCCGCCACGCCCGGCCAATTATGTGTCTGTCTAGATGCCGCTGAGTGAAGCCCCCAGCGTGCAGAGCAGCCAAGTTATTTTCTTCCCTGCTGCACTCCAAGTACCTAAACTGGTGCTGGGAGCCACAGCACATGTCATAAGGCCTCACTGTGCTCCTAGATGGAGCAAAGACAGCTACATTTGAAACAATAGGAGCCTCCGTATTCTGATTCTGTGGTGTCCCAACAGCCACTTTGAGCTGCATCCTAAATAGGACAGAAACAGAAAGGCCTTGGGTGGGTGCGGTGGCTCACGCCTGTAATCCTAGCACTTTGAAAAGCCAAGGTGGGAGGATCGCTTGAGCCCAGGAGTTTGAGACCAGCCTAGGCAACATAGACCCTGTCTCTACAAAAAAAAAAAAAAAAAAAAAAAAAAAAATCACCCCAGGCGTGATGTTGCACGTCTGTAGTCCCAGTTACTTGGGAGGTTGTCTTGAGCCTGGGAGATCAAGGCTGCAGTGAGCGGAGATGGCGCCACTGCACTCCAGCCTGAGCAACAGTGAGACCTTGTCTCAGAAAAAAGAAAAAAAAAATAGACCTTTTATTTCCAGTGGCCCTCCTTTCTGACCCAGATGGTGACAGCACAGTGCATGGGGCCACCTCTCGCTTGCCCTTTCTTCCCTGTCGCATACGGATGCCAAGATCCTAACTATTGCTTACTCAAGTTGAGTAACCTGGATCCCCTGGACAAATCTCTCCTGGTGTGATCTTTAATTCCTTAGCGGCTGGGACATTTCTCAGGGTTTGATACGAGTTTTTCACCCTGCAAAGACCCTGACCAAAGAGAGGTAAGGTTCTGGGAGCCTCTGTCTGCCCCGACATACTTGGTTAGCATGCAGTTCTGGAAGAAGCTGAGACTGCTGCCCTCCTCTGGGACCTTGGGGCCATGGTGTTCTCTGAGCACCCCGTATTGACGTGTCCTAAGAGACGTCCGAGGGGCCGTTTGTACCTTCTGGCCTGGGGCAGCCAGAAGTCTGGCCAAGTCTCCCGGACTTAGCCGGATGTGGGTGTGTTGGCCTGTCCCGCCAACTGGGAGCTGAGAATAGCAGAATAGGGTCAGGGGGTGATGGGAAAAGCACTAGTTGGCTGCTCTCCTGGGCAGTGGGGCAGTGAACAGAGGAAACATGATGCGGGGAGGTGCTGTAGAAATGGGCAGTTTGGAGAAGAACTTGTGTGTGTTTTGCTCCTATTTTAGAACTGGTGTCATTGTGAGGCTTCACAGGCTGCGTTCCCTGTGCAGGACACAAGGAAGGTGCCGGCCACTTTGAGTAGCCAGGCCTTGACAAGAGTAGGTGGAGATCCCCCCTGTTGCCTGGAGCCTCCGGGGATGCGGTGAAGGCCAGCTGCAGACAGCTTTGCTTGAGCAGTTGCATCTCCTCTGTGTCATAGAACAAGTGCTGTTGGCTCTTACTTAAGGCAAGGGCGCTTTGTGGTGAGCGGTGGAGTTGGGTGGCGCCCTGGCTTCTCCATCAGGGAGTTTTAGAAGCTCCTGGTGAAAACAACTCCTTCCTTGTTTTGTGTGGTTCCCCGAGGGGATGACGTGGGCTGCATCCCCACTGTGGAGCCTGTTCTTGGGGCAGGGCTTCCTAGGAAAGACAGTGCATGCAGGGAGGGCGGTGTGTTCCTTGGCTTCATTCAGGAAATGCAGCTCCGTGCCTATGTGCCTGACACGTTTTACAATGTGTAGAGAGCAGAGAATGAAACCCACAAGCCCCCCTCCTCAGGAGTGAGTTCTGGTTGGGGAGACAGCATTAGGCAGCGGGTCAGGGGTTGGAGTGTCAATGGGGCTGGGGTCAGGGGTGCTTCACTGAGAATGTGACACTTGAGTGGAGACCGATGGAGTAAAGGAGCCTTGGGGCGTCTGCAGAGAGTTTGTGGGCAAGGGCAAATGCCAGGGCCCTGAGCACAGCGGGACCTGAGTGACTGGGCACAGGGAGTGAGGCCACAGGAACGTGGGTGTTGCAGGCCCATGGCTGGGACTGCCCAGGTGGGAGTGTGGGGAGCGGTAGTCAGAGGGGCCAGTGCTCTGGGTGGCTTGGGCCTGGTGATGCTGAAAAGGCCTGGATTTTGGACATCCCTGCAGGTGGAGCAGATGGGATTTGCTGATGGTTTAAAGTGGACTGTGAAAGAAATAAGGAAACTGGGATGGTGTTGCTATGTTTGGCCTGAGCAAGCTTTGGGACCCGAAAGAACCAAGTTACCCTTACTGATAGAATGTGGAGTGAAAGGTTTTCCGTCGTAGTGAAGTGTTGGGGCTGGCTAGCACGGCTGGCTTGTGGTGACCACTTGGTATCCACATGCACTGCAACTGAGGTGCTGTGGGCATCTGCAGACTGCAGGGAGGTGGGCACTGTGTGCTTCTCACCACTGGAACACTCTGGGGGACTTGGCATTCCTTCCCTGCCCTCCTCGCCCTCTGAGACAGCCACTGTTCTGCCTGGACGTGCACCTGTGACGGGTCTTCATGAGGTGTGCAGGGCAGGCCCATTCACAGGGAGGATGTACTCTGGGTGTTGGGTGTCTGCCAGGGGTCTGGACGGGCAGGGGCCTGAGTTAGAGTGCCTCTAGTGCACTGAGTCCCCAGGACAGGGTACGGCTTCTCTCAAGCCCTGGCAGTCTGGTTGGACTACAGATTCCAGGGCTAGCCAGAAATATGTTTCTCTTTTTCTTTCTTCTTCTTCTTCCTTTTTTTTTTTTTTTTTTTTGAGACAGAGTCTTGCCTTGTTGCCCAGGCTGGAGTGCAGTGGCGTGATGTTAGCTCACTGCAACCTCCACCTCCTGGGTTCAAGTGATTCTCCTGCCTCAGCCTCCCGAGTAGCTGGGACTACAGGCGCCCGCCACCACACCTGGCTAATTTTTGTATTTTTAGTAGAGACGGGGTTTCACCGTGTTATTAGCCAGGCTGGTCTCGAACTGCTGACCTCGTGATCCGCCCACCTTGGCCTCCCAAAGTGCTGGGATTACAGGCATGAGCCACCGTGCCCGGCCCCCATATTTTCTTTTCTTAAACATAATGTGATCTTAAGAGATGCTCTCCTGCCCGGGTCTCCACCTGCAGTTTCCCCTAAGCAGCAGGGGAATCAGCACCATTGAGCAGGGTGTTTTCTGATCTGTGTGCATGGTTAGAAAGTTTATGTGAACGGGTAACAGCGCCCACTCTCTGCAGCCTGTGCACGTCGGGCGTAGTTCGGCTTCACATCAACAGCTGGCTGGAGGTGAGCTTCTGCCTGCCCCACAAGATCCACTATGCGGCCTCCAGTCTGATCCCCCCAGAGGCCATCGAACGGAGCCTGAAAGCCATCCGGTAAGTGCCCAGCCCCACGTGCTCACTCCCTGCCAGGGCCCTTCCCTTTAGCTTCTGCCTGAGATTTTACCACTTACTTTGTTCCAAAATTTCTCTTTTTCTTCTTCCCACTGCGGAAGCTTGCAGGTGGGGCTCTGCCGTTTATAGAAGTTAAAACACATAATTTTGTATCCAGTTGTGTCCAGAAATGACCAATCCCAGGTTTCTCCTGGGCCCTTCTGGCACCACCTTAGGCTTGGGCAGGGCAGCCTGGATGTGGGGCTGAGTGTCCTTGGGGAGGCCGGAGGGCTGGAGGGACTTCATCTTAATGGTGTTGCCCTACCCCAGTCTTTTGCATTTCAGTCAGCACTCATGGGATCTCAGTTATTTTCTTTTTCTTTTTTTTTTCTTTTTCTTTTTTTTTTTTTTTTTTGCGGGGGTGTGTGTGTGTGTGAGAGAGAGACAGAGTTTTGATCTTATCGCCCAGGCTGGATTTCAGTAGTGCGATCCCGGCTCACCACTACGTCCACCTCCCAAGTTCAAGTGATTCTCCTGCCTCAGGCTCCCGAGTAGTTGGGATTACAGGCGCCCACTGCCATGCCTGGCTAATTTTTTTGGTACTTTTAGTAGAGACAGGGTTTCACCATGTTGGCCAGACTGGTCTCGAACTCCTGACCTCAGGTGATCCACTCATCGCTCATCTCAGCCTCCCAAAATATACTTTCTTAATTTAATTGACTTTTTTTTTTTTTTTTTTGAGATGTAGTCTTGCTCGGGGCTCAAGTGCAGTGGCACAGTCTCCACTCAGTGAAGCCTCTGTCTCCCGGGTTCAAGCGATTCTCCTGCCTCAGCCCCCTGAGTAGCTGGGATTATGGGTGCACACCACTACACCTGGCTAATTTTTGTATTTTTAGTAGAGATGGGGTTTCACCATGTTGGCCAGGCTCGTCTTGAACTCCTGACCTCGTGATCCACCCGCCTCGGCCTGCCAAAGTGCTGGGTTACAGGTGTTAGCCACCATGCCCTGGCAATTTAATTGATTTTCTGCAAGGAAAGAACTGAGCCCAGTCTTCTGGCACCACCTGTTCCCAAGTCCCCCAATACCTTGAACATTTTTTAATTATAAAAATATATCTGGGCACATTGCTGAAAATTTGGAAATGACAGAAAGCAAAGCGCTGCCTAGTTCCACCCTCCCCAGTCCGTGCTCTTTGCTTTCAATCCTAGCTAAGCATATTTTAATGTACTTTGGTCCCTAGTCTGTGAGGAGGATTTTGCTTTTCCCATATTTGGGACAATTTCCTTAGGAAAGATTCATTCATGTCTTCAATCAACAGATGTTTGCTGGGCGTCTCTGAGGTGGGATACAGAGTCCAGTCTTCGAGCCTTCCCCACTTTTGTCGTGTTTTTTTCCGAGGGTGACATAATCCTTGCAGGTTTTGTTTTTGTTGTTTTTGAGACAGAGTCTCACTCTGTCGCCAGGCTGGAGTGCAATGGCGCAATCTCGGCTCACTGCAAGCTCCGCCTCCCAGGCTCAAGTGATTCTCCTGCCTCAGCCTGCCGAGTAGCTGGGACCCCAGGTGGGTGCAACCACACCCGGATAATTTTTTTATTTTTAGTAGAGATGGGGTTTCACCATGTTGGCCAGGCTGGCCTCGAACTCCTGACCTCACGTGACCTGCCTGCCTTGGCCTCCCAGAGTGCCGGGATTATAGGCATGAGCCAGTCCTTGGCAGATTTTGTGAAGGCCTCCAAACAGACCACTGCCCTTTTCTCAAATCCCGCTCTTGGCCCTTCTCTCCGCAGTTAAGGGCCAGGAGGCTCCAGCTGCCTGTTTGTGTCCCAGGTGCATACCTGATGCACACCCGGTGCAGGACCTCGTGCAGGACCTGGTGCATACCTGGTGCAGGGTTCCCTGCACTTCGTATGTTCCGTGTGTTTGAGTCCCAGGTGCATACCTGGTGCATACCCGGTGCATACCTGGTGCAGGACCTGGTGCATACCCGGTGCATACCTGGTGCAGGACCTGGTGCATACCCGGTGCAGGGTTCCTGCACTTCGTGTGTTCCGTGACAGGTGATTGTTTTGCAGCCCCTACCATGCCCTGCTGCTGCTCAGTGATGAGAAGTCCTTGCTGGGTGAGCTTCCTATTGACTGCTCCCCTGCCCTAGTGCGGGTGATCAAGACCACATCTGCTGTGAAGAACCTGCAGCAGCTAGCCCAAGATGCGGACCTGGCCTTGCTGCAGGTATAGCTCTGGAGGCCCAGATGGGTGGCATGTGGCGGTGCTGGGGCATCAGGAAAGGCAGGCCGCCTGCCACAGTACATCCACAGGGGCTGTGTCCAGCTGAGAGCCGCGGCACAGCCCACCATGGGGTGGGGCCAGTCCCTGGGATGGCTGGAGGTTTTGGCATCTGAGTCAGACCTGGGTTCAGGGCTGGCTTTGTGAGTGAGCCACGGGACTGACTTGTTCTTCTGTCTCAGAGAGGTAAGGCGAGTCTGTGAGAGAAAGGACTGGGGTGCTTGCAGTCCTGGAGGTTGAGGCACCAGAGCTAGGGGGTGGGCAGGGCAGCAGCGGGCAGGGCCATGGGGGTCTCACAGTGGTGCATGAACAACATACGGGAACTAAGGGCAGGAAGCTTGGATGCGGGGCCCTCCCATGTGCAGAACAGAGACCTAACCTGGTGGCCTTACGCCCCTGTGTGTGCACATGTGTTGGCCTGTGCACTCTGTACAAGATGCCACGTCCTTGCTGAGCCACATGCTTATGGGCCTGTCCATGCAGAGGGCTGCCCTTTCTGATTAGATGGAGGGCCCCTCAGCCTCGTCTGCGGATCTGGTTGGAGTGTGGGAGGAAAAGCGCAGGCAAGGCTGGGCACGGTGGCTCATGCCTGTCATCCTAGCCCAGGACTTTGAGACCAGCCTGAGCAACATGGCAAAACCCCGTCTCTACAAAAAATACAAAAAAAAAAAAAAAAAAAATAGCTGGGTGTGGTGGCGTGCACCTGTAGTCCCAGCTACTTGGGGGTATGAGGTGTGAGGATCAATTGAGCCTGGGAGGCAGAGGTTGCAGTTAGCTGAGATTGTGCCACTGTACTCCAGCCTGGGCGACTCTGTTTCCAAAAAAAAAAAAAGCACGGGGAGAAATCAGAAGCAGGGGCTGCTGATGGGGTGGCCAACAGGCCATGGGATCAGCTGTGGCTGCTAGTCATGTGGGCGTGGCCCAGAGCCACGGGACCATTGAAATACTGCCTGAGGGTGGGAGCAGGTGGTGCCTGTGGGTGGCGCCCTCGTCTGGTGGCGGTGTGCACAGCATGGCCACCAGGGGGCAGCAGAGGCTGCCGAGGAACACAGGCGTGAGGTGGGCCCGCCTGGGTCCCTCTGGCTGAGCTTCCATGCTCTTTTGGCCTGTGAAACAGGTCTCTGCTTAGCACGTTAGGGGAACTTGTCCAACAAGGCCTGACTCTCAGGCCACTTTTCCCCGAAAGCAGCCTTTTTGGATTCTGTCTTTGAGAGTAAGTCTCCCGCCTCTGTATCTCAGGACCCTTTATCTATCCTCTGTGAGAGCACTTACCAAATTGTGCCCTTGTATTTCTTTTTTCTTTTCTGAGACAGGTTCTTGCTCTGTCTCCCAGGCTGGCATGTGGTGGTGCCATCATGATCCACCCAGGCTCAAGCATCCTCCCAAGTAGCTGGGACTACAGGTGTGCGCCTGGCTAATATTTTTTTTTTTTTTTTTTTTTTGGTAGAGACGGGGTTTCCCTATGTTGCCCTGGCTGGCCTCATACTCCTGGGCTCAAGTGATCATCGCACCTTGGCCTCCTAAAGGGCTGGTATTACAGGCATGAGCCACCATGCCCAGCTGTGCCTTTGGACTTCATGGGCTGGACAGGACTCAGTAAACACCATGTCCTGCCCACCTTCATAGCATTCAGGAGACAGAGAATTTTAAAAGAACTCACCACTCCATACAACCCTGCAGAGTGAGGGAGGCAGTGACCCTCCGTGTCCTGATGAGCACCGACCACATGGTAAATGCCTGTGGCTGTTCACTGGTCCTGTGTTGAGCTTTTGAAAGGAGCTGGGCCTGGCTTTCCTGAGGCTGTCTGGCAGGAGTTTGTGCTGGACACTGTGCCTCTCATCCTTGCTGTCAGAGTCTCCTTGGACAAAGCTTTGATGCCCTCTTCTGAGGTTGTCTGGCAGGAGTTTGTGTGGACAGTGTGCCTCTCACCCTTGCTCTCAGAGTCTCCTTGGACAAAGCTTTGGTCTCCTTTTGATGTCCCCTTCACTTCCCTGCCGTGGCCTTGACTGGGGAGAGGGAAGGCTGTTTGTCATTGTTTTCTTCTGTCTGTACCCCTTCCCTGCTGTCCCTGCTGCAGGTCAGCAGGGCGTTGCTGCTGGTGTGGCGGTGCGGAAGCCCCTGGGGCCCAGCCCTGGTGGGTCACTCTGTTTCCGGAGATAGCCCCCTGGGGAGCACCTGCCTCAGGTGTGAATGTCACCAGATAGTTTAAAGTCCCTCATGTGGCTGGGTGCAGTGGCTCATGCCTGTAATCCCAGCACTTTGGGAGGATGAGGCAGGAGGATTGCCTAAGCCCAGGAGGTCACGACCAGCCTAGGCAACATAGGAAGACCCTGTCTTTACAGAAAATTAAATAATTAGCTGGGCATGGTGGTGTGTGCCCATGGTCCCAGCTACTCAGGAGGCTGAGGTGGGAGGATCACTTGAGCCCTGGTGTTCGAGGCTGCAGTGAATTGTGATTTTACACACTGCAGTCTGGGCAACAGAGCAAGACCCAGTCTCAAAAAATAAAATAAAATAAAATTCTTCATGTTTATATCAATCCAGAGAGAATCTACAAGTAAATTTTGGGTGTGTCATGATAAAATTAGTATGTTACAAGACTTCAAACACTACACAAATTATAGACACAGAAAGTTCCCACAGTCCCATATCCCACAGGTAACCTAGATCCCTCCAGGTTTTTTATCTGTATATATACATTTTATTGTGTGTGTGTGTGTGTGTGTGTGTGTGTGTGTGTATATATATATATATATATATATATACACACACAAACATTTTATTTTGTATTATGAAAATTAGGATCGTGCTGTATATTCGTTGTGATTGGCTGAATAATGGCCCCCACAGATATACACATCCTAATCCCCAAAATCTATGAATGTGAACTCATGTGGGACTTTGGAGATGTTACTAAGTAGAAGATCTTGAGATGGGAAGATCATCCTGTTGAGCTCTAAATGTAATCTCTAAGGCCCTTATCAGAGGGAGGCAGAGGAAGATCTGATAAAAAGAGGCAGCGATGTGGCCACAGAGACAGAGTGGAGTGACGTGACCGCAAGCCAAGAGACACTGGCCGTTGAAGAGGCAGGACGAATTCTCTTCTGGAGCTTCCAGAGGGAGCCTGGTCCTGCTGGCACCTTATGCTTGCCCTTAAGTACTGATTTTGGATTTTCAATTTCCAGAATGGACAGCATCTTGGAGAGGCTGCTGCAGGGAGAGGCAGGAGGTGGAGACCACTATGCTGAGCAGAGCTGGGGGAAAGTGGGGGTGTCTTTTTGAGAGAGACATGCGAGTGGCACGTGGGGTGAGGGAACAGGGCGGTGATGGAGCTGAAACCTGCCATGTCGGGGTTGGCGGAGCCATTGGGGGCACTACTCGCACAATCTTGGCTCACTGCAACCCCCACCTCCCAGGTGCAAGCAATCCTCCTGTCTCAGCCTCCAAGTAGCTGGGACTACAGGCATGTGCCGCAGTGCCTGGCTAATTAAATAAAAATTTTTGGCAGAGATGAGGGTCTCACTATATTGCCCAGGTTGGTCTCGAACTCCGAGGTTCAGGCGATCCTCCTGCCTTGCCCTCCCAAAATGCTGGGACTACAGGCATGAGCCACTCACTCAGTCTGGAGGCCCTGTTTTCTGAGCTGAGGTATAAGTGTCCTCAGCAGCAGGGCAGCACGGTGTCCAGGCAGGGGTGACTCACCTCCACAGAGGCCTACCCGCCAAGAGGGTGGAGTGGTGTCCTGGGCTGATGCAGAGGCAGAAGTGCGAGAGCTTAGGATTTCACACACCTTTTCGTGAAGTGCTGGGGTGCTGTGCTCTCAGACCTCAGGCCTGAGCTTTCCTCTGGAAGGGGTTTGGGTTGTGTTTGTGTTTCCTGATGTTCAAGGGTCCACAAGAGCAAAGCTGGGAGGGGGGTCTCTGTGGGAGTCGGGGCACATGGGGCAGACCTGGGGCCTTTGGGTATGTAGGGGTGGCATGCTGAGTGACTCCACACCCATCATCGGGCAAGGCCATGCTGGAGTTTTAGGGGGTATAAGAGGGCTGTGCCCCTGCCAGGACATCCAGCTAAGCCCCCTGCCCAGCTGGGCCAGCACTGTGTTCCCAGCACCCCAGACATTCCCATGCTTGTGGCCTGAGACCACCATTCTTCAGTGGGAGTCAAGACAGCATAGGATGGGAAAACAGTGCCACCAAACAGCACAGGGAGCAGTGACAAAAAGGCCATTGTGGCCGGGTGCGGTGGCTCATGCCTGTAATCCCAGCACTTTGGAAGGCCAAGGTGGGTGGATCACGAGGTCAGATCGAGACCATCCTGGCCAACATGGTGAAACCCTGTCTCTACTAAAAATACAAAAATTAGCTGGGCGTGGTGGCATGTGCCTGTAATCCCAGCTACTCAGGAGGCTGAGGCAGGAGAATCGCTTGAACCTGGGAGGCAAGAGGTTGCAGTGAGCTGAGATTGTGCCACTGCACTCCAGCCTGGGCGACAGAGCAAGACTGTCTCCAAAAAAAAAAAAAAAAAAACCATTGCTCACAGAAAGTGCTGTGTGCTGGCTGTGCCCCACATCCTAGTGAGAGGTTGCGAAGGTGCTATTCCACGTTAGGGAGGAAGTCTCGGGCCATAGCCACCAGGTGTGTTCTGCATGAGGCTGGGGCCAGCTTCTCCAGGCTGGTAGGCCATGGCCACCCAGGCTGAGAGCTGCTGACAGCTCCCGGTGGGCCAGCCTCAGGCATGGTCCTTGCAGCTTCCCTTTTGCCTGCAGGTTTTCCAGCTTGCAGCTCATCTGGTGTACTGGGGCAAGGCCATCATCATCTACCCGCTGTGTGAGAACAACGTCTACATGCTGTCTCCCAATGCCAGCGTATGTCTGTGAGTGCTGCTGGCTGCCAGAGCCTGGAGCCCCGAGTGGGAAGGGGTGAGGCTGGCAGGGCCCTCCAGATGCTGTTCTCTGTGTTGGCCAGGCACCAAAGGCTGTGGAAGCCCCAAGGCCAGGCTCTCACTTCAGCCTAACTCCTGGCCACTAGCATACCCAGGTCCCAATTCTGGTCTGGCTCTGTGCTCTGTGGCTCTCCTGTGTCCCCCATATGCCTGGCCCCCTCCTCCAGGCTGGCTCTTCTAATCCACCTTGAGGGATCAGAGGTGAGATGCAGGATGAACTGTGCCCATGGCTCCTGCTGCTGCTCAAGGGGAAGTGCCCAGGCTCTGTCCACCTGGAGGCCTGCCTGGCCTCATACCGTTCTGCCCTCATCGCACTGTCCTGACCCACCTGCCACACTTTGCTTCTCTGCTGCCCACTGAGGCCAGTGTTGAGAACACGGTGGGGGGGTCTGCTGCACTCACTGGCATGCTCACCTGCCTGCAGGTACTCCCCGCTGGCCGAGCAGTTCTCCCACCAGTTCCCATCTCATGACCTGCCGTCCGTTCTTGCCAAGTTCTCCTTGCCGGTCTCCTTGTCAGAATTTAGGAATCCCCTGGCCCCCGCTGTGCAGGAGGTGAGTCACAGAAGCTCAAGGAGCCCAGAGTGGCAGGTGTGTAGTGGATAGGCACTACCTGCCTGGCTGTTGGTTCTGATCTGAGAGCCCTCAGCACTGCCACCTGCTTCTCCTTGGTTTTGGGGGCTTGCCGTGCAAGTGCTACGTGCCCAGCAGGACCCAAAAGTCAGCTGCCGGGCCACCTGCAGATGCTTGGCCAGTGACCCAACACTTGAGCAGTTGTTCCCTCCCCATAGAGCCCACCCTGGCTGTGGCAGGCAGTTTTTAGTGTTAGAACCGAGTTAAGCAGGAGAGTGCTTACCTTTTCTGGGCCTACAGACCTGCCTTGTACCCCTTTGGGACTGGGGACTGCCTACAGATGAGGGTGCAAAGGCAGTTTTGTTCTCACTGGGCCAGGCCTGACCCTCTGAGAGTTCTGCTTCTGTCTTCACTCCCTGCCATGGTTCAGGTGGCCACAGGGTCTGTGGGTATGAGTTCTGGGGTCACTGGTCCCCAGAATCTCCTCATTCAAGAGAGCCTAGAGAGGACCCTAGTGGGCCTGGATCAGGGCAACGGGCAGGCAGGTTGGGAGCTAGGAGTGGCTGGGGGATAGGAGGCCTCCTGCAGGTCTGTGGGATGAACTGGTGCACCTGCATCTGTGGCAGGGCCAGTGGCTTCCCCTGTGGGCTGCAGGTGTCATAGCCTTGTGCTGAGGTGGCTTTGCCATCCTCCCCTCCACTGAGTTCTGGGCAGAGACTCAGAGCAGGGCCAGATAGGATACGGTGTTGGAGACAGACGAGCTGGGTGTTCTCAAGTCTTTGTCTCCAGAAGTATCTGAGTAAGTGCCAGATCTATTAGGCAAAACCAGTCCTTAAAGTTAAACCCTTTCCGTTCTCAAATTACGAATGAGAACGATTCTGGCTTTTCAGCTCCGTTAGACGCTAAACCTGACAGAGCTCTCAGTGCGGTCTTTCACAGAGCCCTTGGTTTCTGGGAGCTGAGCCAGGTTGTACCAGCTGAATAAAAGGCACTCTCTGCACCCCTGCTCTTGGGGCAGTGCTTAGGGAGGAGCTGCTGGTGCTCCCTTCTCAGAGGCCTCCTGTGGTCTAGATAACGGAGTGGCTTTTCCAGGCCATGACTGAGTGGTTGCTCCAGGCCTTGTCAAGGGGCCTAGGTCAGCCAGGTTCTGCCTGGGCTCCAGTGCTGGGAAGCCCCTCTGTTTTATTTTTGGTTTATTGATTTTATTTAATTTTGATTGCACGTCAGGCTGGAGTGCAATGGCATGATCTCGGCTCACTGCAACCTTTGCCTCCCGGGTTCAAGCAATCTCCTGCCTCACCCTCCCGAGTAGCTGGGTTTACAGGTGCCCGCCACCACGCCTGGCTAATTTTTTGTATTTTTAGTAGAGACGGGGTTTCACCGTGTTGACCAGGGTGGTCTCTAACTCCTGACCTCAGGTGATCCACCCACCTCATCCTCTCAAAGTGCTGGGATTACAGGCATGAGCCACTACGCCCAGCTTTTTTTTTATTGTTTTGATATAGAAACTTGCTTTGTTGTCCAGGCTGAAGTACAGTGGCGTGATCTTGGCTCACTGCAACCTCCGCCTCCCAGGTTCAAGTGATTCTCCTGCCTCAGCCTCCCAAGTAGCTGGGATTACAGGTGTGTGCCACCACACCCGGCTAATTTTTGTATCTTTAGTAGAGATGAGGTTTCACTGTGTTGGCAAGGCTGGTCTCGAACTCCTGAGCTCAAGTGATCCACCCGCGTCTGTTTTATTTCTTAAATTCATGTGAAGTCTGGATATCTTGCAGTCCTTTTGACCAAGTCTTCTTACTTGCCTGGGATATATCCCCCATTCCCATCCCCAGTTCCCCAGCCCCCTCCCAGGAGGTGACCCTGGCCAGCAGCTCCTTGTTGACCCTCCCAGAGATGAGTAGACAGATGTGTATCTGAGGACACTGATGTGTCTCACACTCCTTACTGTTCAACGCCTGAGTCTGGGCAGTACTTTCTCATGGGGACTGGACTCTACCTGGCACAAGGCTCCTCACTGCTCCTCACTGCCAGCCCCACCTGCTAACCCAGAGACATTGGAGGGCCTGGCCAGGACGTGCCTTCTCACGGTGGGGGTGGGGGTGGGGTGCTCCACCCCCAAGCCCAGGGTCACTGGCCTCAGCTTTCTTGTGGATCCACTCTTGTGCTCAGGGTGGACTTTCAGGTAGATCCAAGGAGAGGACTTTCTGCTCTCAGGGTACCTGCCCACAGCCTCTTTTTAAACAGTGTCTGGGCTTGTGTGGAGGTGGACTTGCTGGCTGGGTCCAACTCCAGGGCCAGTGGGCCAAAGAAGAGAGGAGGCAGAGGGGCAGCTGCAGCAGCACAGGGTGGGGGGTTTGCTCAGCGAAGCAGTCACAGGGGCCTCCACGTCTCAGGTCCTGCTCCTCAGCCAGATGCTGGGTGGCCCCGGTGTGTGGTGGGAGCCTGTGCAGGTGTGATCCAGATGTTCCCCTGGCCCCTCTCCCTTCCCAGGAGGGTGAGCGGGCCTTGCAGAGCTGGCTGGCAGCTGGGGGCTCCCTTTCTGAGAAGAGGGCCTTTCTGCCTGTGCGTCAGCACAGGGAGCGTGCTGTGGCCATGTCTAGGGCCATGGCTCCCTGATCACCCAGGAGGAAGTTGGAGTGGGGAGGGGGACCAGCCTCACCTGCTGCCACCCGCAGACCCAGCTCATCCAGATGGTGGTGTGGATGCTGCAGCGCCGGCTTCTCATCCAGCTGCACACCTATGTCTGCCTGATGGCCTCACCCAGCGAGGAGGAGCCCCGTCCGCGAGAGGACGACGTCCCCTTCACTGCCCGGGTCGGCGGTCGCAGCCTCAGCACGCCCAACGCCCTCAGCTTTGGCTCCCCAAGTAGGACCCCCAGGGCACCGCTGTGGTAGTCAGGGGAGACGCTTGGGGGTGGCATCCAGGAGGCTCAACGTGGGTGGTGCTGTGAGTGATGAGGGGCCTCCACACAGCTGCACACGCACATGCACGTGCCTCGTGTCCCCCGTGGAGACACCTCTCCTGTCTCCTAGCACCACCGTGACTCTGAGGTGGCAGCTCTGTCTCCGGGCTCTTCAGCAGGCTTGCTAGAATTAGGGGCAGCTCCCAGCCCAGCAAATCAGTGCTGGAATCTCTGCCCCAGCCTGGGAGCAGAGCAGGATCTCATACCACTACCAGGACAGCTGACACCTCTGCGCCCCAGAAGAGCCGTCATGGCCAGTGTGGCTTGAGGGCAGCAGCCTGTTGCCAGGTCCCAGGTCCCCGGTCCCCAGGCTTGGGGAAGGAAGGGGGTGGAAGACTTTGAAAGTCCCCCCTTGGCTGAGGTCTGGCTGTAGGCTTCATGCTTCATGTGAGGACCCCACCTGCCCAGGGTGCTTTGTCCTCCATCCTGGGTGAGGGACAGGATGCCCAGGCCCACCTTGGGGTGTTTGTGGGGCACACATCGCACCTCTGTTCAGGTCCCTTGAGGTTGCCCCCAGAGGGGAGGCTACCCGTTTCCCAAGTCAGCCGTATGAGGGGCGTGTCACACCCAGGAGGTGGGGCAGCAGCGAATGCTTGCAGGCAGATGTACCCTAACCCTTGTAGGAGTTAGGGGTGTCATTGGAGGCTGGCTGCTGGCTCTGCCCTCGCTGTTCCCCTGGGTGTCCTGGAATTCCACTTGGTCACCCTGACCCATGTCCCCCACAGCCAGCAGCGATGACATGACCCTCACCAGCCCCAGCATGGACAACTCCAGCGCAGAGCTACTTCCCAGCGGGGACTCGCCACTGAACCAGAGGATGACGGAGAACCTGCTGGCCAGCCTGTCGGAGCATGAACGCGCAGCCATCCTCAGTGTACCCGCAGCCCAGAACCCTGAGGACCTCCGCATGTTTGCCAGGTGGGTGTAGGTTGACCCGTTGGGACTGGGGCCAGTTGCAGGGTCAGGGCAGAAAGTGGATAGGGACGTACGCAACAGAACCACCAAATCCACTGAGAACAGATGGGGCCCTGTTCGAGATGGAGTCTCTGCATTCAGGTGTGTAGGGGCAGGTGCCACTGCCCAGGCCTGAGGGTTCGGCTTGTCACCAAGACGCCGGGCCATGGGCCTGGCATGCCTATTTTTCGGACTCTTCTCTCTCCAGTACTTCTTAGATGTTCCTTTTCCCTTGAGAGGCAGTGCCAAGTTCTTTTTTTTTTTTTTTTTTTTTGAGACGGAGTCTCGCTCTGTCACCCAGGCCGGACTGCGGACTGCAGTGGCGCAATCTCGGCTCACTGCAAGCTCCGCTTCCCGGGTTCACGCCATTCTCCTGCCTCAGCCTCCTGAGTAGCTGGGACTACAGGCGCCCGCCACCACGCCCGGCTAATTTAAGTGCCAAGTTCTCACCCTCATGGGACTTGGCAGGGGTTTGCCCAGGACTGTAAGCCCTGCGGGCATCCAGGGTCCCCCATGTTAAAGGTGATGTGGCTCAGTGGTCTCTGTCAGCCCCACCCTGACTTGGGGGACAGTGCAGGGGCATAGTTTCCCGGGAGTGGTCGGGTTGTCAGGGACTGAGTTTCCGGTTGAGAACCACACTCGGCCCTCGAGAGAACCACTTGCAACTCTTCTGAGCAGCTGGTCCAGGTCTCACCTGCATCCTAGCCTCCTCTGTGCCAGCCTGAGTTGCAGAAAGCACCCTAAAGCAGTGACCTTCCAAATGATGGTGACATTAAAAAAAAAAAAAAAAAAAGTCAGGCGCGGTGGCTCATGCCTGTAATCCCAGCACTTTGGGAGGCTGAGGTGGGTGGATCACGAGGTCAGGAGATCGAGATCATCCTGGCTAACATGGTGAAACCCCGTCTCTACTAAAAAATACAAAAAATTAGCTGGGTGTGGTGGCGGGCGCCTGTAGTCCCAGCTACTGGGGAGGCTGAGGCAGGAGAATGGCCTGAAGGCGGGAGGCGGAGCTTGGCGGGAGGAGGAGAATGGCGGGAAGGCGGGAGTTGCAGTGAGCCCAGATCGCGCCACTGCACCTCCAGCCTGGGCAGCAGAGCGAGACTCCGTCTCAAAAAAAAAAAAGCAGGCTGGGCACAGTGGCTCACGGTTATAATCTCAGCACTTTGGGAGGCTGAGGTGGGTGGATCACCTGAGTTCAGGAGTTCGAGACCAGCCTGGCCAACATATAATGAAACCCTGTCTCTACTAAAAAAGAGAGAAATTAGCCAGGTGTGGTAGCGCACTCCTGTAGTCCCAGCTTACCTGGGAAGCTGACGCAGGAGAATCGCTTGAATCTGGGAGGCGGGAGGTTGCAGTGAGCTGAGATCGAGCCACTGCAATCTAGCCTGGGTGACTGAGTGAGACTCCGTCTCTCAAAAAAAGGAAAAAAAAAAGCAGTGACCATTTGGCTCCAGAGCTACGTGGGACTCACTGTAGCACGAAAAAGAAGCCACCAGCAGAACCCTGGTCCCAACATCAGGACGCAGGCTTGGGCACCTCTGGGTTTGAACAGCCGTCTGCCGTCCTGAACCCACTCCGCCCACCTGGTGGTCAGCGGGACCGTGGTGGGCATGGGGTCCAGGAGGCCTGCCCACCCTTGTTGGGGGGCTGTGGTGGCTGCCTCCCTGGCCTTCACCACCAGCTCTGTTCAGGCCTGTGGGCAGCTCAGAGCTGATTCCCAGCAGTGGCTCTTCAGCAGAGGCCTCTGGGGGCTGGTGTCAGGTTGGGCTCACACCCACCCATCCCTTCCAGGCTCCTTCACTACTTCCGCGGCCGCCACCACCTGGAGGAGATTATGTACAACGAGAACACGCGGCGCTCCCAGCTGCTCATGCTGTTTGACAAGTTCCGCAGCGTGCTGGTGGTGACCACCCACGAGGACCCTGTCATTGCCGTCTTCCAGGCTCTGCTCCCCTGAGCCCAGGCGGAGGGCGGAAGGCTGCTGGGGTGCGCAGGTGGGCGCTCGCGTCTCCCCACCCCAGGGCTCCCCCCGTGCTGAGGCTGAGCCCTCTTGGCCCTGAGGCCTGGCATTGGGTGGATGCGGGCTGGCCGTGGCCCAGTGAAGCCTGCAGAGCCCCGCTGTCCTTGCCCCTGGTGGTTCCGCTGTGGGGCTGCTGCCCTCTGTGTTCCTACGCTTCCCTCCAGTCCTTGCCGCACGCGTAGGCATCTCCACGCTGGAGGGGGGCCTGCCAGGACTCCTGTCTCTGGGTGAGGCCGCATCCTTCAAGGCCCATGTGGGCTGTGCGTTTCTCAGACCCTCCTTCTGTCCCTACACCTGCTCCTTGGACCCCCCAGTCTGTGGCCACCCTGAAGAATGTGCAGAAACACTTGTGTGGCCTGTCCCTGTCTCTCTGACAGCCTTCTATTTGTGAAGTGCCCTGTGGCCCCCTCCCCAGCACCTCTGTCTGCCATGCGCTTCTTCCTCCCAGGCTACCCTGAGCCTTTCCTGGCCCAGTCCTCACCACAGTCCACAGAAGCCGCAAACAGGCTCATAGCCAAGCTGTGACCTGGTCCTGACCATCTGGGGCACGAGGGCCTGGGCTGGCCCTGCTAGGCTGGAGAAGCCCTGTCACCTGTGCACATCTTGCTGGTGGAGGCATGGCCCACTGTGCAGGACCCCACCCTCGGGGGCTTTCGGCTCCCACACTGATGATTCTCCCCAGCATCCACACCGGGCCTGGCGCTACGTACTCAGGCCCCCAGCTCTCGTGTCCTGGAGGAAGAGCTAGCTCCAGACATGGGTTGATCACCTAGAGGAGCTCTGGCTAAGGCACAGTTTTCTAGAAATAAAACATTTATTCGGTTTTTAAACAATTAAAAAATCTTGTCTGGGCAGGCCCTTTGCTCAGGCCTGTGTGTCCTGCTCAGCCACTCTGTCGACCACACTGACCCAGGGGCTGCCCCGGACATAGAAGCGGAGGGGTTTCCGGGCCCACTCCCCTGCATGGCCGACGCCCACCCGGGCTGCTGCCACTACAGCCGGCTCACTGGGCTCCAGGGGACCACGCTCCAGCCATACAGCTTCATCCTGTGCCAGGTCCCTCTGGTCAAAGCTCTTGTTGATGGCCAGGGCCTGGCACAGCTTGGAGGGGCCACTGCAGAGCTCGCGGTCCTTGAGGACACGGCTGGCGGTGCCTTTCCGGAGGGTGCTGCGAAGCTGACGCATGGTCTCCAGACCTTCCAGGGGCTCCAGTGCTCGCAGCAAGACGCAAGCCCCGTCCCCTGTGGGACGGACAGTTTGGAAGTGGAGCCTCCCTAGGCTCCTGTCCTCTCTGCCCTAGTACACATCCAGACATCCTGTGCTGCAGGGAGGGTGCAGCTGCCTTCCTGCCTGGGCCAGGGACCTGCTCTGTGCACCTGCACCATCTCCTGGGTCTGACCTGGTGGGAGGGGGCTGCACCTCACTGTGTCCAGACCCCTCTGCCTACCTTGCCATCCTCCAAGCCTGCACCATGAGGTGTGCCTCCTGTGGGCACCTCTGGCTTCCACCACCAGGCAGGGCCTCCCCCACTGTGGCCGCCCCCACAAAGCCAGACTGTTAAAAACACATGACAAATGCTGGGTATCAGTTCCTTTCCACCTGGCTTCCCCTGGTCTTGTGACTGGCAGCAGCTATAAAGCCAGCAAAGGAAGCTCCAGAGAGCCAGTCCTCGGGTGCGATCATTCAGCCAGGAAGCAGGAAGCCTTGGCCTAGCCAGGCCCCAGCGCTCCCCTTCTGCCTCACCCACTCAGTGTTTGTGTTGGTCAAGTGGTGGGGGCTAGGAGTTGGCTTAGAGCAGCTGCCAGTGTGCACCGGATGTTGGGAGAGCCCATGCAATGACTCAGTGGAAGGACTGACTGCAACACCCTGCACAGGCAGGGCAGGAGGAGGCTGACAAAGCCCCCTCACCTCCCTTGGGATCCCTCCTCCAGCCTAGCCCCCTCCCTCACCAGGCCAGGCCCCTTGAGAAACAGAGACAGCAAGCGAAGGCTCCTGGGCCCAGGGGCTCACTCAAGCACAGATACCCGAATTCCCTCTGCCCTGCAGGTTTGGAAAGGCCCCTTGGATTCCTGGCTGGGGACAATGATGACCTGGACCCTGGCCAGAAGAGCCCTGGCCCTCCAGCAAGGCAGCACCTGCTCTGATGCACCTGTGCACCCCTGGCCCTCCCAGCCACCTGGGAGTCCGAAGCTTAGCCTGGAGGTGGCCAAGCCAGTCCCTACTCTTGGGCTGCGGCCACGTGAGGCTCCGCATCAGCAGCCAGGGGCGAGCACTAGTGGACAAAGCCAGCAAATGCGGCGTTCCTGTGAGCAGATACCCTCAACCAGCCAGCTGTCAAAAGTATTTCAAGATAAAATCCAGGCCAAGCAAAGCCTTTAAGTTCCCGTCCATTCTGTGATTCCCACGCTGCTTCCAGCTCACCAGGTGGGGTGCCTGCTGCCCACCCTGACCCACCTCAGTAGGGAGGAGCAGGACCCTCTACATCCCTGTGGGTGCAGGGCACACGCCCCTCGTTGTCTCACTGAGCCCCCACAGAGCCGCCTGCAAATGAGTCAAAGCCTGGCCGCCCTCATCACCACAGCCCCGTGCCCTGGCTCCTTCACACAGAACACATCCAAGTCCCACATCCTGACAAAAACATGACCCCTTTGATCACTTCCTGCCAAACCTCCCTTTCCTCACCGACTCCTCCGCCGACCCTAAGTCCCCCTGCTGTGCCCACTGCTCCATCCTTGGCAACCTGACCACGCTGCTCTTAGCACTGCAGTCATCCTCTTCTCCAATCAGCTTCTCATCCTCATGTGCTGCCTCCGTCAAGGGCAGGCGACACTGTGTCCTCGGCCTTCTTTCTGCCTCCACTCCAACCAACCCTTTCTTTTCCTTTCCTTTTTTTTTTTTTTTGAGATGGAGTCTCGCTCTGTCACCCAGGCTGGAGTGCAATGGCGCGATCTTGGCTCCCTGCAACCTCCGCCTCCCGGGTTCAAGCGATTCTCCTGCCTCCGCCTCCCTAGTAGCTGGGATTACAGGAGCCCACTACCACACCCAGCTAATTTTTGTATTTTTGGTAGAGACAGAGTTTCACCGTGTTGGCCAGGCTGGTGTCGAACTCCTGACCTCAGGTGATCCGCCCGCCTCGGCCTCCCGAAGTGCTGGGATGACAGGCGTGAGCCACCGCGCCCGGCCCCACCCGGCCCTTTCTACCCCTTTAACCTAACCAGCCCTGCCCCGTCAGCGTAGCCAGAGCTCCCGAAACCCTGGCCTGGCCTGGAAGTGGCACCTCCTCGCTCAAATGCTGGCCCCACCTCAGTCCTCCTAGTGGTCCCCTGGCTGCTAGCGGACAGGGCTCTGCCGGCCCTCCAACCCCCCGTGCCCCAGCACTGCTCACCCTGGCTGGAGATGTTCATGCAGAAGTACATGCCGTAAATGATGTACACGTACAGGGTCCCCGGCTTCATGAACATGCCTCGGTTGCGGGGGGTCTGCCGGCCACCCCTTGAGTGGGCGGCTTCATCCTCTGGCCCCAGGTATGCCTCGGTCTCCACGATGCGGCCTCGGAGTTCTGTGCCATTAGGAAGTCGCCGGACTAGGACCTGTGGGCAGTCAGTTTCTGCTCAGGGCGGGAAGGGATGGGGGTCCACTCACCCTAACAGTGCCCAGCCTGGACCTCATCTCCCCAGCTCAGGGTGTGTCAGCCGCCCAGGTCTAGCCAGGGACCTTGCCCCGTCTCCATCCTGCCTCTTCTCTTGCTCCTGCTGAGGCTGAATGTGGCTATTGAGGGCACCAGTTGTCTCCTCCAGCCCTGCTAGACAACCAGACCGCAGGCCGAAGATACCTCAGGCCACAGCCAGGCTGGGCTGGGAACCGGCAGTCATGGATTCACCTTGCAGGTCAAGTCCTCTCAGCAGGACCCTCCATTCCCCAGATTCCTCCTTTCCCAAGTGCCCTTGAGAAAACCATCAGCATTTAGCACGAGGCCAGGCATCACGGAAGGCACAGGACCCCAAGGATGTCCCCACACCAGCTACCTGGGCAATCCCAGAGCCCGTGAAGTCCCCTAAACCTGGGCTGCTGAGGTGGCCACAAGGGACCCTCATACTCAGCTCCCACCCTCCGGCTTTCTGAGCAGTAGGCCCAGCTGCCCCACGGTGCCCCAGCCTGGACCATGGTCCTGGTAACGGCCAACAGTTGTGTCACTGCTCGGAGCCCCAGAGTTAACAGCAGAGCACTGGGGACCAACCACATCCCCTGCACCTCTCGTTTTTAGGCCAGATAGGTCAGCTGGACAGCCAGGCTACCTTCACCTCAGCCCACGAAGCCCTGTGGTGCCAAAGGCCATGGTCAGTATCACGGGCTGGGGAGGAGGGGCACTGGAGCTTAGATGCTCGCCGGGGGAGCATTCAGGAGGGCTTCCCGGAGATAGGGTGGTGGGAAGAAGGGGTCAGCGCGGGGAGCATTCAGGAGGGCTTCCCGGAGATAGGGTGGTGGGAAGAAGGGGCCAGCGTGGGGAGCATTCAGGAGGGCTTCCCGGAGGTAGGGTGGTGGGAAGAAGGGGCCAGCGTGGGGAGCATTCAGGAGGCCTTCCCGGAGGTAGGGTGGTGGGAAGAAGGGGCCAGCGTGGGGAGCATTCAGGAGGGCTTCCCGGAGATAGGGTGGTGGGAAGAAGGGGTCAGCGCGGGGAGCATTCAGGAGGGCTTCCTGGAGGTAGGGTGGTGGGAAGAAGGGGTCAGCGCGGGGAGCATTCAGGAGGCCTTCCCGGAGGTAGGGTGGTGGGAAGAAGGGGTCAGCGCCGGGAGCATTCAGGAGGCCTTCCCGGAGATAGGGTGGTGGGAAGAAGGGGTCAGCGCCGGGAGCATTCAGGAGGGCTTCCCGGAGGTAGGGTGGTGGGAAGAAGGGGTCAGTGTGGGGAGCATTCAGGAGGCCTTCCCGGAGATAGGGTGGTGGGAAGAAGGGGTCAGTGTGGGGAGCATTCAGGAGGCCTTCCCGGAGATAGGGTGGTGGGAAGAAGGGGTCAGTGTGGGGAGCATTCAGGAGGCCTTCCTGGAGATAGGGTGGTGGGAAGAAGGGGTCAGTGCCTGGGCGGGAAGCCCAGAAATCCTTAGGCATCCAGAGCCATGAGGACAGAAGTGAACAGGCCAGGCTTGGCCAGGCCATGTCCAGGGGAGAAAGGGTGGCCCTGTTCCATCTTCCCTGGAGCTTAGAGGGAATGCCCCTCCAGGGGCTTCACTCTGCACACTCCTGTGCCTCCATGGGGGCACACTGGGGGGGCCCAACTACCACTCTGGAGAGGAGGTTCCCACAGCCCTTTTCTCATTGTTTCCTTTTCCATCCCAAATTTCTGATCAGGATTTCACTGATACCATTTCCACCAGTGGCAGATACTGGGGCCTCTCACCCCTCCCCACCCCCATGGCCAACACACACCCCTCTTCCTTGTTGGCAGAGCCTCCTGGGGGAGACCACACCCTCCTCAGCCCAGAGAGTGGCCTGGGATTTCATGGCAACTCACTGCAGTGACCCTTTTAGGGATGAGTGCATGACCCAAGCCTGGCTGAGGGGTCTGCAAGGGCATCCACTAGGAGGTTATGGAGAGGGCAGAGGGCTGTCCCTGATCCAAGGGACACAGGGTGAGACACCCTCTTCTCTGCTGGACATCATCTTGTCCACCAATGGGCTCAAGTGGGCATGACTGTGGCCTGACAAGGATGCTGAATAGAGACAAACGTATTGTGGTCCCTGATGCCATGCTGCGCCCTTGCCCTGTTCCTACGACGCACCTGCCACACGTGCTGTTTTGTTGTATCACAAATGCCCATTGTATTTTTTTTTTATTTTTGAGACGGAGTCTCGCCCTGTCGCCCAGGCCGGAGTGCAATGGCGTGATCTCAGCTCTCTGCAACCTCTGCCTCCCGGGTTCAAGTGATTCTCCTGCCTCAGCCTCCCAAGTAGCTGAGATTAGAGGCGCCCGTCATCACACCCAGCTAATTTTTGTATTTTTAGTAGAGATGGGGTTTCACCATGTTGGTCAGGCTGGTCTCAAACTCCTGACCTCGTGATCCACCCACCTCCGCCTCCCAAAGTGCTGGGATTACCGGCATGAGCCACCACACCTGGCCACAAATGCCCATTACTTAAGGTGCTTTTAGAAGGATCCGCATGGGGACAGAATGTTCTCTGTTCTCCATGAGGTCGAGCCCACATTCTAGGGTCTGCTCCTTTAGCACCCAACTCCTGGCACTGGTATTTCTCTTCTGGTTCTTCTTGGTGATTATAACCTAAAAGTAGGCTCATTAAAGGACAAAGGGAAGGCCTTGGAGCCTCTGGAGAACCAGAAAGGCAGGCCTGGGGCTTTGGCATCGAGGACCACCGCCACCACCTCGCTCCCAACAGATCCAGCCAAGATGCCACGGCTGTGTGAGCATCTGCTCGTGGGGACAGGCTGCACCGTAGGCCCCACCAGGATGGGACCTGGGCAGTCCCTGCTTCTTACTCCAAGTCTGATTGGCAGAGCCCAGATCCTTGACCTACATTAAGCTGCAGGGGCCCTGGGAAGCCAGCACTGCACTGTGAGCCACTACAGCGGGAAGGGGCAGCCCGACACTGGCCACAGCCACAGTTCCCACGTGTGGAAAAACTGAGGTGGATTGCCGGTGAGGAAGGCTAACGGTGCAAGTGCTCCTGCCCTAGATGCCCAGAGCCGGGGGCAGACAGTGGCACCCCTGCTCCACCCTGGGCAAGCAGCACTGACAATCTCTACATTCTTCCCAGATGACCTCAGGCAACTGAGATGAAGCTAAGCAGGGACCAGTGTGAGCAAAGCCGCTAAATGCATGAGGACAAGGAGGACTAACTGAGGGCCAATCCAGCAGGCAGCGGACAGGGGTTCAGGGACAACTGCAGTGACAGGCACTTCAGGAGGGCCCTCGCTGCTATGTTCACATTACCTGTCCCAGAAATGCCCGGGCCAGGGGGACTGCCGGCTGGTCGAAGAACTCCAACCCCAGTCGGGTAAGGTGGCCCTTTGGGCTTGAGAAATAGATGCTGCGGTATGGGCCCGGAGTGGTGGGCGGTCCCAAGCAGCGCTCCCTGGGGCAAGGTGCCTGGGCTGCATCGGACGAGCTGTGTGGCTGCTCTGCAGGTGCCTGGGCTGCGTCGGACGAGCTGTGTGGCTGCCCTGCTCTAGCTGGTCGCTGCTTCTTTTGCCCCATCCGTCGGCAAAACTGTAATGGGAAAAAAAATAAATAAGCATCCGAATAGGAGACAGCTGTGTGGTAAGGTCAGGCTCAGGAAGTGCAAGGACTGGATCTGACCACCTGCTTTGGTTTCTTCATCTGCAAAGCGGGGGTGACCATCCTGTGGGTTGTTATGAGGCACAAACACCCTGACACACTCGAGGCCTCAGGAAATGATCACGTCTGACGATGGACGGCTGCTGCTGGGGGCAGGGTGGCTGCTCTGCCCCACATATGTGCGAGCTGCACGGCATGGGGGCCCAGGCTGCATGACCTGGGGAGCAGATGGGGGCCTGAGCCTGGGACAGCAGGGCTGGTGCCCTCCGATTCCCACTCATCATGCAGGTCCCAAGCAAACGTCTGAGCTGGTTTCTGGAGCCCTGCCCTTTCATCCAACCCTTGCCAGAATTCAAAACACAGGATCTTAGCAGGGCCAAGGTCGGACACACAGGGAGGGGTGAGCACCGGGGTGACCACCGCGTGCTCAGGGTCCCTAACTGTCCTCTGCTTCATGGCCCAGGCTGGATAACGAGCAAGTGGGGCAAAGGCAAGGTCTCCTGAGGGACTAGGAGGGTCTGCTGAGACCGAGCAGGCCGCCAGCCTCCCACCTCTGGCCTCCCCATGGGTAGGGGGAACCTAACCACACATCCTCGGCTGTCCTGGGGCAAAGGAGAAGGGAAGATGAAGGTGGCGGGTGAGCGCCGGCCTGGCAGCACCCGGAGGGCTGGTCTTTAGCAGCACCTAAGTCCTCCTGGCATGGGAGAGATGCATTATTTTTAACGGGAGTGCTGACGTTAATGTAGAACGGAGACTGCCAGTCGGCCTGGAACGGACGCTGACGTGACCGTCTCCGCAGCTCGGCCCGCGCTGCCAGCGCGCCGTGGGTTCAGCCCCCGGGCGCTGCGGCCACTGCTCTCGGCCCGAGCTTGGCCCTTGGCCTATGCTCTGGCTCTGCCCCGAACCCTCGGGGCGGTGGGCGCTACGCCCGTCCCCGGCACTCCCGCTCCCGCGGCCGCGCTCGCTGCTGCGCCTGGGGGTGGGCGCGTCTGTTCCGCGGGGCGGCCGAGGCGCGCGCTCACCTGGGCCCCGCTGCGCGCGGGCATCCGGCGGCTCGGGCCGGGGCTTCGTGGGACTCGGACCCCGGCGCGGAGCCCAGCAGCCGCCGACCACGGAAGCACCCCTAGGACCGGGGCGGAGCGGCGCCTGCGCAGAAGGGGACGGAAGCCGGGAGAAGGGGGGCAGTGAGCGCCGGGAACTGGCTGCGCCCCCGGGGCGGGGCGGGCCACGTGGAGGTGGATCCTCTTCCCAGCGCCCACCGCCAGGTCCGGACCGATTCCCGGGCCCGATGCGGTGCCTGCGAGGCGAGAGCGGGGAAGGGGCACCTGGGGGTGGGGCGAGCCCCGCACTGTGCCCCGGCGCCCCTCCCAATGAGCTGTCCGCCCCCGCCTGCGCCCTGGTCGCCTGGCGGCCCCAGAGCCCACTCCACCAGCCGGTGGTCAGACCACCGAGAGGACGGGCCCGTCGTGAACCTGAGTGGATCCTCGAGGGGCCCGGGCGGAGTGGTCGTGCTTTGGGGGAGGGGGCGGGCCGCAGACGTGTTTTCCGGTGGGGTGCCAGCGGAGTGAGCGCCTGGGAGGCCGCCCCAGCCCTGGTCCGGAGTGGGCCGGGGAGTCCTTATCCAGGAAGTGGACGCCAGGCTTGTGCGGAGGCCCCCGCCCCTGGCCGGGGTTGTCACAGGCTGGTCGGGGGAAGGAAGGAGGGAGCGGCGCGGATTCTGCCTCTGCAGCAGAGCCCCCATCCCTCTTTCCGCCCAGGGATGCTGAAGGGAGCTCGCCCACGTTCTGGGTTGGGCCTGCTGGAGCGCAGGCAGCCTCCTCTAGAGGCCGAGGCCAGACCAGGGCTGAACACGGCCCGGCAGTGCGCAGCCGTCCTACGCTTCTGAGGCCTCCCCGACGGCCCAGCGCCTGTAAGCTCTCACAACCTCTCAAGTCAGATCCATGCCCCTAGGGAGGGGCAGGGACGGTGCTTGGCCCAGTGGACGGAAGGGCCTAGGGGACGGGCCCTGAGGGAGCTGGGCACACTGCTGGCTCCCACGGCCCATGGCAGCCCCAGCACCCAGCAGAGCCATCCCCCGCTTCTGGCCACTTGAAGGTTTATCTGGGTCTGCAGGGCCCCTCCACTGTGGCAGGCACAATCCCACCCCACAACCCACCTCTGCCGCACAAAAACCCTCGAGGGGCTTTTCCTGAGCTTTGACTTCTGTGACCCTGGTCCTGGAAAGGAGCACCTGAAAAGGCCTTGAAGAGCAACTGGGCACCTGGCCGCGTCAGGTGGGAGACGCTGGGCAGGACAGACGCACAGGCCATGTGTCTGGAGCCCTCAGATGAGTGTGACACCTGGTCCTACAGAAAGGCTAACAGGGCAGGACCTGGTCTCCAACTGCCTCTCCTCCTCTGACCAGCCGTCCCACCCCCATGGGCCCCAGCCAGGACTTCCTGGGGAGGGAGGGGCCATCAGCCGGCTGGAAGCCACCAGCTGTTTGTAGCACTGTGTGCCGCTTCCCGGGGTGGGGGCATAATGTGTCATCAATCCGTGTTTATAAAGCAGCCCTGGATGTGATTCCACACCCTCCCTGCTTATCTGCAGCCATGCCTCCCAAACAATGAGTCTCTCCTTCCTGTGGGAACAGCCCCCCATCCCCCCGAGTGCTCCCCCTCAGTCTAGTAGGGAAACTGAGGCCCCAGTTGAGCCTTTGTCCTCTTGATGGGCAGGGAGAGGATGGGTGTTACTTTGTACTTATATTTATTCTGATGTTACAAGTGATACATGGTCCTTGCAGAACTCACGGGGAGTCCAGAGGCTCCCAGAGGGGTGTTTTTATCCCCACCTTTCTTATGAGGAAAGAGAATCACTTGGAGAGCAGATTGGCCCCTGCCCCAGGAGGTGGAGAGGCCGGCACCGGGGCGCCAGCAACCAACTTCTCCAGATGTTCTGGACTGAGTGCTGGGGGTTGCGCAATCTCTGGGCACTCCCCCCCCCCACTTCCTGGTTTGTGGTCTCATGCTCCCACCACAGGCTGGAAGCGGTGGGATGAGAGTTCCAACTGTGGCCTGCAGAGTGGGCTGGCGGGCTGGTCCAGGACAAGAGAAAGTGGTGCCAGGTGAGAGGAGGGGGCCTGGGGCTTCCTCTGTCCCCAGTTTGTCCCACTGCTGGGCTGGAACAGGCTTGTTGGAGGAGGCAAGGATATCAGTGGAAGATGGAGATGAGAACACCCTTGAGGCTTTGAAAGGAGTGAAGGCTAGTATTGGTGCTGGGGTGAGCAGCCCTGACCCCCGACCTCCACAATAGGCCACAGGCTGTGGAGGGGCTGGAGCTGCCTCCAGCTGTAGGAGGTGTGGCCATCAGTCGCTGGAGCCTTTATAAACAAGTCTTTGAGAGATGTGGCTGTATTGGCTACAGGGGCCAGGGTTCTAGTATCAGCCTTATGACCCCAGGGTGCCCAGCACACTGGCTCCGTCTTCTCTCTGATGGAGGGGGGTGCTGACAGCTGTTGAGGTGGGTGTCAGGTCAGAGCCCATGGACTCCTCTACACAGCTTTGAGCTGGCAGCTTCCCAGCAGGGTGGCTGCTGGCCTCTTGACTGGTCTCTGCGGCCATCTGTGTCTGATGAGCCCTGGAGGGCCAAAGCTTCCTTGGGCAGAGAAGGCAGCCACTGGGCAGGCCGAGGTTGGGTGTGTGTGAGCTACATCCTCCCTGCCTGGGGCTGTGCTGCCAGGCCCTGGGCCCAGGTGCTTATGGGAACCCCTTGCCAAACCCTGGGATATGGGGAGGGGGCAGCTGCCTCAGAAATAGCCTATGACTTCAGGCCACTGGCTGGCCTGGCCCCCTTCTGCCTCTTCCCCAAATAGCCAGGAGCTGGTCATGGGCCCATCCCTGGAGCCCTGCTCCCCGGGCGGTTTCTTCTGATCCTTCCAGGGACTCCCCAAAGCCCAGGGTCTGACCCCTTGGGTGATTACTTGTGGCCTAGAAGCTGAGCTGAGGATTCTGGGGTAGCAGAGGATTCTGGGGTAGCTGTTGGGAACACTCCTCTTACTGGTCAGGGCTCCCATTCCCTCGTGTCCTGGTGTGAGGGCCACAAACCCTGGGTTTGGTCTAGACCCTAACCCTAACCCATTCTCAGACGCCTGCCCACCAGCCCCGGGAGTGCTGGGCAACTGCAGCTGATTTCCATTTCTCCAGGGTGCATGACGCGGGAAGAGAGGGGCCGGGAGCTGGGTTTCCGTATAGGGGGCTCCTCCACCAGGACAGAGAGTAGTAGGGCAGGCAGGAGGCAGAGCACACATATGTGCACACACTTGTCTATGTGGACTGGGTACAATCCTGAGTTTCGTGCGCGTCCGTGTGAAGAGACCACCAAGCAGGCTTTGTGTGAGCAACAAGGCTGTTTATTTCACCTGGGTGCAGGCGGGCTGAGTCCGAAGAAAAGAGAGTCAGGGAAGGGAGATGGGGTGGGACCGTTTTATAGGGTTTGGGCGGGCAGTGGAAAATTACAGTCAAAGGGGGTTGTTCTGTGGCGGGGAGGAGTGGGGGTCACAAGGTGCCTCAGTGGGGGAGCTTCTGAGCCAGGAGAAGGAATTTCACAAGGTAATGTCATCAGTTAAGGCAGGAACCGGCCATTTTCACTTCTTTTGTGATTCTTCACTTGCTTCATCTGGATGTATACGTGCAGGCTTGGGCTCAGAGGCCTGACACTGAGCACACGTGTATCGACCCCCCTCTGATCATCCTTCTGATGACCTCACTCAGGAGGCCAGGGTGGGCTGAGAGCCTGGGGATTCCTGGACACAGGCTCTGAGCTGGGGATTTGCCTGCAGAGGCAGACTGGGGCATGCTCCCCACTGAAGGTGACTCCTGGGTGCGGGGGGTTTCAGCTCTGAGCCAGCTGTGACTGGTGCTCCTGGCAGCTGGCGATGAGTGTCTGGGTCTTGGAGCGGGTCTAGGTGGGGTCTGACAGAGTCCACTGCAGGAGGAGACCTGCTGACACCAGATGCCCAGCTGTGGCATGCTTTGGAGGCAAGCCCAGTCCCCAGCTTTCCAGAGAGGACACCACTTCTGGCCCTGCCAGCCTAGTCTGGGCATCCAGGCCCGATAGGGCTTGCTTATCCCTGGCAGGTCAATAATGCTAAGCATGGAGACTGTCCTGTCTCTGGCTGTGAGCCTGGCATGGGAGGGGTGGCACGTGCAGGCTATCGGAGCACTGAGTGTTGGCACTGGGGCAGGCTCCCTCTCACCCGGTGTCCGTGATGCACTGGCAGTCATCCCCTGGTGGAGTTACCCTCCACCCCCTCCAAAGCTTCCATTGTCTCCTTCTACATGAGAATTGTGTTGATATTGCTTGTGTTCAGAGAGCACCCATTATGTGCAGGCACCGCCCTATCCCGTGGCATGGACAAGGATATGGGCAGGGGAATCTTGCCCAGGCTCTGGGATCTACCGGTAAGTGTACCAGCACCTTTAGTTCAAATTCTCCCCTTTTCTGTCTAGCCAAGGAGCAGGCCATTGTCTGCGTCGGGCCCTCAAGTGCAACAGCTCAGTTTGGAGAGGGCTGGTGCCACCCAGACCCAGAGGATGGCACTGAAGCAGCAGCACCTTGTGACCAGCACAGGGCCTGAAGACACATTTGTCCGAGGCATGGGGGGGCACCCTGTAGAGGGGTCCTTAGGGACCCATGGGACGAAGGGATCCCTGCACCCTCTATCCAGAGGAAGCCTTGGCCACCCACCACTCAGAGCTCCTGGACAGCCCTGCCCGTACTCTGCTGTTGGCACCCCTGTCCCCCACCCTGGGAGGGTCAGCCCACCCAGTGTCAGGAGAGAAATGCTGGGAAACTCTCACCAGCAGCCCCAGCGGAAAGCAGAGTGCCATTTTGAGTCCAGCCCAGATTGTGCAGGGATATGAGCCCACCCCGGGGTGGCCGCTGAGCTCTGAGACAGTGAGAAGAGCCCAGAGTGGACACCAGACACTGCGCTGCCTCTGCTGAGTGGCTTCGGGTGGGGCCGGTGCAGCCTGGCCTGAGTGCCTGCTGGTGGAGCGGGGCTTCTGGGGGTAGGGGCACAGGGCAGGGGGAGGGGTAATGACTGTGGTCCTGAACTGAGTGTGTGCATCGGTGTGTACACGTGTGTGTGTGCACGTGTATGTACCCATGAAAGATGTACATGAGTAGGTGGGTGCATGTGAGCACGTGCATGTGCAGGCGAATGAACGCATGAAGTGGAAGGATGTGGGGACGTGTGTGTATGATTGTGAGTGATCGGTGCACATGAATGTGTGTGAGGGAATGTGAGTGCTTAGTGGGATTGGGTGAGTGTGGGATACAGGACTTGTCAGCGTGGGCCTCTGGAGGAGGTCGGGTTTAGGGGAGCCAGGGATACACACCCATCCTCCGCCCTTTACCCCGTGCCTGCTCTCCCTCCTCACCCTCTTCTCAGCACAAATCAGGGCAGGACAGCTCAAGCCTCAATCTGGAGCCAGGGAGAGGCGGAGCCGCCCAGCGCTGACACTGCGGTCCGCTCCCACCAGGTCCTCCGTCGGGCCGAGGCGCTGGAGACCCCAGCCCCAGGTGTCCCCGCAGGCGGACCCTGGGGAGAAGGGAGCCCGGCGGCCTTCCGGGAGGAGGTGACTTGGGCCGGGCAGGCGGGCGGCGCGCATTCCTGAGCTCTGAGTCAGCGCGACCGCCCCGCTCCGGCCGGGCCCGCCCCCGGGCGCACGCCCCTCGCTCCAGGGCATTCCCGGGCGGGCCGGACCGGCGGGCGGGCGGGGACTCGGCGCGGGCCCTCCCGGCCAGCGGCGGCAGCCTCCTCCCCGGCGCCCTCAGGACCCCCCAGAGCCCCCGGCGGCGGCAGTGAGTGAGCGCGGCCGGGAGCGCAGGGCTCCGGGGGCGGGCGGGTTCCGGGGCTGCGTCCGGAGGGCGGGGCGAGTCCTCAGCACCCGGGGCCGGAGCTGCTCAGAGCGGCCGGGGCCGTGTCGGGGCCGGGGCCGGGGCCGGGGAGGGGTCGCGGCGAGGCCCCCCCGGGGCGGCCGGGCTTTTCTTCCTGGAGTTTCCCGAGTCGCCCGCGGAGGCGGCCCAGCCCCGGATTCCTAGCCCGGCGCGCCGCAAAAATAGCCCGTGGCCGGATTAGCAGCCCCAGCGGCCTGGCCGGGCGGGACAGCTCGGCTCCAGCCCCCGCCCAACAGCTGAGGGTCCCAGGAGCGGGAGTCTAGAGTCCGGGGGTGCCCCAGGTTCCTCTGAACTCCCCCCGCTGCATTTTCCTTCCCGGCCACGACCGGCGGGTGGTGTCTCCGAGCTGAAACTCCAGCCCAGGGCGGGATGGTCCCTGTCCCGGCTGCCCTCACCGATGGGAATAGCAGGAGCCGTGGAGCTGGGGGTGGGGGACTGACTCCGCCTTCTGCCCCACGACACTGACTCCCCCATCTGTACACTTCGAAGCTCCAGGGTGGGCTGGGAGCGACTCCCGAAGACAGACTCTCACTCTGTGCGCAGAGGCCAACGGGGACAGGCCTTCTCCCGGCTGGGGTGACAGCCAGACCCCAGATGCTCAGGGCATTGGCAGAGGGCCTGGTTGTCTGTCATGCTGGGGGCATGTTTGTGGGGCTGGGCGGGGAATGGGCAGGGGATCTTCCCTGGCCCCCCAGGGCCTGCTTCCGACCGAGGTGGTCCTGACCAGAGTTTCTTCTGTGTGTGCCGCTTGAGATGGTGAATGTGTGTGTCTGTCCCGGTGGGTGGGGCCTAGGTCTGGAGGCCCTTCTCCTATCCTGGGAACTCCCACCCGCCAACGGGACTTCCTGTTGGAGACCGGGAGAAGATTCAAGGATGAAACTGGCTTTTCAGGTTTGACCCAGCTAGATGCCTGGGCAGTCCCAGGCTCGGTTCTCCTCACCCCTGTGGAGCTAACCCCAACCTCCTAGCCCCGACCCCAAGGGTGGGCAGAAGCTGGGGACCAAGCAGCTGGCTGGGGCTCAAGGGGTCCCTGAGGCGGAGCCCCCTGCCACCAGGGGTCATTCTGGGCAAGCCGGGCCCCTTTTCCTGAGAATGGGGCAGGGGCAAATGGAGTGCATGGGAGTCTGGTGGTGCCAGATTGAAGGGGCCTCAGACCCTTTCCCAGCCCTTCCAAGTAGCTTTCACTGGCTGGGTGGCCTCCGTTGCACAAGCAGGCCCCTCAACCAGCACCCCTCATGAGCTGGCCGGTCCCCACCTTGGGGAGCTGACTTTCTAGGGTGCGCTCTTGGTTTAGGGGGAGTCGTCCAGGTCTCCCCTGCCTTTCAGGGACCATCAGGCCCTCCCCTAGGATCTTCCCAGCTACAGTCCCTGCCCAGGGCACCCCCAGTTGCTCTTGGCTGTGAGGGCCTCCGCCACACCGGCTCCAGTTCCCCCACCTCAGTGTCTGTGCCAGGATCACATTTTGCCCAGTGATTGGATTCCTTGGCTTCTGCCTTTTTTTCTGAGTTGGACGATTTTGGGGGTGAGTCCTTCCTTCTTCAACTGAGATGCCCCTGATGGAGCAGGTGGCAAGGGGTCTTAGAAGGGTCTGACAGCCGTCCACAGCCACAAGGCTGAAGAACCCAGGTGGTCTGCCTTGTCTTCTGGGGGTCTGCAGACAGGGTCCCTTCCACTGCAGCTCCTGGGCAGACCTGGCCCAAGGCTTTGAGCTCCCTTATAGGCCCTGGGACCTTAGGCAGTGATGGGCTTCTCTGAGCCTCAGTTTCCTTATCTGTAAGATGGATACAGAGGACCCCTCCCAGGGGTTAGACAGACCAGTGTGATCAGTCAGGATCTGGTTTGAGGAAGCTGAGCCAGGCTGCTGAGGACCGAAGCCATTTCTGCTCTGACTTGGTTTCCCTCCTGTGGCCTCTCTAGTCCTATCCTGCTTCTGGTGGGTCCTGGGAGGGGGTTGCAGGGTTGCTGAGCCCAAGGGTGCCTGGGCACCTGGGTGCATGTGTGTAGGGTCAGTCAGGGACACCTCTGGAGGGCTCTGACTGGTGACTGGGCTGCCCATCTGTCCTCTGGCCAGACGTGTGCAGGGGATGTGGGCCTCTCCCACCTGCAGCCTGGGGAGGGTGTTTTCGCCTAACTCCTGAGACCCAGCTAGACTCCAGACTGGGGACTAGCAGTGACCAGCATACCAGGCAGTTTACCCCCAGAATCTAGTGTAGCTAAGTCCTTGCTGCCATCCCCTTTCTGACTGTGTGGCCTGGACAGGTGCCCTGAGCTGCACTTGGTGTCCCCTGATTCCTGGGTGTGTCTGCCATGTCAGCCCCTGTCAGACCCAACTGAGTCAGGGGTTTAGCTCTGGTGACCCCTGTGCCACATTTGCTAGCTGAGCCTTGGGGCAGTGCCCCCCCCCCTCCTGCCAAGTGCTGGCCCCTTTGTGCACTACCCTCACAGGTCAGGTCCTCAGGGATTCCTGTGTCTACAGGCCCTAGGGCGGCTTCCCTCACAGATGGCCTGTAGCAGGGAACCTCTTGTTCTGTCTCCTTGTCTAGGGTGATGAGGGGAGGCAGGGTGCCAGTCTGTCCTGCTGGGGACCTGGAGAGAACCCTGCAAAGGTCTCAGGCCTGCCCTGCTCCACCCTGAACCTCATTTCTTCCACAGAAAAGAAGAGGCTTCACTGGGAGGGTTGAAGAGCACTTTGGGGTTTGCAAAGGGCCTAGCAAATATCATTCTCAGCATGATGCCATTAATAGACAAGGCAGAGAGGCCAGGTGACTTTCCCTTCATTAATCCAGAAGACCTGGAGGCTGGGCTGCCAGACAGCTGGTGACCCCCTTCTCAAGGGAGATCTAGGATTGAGCTTCAGATTAGGAGTCAAACAGAAGACTGAGGGTCAGAGAGCAGCGTGTGGGTGGGGATGCTGGAGGAGCCACATCCCCCTGGGATGAGGCTCATGTGAGCTGAGGACACGTCTGGGAAGGTGTCCCGGGGTGAGGCCCCTTGCTCCAGCTGACCTCGGCAGCAGGCAGTTCCTTGGGCGGAGCAGAGCCCAGGCTTGATGGTTCTGGCCCCGGGGTTGGCAGTCAACTCCGCCGCCAGTTGTCCCTGCCAGCATGGTCCTGTGAGTGTGCAGGGCAGGCCTGAGTACAGAGGTGGTTGCTGCTCACACCTGAGGATGCAGCTCTCCACTGGCTGTGGCCACTGTCTATGCCTGGACTGGCCAGAGCTTCTCTCTAGTCTCTTCCCAAACTCGACACCTTTGGAGGGTTCTGTCCCCAGGTGTCCCCAGGGCTGCCCTCTTGTTGCATATGCTCTAGGGTCCTTTCACCCCCCAGCTCCTGCCCCTCAGAGAGTGCCAAGTACCCACAGGCTACACCACCCTGTGATGGAGTCAGCCGCTGCTACTGTGCCAGGCACTGCTGTGACCCCTGATTTCCAGATGGGAAAGCTGAGGCTTGCTTAGGGTTGTAGGTGGTGGAGACACATGGGGCCCAAGCATCAGCCTGGGCTGTCCCCAGTGGCCTCCCTGCATCGGCTCCTGCTTTCTGGCTCTCCCTGCACCTGTGCACGCGGCCAGCTTGATGGGTGCCCAGACATCCCCAGAGCAGAAACCTGAGTTAACAGGACTCTCCACCATCCCCCACTCAGCCCTTCCACACCAGGCTCTGCAGGCAGCCAGAGGGGACGTCAGCATGCATGGCGCCAGTGGCTCCCTTGACCCTCCTCGTCCCTCAGCCTCATCGAGAGTCCTGCCCGCAGCCCCCCCAGCTGGTCCTGGGATGCACTGTGGCTTTGGGTGTCTCCTGATGGGGCTGGGCCTGGGCTGGCAGCTGTGAGGCTGCTGCAGTGACTCAGATGCTGTGTGACCCCAGGCAGTGAGGCCTTCCGTGGGCCACGGTTTCCCCATACACTGAGGGGTCAGCGGGGTGGGGGAGACACTGTTTGGATCCCCCCGAGGGGCTTTCTGGGAACAAGAGCCCACTGTGCGCCTGGGGAAGGCCTGGACACTGAGCCACTGTCTCTGGGAGGGCAATGTGCCGCTCCCTGGCCAGACTCTTTGTCCAGCCTGGGCCTGCCCCTCCCCACGCCTACTCCGGCTCTTCCTTTGGAATCCCACCCACTTGAGGCCCAGATGGGGATCTAGGCACACAGGGGTGGGGCAGACCAGAACACCCAGCACTGCCCACCCGCAGGACCTATAACTGTCGGTTCTCAGGTCCCCTCCTGCCTGCACTCCTAGCAGTGGGGGTTTTTGTGGAGGTGGGAACCCCAGGAGACCTGGATGTAGAGGCATGGCGGCTGGTGCCTCCTTCATGAGCTGAGCACTCTGCTGTCTCCTGGGGCCGACTGTGGTCCCCGGCTGAGACAGTCCTGGGGAGGTTCCTGGGGCCGACTGTGGTCCCCGGCTGAGACAGTCCTGGGGAGGTTCCTGGGGCCGGCTGTGGTCCCCGGCCGAAACAGTCCTGGGGAGGTCAGGTTCCCCGTACACGCTCACAGCTCTCGGCTCTTCTCACCCCCTGACTGTTCCTGCTTGCATCCGCTCATGCCAGGCAGCTCGTCTTCCCAGACCCAGCTGAGAGGTCATCTTGAGGAATCCTCCGTTACCCCAGATTAGGGACCCCGATGGCCTGCGTTGTTCAGTGATCAGTGCCTACCCAGCGGTGGCTTCAGAGCAGGCCAGTCCTGAGCACTGTGGAGGCAGCAGTGACAGGACAGTGGCCCATACATATGTGAATGAACTCCTGCCTTGTGCTGTGCCCAGGGATCCAGGCCAAGGACCGCCTTTGGGTAGTAGGGCAGCCTGAGGCTGCAGGTCCTCCCACACAGGGGAGGGTGGGCAGAGCGCATTTGCAGGGCTCTGAGATGGGAGGGAGTCAGGTGTGAGGAGCAGCGGAGAGCAGGAGCCAGGGAAGTCATGGATGTGTGTGAGCCCATCAGCTGGCAACGGTCTCTGTTGGCAAAGGTCACTCACACTCCTGAGTGAAGAACCAGCTGGATGTCGCCTAGTGCTGCTGGGCACAGGTGGAGACTCCTGGAGAGGCTGGCCCCCTGGATTCAGCCTGCTGATTCCTGGCAGTGGCCCCAGTCTCTACGCTGGGCCCTGCTCCTCTCTGGCCCCCATAATGGCCTCACTAAGAGCATTCGTCCATTTTCTGGGTGAGAACATGCTGGGAGTGTACTCAGAATGCTGTCCCAGCACTGTGGGTTCCGGAAGCCCCTTGCCGAGCACCACCTGCCTTCCCAACGTGTCTGATGCTGTCTGAAATTCCACCCTTAGTGTCTGAGACTCAGAGGTGGCCCCTCCTGGCTATTCCTTACCAGCAGGGTGATGGTACTGCAGTCCATATACCCTGTGGAGGGAGGGCTGGGGGACGATGAGGAAGTCTAGCTGTGACCCCTTCACGCTGTGGCTGGGCCGTATCCAGGACACGCAGGTCTGGGCTGGGTTTGGGTCACGAGTCAGATGCAGAGGGGTCTCCTGGTGCAGTTCCCAGAGGGACCTTGACCCACCCAGTTCTCAGTTAGGATGCCTTTCTGTCCGACCCTGTTGCACTCTGGGGCTCTGCATGGGTGAGGGGCCCTGGAGGGATTTCCCAGTGATGTGGAGTTGCTGCCCTTGGCTCGTGCCCCTGATTCCAGGCCAAGTATGGGCCAGGGACAGGAACTCAGCCTTAGGGGGCCATGTGGATGGAATGATCCCTGGGCACCATGCCTGGGGAGTGCCCCAAAGCTTTGCCCCCCAGCTCTCACCTGGGACCTGAAGTGCACAGTCAGCTCAGATAAGGGGCTGGAGCGTGAGGGGTGGGGTAAGAGCCAGCAGAAGGCATCCCTGAAGTACCCCCTCCCACCTGTGTCTGTTCTGGTCCCTGTAGGACCAGTAGGGGCTGTGAGCAGCATTCCCAGCCTTTCCCTGGTAGTACAGGGTCGGAAGGAGCCGTGAGCTCTGTCCCAGGCCTGTCCCTGGCTGGCATAAGACCATTAGGAGCTGTGAGCAGCACCCTGGGCTGTCTCTAATTGTGCTGCCCTCCATATATGACCGTGAGCGAGGCAAGCCTGTGTTTCCTGGCCTCAGTTTCCCTATTTGTACAGCATAGGTGGGGCTTTCCTCCAAGCAGTTGGGAGGGAGACCTGTGAGTGAAAGCCATTTCTGGGGCCTTGGTGGGTGGGTTGCCGACCCAGCGGCTCCGAGCCTGTCAGAGGCTGCAGCTCTTTAAAGAGGCTGAGGAATTTGGGGTTTTCTGTCCAAAATTGCTTCAGCTCTGGCCAGCCCCCCACTATCTGTCTCGTGTCATGCTCAGGGGCCCTTCTCAATCTGGGTCTCCACTGGAATCGCCGTGTGGTCCCCCTGGGTTGGGGACAGCTGCAGGTCTGCCAGGAAGGTGTAAGGGGGAAATGGAGTCGTAGTCATATGGCCAGGCAGTGGTGGCCAGAATCGAACCCTGGCCTATCTGCTCTGGGGCCTTCCGTGGGGCCCTGGCCCCGTGCCTGGCATGTCATGGTAGAGCCAAGCTTGCAATGCCCCGCAGCCCCGGCACCGAGCCGCCTCACTGCTGTTTCTGGGCGCGTGGCGTCACCTGGTGGTCACTACGGTGTCTGCGCCCGGGTGGTTTCTGGAAAGTCATTTGTGCCCAGGAGCCTGGGGCCACTAGCTGCTGCTGTGTCACCCTCTTTCCTGAATGTGGTGACTCTATGCACTGGACCGATCACACACCTCTTGCAGGCTGTCATGTGCATAGTGGGCCCTTTGTCCCTGGAGTGGAAGTCTGGGTGGGTAAGAGGGTGAGGCCTGGTAAGACAGGTGTGAGATTTGCCCTGGGCACAGACTAGGGTGAGCCTCCTGTCACTGAGACCTCAGATCGGCTGTCCCCTGTGTGTGGAAACCCCTGCAACCCCAGCTGTGCTCACTCCCCTCCTTCAAGCCTTTGCTCAGCTGTTACTTCATGGGGAGGCCTCACTGCCTCCTGTCAAGCAACCCTAGTTTGCTTCCCCCGCTCCCATCATACTTAGCATCTTTTAACCAGTACATTCACTCATTTAAAAATATTGTCTAGACTGTAAGCTCCAGGAGGGCAGGGATTTTGTCTCGTTTCTCCACCAATGTGCCTCAAGCACCTAGAGCAGTATCCTGACCATAGTGTGTGCTCAGATAGTTGTCCCATGGACTTATGTTGTCTGAGGACCTAGGCTGTGCCCAGCACTGTCTGCTGGGATGAACAAGGCAGGCACAGAGAAAGTCGGTGCTGAGCACACAGTAGTGCTCTGACAGTGGGGGACATGAGCACCACGGTTGGGCTCATCACTGCTTCTCCCTCCTCCCGGGTCTGGGTGCAATGAATCTTCAGATGTCAGCTTTGTCATTATTGAATAACACACCATGCCCCGCAGGCCTGCCTTGCTCTGCCAGGAACCATGAGTGAGGCCCGCAGGGACAGCACGAGCAGCCTGCAGCGCAAGAAGCCACCCTGGCTAAAGCTGGACATTCCCTCTGCGGTGCCCCTGACGGCAGAAGAGCCCAGCTTCCTGCAGGTAGGCCCTGGCCTGCAGGGACTGTGGGTGCCCCCTGTCCAGTACCCTCACCATGACCCTGTTGCCCAGCCCCTGAGGCGACAGGCTTTCCTGAGGAGTGTGAGTATGCCAGCCGAGACAGCCCACATCTCTTCACCCCACCATGAGCTCCGGCGGCCGGTGCTGCAACGCCAGACGTCCATCACACAGACCATCCGCAGGTACCAACACCGCCCAGCTGCTCCATGGGGTGGGAGCTGGGGGCTGGTGGGGCAGAGGCAGGTACACAGAGGATGGAAATGAGAACAAGGGCCCTCTTGTTTCAGCTTCCTCCTCCATCTCGGTCCCCACCATCCCCTTGCCCTCCTCCTGTTCTGGATACTGACCGCTCTCACCCCACTACCCTGCTCCACTCCCTTCTCTTCAGCACTCACTCTCTCCTTCTCTGTCTCCACCGCCCGGATGCTCTTGCCTCTTAGCAGCCGACAAGTACGCTTCGGGCGTGTCCACACTCTGCCCCTCTTGGGTCCCCGGGCTGCCCGCAGGGCCTTCCCACAGCGCCAGTCTCTCTCTTGGTCCCTGCTCAGGTATCTCATACAGGTCATGAGTGTGTTGGTGTTTTCTGGCATGTGCTTGGCATGTGACCTCTTGGGAGCTGCCAGTGTGGTTGGCATTCCCTGGGGCTCCTAACGGCAGGTGCTGGCAGTGTTTTTGTTTGCATGTCCAAGTGCTGTGGACAGCCTGCCTGGGCCCGTAAGCACCTGCTGTCTGAGCTCTGTGGTGTCCTGGGGCCAAGCTCTCTCGGGTTGAGCTCTCAGCTCCTTCTCTGGACTCAGTGCCTCCCCTCAACTGCCCCTCAGGGATGGTGGGGTGAGGGCCTCTATGAAGCACTCAACCGGGCAAGGCCAGCTGCGGTCTAGTGGAAACTTGGAGTTGGCTAACAGTTCAGGGGGTGGCTGGAACCCACTCATCCTCTTATTAGACCTTGCCCACTCAGACCCTGGTCCCTGGAGTGACTACAGGCCTGGGGGCAGCATGCTGCCCCGGAGGAGGGCCTTTGAAGTCCCCTGCCTGGGAGGGGCGATCTGGCCGCCCCTTGCTGAGTCCCTGCCATGCCAGGGGGACCGCCGACTGGTTTGGAGTGAGCAAGGACAGTGACAGCACCCAGAAATGGCAGCGCAAGAGCATCCGTCACTGCAGCCAGCGCTACGGGAAGCTGAAGCCCCAGGTCCTCCGGGAGCTGGACCTGCCCAGCCAGGACAACGTGTCGCTGACCAGCACCGAGACGCCACCCCCACTCTACGTGGGGCCATGCCAGCTGGGCATGCAGAAGGTATGCCTGCCTGTTGCTGCCTCCTGCAGGCCCCTCCTTCCGCTCTCAGGGGCTGGGGCTGCGGACACAGCCAGCCTGAGCAGAAGGGACTCTCTGGGAGCTCACAGTCTGGAAGGGCAGTCAGACAGCCTGCTCGTGAAGGCACCTGAAACAGTCTCTGGGAAGGGGTACCTTGGGATGGGGACATGGTCTTGGGATTGCACCAGGGGGCCAGTGTCTGGATGGGAGAGCATTCCAGGCAGGACCTCTAGGTGCTGTGGGGTGGGAGTGGTGGCCATAGAGCTGTCCAGGGGCCCGTGAGGAGTCAGGAGCAGCAGTCACGCTGTCTTTGCAAGGCCTCTGTGCCTCTGGGTGAGCTAGGAGCCCCCATGGTCCTGACTCCAGCATCTCCTCCCCTCCTCCAGATCATAGACCCCCTGGCCCGTGGCCGTGCCTTCCGTGTGGCAGATGACACTGCGGAAGGCCTGAGTGCCCCACACACTCCCGTCACGCCGGGTGCTGCCTCCCTCTGCTCCTTCTCCAGCTCCCGCTCAGGTTTCCACCGGCTCCCGCGGCGGCGCAAGCGAGAGTCGGTGGCCAAGATGAGCTTCCGGGCGGCCGCAGCGCTGATGAAAGTGGGTGCAGGGGCCAAAGGCGGGGTTGGGGGCCGACCCAGCAGCCGGGTCTCATGCTCACTTCCCCGTCCCCAGGGCCGCTCCGTTAGGGATGGCACCTTTCGCCGGGCACAGCGTCGAAGCTTCACTCCAGCTAGCTTTCTGGAGGAGGACACAACTGATTTCCCCGATGAGCTGGACACATCCTTCTTTGCCCGGGTAAGAAGTGCCCGGGGTGTCCCCCCACCCCACGTTCCCTTCCTGCCTGTGTCCACCCTGACCTCATGTGTTTGCTCAGGAAGGTATCCTCCATGAAGAGCTGTCCACATACCCGGATGAAGTTTTCGAGTCCCCATCGGAGGCAGCGCTAAAGGACTGGGAGAAGGCACCGGAGCAGGCGGACCTCACCGGCGGGGCCCTGGACCGCAGCGAGCTTGAGCGCAGCCACCTGATGCTGTGAGTGCGGCAGGCAGGGAAGAGGGGCAGAGAGAGACCCCGGGGCCCGTCAGGAACAGCTGGGCGAGTATCGGCATTCACCTCTGTGGGCGATGGAAGGGGTAGCCTCAGGGACTGGGAACTCACTACTCACTGGGCCACCAGGGGTGGGAGACGCAGAGCTGGGCATGGCCCCAGTCTCATGGCTTGCCTGTGGAATGGGACAGCAATCTTAGAACCCAGGGGCTGGGCAGAATCCAACGGGGAGGCGGAGGTGACAGAGGTGATACTTGCTGAGTTGCAGAAGTCAGTGTGTCCCCGTTCCAGCTCCCTGCCATCCCCGGAGGCCCGCAGTGTTGCTTTTTTACTGGCAAGGAGAAGGCAGATGCCGGGCGACTTGCGCAGTATATTCGCCAGGATAGAGACAGGGTGCCCTGGTGCCCCCCGGGGAGGGACTGCAGCAGTTTGCGGGGCTGGGGCGGGAGGTGAATGCCGGCTCCCTCCAGGCCCTTGGAGCGAGGCTGGCGGAAGCAGAAGGAGGGCGCCGCAGCCCCGCAGCCCAAGGTGCGGCTCCGACAGGAGGTGGTGAGCACCGCGGGGCCGCGACGGGGCCAGCGTATCGCGGTGCCGGTGCGCAAGCTCTTCGCCCGGGAGAAGCGGCCGTATGGGCTGGGCATGGTGGGACGGCTCACCAACCGCACCTACCGCAAGCGCATCGACAGCTTCGTCAAGCGCCAGATCGAGGACATGGACGACCACAGGTAGGCGTGGCAGGCAAGGCCTGGGTTGGGATGGAGGCTCCCGGGGGAGGGTGGGGGCTCCGGGTCGGGGATGAGGCCCCCGCTGACGCTCCACCCCGCAGGCCCTTCTTCACCTACTGGCTTACCTTCGTGCACTCGCTCGTCACCATCCTAGCCGTGTGCATCTATGGCATCGCGCCCGTGGGCTTCTCGCAGCATGAGACGGTGGACTCGGTGAGCCCCTGTGCCTTCCCTGGGCCCAGACGAGTGGAGTCCGGGCACTGGACCCCCTCCCGACCCGCTCTGGGAGGAGAGGGCCAGAGTCGGGGCCCGTCTGATCCCGCTCCCCAACCTCCCAGGTGCTGCGGAACCGCGGGGTCTACGAGAACGTCAAGTACGTGCAGCAGGAGAACTTCTGGATCGGGCCCAGCTCGGTGAGGACGGGGCTGGGGGCGGGGCCGGCGGGGGCGGGACCTGGAGGTGCCCGGCGGGGGCAGGAGGCCCCGGACTGCGGCCGCTCGTCTCCCTCGCCCGCAGGAGGCCCTCATCCACCTGGGCGCCAAGTTTTCGCCCTGCATGCGCCAGGACCCGCAGGTGCACAGCTTCATTCGCTCGGCGCGCGAGCGCGAGAAGCACTCCGCCTGCTGCGTGCGCAACGACAGGTCGGGCTGCGTGCAGACCTCGGAGGAGGAGTGCTCGGTGCGTTTCCCCGCCCGGGACTCCCGCCTTCGTCTGCCCGGTGTTCGCTCTTCAGACCTCAGATAGACTCGGCAGAGTGATCCTTCGCCCTCGTTCCTGGCACATCCCGCCGTCCTTACGCGCAAGGCCTTGTCATATTCATTCCTCCTCATCCCCACCCTCCCCCATCTCCAGCTCCTCGCCCCGTAGACCATCATCTGATTTGGTCTTTTGATTTGGGTGTACTCTTCCAGCATGTGTCTTAAAGCTTACATAAGTGGTATTTGCCTCTTTTCCACTAAGCAATTTTTAAAAAAATTCATCCCAACTTTCATCACATCATCTTATGTGGAAGTGCCGTAGTCCATACCAGTTCCCTGATTTAGGACACAGAGGTTGTTTCTGATTTTCAGCTAACAGGAATTATGCCGTCAAACTCCTTGTAAGAGTCTTTTCCAACATGCACGTGCATCTCAAGAGTGGGGGTGACTTGTAGAAGCGGAGGGAAGAGCTCAGTGGTTTTGCCTTCGACTCCTGACTCCCTGCGTGCCCCTCATTGCCCTGACCCAACTGGACCTGACCCTGTGTCCCCCTCCCACAGTCCACGCTGGCAGTGTGGGTGAAGTGGCCCATCCATCCCAGCGCCCCAGAGCTTGCGGGCCACAAGAGACAGTTTGGCTCTGTCTGCCACCAGGATCCCAGGTTAGTCCTGCCGGCAGCTCTCTCACCTGCCTTTGTCCACACCTTCCCCGGGGGCTGTGGTGCAGAGGGTGTAGGGGCTCCTCTTGTTGGCGACTTGGCTGGAAGGGTGCCAATGCTAGGGGCTCGAAGCCGGTCTGACCACATACTTGGCTCATGCAGGGTGTGTGATGAGCCCTCCTCCGAAGACCCTCATGAGTGGCCAGAAGACATCACCAAGTGGCCGGTGAGCTGCAGTGGGGGGGTTGTTAGGGAGCCCTCCGTGTCATGTGGGAGAGAATGCCACACCCCACCCACTGGTGATACCAGAGATTCCCATCATGGGACCACCTCACGTTTTCAGAGGCTGTGCACCTGCCCTTTGTACAGCCTGTCCATCAACCAGCGCCTGCCCCTCTGAGCAAGTAGATCAAGAGAACTAGATGGAGACTTGAAAGGTCAAGTGACATTATTCCAGTTTGATAGAGACTCAGTGTGGTGGCCTGCTTGAAGTCAAGGAAGCCACACCGTTTTCTGCTTTATGAGCCCACCCATCTTTGCCTCTACCCCCAAACGTGGTGTGGGGCCAAAGGTTGGGGGAGGCCCTGACTCAGCTCGTCCTCATTTGTGACCCAGATCTGCACCAAAAACAGCGCTGGGAACCACACCAACCATCCCCACATGGACTGTGTCATCACAGGACGGCCCTGCTGCATTGGCACCAAGGGCAGGTACGTGTGCGTGCCAGCGAGTGCAGCTGGTCTCTGGGCTCAGAGCATCGCCCTAGGGTGTGCCTTCTCCCTAACCAAATCCTGAAATAAGCCAGTATACCAAGGATGTGGGGTTAGAGGGGGTCTGGACTTCCTTGGGGCCAACAAAGGTGGGTAGGTGCGGCTGAAACTCGCCCTGGATGCCAGCAATCCCCCTCTGCAAGGCAGCAGTCTCCGAACCCTGGCCTGCCTTTCTAGGTGTGAGATCACCTCCCGGGAGTACTGTGACTTCATGAGGGGCTACTTCCATGAGGAGGCCACGCTCTGCTCTCAGGTAGGTCTGCAGAGTGTCCGTCGTTCCCCTCCCCCAGCTACTGTGATGCTGATATGCTGCTCTGCGCAGGTGCACTGCATGGATGATGTGTGTGGGCTCCTGCCTTTTCTCAACCCCGAGGTGCCTGACCAGTTCTACCGCCTGTGGCTATCCCTCTTCCTGCACGCCGGGCAAGTGACACTGTGGGCCGGGTCGGGGGTCTCAGGGCCCTCAGGATTGGCTGGCTGGGGGTGGCAGAAAGGTCACTTCCCTGCTGAATGTCTCCCGACCCCCGCCTGCTACTGACTACAGGATCTTGCACTGCCTGGTGTCCATCTGCTTCCAGATGACTGTCCTGCGGGACCTGGAGAAGCTGGCAGGCTGGCACCGCATAGCCATCATCTACCTGCTGAGTGGTGTCACCGGCAACCTGGCCAGTGCCATCTTCCTGCCATACCGAGCAGAGGTAAGGCTGGCCCTCAGGGTGGGGATCCTCCCGTGTGCACCTGCAGCCTGCTGTGAACCTGTCCATATCGAGCACTGAGTCTGGGAGCATCTCCAGTTGGATCCTCGGTCCCAATATGCTCTGGGCCATGGGAAGTGGGGCAGAAAGATGAGGCCTTGGGTCCAGGGGGCCTGCCCAGCCCCACTGCCTTACAGCTACCCCAACCATCCCCCAGGTGGGTCCTGCTGGCTCCCAGTTCGGCATCCTGGCCTGCCTCTTCGTGGAGCTCTTCCAGAGCTGGCAGATCCTGGCGCGGCCCTGGCGTGCCTTCTTCAAGCTGCTGGCTGTGGTGCTCTTCCTCTTCACCTTTGGGCTGCTGCCGTGGATTGACAACTTTGCCCACATCTCAGGGTTCATCAGTGGCCTCTTCCTCTCCTTCGCCTTCTTGCCCTACATCAGCTTTGGCAAGTTCGACCTGTACCGGAAACGCTGCCAGATCATCATCTTTCAGGTGGTCTTCCTGGGCCTCCTGGCTGGCCTGGTGGTCCTCTTCTACGTCTATCCTGTCCGCTGTGAGTGGTGTGAGTTCCTCACCTGCATCCCCTTCACTGACAAGTTCTGTGAGAAGTACGAACTGGACGCTCAGCTCCACTGAGCTGGCTGCGGGCTCCAGCGGCCGTGTGCTCCAGCAGGCCAGAGCCAGACACGACCTCCCTGAGCCTCACAGGCTTACAGGAGTCACCTGCTCCATGTGGGGACTGGCCTGTTTCCTGAACACAGACCTCTTTCTTGTGCCTTGTTCACTTCTGTTGAACCCCTCGTACTGCCGGGCATTTATTATACTACTTCCTGTCATAACCTTCTAACTTGTTTCTTGACGACCACCTCATGTGGCCAATAAATGGACTGGGAGCGTTTTAGCTGCCATTAACTTGACCAGGGCTTCCCTATCCTTCTTTGTTTCTGGCTGGAAGCTGTGGAGGGAGGTCCTGCAGGCCCCTTGTGGCTGACTCACCCGGGCAGGGAACTGAGTGTCAGATACAGTCACGGGCTCTTTCACTTCCCAGTGAAATCCTTCAGCCAGGCACGTGCACCTTGCTCTTTCTTAGAGTGGCTGGTAGCCGACGCTGGGACAGGGACCTAGGGATGTACTGTCATACCCTCCCCACATGCTGGGAAGCACCCCGCCCCCACCCTTAGCAGCTCCAATTTCCACCCCACACTCCCTCCCTGTCCACCGAACCTGCTGCAGGGAACCCTAAAGGCTGAGGCTGGAGGGCCCACACACAGCTGTGCTATGCTTGCTGCCACTGTGAGCTCCAGGATGCAAACCCTAAAGCCGCTCTGCTTTTATTTCCTCCTTGCTGTGGAGATCATGGTAACACAGTTGTGTGGTTTGGGGAGTGGTGTGGCCTCAAGGCTTTGGTGGTGTGGCGCCATCTTGGACTATAGGACTCGCCTGTACCAATTCTCTCCCCTTAACTCACCTCTGTGATGGGGCAATCTCAGTCTTTGCTACCCAGGTTACTGTGGCTTTCTACTTTTCAAACTAAGAAGCAAACAGGTTTATTTTATACAGTGGGCCAGGCCGTGGGTCTGCCATGTGACTAGGGCATTTGGACCTAGGGAGAGGTCAGTCTCAGGCCAAGTACATGAAAGGAGGGAGCACTGGCTCACCCTGTCCTAGTCCTGAGGGCCCCCAGGTTTATGCTGACAGTTACTGTTGGGCATGCCTGGGGTGAGGCCACCACAACGTCCTTTCTGTGAAAGAGGCACGATGATTCGAGGACCCATTCCTGCTGGGAAAAAGCTCAGCCACCAGTGATGAAGAGGGTTGTCCTGTCTGGAGGCTCACTTTTGCCTCAGCTTTTTGATGAAGGAAACCTCGTCTCGATTCCGGATGCCGTAGCTGAAAAAGAAGGAAAGGCATAAAGCACCTGCCCTACAGAAGGACATATCTGTGACTCCCCTCCTGAGGCTGTGGAGGACCACGAAGAAACAACAGAGGGGAGGCGTGTGGCTTCTGGGAAGGCCAGGAAGTGCAGTGGCCATCCTCTCACAGACCCAGAAGCACTCCGACTCACAAGTCCCCGGGGCAGGGAACTGAGTGTCAGATAGAGTCACAGCCTTTCGCCTCCATGCCCACTCTGATTTCCTCCCTCCTGGCACTGTGTAGCCCTAAGCTGCCACTGGTGGGAAGCAGCAAGGCCCCTCCAGCTGCCCTCTGCCTGCCATTCTCCTAGTGGGGAGGGCCCCAAGGAAGCTCCTTGGAGGAGGGTGTTATCTCCGGAGAGGGAGCCGCAGCCCTCTGGCAGAGCATGGGGGACTAAGGGGCAACAGAACAGCGGTGCCCTACGGCTCAGGACGTGGCCGGCACTTACTCTCGGAGCTTCTTTCTGTCTTCCGTGAGTTTCTCTCCTGCAGAGGTCAGATGGTACGTCCTCCACACGTAGGACCTGCAAGAGGGGAATGCAGGTAAACCACGTGCCCTGAGCAGGGTGAGCTGAGTGGCTCTGCATGACGTGGGCTTGAGGCATGCAGTCCTATGGGACCTGGGGCAGCTGTCCTCCCTACCTGGGCTGTTCTGTACAATGTGCAGATTGGGTCTGAGGCAGCTACAAGGAGGCTCTGTTCTCAGAGGGCTGTCTGGGGCGGCTTGGCCAAACAAACCTTGCTAATGCAACAGGCGACAGTGTTGAGACTCAGTGAACAGGATAGTTGATCCAATAGGAGAGTGAGGGCTGACAGCACCCAGGTGAGAAGGGGATGGGAGCCCCTACAGGTGTACCATCCAAAACTAGGGAGGCCACTTCCAGACACACTGGAAATTCCCGACAGTGTCCCCAAGTGAAGATACCCAGCAGCTCGGATGGGGTGATGCCGATGGAAGAGCAGAATGTTGGGGATGGCCGAGGCAGGAGTCCCAGGCACAGAACGACCCGCACTGTCTGTGACAGGGAGCTCATCACTCTTGTGACAGGGAGCTCATCACTTCAGTGGTGCTGTACTCATGCAGAGCTGAGAGCTGTTTCCAGGTGGTGCCTGGTGACAGTGCCAAGAAGGGCACTAGCCCCACGAAGGGCTATAATGAAGGGAATGTTGTTCCACTTACCAGCTGATGTGCTGAATGCCCCCTTCACGCTCCTGCTTGAGCTGCACGTATCTCTGGATGGCCTTCTTCAGGTCCAGGACTGTGGCACTCTGCACTACAACCACGGCTGCAACCACGGACACAGATGGGAGAAGATCCATGGTGAGAACCCAAAGCCACAGCCTCCGATGGCAGGAAAGGAACCAACACCTCTGTGCACAGGGCAGGTTTGTGGTTGCCCCAGTACCCCTGGGCATGGCCTGTGAGTTTCTGAGCAGGCTGACCAGCACTGTTAGGTCTTCCTGCTGTGAAAGCCTGGACCACATAACCTGAAGGGAGGAGGGTAGCACTTACGCATTACTTCTCCATCCATCTTGCACACTCGGACCGTCATTGCCTGGCCGTATTCTAGGGCTATTTGGGAGTTGACTTCTTCCAGAGTAACCTACAAAAGACCAAGGGCAGAAGTGGGAACCCTGGCTCTCTTTACCACCTTGAGCAACAACAAAGAACAAGCCGATAGTGGCCAAAAAGTGGTGCTCCATTTTACGAAGGGCAAGGAAGGGTGGTTGCCTGTACGTTATGGTTTCCCAATTCATCAGAGCCCCAATCTCATGTTCCACTCACATTTTAATGTCCATAGTGGACAGAGTCTCTGGGGGAAAGAGGTGCTAAGAAACAGGCAAGAGAATAAACTCACATGAGGACCTGCCCCCAGGGGTGGGTAGAGGCCTGTCAGTTCACGCTGAGTATATCCCTGATCATCAGGACCCAGGCCAGGCTTCGGGACTGAGTAAGGCAGGTGTGCAAAATTTACCGGGGCAGCAAAACACGGTAATAACAATAAATATTTTAATACAACATTTAAGAAATACAAGGCAATTAAAATATCCATGATGAGCAAAATATAAAACATTTAAAATTGGCCGGGCGCGGTGGCTCACGCCTGTAATCCCAGCACTTTGGGAGGCCGAGGCGGGCGGATCATGAGGTCAGGAGATCAAGACCATCCTGGCCCAACATGGTGAAGCCCCGTCTCTACTAAAAATACAAAAAATTAGCCGGGCGTGGTGGCGCGTGCCTGTAGTGAACCCGGGAGGGGGAGGTTGCAGTGAGTCGAGATGGCACCACTACACTCCAGCCTGGCAACGGACCAAGACTCAGTCTCAAATAAATAAATAAATAAATAAAAAGACAGTATCGTCCCAAAGCATGATACTGACGCTTTGACACATGATTGACGCTTGAGGCAAATGGAACAATCAGTACTACTAATCTTGCTCTTATTTAAAACTAAATTTTTCTTTTACCGTAGGCTCTTTTTTTGCCTCAACTTTGACTTTTAAAGGTATTACAGGCCAGGCGGGTGGCTCACACCTAAATCCCAGCATTTTGGGAGGCCGAGGCAGGAGGATCGCCTGAGCCCAGGAGTTTCAGATCAGCCTGGGCAACATAGTGAGACTCCCTCTGTACAAAATATTTAAAAATTAGCCGGGTGTGGTAGCGCGCACCTGTGGTCCCAATTACTCGGGAGGCTGAGGTGGGAGGACGCCGCTGCACTCCAGCCCGGGCAACGCAGCAAGACCCTGTCCCCCGAGCCCCCTAAATACAATTACATTAAAATGTCATTTGATGTCACTCACTAATGAGGTTTTTGGTTCCTCTTTAAGCTTCGCGCCCCAGGCGAGTGCGCCCGGTCAAGGTTAAAACCCTCGTTTACGCCCAGAGGCGCCTTCCTCAGCCTTGGGCCGCAGTCTCCCACCAGCACCTTCGGAGGCTGCCGGCGCCCGGATGCCCGGACCCCGGGGAACGACTCCCGCGCCCCCAGCCCCCGCCCGCACACACCTGGATCGGCAGATCGCAGAGCAGCGGGTCCTGCACCACCATAGCCAGACCCTCCTGGAACACGTCCATGGCCTCGGAGTGCGGCAGCGCCTCTTCTTCGTCCTCATCTTCCTCTTGCGCCTCGGGCCCACCCGCGGCCTCCGTCTCCTCCAGGGCCGCCCCTCTCAGCCGGGCTCTGCCCGCACTGCCAGCCCGCACTAGGGAGGCCAAGCGCGCACGCGCAGGAACTGCGGCCCGCCCCAGCGAGGCCGCCCAGCCACTGGCGCGCCGGGGGGGGTGGGGCGGCTGCAGTGACCAATGACAAGTGCGAGACAGCCTGCAGCAGGGCCGGGAGCGCAGAATCGCCCTGTCTATTGGTTGGTTGGTGTGGCGGGAAGGCTGCCAGGACCAATGTGAGCTCGAGGCGGGCGGCGCATCGGCGCTGAGCGGCAGTGGGAGCTGCCGGGAGTTGGAGCCTGCGGAGTTCGAGACCATGCTGCTGTTCTGCCCCGGCTGCGGGAACGGGCTGATCGTGGAGGAGGGACAACGCTGCCACCGCTTCGCCTGCAACACGTGCCCCTACGTGCACAACATCACCCGCAAGGTGGGACCCGAAGGCCGGCGCTGGGCGCGGGCGACTCTCGCAGGCCTTCCGCGTCCTCCGACTGCTGCTCCATCGCCGCCAGCCCCGGCGTCTGCCTCTGTCCGCTCTTTCTCGCGCCCCTTTCTGGTCTGCAGCAGATCTGTGGGCTCTACTTTCCAATACACTCAGAAAGCCCCACCGTTTCCCACCGCCTTGGGTTCCTGCTCCCACGCTCGCGCCCTTCTCTGCGTTCACAGCGGCGGCCACGGTGATTTCCTTAAAGCTGAGGCACGCAGGTCCGTGCTGTGCGCAGAAACCTTCGGCTCTTCTCCAGCTCACGCAGACGAAAAGCCGGAGTTCTCCCAGGGCCTACCAGGTTCCGACACTGACTCCCTCCCCTGCGTGCGTCTCCGATTTCAAGTCCTAATGCCCTTCCTGTTGCCCTTTGCCGCATCAACACCGCCTCCTGGACGATCTCTCATCGTGCTCATGGTGCTAGCAGGGCCTTTGCACTTGCTGTTGCTCAGTTCACTCTTCCCCTAGATCGCCACCTTACTCATTGGTCTTGTCTTTACCGTATTTTAAATTTCAGCCCCTCCTTCCAATTTATTCTCCTTCCCTTTGTAATTGTTTCCATAGGGCTTATTACCTTCTAATATATTATGTAATGTATTGTGTGCTTTCTTTATTTTTTTTTATTGTTTTTTTTTTTTTTTTTTTTTTTTTTTTTTGAGACGGAGTCCCGCTCTGTCGCCCAGGCTGGAGTGCAGTGGCGCGATCTCGGCTCACTGCAAGCTCTGCCTCCCGGGTTCACGCCACTCTCCTGCCTCAGCCTCCCAATTAGCTGGGACTACAGGCGTCCGCCACCACCCCTGGCTGATTTTTTTGTATTTTTAGTAGAGATGGGGTTTCACCGTGTGTTAGCCAGGACGGTCTCCTGACCTCGTGATCTGCCCGCCTCGGCCTCCCAAAGTGCTGGGATTACAGGCGTGAGCCACCGCGCCCGACCTTTTTTTTTTTTTTTTTTTTTTTTTTTTTTTTTTTTTTTTTGAGACAGAGTCTCGCTCTGTTTCCCAGGCTGGAGTGCAATGGCGTAATCTCGGCTCACTGCAACCTCTGCCTCCCGGGTTCAAGCAATTCTTCTGCCTCGGCTTCCCGAGTAGCTGGAATTACAGGCGCCTGCCACCATCCCCGGCTAATTTTTGTATTTTTAGTAAAGACGGGGTTTCACCGCGCTGGCCAGGCTGGTCTCGAACTCCCAACCTCAGGTGATCCGCTTGCCTTGGCCTCCCAAAGTGCTGGGATTATAGGCGTGAGCCACCACGCCTGGCCAGAATACCTTTACTTTTTAGCAGTTAGAATATGTTGGTGCTACGTCAGTCTTAATGTTTGCATGCTACTCCAGTTTGTACTGTGTTGTGGGAGTTTGGAGTTTGAAACTACGGGAAGAGTGAACTCTTTGTTTTTTTTTTTTTTTGAGATGGAGTCTTGCTCCGTAGCCCAGGCTGGAGTGCAGTGGTGTGATCTCGGCTCACTGCAAGCTCCGCCTCCCAGGTTCACACCATTCTCCTGCCTCAGCCTCCTGAGTAGCTGGGACTACAGGCGCCCGCCAACACGCCGGGCTAATTTTTTGTATTTTTAGTAGAGACAGGGTTTCACCGTGTTAGCCAGGATGGTCTCGATCTCTTGACCTCGTGATCCGCCCGTCTTGGCCTCCCAAAGTGCTGGGATTACAGGTGTCAGCCACCACGCCCAGCCGAGTGAACTCTTATGTAATCCTGAAATTTAAGGTTTGGCAGCCCAGGTTTGCGCTATTCAGTTACTTGGAGTCTGAAGTGTTGTTTTTGTTAGGTAACAAATCGGAAGTACCCAAAACTGAAAGAAGTGGATGATGTGCTTGGTGGAGCAGCTGCCTGGGAGAATGTTGACTCTACTGCAGGTAAGAGGGAAAACTGTTTCTGTTGCTAAACTGTGGATAATTATGAGGCTGTTGATGCCACTGCTTGGCAGAGTCTATGATGTCATATAAATGATGTAGGTTTCTAAAAATAGAAAATGGTTCTTGAATAATTTATTTGTATTTGTTACTGTTTAATAATCTGTCAGACAAGCAATATTTGTGCCAGCCTTGGAGTCATACAGGCCCGGGTCAGATTCTCAGGGCAACCTTGTATTGTTGTAGGACCTTCCTTGGGTCTCTTGACTTCTCTGGGGCTAATCCATATTCGTAGACCGCGAGAGCATAAAGTGAATTATACCGTGCTTGGTATATAAGAGGCACTCAACAGGTGATAGCTTTGATAATGGCAATGATGAGTAGATTAATAAAAATAAGAGTCTAAGGAAAAAAGTATGTTCTTTCTGTTTGATATGGTTTGGCTGTGTCTCCACCCTAATCTCATCTTGAATTATAGTTTCCGTAATCCCCAGGTGTCCTGGGAGGGGCCCAGTGGGAGGTAATTGAATCATGGGAGCGGTTTCCCCCCATGCTGTTCTCCTGATAGTGAGTGAGTTCTCACAAGATCAGATCGTTTTATAAGCGTTTGCGTTTCCCCTGCTCGCACTCATTCTGTCTCCTGCTGCTCTGTGAAGAGGTTCCTTTCGCCATGATTGTAGGTTTCCTGAGGCATCCCCAGCCACGCAGAACTGTGAGTAAATTAGACCTCTTTTCTTGGCTGGGTGTCGTGGCTCACGCCTGTAAATCCCAGCAGTTTGGGAGGCCAAGGTAGGCAGATCACTTGAGGTCAGGAGTTCCAGACCAGCCTGGCCCGCATGGTGAAACCCTGTCTCTATTAAAGATAAAATAATTAGCCGGGTGTGGTGGCGCTCGCCTGTAGACCCAACTGCTCAGGAGGCTGAGGTACGAGAATTGCTTGAACCCAGGAGGCAGAGGTTGCAGTGAGCCGAGATCACACTACTGCACTCTAGCCTCGGTGACAAGAGTGAGACTCTGTCTCAAAACAAACAAAACCCCTTTTGTCTATATAAATTACCCAGTCTCAGGTATTCATAGCAGTGTGAGAACGGACTAATACACGCTTCTAATATAGATTTTTAGAAGTTAATACCAGTGAGCATTAAACTGCAGATTGGGTAAAATACATGTTTATTGCATGTCTGGTAGACATAGATGTGGCCAGGAGAGGAAAGGGGAAGACGTAAATGTAAGTTATATTGAGAGGTGAGAGAGATAACTGATGGTTAGTACTGTGGTTTTCCCCCTATAAAAGAACATATAGGCTGGGTGTGGTGGCTCACGCCTGCAATCTCAGCACTTTGGGAGGCCGAGGCGGGCGGATCACCTGAGGTCAGGAGTTCGAGACCAGCCTGGCTAACACGGTGAAACCCCATTTCTGCTAAAAATACAAAAAATTAGCCAGGCGTGGTGGCAGCACCTGTAATCCCAGCTACTCGGGAGGCTGAGACAGGAGAATCGCTTGAACCCGGGAAGTGGAGGTTGCAGTGAGCCAAGATTGCATCATTGCACTCCAGCCTGGGCAACAAGAACGAAACTCTGTCAAAAAAAAGAACATACAAATCTGCTATGTGAAAAAGTTAGCAGCTGGCACGGTGGCTCACACCTATAATCCCAGCATTTTGGGAGGCCAATGTGGGCGGATCACGAGGTCAAGACATCGAGACCATCCTGGCCAACATGGTGAAACCCCGTCTCCACTAAAAATACAAAAAGTAGCTGAGCGTGGTGGTGCCTGCCTGTAATCCCAGCTACTTGGGAGGCTGAGACAGGAGAATCGCTTGAACCTGTGAGGCGGAGGTTGTAGTGAGCTGAGATCGTGCTATTGCACTCTAGCCCAGGCAACAGGAGCAAAACTCCGTCTCAAAAAAAAAAAAAAAACAAATTAGCCAGGCTCAGTGGCGCGTGCCTGTAGTCCTAGCTACTCAGGAGGCTGAGGCAGGAGAATTGCTTGAACCAGGAGGCGGAGGTTGCAGTGAGCCGAGACCATGCCACTCCAGCCTGAGTGAGACTGTCTAAAAAAAAAAAATCTTTTTACCTAATGTCAGAAATAGAGTGTTTGAAGCCATTTCTGTCAGGTGTAGGATAAGTTTCTCAAAGTGAAATCGCTTTGAAGAGTGCAATGGTGTGATCTCGGCTCACTGCAACCTCCACTTCCCAGGTTCAAGTGATTCTCCTTCCTCGGCCTCATGAGTAGCTGGGATTACAGGCATGCGCCACCACGCCCAGCTAATTTTGTATTTTTAGTAGAGATGGGGTTTCTCCATGTTGATAAGGCTGGTCACGAACTCCCGACCTCAGGTGATCTGTTGGCCTCAGCCTCCCAAAGTGCTGGGATTACAGGCCTGAGCCACTGTGCCTGGCTTTTTTTTTGAGATGGAGTCTCTTTTGCCCAGGCTGGAGTGTAGTGGCACGATCTCTGCTCACTGCAAACCTATGCTGCCCGGGTTCAAGCGATTCTCCTGCCTCAGCCTCCCTAGTAGCTGGGATTACAGGCACCTGCCACCACGCCCGGCTAATTTTTGTAGTTTTGGTAGAGACGGGGTTTCACCATCTTGGCTAGGCTGGTCTTGACCTCCCGACCTCGTGATCCACCTGCCTCAGCCTCCCAAAGTTCTGGGATTACAGGCAAGAGCCACCATACCCGGCCTCTTCTCTTCTTTTCAGCCCACACCAGAATCGCCCTTAATGCTCAATTCTTTTTTTTTTTTGAGATGGAGTCTCACTCTGTTGCCCAAGCTGGAGTGCAGTGGCGCGATCTCGGCTCACTGCAAGCTCCGCCTCCCGGGTTCACGCAATTCTCTTGCCTCAGCCTCCCGAGTAGCTGGGACTGCAGGCACCCGACACCACGCCTGGCTAATTTTTTGTGTTTTTAGTAGAGACGGGGTTTCACCATGTTAGCCAGGATGGTCTCGATCTCCTGACCTCGTGATCCGCCTGCCTTGGCCTCCCAAAGTCCTGGGATTACAGGCGTGAGCCACCGCGCCCGGCCCTTAATGCTCAATTCTTGACAATGCAGGCTTTTCCCAGCATTTACTTCAAAACTCTTCCACCATCTAACCATTACTTAGTCTTAGGCATTTTGTTACAGCAGCACAAAATGGACCAAAACAGTCACCTTCCATGTTACGTTTCCAACCAGCCTTCAGCTGGATTTGAGAAGAACCATGGGACTCAGGGAGGGGAGGGGGAGAGTGTGTGAGTCACAGGTCTCCCAGATTCCCTTAGTGTTACAGCGTGGTGGGAATGACATCACTGTTTGTAGATCTACCCTTGTCAAGGGGGATCAAATGAGCAGGGAGGTTCTTTACCATCTTTAAAGATATTAAGTAGTCTGGGCACGGTGGCTCATGCCTGTAATCCCAGCACTTTGGGAGGTTGAGGTGGGCGGATCATGAGGTCAGGAGTTCGAGACCAGCCTGGCCAACATAGTGAAAACCTGTCTCTACTAAAAATACAAAAAAATTAGCCGGGTGTGGTGGCGGGCAACTGTAATCCCAGCTACTTGGGAGGCTGAGGCAAGGAGAATCACATGAACCCGGGAGGCAGAGGTTGCAGTGAGCTGAGATCGCCCCACTGCACTCCAGCCTGGGTGACTGCGAGATTCCATCTCAAAAAAAAAAAAAAAAGATATTATAGTAATACCTACTTTTTTTTTTTTTTTTTTTTTTTGAGTGCAGTGGCACGATCTTGGCTCACTGCAATCTCTGCCTCCTGGGTTCAAGCGATTCTCCTGCCTCAGCCTCCCAAGTAGCTGGGATTAAAGGCGCCCGCCACCACGCCTGGCTAATTTTGTATTTTTAGTAGAGATGGGGTTTCACCATGTTGGCCAGGATGGTCTCGAACTCCTGACCTCAGGTGATCCGCCCGCCTTGGCCTCCCACATATTAAGTAATACCTACTTTTGACAGCCATGAGTAGCATCTTTTTTTAAATGTGGTCACTTCTTTTTTCTCATTGCCAGAGTCGTGTCCCAAATGCGAACATCCTCGTGCTTACTTCATGCAGCTTCAGACCCGCTCTGCAGATGAGCCGATGACCACCTTCTACAAGTGCTGCAATGCTCAGTGTGGACACCGCTGGAGGGATTAGGGCCAGGATGGCCCAGCTGCCCTAGTGTGTGCTTGCCTTGTCCCTCGGGGTAGATGCTTAGCTGGCAGTATGAGTTGTGTGTCCTGAGGGTCTTTGCTAGTGTGGTGGAAAGATAAACCTTTTGAGGTGAAGAGCCAGGGGGTCAGGAAATATGGCCTATCTGCCAGGCAGGGTGGATGAAGTCATGAATGTCTGGGAGTTTTTCTGTGTGGGGAGGAGACAGAGACCCATAACTAAATATGCTCTGTGTAAAGTCCTATTCTTTCATCTTCCACTTTATTGGCAGTTGACATTCCCTTACTCCCAATCAACACTCTTAAATATTTGTACTGTTTGTAAAACTTAGTACATGTCCCTAAATATTTAACTGTTACTTGTAAACTTGTGTAATTTATTATTTATTTTAATCAAAATTCTGAATATTTCATTTAAATGAAAGTTGGAATATTGCCTTCTCAGTGTTTTAAATAGCTTAAGAGGTAGAAAGCAAACCCCAAATCACAGTGATCCCAGAATAGACTACATACTTACATTTGAACAGGCTACGAAAATGTTAATCACCGGGATTTCAATTTCTTTCTTTATTCCTATTCTTACTCCCTTATTCATTTTTTTGAACCTCCCCTGATTTGCTTCCTCGGGTTGCTTTAAATGTATAAGATACTATTTATTTATTTATTTATTTTATTTATTTATTTATTTATTTAAGACAGAGTCTTGTTCTGTCGCCCAGGCTGGAGTGCAGTGGTACGAATTCAGCTCACTGCAACCTCTGCCTTCCGGGTTCAAGGGATTCTCCTGTCTCAGCCTCCCAAGCAGCTGGGACTACAGGCATGCACCACCACACCTGGGTAATTTTGCATTTTTAGTAGAGATGGGGTTTCTCCATGTTGGTCGGGCTGGTCTCCAACTCCTGACCTCAGATAATCTGTCTGCCTCGGCCTCCTAAAGTGCTGGGATTACAGGCGTGAGCCACTGTGTCCCACCAATCTTTACATTTAATATGACTATTTTCTTATTGTTTGAACATGTTGATCAGTTCCTGATCACAATATGGGGCCTATCCTATATGGGTCCTAGAGTGGTTGGATTTTATTTTTTAACCTAAACACAGACCCTAGGTTTGAAAGGGTGTACTGGGTCTGTTAGACTTATAGGCATTTTTTTTTTTTTTAATACTTAGCCATGCATCTCTTGCATTGTCACTCCTTTAGGAGTGCATCTGTCTTCTAAGGGTTAGCTCTCCTAACTCTTTTAAATCCCCTCTAATTTGATTAATGATTGGGGGCAGCCTTCTGAACAATATTTCACGGGACGAATACCCAGTTTGTTTGGTGGGGGTGTACCTGACTTGGAGGAGGACCATGGGCGAGACCCGATCTTATTTTAGATGAGTTTCTTGACAAAATTTTTTCAGCAGCTGTTTGAGTGTCTGGTTCGTGCACTGTACTTGAGCTCTGTGGCCTGTAGGATGTACGCAATTTCCACTTTATTTTTAATAGTCTAGTTAAGTCCTGAACTCTTGCAGCCACAAATGTTGGTCCATTGTCTGATCTCAGAGGCAGTCCAAATCTGGGAATAACGTCTCCTAACAACACCTGAGTCACTTCTAGTGCCTTCTCTGTCCAGATGGAGAAGGCCTCGACTTATCCTGAAAAGGTGCAAATGAACACCCACATGCACTGATAGCCCCCCTTTCAGGGCAATTTGGCGAAGTCCATAAGCAGCTTTTCACAGGGCATGGCTGGCTCATGTTTCCTGAACTCCTGGGGGCCAAGCAGGCCCTTGTTATGGATTGTTCTGAACACAAGTTAAACACTGTTTGTTTACAAATGGCTTGAGTAATAGCAGCGAGCCATGGCACATAGAAATGATGCCTTAATAATGTCTTTAGTGCTGTTTGTTTTTTTTCCCATGTGAGTTCCTTGGTGGAACTGTTCTACAAATCGGGGTCACCATTTCAGGTATGGCCTCCCATTGGAGAATTTTACCGTCCTCCTTCAATGTAGTTCTTATTTTTCTGGGCAAACCAAGCCCTTTTATTTGCAGGGGTGCTTGGGATCTCTGGGAGGGAATCTCCGGGAGGAGAGGCATAGCTGAGGCCTCCTCTTTAGAAGGTGGAGTTGTCACTGCAGCCTGCTTTGCCTTTTTGCCTTTCTATTTTTTTTAGCCTTTGGTGTTCTTGCTTTTCGGTGCCTCTCGCAGGGCATCATGGCCACCTCTTTTGGGGCTCATACAGCATCTAAGAGCTGCAAAATTTCTTCCTTGTGCTTTTTTTTTTTTTTACTTTCAGTAGTTAAAAGGCTTTTTTTTTTTTTTTTTTTTGTAAATAGCCTCATGAACATGCAAAGTGGCAGAAGCATATTTGGAATCTTTGTAAATATTTGTCTTTTGGTCTTTTCCTAGCCAGGGAGTTCTTGTCAGAGCTATCAGCTCTGATTTCTAAGCAGAAGTTTCTGTAGGCAAAGACTGCACCTTTACTACTGAGTCCGAAGTCACCACTGCGTACCCAGCTTGGTGGACTCCCTTTAGTATGAAATTGCTTCCATCAGTAGAGTATTCAATGTCTGAGTCCCCGAGGGGCCGATCTGGTACATCTCTCTGGCTTGAGAACACTTTATCTACCAAGTCCACACAGCAATGAAGGGGGCCTCTTGGCACTGACTTGATGAGGAGCAGTGTAGCTTGGTTTAGGGTATTTAGTCTCTAAAGTCAGTTTATTAGCTTTTTCCACGACTGCATTCACGCCCGCGTCCATGCCTTCTTGCAAAGCTAGCTTCTCTTCCTGTAAGCGCTGCTGCTAGTAAATTAGCCTTTCTTAAGCCTCTGATCAGCCTCCTGATCTCCGTTAATGTACACCTTGGTAGCCACTTTAATAAGCTGAGTAGCATTCACGCCTGCGGAGCTTCCAACTTCTGTAATTTATGCCCGATATCTCCTTGGGCCTGCCTTACAAATGTCGTATTCACCATGTGCTGATTTTCAGCAGCCTCAGGGTTAAACGGAGTGTACAACCAAAATGCCTTACGAAGTCTATTATAAAACTGACTGGTGCTTTTATTTGCACCCTGGAGAACCTCTGAGATTTTGTGTGTGTGTGTGTGTGTGTGTGTGTTTTTAGACGGAGTCTCGCTCTGTCGCCCAGGCTGGAGTGCAGTGGCGCGATCTTGGCTCACTGCCAGCTCTGCCTCCCGGGTTCACGCCATTCTCCTGCCTCAGCCTCCTGAGTAGCTGGGACTACAGGCGCCCGCCGCCACGCCCGGCTAATTTTTTTGTATTTTTTTAGTAGAGACGGGTTTTCACCGTGTTAGCCAGGATGGTCTCGATCTCCTGACCTTGCGATCCGCCCACCTCGGCCTCCCAAAGTGCTGGGATTACAGGTGTGAGCCACCATGCCCGGCCTGTCCTCTGAGATTTTTTATATTGGTTGCCTTTCTCTTTTACCTTCCTTTAGCCTTTGCAGAAATGTTTCTTGGCACCTTTGTAGGTGCTGAAGCTGGGCTGCATCATCGGATCCTGGTGGGGGTTCTCTTGTCCTCTGAAGAGGCGTAAGTTTAACTTGGGCATGGCCGGGCCTGAGACGGCCTGCCTGACTTTTTGAGCCTTTCACTTTAACTTCCCGGAGCTCTGATTTCTCCCTCTCAGGTGAGACTGGGAGCATGTATCTGTTTGAACTTGACTCCTTAGGTGCAGTTAGCCTTGGTAAAGGGGGGCAGATTGGAATATAGGGAGGGGTGGTCTCTATTCCCTCCTGTGGTTCTTGCAGAACGGTTTTTCTCTTTCTTTTCTGAGACTTTTCATTCGTCCCCATAGCTTCCAGGGCAGCTGATTTTTACTTTTGCTTTTGGCTCAGTGGTGCTACAAGCCTCTGTGACTTTCCCTTTAACTCTGTAGCTGCCAGCGCAGCTGATTTCTCTCTTGGCGTGGGCTGTGACGTTCTACAATAAACTGCTAGGCAGGGCTGCATTCACTTAGCCATGAGTCAATACCATTGCCTTTGGCTTCCCTATCTCCAGGGTCACATTCCCTTTAGGTGTAAAGGAAATTTGTGCCTGCAGTTTTTGGAGCAAGTCTCTCCTCAACAAGGGCACTGAAGAATTTGGCATATATAGAAACTCATGCTGCACTTCTTGTCCTCCAATAACACATCTCCTGTATTTGGAAAAAGGTGTCACGTCTTTGGCCCTAGTAGCTCCCATGATAGCAGCATAGTTCTTTTTGTGGGTGCTAATTGGGCGAGTTACCACAGAGAAATCAGCACCAGTATTGACCAAAAGATCCATTAATTGGCCCCCTTCTTCCATAGAGACCACAGGCTCCCTGGGGCCTAAAAAGATGGAGCCCAGTCTGTCTCAGTCCTCAAAATTCTCAGCCCCCGCTAAGCCAGTCAGATCAGGATCTGCCTTTGAAGCACTATGACCAGCAACTGAATGCCACACTTGGGTGTTAGACCATTGACCATCATCTCCATCCGTTTCCTTTTGGGGACACTCATGTTTCCAGTGGCCCATTTGTCTGCACCTTGCACATTGGTTCCTGTCCAGCCGGGACCAGCTTCCTCTCCCTGTCTTGTCTGCCCTCTTCCTTGGCCTCTTCCTTGGCCACACCCTCTAGCAAATCCAGGGTTACTTTCTTGCTAGTGCGTCAGCTATACACTGAGCCATCTCTTTGTTTCTATTTTTGGTTTTTCTTTTTTCCTTTGGTTGGGCTGCCTGGGCCACTGATGCCTTGTAATATCCCTCTAGGCAGGGCTGTAGCCACCTGGGGCAAGTTTGTGCCACACTGAGCCAAGTGTCCATACAGGGAAACTGGTCTGGGTATCCTGGTTGTCCTCCAACTCCAATGACCACCTTAAACACACGGCCAATTAATTCCCTGTCTATTGTAGCTTCAGAGGGTCACCCCACATTGAAAGCAGACCAATCTATTTCACAGTATGTCCTTAACTTTTGAGCATCCAATTTCATCCCATAATCACCTCTAAATCCTTTTTTAAAGTTCTTTATCATGCACTTCAAAGGAGTTGGTTTAGACACTTCCCCTCCCATTTCCTCCCTTGTGGCACACTCTCACTCACTTTCACTCTTGGGTCCACCAGACCTGGTCCTGGAGTTTCGGACGCTGCTTAGCCAGGAATGTGCCTTCCCCTCTCACAGCCTGCTGCGGCTGTAGAGCTGGTCTTATCTGCCATATGCAACGTCCTACGTCTGATTTCACCCGCACTCGCCTCGGAGCACACAGCCTGCACTAAGGGATCTGTGCTTCCCCATGTCACTCCCTGCATTGGCCTCTCCCGAGACCGTCTCTTTCACACACTTTCACACACCTCCTTTGCCCCAGGACTCCTTATTGGAGGAAACGAGCCTCTCTCGTGTCCCGGGTGAGCCTAGTTAGGCTCCTACATTCACACACATACACACACCACTCCTACCCCAGGACTCCTTATTGGAGGAAACTAGCCTCTCTCATGTCCCGGGTAGGTTCACACACACCCACACACTCCCAGTCGCTGTCTGCAGATCCAGTGAACCACTTTCACTTTGTTAGTGGGGACGCGAGGTTCATCCAAATTGGCAGGCCACTCCTGCCGCCCCCAGCTGCTCTGGGTTGGATTAGTGGTTGGTCCCTGGGAGGTGATCAAGCTCGCATTCATCCCTGTGGGACAGGCTTTCCTGCCTTGGTCCTTGTCTGCTTACTTACCTTACTCCTTACCATGGTTCCCGAAGTGCTGGTATCATCCTACAGCCCCATCCCTGGTTCCGTTGCGCTGCCGGACAGGGCGCCGGGACGTGGGGAGTGCCGGCTTCTATCCGGGTGAAGCTCCCCCGTGGTGCACCTTGGATGCTGGGTCTCCCCTGGCCCTGGGGCTCTAGTGCCGCAGGCAAAGGAGAAAGTAAATCTGTCGTCTCCAATCCCGGATGAACCCCCAGAAATGTTTCGGGATTGATAAGGAATCAGAGAGACTGATGGGGTTGAGGAGGATATTTATTATTTAGGAGCACCAGCCCAGTCGGATTAACATCCAAAGGACTGAGCCCTGAGCAAAGAGTTACCTTTTAAGTATTTTGTGGGGTGGTGGGAGATCTGTGCAGGGAGAAGCATATTACAGAAGTGAGAAACGAAGGTAGTTATTTAATTAATTGAGACATGCATTACATCATTTCTCACTTTTCAAAGAAAAACATGTTTTGCGACTTGAGTTTATCTGTCTAGTGACCTTGCAGCTGCACGGCTAGAGAAGCAGGGTCTTCACGATGCCTGGGAAAGGAGGAGAGATAAGGCTCACTAGCCACGGAAAAACAGGCAGTCAATTTTTAAAGGACTCCAGCTCTTTCTCTTTCTCAGGGGAACTGGGTTTTCTTACATACAACTGAGTTTCTGCTTACACATTCTTTAATTTCTTTTAATTCCTGTTCCAACGCAATCCCAGCTCACTGCAGCCTGGACCTCCTGGGCTCAAGCGATCCTCCCACCTCAGCCTCCCGAGTGGCTGGAACTACAGGTGCGCACCATGCCCAGCTTGTTGTTATTATTATTATTATTATTATTTATTATTATTATTATTTTTGAGATGGAGTTTTGCTCTTGTTGCCCAGGGTGGAGTGCAATGTCATGATCTCGGCTCACTGCAACCTCTGCCTCCCGGGTTCAAGCTATTCTCCTGCCTCAGCCTCCTGAGTAGCTGGGATTCCAGGCATGTGCTACCATGCCTGGCTTATTTTGTATGTTTAGTAGAGACGGGGTTTCTCCATACTGGTCAAGCGGGGCTTGAACTCCTGACTTCAAGTGATCCGCCCACCTCAGCCTCCCAAAGTGCTAGGGTTAAAGGCATGAGCCACTGCGTCTGGCCTAATTTTTATATATATTTTTTTGTAGAGACAGGGCTTTGCCATGTTGCCCAGGCTGGTAACTTCCATATGTTTTTTATAGGCAATTTTTTTTATTTTATACTTTTTATTTAATTTTTTTGAATTTAACCTCAGAATGTGATTATAGACAAAATTCAAAACATAATAATTGAGTTTAATTTTTGTAATGTGGGTCTATTACTGAGAAGAGTGGATGCCATTTTGCTTCATTGGGGTTCAAAGTTAGTGTTCCCTGTCATTGAAATCAATTGCAAATGTGCATCTGTGAATGCTGGTTACATCCAGGAGAGCAAATGAAGTATACCATTGACACCACTGATAGAGTCAATAGATTCACCACTGATAATGGATTCAGATATTTCCCACAGAGTTCTTGCTGTTGAATAATGCAGTGAAGTCAGGCACAGTGGCTCACGCCTGTAATCCTAGCACTTTGAGGCTGAGGTTGGCGGATCACCTCAGGTCAGGGGTTCGAGACCAGCCTGGCGAACACGGCGAAACCTCATCTTTACTAAAAATACAAAAATTAATCTGGGTGCAGTGGCTCATGCTGGGCATGGTGGCACAGCTTGTAATCCCAGCTATTCTGGAGGCTGAGGTAGGAGAATCACTGGAACCTGGAAGGCAGAGGTTGCAGTGAGCTGAGATCGTGTCATTGCACTCCAGCCTGGGTGACAGAGTGAGACTCCGTCTCAATAATAATAATGATAATAATAATAATAATAATAATGATGATGGAGTGAAAACCATACACTTTAAGCACTTTATGTTTTCATAAGCTTCGTACATTTGTCCACCTAAGCTTTTTCCTGCCCCACACATGCTTTTACCGCCGCCAGTTTTAACACATATTTACACTTCCTTTTTTGCTGCATTAGTGTCTCATCTTTGGGAATATTCTTGCTGCAGTTGTTTTTTTTTTTTTTTGAGACAGGGTTTCACTGTCACCTAGGTTGGAGTAAAGTGGCGCAATAACGACTCACCACAACCTGAAATTGCCGGGCTCAGGAGATCCTCCCACCTCAGCCTCCCAAGGAGCTGGGACTATAGGCGTGGGCCACCCTGCCCAGCTAAGGGAGGGTGAATGGCTGAGCTTGCCTGAAGACCCTCCCGTGGGTGTGGCAGAGCCTGTGGTCTGAGGGAGGGGTCTAGCTGCAGGGCAGCGCACAGCTTCACAGTGGCCCAGGGAACCAGGGCAGGCAGGCCGTGAGGCCCAGTGGTCATCTGGGCCAGGCCTTGATGCTGAGGCCATGGAACAGGTGAGGCTCTAAGAAGGGCCCAGAGTGACCATGGGCTGGAGGCTATGTCCACAGACCCAGTGCAGGAGAGGGTGTCCTGGGCAGTGATGTCAGCCAGGCTCCCTAGCAGGACTGGGGGTGTCGGGGCAGCTCTTTCCCAGGTGGCAGACACTGGCTTCCCCTCTTGCTCTCACAACTGTCCTGTGACCTGGTGTCTGAGCTGTGGTGAGGCCTCCCTGGTGACACAGAGGAGCACGGAGCATGTGGGTGGGGGTGTGTGCACCTGCCCTGACTTCCTGGTCCTGTGGTCAAGGATGGGGGAAGGTAGATCTGCCTGTAGCTCCACCCTATTTGTAAAGCACTGTGGTGCCTTCTGCTGGGGCATGTGCTGAGTGGTGCCTCGCAGGCACTGCCCTCGGGAAGTTCACAGGCTTGTGTAGAAGCTGATGGGAATGTGCCAAGAACAGAGGTGTCAGGAGCCAGGTATTGGGCAGGTCCTAGGTCTCTGAGCCTCAGTCTCCTTATCTGTAGGAGGGTGGTAACCCTGCCCTGCTCAGCTTACCAGGTGCAGCTGTGAGTTTTCAGTGCAGAGGAAAAGCAGAGACCTTCCCCTCAGATGGCCATACCCCCTTGTCGCTATACCCAACACTCTAATGCTCCCCTAGGGAGTGTCCTGGGCTCCTCCTTTGTAGCTCTCAGGTGTCACATGTGGGTCTTGCCCTACCATCCCCTCTCCCTTTCTAGAAATGAGGACTGCTGAGCTTGGAGCCGCCCCACTCCCTGCTCTCAAGCCGTCTGCTCCTGGGTTAGCCTGTGGCTGGCCTGGCCTGATTCTACACCGACGTGGGTGTTTCTCCACTGCTGGGGCAGCGGTCGGCCATCCTGGGGCCTGGGTCAGCTCTCAGCTGTGGCTGTTGTGCCTGTGCTTCCCCAGGTCCTGGTGGTCACTCCAACCCCGCCCTCAGATATCCCAAGAGCAGGCTGACTGTCTTCCCCATTCCCACCTTTCCAGTAGCTGCTGCAAGAAGGGACAGACGTTGCTGCAGAGAACTTGCCACGGTGTTTCATGTTGTGGCCGGTGGTGCCAGACTGCACGCTCCATTCTAGGGAAGGGTGAGTCTTCCCGATCATCAGTCTTAACAGGGGACTGTCCTGTGGGTACCTGGGTAGGCTGCAGGAGTGGGGTTAGAGTAGTGCCTACTGCCTGTTGAGAGTGTGTGAGTTCCTTAAGAGCATGCATGCTGGGCCAGGCATGGTGGCTCATGCCTGTAATCCCAGCACTGTGGGAGACTGAGGCGGGCGGATCATGAGGTCAGGAGTTCAAGACCAGCCTGACCAACATGGTGAAACCCTGTCTCTACTAAAAATACAAAAATTAGCTGGGAGTGGTGGTGCGCACCTGTAATCCCAGCTACTCAGGAGGCTGAGGCAGGAGAATCACTGGAACCCAGGAGGCAGAGTTTGCAGTGAGCCGAGATCGTGCCACTGCACTCTAGCCTCTGTCTCAAAAAAAAAGAAAAAACAAGGCGTGCATGCTGTAGTCTGTGTGTATGTCTGTTTTTGTTCTCCTCCTTAACACTAGTCAGTCTTGTGTAACCAGGCTGGCCCTGCTTCCTGCTTAGAAGCTATTGGTGTATCATCTGGAGCTGCAAATAGGGTGATAGGGCGTCAGTAGCCTTCCCACACTCAAGAGCTTCCTGACACCCAGCCCCTCATCTCCAGCCAGCCTCTGGCTACCCCAGGAATCTTGGGGCTCAGGCCTAACACTCCAGCATAGAGGGCTTTGCCCTTCTGGTGTACTCTCGCTTGGAGGCATCTTGGAACAGGGGTACAACAGAGCTCTGGAAGTGCTGTCTGTTGCATCGATACCCCACTGCCACTTTCGTCCACCTTCCTGGGGCAGAATCCTGGGATGGGTCTTTATTTAAGACAAAAGGGAGAGAGAAGGCATAGAGGCTAGGCATGGTGGCTCACTCCTGTAATCCCAGGACTTTGGGAGGCCGAGGCTGGTGGATCACTTGAGGTCACGGGTTTGAGACCAGCCTGGCCAACACGGTGAAACCGTCTCTACTAAAAATACAAAAAAAATTAACTGGGTGGCAGTGTGCACCTGTAATCCCAACTACTTGAGAGGCTGAGGCAGAAGAATCACCTGAACCCAGGAGTCGGAGGTTGCAGTGAGCCGAGATCACGCCACTGCACTCCAGCCTCCAGCCTGGGCAACAGAGGGAGCTCCGTCTCAAAAAAAAAAAAAAAAAAGAGAGAGACAGAGAAGAAAAAAAGAAAGAGAGAGAGAAGAAAAAAAGAATGCATAGAGGCCATCTGTGTGACCCTGGGCAAGTCATTTTCCCTGCTTCACTCCTTGGGACTCAGCCTGTGAACGGGGACAGTGCTTCTTCCTTACAGCGCTGTTGTGAGAATTTTCATTGAAAATGCACCTGTGGTGGTTGTAAGGAGTGACTGGTTCCCCCAATCCTGACCCCTCCTGCAGAATGGGGCCTGGGCCCAGGGACAGGGCATGGGCTGGCAGAGGGTGCCCGTCCTAGAGAGGAGCCTTCTTGGTGGACGTGGAGACCTGGCTAAGTCAGAGTCCGGATCAAAGTTTGAGGGTGCATCTGACACCCTGCAGCCACGAGTCTGCAGCTGGGTCAATCGGCCTTTCTGAGCTTCAGTTCCTTATCAGTAAACCCTGGGCAGTGGTGCCCAGCGTCTTTCACAGGACACTGTGTGAGTGCAGATGGAGACCCGCTGAGCACTCCGCTGGGGAGCAATTCATGGGGAGCACCCCTCCAGAGAGGGATGGCTCGCACAGGCCCTCAGCCCAGCCCCTTGCAGGCTGGACCTTGGAGAGTGAGGCCCTGAGGCAAGACATGGGCACCTGGCTCCTGGCCTGCACCTGCGTCTGCACCTGTGTCTGCTCGGGAGTCTCTGTCTCGGGGGATGGACGAGGTGAGGGCTGGGCACTAGTGTCTGTATGAGGTGTGTGGAGAACTAGGGCATGTTTGGGGGACTGGTTTGTCCGATGTTGAGACCCTAGGGAAAGGTTTGGCCCAAACTGTGCTGGGGCATGTCCTCTAGGGTTCAGCCTGGACCTCAGTCTCTATTCTTGCTTCCTTTACCTCCCTATCTTCAGTCCCTGGACAGACCTTAGTCTCCCTTCCTTCACCCTCTTGACGCCTCTCTGGGTCTGACTTGCCTGTGTACCACGGGTCAGAGCCCATCACTTCCCAGGCCTCTCAGTGCTTTCTTGGACAGATTCTGGGATCATTCACTGGTGACTGCCCTGCTAGGGTGTCAGCTGTCAGATCCCCCCGCAACCCCCCAACTCAGCTCTGCCCTCGAGCACTCACTGTGGGCTCCCGACCGTCACTGTCTCCAGGGCCAAGGGCTGGAACCTCCACCTGCCTCACCAACAACATTCTCAGGATCGATTGCCACTGGTCTGCCCCAGAGCTGGGACAGGGCTCCAGCCCCGGGCTCCTCTTCACCAGGTGACCTTGGAGGGCCATGCCCACCTGGACAGGGATGAGGGTGAGGTCCCCAGGATGGCAGCAGATATGCCAGGATAGTGTAGCAGCCCCGTGGTGCTGACACATGCCCTTTCCAGCAACCAGGCTCCTGGTGGCACACGTAAGTGCACCTTGCGAGGCAGTGAGTGCACCGTCGTGCTGCCGCCCGAGGCAGTGCTCCTGCCGTCCGACAGTTGCATCATCACTTTCCAAATGCGTGTCTGGGAGGGAGCAGGTCAGCCTGGTGGACCCGGAGTACCTGCCCTGGAGACACGGTGAGCAGCGGCTATAGGCCTGGGGCAGGGCCCTTTGGCAAGAACATCCTGGCTGCCTGGGGGCTGGGAGCAGGGCCCTGCAGCCTGTGACCCCTGAGGCCCAGTGAGTGTTCTCAGTCCCAGCCAAGTGAGATCCAGGGCTGGGGGCAGGCTTGGCCCCTGGGAGGGGAGGGCCGACGTGGTGACGGCAGGGGCAGGGTTTTGTAGAAAATAAAGATGCAGGGCTGCTAGTTGGGGCAGGGGCTGGCACTTGAGTCATGTGAAATGCACTTCGGTCATACCAGGAAGGACTGCCAGCAGCAGACTGTGAAGGAAAGGGGAAGCAAGATTTAGAAACCACCTAGTCTAGCTGCAGAGGCCAGAGGAAGTCATTGCTGTCCTGTCCCTCCCGAAGGTTTTCTGGACCAGTCTCCCAGTGAGGTGCCTGGTCTGAGAGGGCCTTGACCATGCCCCTTGGGAATCTTTCAGATCCCCGGTCTTGGATGTGCTGACTGACACACCCAGACCTATGGGGCTTCAGCCTTACGTAGACTCACTCTGTTCCAGTGAAGCTGGACCCACTCTGACTTGCAGGGCAACATCAGCTCTAGCCACTGCATCCTGACCTGGAGCATCGGTCCTGCCTTGGAGTCGAGGACCACACTTCTCAGCTATGACCTATGGCCTTCGAGAGGCAGGAAGAGGCCTGGGAGGTAACGCTTTGGCTGGCTTCCCCTGGGGGCCTCCCTCCTGGGAGCAGCAGTCCAGGGCAGGCTCCCCACTCTAAATAAGGAGAGGTCAACTTGGGGTGAAGAGGAGGGGAGGAGCTAGAGCCAGACGTGTGTGTGCACATGCTGACATGCACATGTGTGTGCCTCGTGTGTGTATGTGAGTAGGGTGAGTGCTCCTGTGTTTATGTGTGTGCACATGTAAGTGTGCCCGTGTTTGTGTTTGTACATGAGTGTGTGCCTCGTGGTTGTATACGTGAGTGCACTTGGGCATGCCTACAGGTATGAGTGTGTGTGTGAGTGTGGTGAGTTGCTTCTGTGCACACACTTGTGTTTATGAGTGTGATGCAAGTGTGATGAGTGTGAAAGTGCCTGTAGACACGTTTGCCTGTGTGTGCCTATGTGTATTTGTGGGCAAACGCAGCTGTGTCTGCGTGTGACTGTGAGTGTGCCTTCTCCGTGTGTGTGTGCACATGAACCTGCTGAGTGTGCTTGTGTGAACACAGATGTGTTCCTGTGTGTTATGTGAGCGTGTGCGTGTGTGTATTCTCGAGGGGGACCCAGCCCCACCTTCAGCACCTGCTAACTGTCGCCACCCCCACAGTGGGCCCAGCACAGGGATCACATCGTTGGGGTGACCTGGCTCATACTTGGAGCCTTTGAGCTGGACCCTGGCTTTATCCATGAGGCCGGGCTGCGTGTCCAGATGGCCATGCTGGAGGATGACGGGGCACAGGAGGAGCGTTACACAGGCCAGTGGAGCGAGTGTAGCCAGCCCGTGTGCTTCCAGGCTCCCCAGAGACAAGGTGGTCGCTGCTACGGCTGCTGCACTTCCAGAGTCTGGGCTGGGCATCCTCTCCCCTGATCACCTCACCCCTGCACCCTTTCAGCCTCCTGGAAGGCCCTCCCTGAGGCAGCCATGCCCCACTTTGACCCCCTTCCTCGGAAGCTCTGAGGTCTGCAGGGAGGAAACAAACACCTGCCAACTCTGGGGCTTCCTGGGAACCCATAGTCAGTGGCTCCTCTTAGCAGTGAGGGTGGCAGGGCTGCACACCAGGGCTGGTGCTCCTGCCTGGAGGCTGGACATGACCTCAGTGTCCTTAGTGAGGGCTGGGCTGACCCTTGCGCACTGCAGTGCTGAGACGGCCCAGGGACCTTATGACCCACCATGTGGCAGATGGGAAGAGTGAGGCCCAGGAGTGGGGCTCACACAAGGTCCTTCAGCAGGTGACACAAACCTCCAAGGCCCATCACAAGGTCCTTCAGCAGGTGACACAAACCTCCAAGGCCCATCACAAGGTCCTTCAGCAGATGACACAAACCTCCAAGGCCCATCACAAGGTCCTTCAGCAGATGACACAAACCTCCAAGGCTCATCACAAACCTTCCACTTTGGCCCAGGGCACTAAAGGGCGCACCTTTGCCAGGTGGGTTTGGGGGGAGCCTCCTGGCACTGAGGCTGCTCACAGCCCTGGGCCCTTCCTGCCCACGGGCCCTCTGATCCCACCCTGGGGGTGGCCAGGCAACACCCTTGTTGCTGTGTCCATCTTTCTCCTGCTGACTGGCCCGACCTACCTCCTGTTCAAGCTGTCGCCCAGGTAGGTGGCTGATGTGTGCGTGTGTGTACATGTGTGAGCGGGCAAGAGTGTGCATGTTAGTGTATGTGTGCAGATGTGTGACTGTGTGCATGTGTGAGTGTGTGGTGGGTGGGCCGTCAAGGGCCGCCCTTGTCTGGTTCCTCCCCTCCCCTCTCCACTGCCTGGACCTGGACGGGGTGGGCTTTTCGAGTCTCCACCCTGGTCCAGAAGAGGGTTCTCAACTTGCCAGGGGAGAGCAGGGAAGGGGGGTCTGAGGCAGAGGCTGAAGATAAGGGCAGCTTGGTCCCGACCAGACCCAGAGTCACCGAGATCAAGAGCCGGAGGTCCTAGTCTCCTGCCTCTGGAGGAGCTTGGTTTGTTCATTTGTTCACACGTTATATGAAAGGTCAGTTGGGGCATCTGGTGTACACAGGACCCTCTTCTCACCCTGGCCGATGCCTTAGAGAACAAGATGGACAAGGACCCTCCTTAAATAAACCGTCACGCCTCATGCACCACATGTCAGGTTACAAGAGGGAGTGCAGGGGCCATGTCAGGCCGAGGATGTGAGGAAGAGGGTGTGGGGAGAGGGGTGTTGGGTGGGGCTAAGTGGGAGGGTGCTTCGCTTCTCCTTGGAGCAAAGGAAAGTGTAAAACTGTGTGACACAACCTAGTTTATGTTTTGAGGAATAGATTGCTGGGACAAGGGGACATGGGGGACCTGCTGGAGGCCAATGGGGGCCAGTGAGGTGCCCACAGGGAGACGATTTGGCATGAGCCAGTGAAAGAAGTGGAGATAGAGAAAAGTGGAGAGAATTGCAGGGTCTCATGAGGGGAAATAGAAGGGACATGTGGGTGGATGAGATATGAGTGGTGAACCCTGAGGTGGGGAAATGGGGCACAGCCTTGCGGGGAGGTTGGCGAGGTCTATTTGCACCTGTTGGGTTGGAGCCCCAGGTGACATCCTTGTGGGAGGGTCAGTGGATCCTTGGCAGCAAGTCTGGTGCTCAGGGAGACACTGGGTGGGGTGGGAGCCACAGACCTTCTGCTGATGGCAAAGACAGGGTTCCTGGAGGTGCTGGCTCCCTCTGTGATCTGAGGACCCAGCTAGTAACTCCCCGTTCTGAACCCGCCATCGCAGCTCACGCTGTAAAGGACGCGCGCCTCAGTATAAATCAGTTCTATGCGGCCGTTAGGCAAGGAGGCCCAGTTGGGTCCTGCCCTGAGAGTGGGTTGGAATGTGATGAGATGGGAGAGAGGCAGTGGCAGGGACGAGGTGGGCCTCCTGCTGATGGAAGGAAGCTCAGCCTCTGCAGTGACCTCAGGCCACCTGGGTCGCCATAGGCCTCTGACTGGCCTCTCTTGGCCTCAGGGTGAAGAGAATCTTCTACCAGAACGTGCCCTCTCCAGCGATGTTCTTCCAGCCCCTCTACAGTGTACACAATGGGAACTTCCAGGTGTGTGCAGAGACCACAGCAGGACATGGGGGGCAGGGGTTGCCCAGAGCTCTGGCCTGCCCAAGATGTTGGCTTTCATGAGGGTTGGCGGCCAGTATGGGAGGCTTGTCAGTGCTTGGAGCCTTTTTTGTATATTCAGTGAATTTCAATTTATACGCGGATCTCAAATGGGGAAAAATTAGCTTTATTTTCCATTGCTGATTTCTTTTTGTTCTCAGGTCTCTAGTTCCATTGTTGATTGAAAAAATGTAAATTTCTCATGACTTATCTCTGTCCCCTCTGGTTTGCAGCTTTCTGCACCCACCATGTGCCTCACCTCCTCCTTCTGCGAAGGTGTCTGTCCTGTGGCCATGGGGAAGGGTCTGTGGTGTGTGTGCTGCCCTTGGGGCTCTCACTGCCTCTGGGCTCCTGCTCTGCCTGGTCCCCTGGTCTCCCCGGATCACATGATGGCACCACAGCTGAGGAGTGGGCTCTGCACTTCCCCCCCTTCCACTCATGTTGGGCTCCTACAGCCCAGGCACCAGTGAGCAACTTGGGGGTTGCATCAGCCCCTCCCCTCCCTGCTGGGCTGTTGGTTCATGCCCCCTGGGTGGGAGGAGGGGGAGAGGGAGAGCTCCAGTGAGTGGTCTCTGGTTTTTCCCCTCAGACTCCTCACTTTGGGCAAAGGACAAGAGGCAGTGAGGGCCCCTCCCTGGGGTCTGGGCCAAGCTGACCACTCTTCTCCAGAATCTTCCCTCCCTGTCCCCTTCACACTGTGGCTCCAGCTTACTATGCAGAAAAATCCTTTTCTCTCTCAATGAGGAGCCTAGTTTTCAAGATTTTTGTCCAAAAATATAATTTGAACCATGAACCGGGCATCTGGCTCTTGGCAGAGTCTCCCTCTTTCCCCAAGGTGGTAGATGTGACTGTCAGGAGTCTGGGCAGCTGACGACAAGGCTGAGCAGGTCAGATTGTGACTGTTCCCTGGACTGTCATCCTGTTGCGGGCACCAGCTGTTCCCTAGAGAACTAGGACACCTGCCACGGGTTATTTAGACCCGCGGGTGAGGATCTGGTGCCATAGGTTGGTCTCCAGGGAGCACTGCAGTGATGGAGGGTGTTGTGTGTGTGATGCATGGGATGGAGGCTCCTGGTCCCACCAAGGGAACAGCTTCCTTTTGGAGGCGGGGGCCTCCTGTGGCCCCACAGAAGGATCCAGGTCTGCTGGCCATAGCCGAGTGCTTTGAAAGTCACCAGTCCTGACAGCGATTCGTGTGTGTGTCTGTGTGTGTGTGTGTGTGTGTTTATGTGTCTGTGTGTGTTCGTGTGTGTGTCTGTGTGTGTGTGTGTGTATGTCTGTGTGTGTGTGTATATGTGTGTGTGTCTGTGTGTGTTTATGTCTGTGTGTGTTTGTGTGTGTGTCTCGTGTGTGTGTGTCTGTGTGTATCTGTGTGTGTTTGTGTGTGTGTGTGTCTCTGTGTGTGTGTGTGTTTGTGTATGTTTGTGTGTGTGTGTGTGTGTGTTGGGAATGCCCAGTCTCTGCAGCTGCTGAAAGGCCCTGAGGCACATGCTGTCAGGAGCTGGCTCTGTCCTGGGCAGATATCACCATCTGTACCTTGGTTCAGGCTGCCGTGGGCACCAGGCCCTGTGCTGGGGGAGTGCTGAGGAGCCTGAAGGGACTCAGGGTCCCGTGATGAGGCTGGGCTGGCACATGGAGGAAAGACAGAATGTCCAAGACACAGGCGCTGCTTGGCCTCTGGGTGTGGACCTCAGGAGGGCTTCCTGGAGGAGGAGGGATGCTGGGCTTGCCAGAAAGGAGGCAGCTGCTCCCAGGATGAGTTCTAAACATGCTGCCTGAGCCTTTCCCTCCTCCCGTGCTCTGTTCCAGACTTGGATGGGGGCCCACAGGGCCGGTGTGCTGTTGAGCCAGGACTGTGCTGGCACCCCACAGGGAGCCTTGGAGCCCTGCGTCCAGGAGGCCACTGCACTGCTCACTTGTGGCCCAGCGCATCCTTGGAAATCTGTGGCCCTGGAGGAGGAACAGGAGGGCCCTGGGACCAGGCTCCCGGGGAACCTGAGCTCAGAGGATGTGCTGCCAGCAGGGTGTACGGAGTGGAGGGTACAGACGCTTGCCTATCTGCCACAGGAGGACTGGGCCCCCACGTCCCTGACTAGGCCGGCTCCCCCAGACTCAGAGGGCAGCAGGAGCAGGAGCAGCAGCAGCAGCAGCAGCAACAACAACAACTACTGTGCCTTGGGCTGCTATGGGGGATGGCACCTCTCAGCCCTCCCAGGAAACACACAGAGCTCTGGGCCCATCCCAGCCCTGGCCTGTGGCCTTTCTTGTGACCATCAGGGCCTGGAGACCCAGCAAGGAGTTGCCTGGGTGCTGGCTGGTCACTGCCAGAGGCCTGGGCTGCATGAGGACCTCCAGGGCATGTTGCTCCCTTCTGTCCTCAGCAAGGCTCGGTCCTGGACATTCTAGGTCCCTGACTCGCCAGATGCATCATGTCCATTTTGGGAAAATGGACTGAAGTTTCTGGAGCCCTTGTCTGAGACTGAACCTCCTGAGAAGGGGCCCCTAGCAGCGGTCAGAGGTCCTGTCTGGATGGAGGCTGGAGGCTCCCCCCTCAACCCCTCTGCTCAGTGCCTGTGGGGAGCAGCCTCTACCCTCAGCATCCTGGCCACAAGTTCTTCCTTCCATTGTCCCTTTTCTTTATCCCTGACCTCTCTGAGAAGTGGGGTGTGGTCTCTCAGCTGTTCTGCCCTCATACCCTTAAAGGGCCAGCCTGGGCCCAGTGGACACAGGTAAGGCACCATGACCACCTGGTGTGACCTCTCTGTGCCTTACTGAGGCACCTTTCTAGAGATTAAAAGGGGCTTGATGGCTGTTCCAAAGTGTTGATGGCTGGGAGAAGGGGCCAGAGGAGGAGTGAGGGGTGGGGTTTGTCCAGCCCTGGGCTTTCCGGGCTCTAGAGATAGCATGGTGTAGGCTCAATGACAGTTCTGGGGACAGCAAGTTGGAGGTTCAGGGGCAGCTTCAGGACAGCAGGATGGAGGCTCAGGGACAATTCCTGGGAGGCCAGTGCCCTCGTTCCTCCTTGTCCTCATCCTCCCACTTGCTCCAGGAAACTGAGAGCTGAGCCTGGAGCTTCCAGACAGTCAGTGCTGGGGGTGACCATCCAGCAGTGATGGTGGCCTGTGAAGGGTCCTGCTTCTGTCCTCAGCCTCTCATGGGGTGGGCTTGTGGAGGAGCTGTGGTCTGGAGAGAGTGGCAGTTGGAGCAGAACGTGCCTGCGTTTGTTTCCTAGGGCTGTCGTAACAAAGTGCCACAAAATGGTTAGCTTAGAACCACAGAGATTTGTTGTCTCACAATTCTGAAGTCCAGAAGTTGGAAATAAAGATGTTGGCAGTGTTCCCAACCACATGTTCTTGGGCTCCCATGAAACAGAAGTTGATATGAGGCCAAGGAAGCTTCCCAGACAAGACTTTATTAAGTCTTATGCCCCGAAAGTTTGGGCAGAAGAGAGACGGTGCAGGAGGAAGAATTCTTGGCTGACTCCCCAAGGGGAATGCATTGTGGTGTCTTAAGGAGGGTGACATACATAATTTATGAGCTACATGAGTGTCATTGCACGTATGGGGTGGAGTGAAGGGTGCTCAGACGCATGCTAACACATACGTTGCATGATCAGAAAATGGCAGATAAGCCCCTCCCTGGGTGAGGACTTTAGTATTATCATAAGACCAGGGTCATTCTCCTGGCCTTGTGCACAAGCAGGTGATGGAGTCAACTCCCGTCAGTAAGACTTATGGCGGGATGCTGCTTATCTTAGTTTATTTCAGACAGTTGGCAAGGTCTGGCCAGCGAGTATGGCACCTGGAGGGTGGTGCTGCAAGGTCTAGTGGTCAGCGGGCACGTATGGAACAATACGTTAGTGGGGGTGGGCCGAGTCCCATTTATACTCTCTCAGCAGGGCCATGCTCCCTCTGAAGGCACTAGGGAAGGATTAGTTTCAGGCCTCTCTTCAGCTTCTGTTAGTTTCTTGGCTTGTGACACCAAAGCTGTAATCTTTCTTTTGTTTTGTTTTTGTGACGGAGTTTTGCTCTTGTTGCCCAGGCTGGAGTGCAATGGCACAATCTCGGCTCACTGCAACCTCCTCCTCCCAGGTTCAAGCAATTCTTCTGCCTCAGCCTTTGGAGTAGCTGTGATTACAGGCGCCTGCTACCACGCCTGGCTAGTTTTTGTATTTTTAGTAGAGACGGTGTTTCGCTATGTTGGCCAGGCTGGTCTCAAACTCCTGATATCAAGTGATCCGTCTGTCTCTGCCTCCCAAAGTGTTGGGATTACAGGCATGAGCCACCGTGCCTGGCCAAAGTTCCAGTCTTTACAGGGATTTTTCCTTGTGTGCATTTCTGTGTCCAAATTTCCCCTTTTTAAAATCACAATAATAGTGAATTAAGGCTGGCCCTAACGATTTAATCTTAACTTGATCATCTGCAAAGACACTATTTCCATATAAGGTCACATTCACAGCTACTGGGGTTAGGACTTCAACCTAGAGGGCCTGACTTCTGGCCCAACACATCATGGCCCATCCCAGCATGCCCCATCCCCTTCCTGGGTGCCCCAGGCAGATCACAGGAGGGCCTGACTGCTGGGCTTTGGGCTGACATTGGGATCATCTGCCTAGTTAGGGCTGTGACCAGACTGAGATAGGAGGTGGGACCTGACTCCTGAGGCAGGGCTTGAACTCTGGACCAGATTACAGACTAGCTGAAACAGGCAAAAGCACCCCTCCATAAGACACACCCACTGGTGCCAAGTGAGTTTGCCGTTCTCATGGTAACAGCTGGAAATTACTGCCCCTTTCCATGGCAATGACCTGAAAGTTACCACCCCTTTTCTAGAAATTTCTAAATAACCTCCTCCTTAATTTGTATATAGTTACAAGTGGGTATAAATATGTGTGCAGAACTGCCTCTGAGCTGCTACTCTGGGCTCACTGCCTATGGGGCATCCCTGCTCCATAAGGAGCAGTACCTCTGCTGCCACTGTGCACAGCTGCTTAAATAAAAGTTGCTCTCTAATACCACCGACTCGCCCTTGAATTCTTTCCTGGGTGAAGCCAAAAGCCCTCCTGTGCTAAACCCCAATTTCTGGGCTCACCTTTCCTGCATCAAGAGTGTTTTGGGGCTGGGAGCGCTGAAGTTTTGAAGGCAGGATGAAATGGAGACTGTTAGCTCCCTGGGTCCTGAGCTACAGGGAGCAACTCTCCTGGGTGCTCTCATGCTTCCTGCAACCTGAGCAGAAAGAAGTACCTGTAGCCTGATGCCCCCAAAGGCAAAAGCCCCTTCTGGCTCAGATAGGCAGCCCTCCCACCCTGCATGCCTGCAGAGCTTCTGGGGTTTTGTGGGGAGCCTCAGCAGAGCTGGATCCTGGTCTGTGGGGGCGAGGCAGGCCCCAGAATGTATCTTTAGCATCCAGAGAGTGGGAGGGGTGTGGACGGAAGCGAGGTACAGGCATCCTCAGCTCTAACCAAGTATAAAAATACTAGTGTGAATCCACTTCCTGGAGCTGGGCTCTGGGGAGCCCCGGGCTAGTGTATTTATAACAGGGGCTGTGTGGCTCATGAGGCTCCATGTGTGACCTGGGCTACCTCATGATCACATAAACGAACCCACAATTGGGATGCCTCTCCTGTGTGGCCTGGACACGTCTTCATTCAACTCATAAACTTTCCCTGAGTGGGCCCTGGAGAGCTGGTTCTGGGCTGGAACCTGAGAGTGAAGCCACTGGAGGCTGTGTAATTTGTAGGTGAGTCACTCAGTCACCTAAGCCTGGCCCTCCCCTCTGCACAGGGTGCTAGCCATACCTAGCAGACTGCTGTGAGTTCACCTGAGCAAGACACCTGCACACAGTGGTGCTCAGAAAAAGCTAATAATTCCTTATTGGAATGAGACAGGCCTGGCATGGTGGCTCATGCCTGTAATCCCAGCACTTTGAGAGGCTGAGGCAAGCAGACTGCTTGAGCCCAGAAGTTTGAGACCAGTCTGGGCAACATGGCAAAACCCTATCATCTCTATGAAAAATACAAAAATAATTAGCTGGGCATGGTTGTTCAGGCCTGTAATCCCAGGTACTCGGGAGGCTGAAGTAGGAGAATCACTTGAATCCGGGAGGCAGAGGTTGCAGTGAGCCGAGATCACGCCACTGCACTCCAGCCTGGGCAACAAAGTGAGACTCCATGTCAAAAAAAGAAAAGAGGCCAGGAGCAGTGGCGCATGTCTGTAATCCCAGCACTTTGGGAGGCCGAGGTGGGTGGACCACAAGGTCAGGAGTTCAATACCAGCCTGGCCAAGATGGTGAAACCCCATCTCTACTAAAAATATATAAAAAAAAAAAATTAGCCAGGCATGGTGGTAAGTGACTATAATCCCAGCTACTTAGGAGGCTGAGGCAGAGAATTGCTCAAACCCAGGAGGTGGAGGTTGCGGTGAGCCGAGATTGCGCCACTGCACTCCAGCCTGGGAGACAGAGCGAGACTCCGTTTCAAAAAAAAAAAAAAAAAAAGGAAAAAAGAAAGAAAAGACCCCAGGACCATACATATTTACAGCTCAGTATTAACTAACCTTAATGAAATATGATTTTATTTAAAATGGTCAAGGTAAAGGAAAAAAAAGAGTAGTGACTTTCTTCAAGTAATTTTATGGTATAATATCAAAGCTTGATATAGTTAATACATTTCATCTAATATAGGAATGAGAATGCTTATAAAGCAGACGTCATTTTATGTACCATTACAAATACACTGCCAATTAAACAGACTTTCTCAACAAAAGACTGTTGTTGACGAGGTCACTTCCATTAGACACACAAAATGGTTTGTTTTTGTTTTCATTTGTTTTTGTTTTTTGAGACAAGGTCTCGCTCTGTCGCCCAGGCTAAATGCAGTGGCCTGAGAATGATAATGTGCCTGCTTTTCCATTTCCTGTGTTGTTTCCACTGCGTTAACAAAAGAGCCTTAAAACACAAAGCACTGGCCGGGCCCAGTGGGTCACGCCTGTAATTCCAGCACTTTGGGAGGCCGAGGTGGGTGGATCACCTGAGATCAGGAGTTCGAGACCAGCCTGATCAACATGGAGAAACACCGTCTCTACTAAAACTACAAAATTAGCCGGGCGTGATGGCGCATGACTGTAATCCCAGCTACTCGGGAGGCTGAGGCAGGAGAATCGCTTGAACCCGGGAGGCAGAGGTTGCAGTGAGTCGAGATCGCGACATCGCACTCCAGCCTGGGGAGCAAGAGCGAAACTCCTTCTCAAAAGAAAACAAAACAAAACAAACACCGAGCACTCATCTAGGGGCGCCTGTTTCATTGGCCTTAGACTGTGGTGCCTGCTGGTCCCCGACCTCACGAGGGCGTCTCTGTGTTCCTCCTCCTTTCCCCGTACCAGGGTCAGCCCCAGGTGTCCCGGAGATGCAGCCCCAGGTGTCCCAGAGATGTCCTCATCGCGGACGTGGCCCCAGGTGTCCTCAGGTGTCTCGAAGCCATGGCCCCTCCTGGGTGGGTCCTGAGGAGAGAAAACTCCGTCCTCACAGTCCTCACACCCAGGGATGCCGCTGTACGGATCAGACGCAGTTCTACTGTGGCGCTCCGGGTTTGGCCGGGCCCCCTAATGGCAGCCGTGGAGAATCCCTGAAAATTAGCGTTTGGATTTTTCCATGCCGTGATTTTGGAAATTTCAACTGACATGGAGCCCACCATCCCGTGCCCCGATCGAAACCCATGGAGACAGCAAGCAAAGAAGATGGCCAGTTCACGCCTGTAATCCCAGCACTTTAGGAGGCCGAGGCAGGAGGATCACTTGAGCTCAGTGAGTTCGAGACCAACCTGGCCAACATGGTGAAACCCCCGTCTCTACTAAAAATACAAAAAAAAAAAAAAAAAAAAAAATTAGCTGGGCGCCGTGGCGCACAACTGTATGTAGTCCCAGCTACTTGGGAGGCTGAGGGAGGAGAATCGCTTGAGCCCAGGAAGCGGAGGTTGCAGTGAGCAGAGATTGCACACCTGCACTCCATCCTAGTCGACAGAGTGAGGCTTCCTCTCAAAAAGAAAGAGGGCAGGGCATGGTGGCTCACACCTGTAATCCCAGCACTTTGGGAGGCCGAGGCGGGCAGATCACGAGGTCAGGAGATTGAGATCATCCTGCTCAACGTGGTGAAACCCCGTCTCTACAAAACATATAAAAATTAGCTGGACATGGTGGCCTGCTCCTGTAGTGCCAGCTTTGGGAGGCTGAGGTAGGAGAATCGCTTGAACCATGGAGGCAGAGGTTGCAGTCAGCGGAGATTGCGCCACTGCACTCCAGCCTGGGTGACAGAGCGAGACGCCGTCTCCAAAAAAAAAAAAAAAAAAAAAAAAACAAAAAGCAAAAAACAAAATCAAAAACAAACATCCAGCACTGATCCCAGGGGCCTGTTTCCTCGGCCTCAGGCTGATCTCCCGACAGCGTCTCCGCGTTCTTCCTCCTCTCCCGGTACCAGGGTCTCTTCCCAGAAAGAAACTCACATCCGTAACCTGCATCTTGGCCTGCACTGGGGGTGACCCGCCCAAGCCTCCATGAAGGGGAATCTCCTACAAAGTGAGGTCCTGCTACAAAGTGCACGACGGGAAATGCAGCCGCGCTCGCTCCGCCACACTCACAGCGGGGGCGGGAAGCCTTTTCCTCACCTTGGCCTCGGCCCCAAGTGGTGTCCCGGAGATGCAGCAGCGTCTCCCAGTCCTCACCGCGGACGCCGCCCCAGGTGTCCCCAGGTGTCCCCAGGTGTCTCGAAGCCGCGGTCTCTCCCATGCGGGTCCTGGGGAGAGGAAGCTCAGTCCTCATAGTGGCCGCAAAGTGACTGCCGCTGTGTGGATGAGACGCGGTGCGTGCACGGCGCCCCGAGTTGCCAGGGGCCATGCGCCCCCTTGCGGCAGCCATGGGGAGTCTCTGAAAATCAGCGTCTAGATTTTTCCAGGCTGTGGATTTTGGAAATTACGACTGAAATGGAGCCCACCATCCCATGCCTTGATCGGAACTCATGGAGCAAGGAAGCAAAGAAGATGGCCAGTTCATGCCTGTAATCCCAGCATTTTGGGAGGCTGAAGCGGGCGGATTACTTCAGGTCCAGAGTTTGAGACCAGCCTGGCTAACATGGTGAAACCGCGTCTATACTAAAAATACAAAAATTAGCTGGGCATGGCGGCACGTGCCTGTAATCCCAGCTACTCAGGAGGCTGAGGCAGGAGGATTGCTCGAACCCAGGAGGCGCAGGTTGCAGTGAGCCAAGATCATGTCACTGCACTCCAACCTGGGTGACAGAGCCAAACTCCATCTCAAAAAAAAGATGGCCAGTAGGCAAAACTTAATTGATTTTCTTTCTTTTCTCTTTAAGAGACAGGGTCTCGCTCTGTCACCCATGCTGAAGTGCAGTGGTGTAATCACAGCTCCCGAGTTCAGCCTCCAGCTCCCGGGTTCAAGAAATTCTCCAGCCTCAGCCTCCCAACACACTGGGATTACAGGTGTGAACAACTGTGTCCGGCACCACCTGATTTTCCTTTATTTATTATTTTATTTTTTATGGGCGGGGCAGGTCTAACTATGTTGCCCAGGCTGGTCTAGAACTCCCAAGCTCAAATGATCCTCCCAACTAGGCCTCCCAAAGTGCTAGGATTACGGGCGTGAGCCACCACACACTGCCTGATTTTCTTTCTATCATCAGCAATAATGTATAGGAATAATTTGAACTTGAAATTTGAAAAAAATACCATTTACAATAGCATTCCCAAAATTTAATTTATTAGGTATAAATCTAACAAAATACATACAAATATGCATTCAGAAAACTTTAGATCACGGTTGAGAAGAATAAAAAATATTAAATAAATGCAGATACTCCTTGTTTAGGAGCAGTACACTCATTATTGTTAGCTTTACCACAAAGCTAAAGCAATGAAGAGAGTGATATTGGTGAAGGAATGGACAAACAGCTCAACAGAACACAATACAGAACCCAAAAAACCCGAGTAAATACATTCAATTGATTTTGTCAAAGGGGCAAAAGCAATTCACTGGGGAAAGAAAAGTCTGTTCCACAAATGGCAATAGACAATCGGAAACCATACGGAAAACACTGAATGTGGACAAAAACTTCATAGCTCACCCCCAAAAAATCACTCAAGATAGTCTGTAGCCTTAAATGATCAAATATAAAATTGTAAAAGTTTTATAGAAGAAAATCCACGTGACTTTGGGTTGGTGATGAGTTCTTAGATACAATACCAAAAGCCAGTCCATAAAAGAAAAAAAATGATAATTTGGACATCATTAAAATTTAAAATGACTACTCTGTGAAATATCCTGCTAAGAGAATCAAAAAATAAGGCACACACTGAGAGAAAATATTTATAAAACAAGCCTGAAAAAAAGACTTGCATGCAAAATATACAAAGACATTCTAATACTCAACAAGAAGAAAAACAACCCAATTAAAAGATAAAGACATGGAATAGGAACAGCTCCAGTCTACAGCTCCCAGCCTGAGTGACGCAGAAGATGGGTGATTTCTGCATTTCCAACTGTGGTACTGGGTTCATCTCACTGGGGCTTGTCAGACAGTGGGTGCAGCCCACCAAGCTTGAGCCGAAGCAGGGCGAGACATCGCCTCACCCGGGAAGCACAAGGGGTCAGGGAATTCCCTTTCCTAGCCAAGGGAAGCTGTGACAGATGGCACCTGGAAAATAGGGTCACTCCCACCCTAATACTGCGCTTTTCCAACGGTCTTAGCAAACCGCACACCAGGAGATTATATCCCACGCCTGGCTCGGAGGGTCCCACACCCACGGAGCCTCGCTCATTGCTAGCACAGCAGTCTGAGATTGAACTGCAAGGTGGCAGCAAGGCTGGTGGAGGGGTGCCCGCCATTGCTGAGGCTTGAGTAGGTAAACAAAGTGGCTGGGAAGCTTGAACTGGGTGGAACCCACCACAGCTCAAGGAGGCCTGCCTGCCTCTGTAGACTCCACTTCTGGGGGCAGGGCATAGTCGAACAAAAGGCAACAGAAATCTCTGCAGACTTAAATGTCCCTGTCTGACAGCTTTGAAGAGAGTAGTGGTTCTCCAAGCACGGAGTTTGAGATCTGAGAACAGACAAACTGCCTCCTCAAGTGGGTCCCTGACCCCCGGGTAGCCTATCTGGGAGGTACCCCCCAGTAGGGGCAGACTGACACCTCACATTGCCGGGTACCCCTCTGAGACCAAGCTTCCAGAGGAACGATCGGGCAGCAACATTTGGTGTTCAGCAATATTCACTCTTCTGCAGCCTCCACTGCTGATACCCAGGCAAACAGGGTCTGGAGTGGACCTCCAGCAAACTCCAACAGACCTGCAGCTGAGGGTCCTGACTGTTAGAAGGAAAACTAACAAACAGAAAGGACATCCACACAAAAACCCCATCTGTACGTCACCATCATCAGAGACCAAAGGTAGATAAAACCACAAAGATAGGGAAAAAACAGAGCAGAAAAACTGAAAATTCTAAAAATCAGAGCGCCTCTCTTCCTCCAAAGGAACAAAGCTCCTCACCAACAATGGAACAAAGGTGGACGGAGAATGACTTTGACGAGTTGAGAAAAGAAGGCTTCAGATGATCAAACTTCTCCGAGCTAAAGGACGAAGTTCGAACCCAGTGCAAAGAAGTTAAAGACCTTGAAAAAAAGATTAGATGAATGGCTAACTAGAATAACCAATGCAGAGAAGTCCTGATGGAGGTGAAAACCATGGCACGAGAACTATGTGACGAATGCACAAGCTTTAGTAGCCGATGCGATCAACTGGAAGAAAGGGTATCAGTGATTGAAGATCAAATGAATGAAATCGGGGTCAGGGTCAAGGGTCAGGGTCAGGGTCAGGGTCAAGGGTCAGGGTCAGGGTCAGGGTCAGGGTCAGGGTTAGGGTTAGAGTCAGGGTCAGGGTCAGGGTCAGAGTCAGGGTCAGGGTGAGGGTCAGGGTCAGGGTCAGGGTGAGGGTCAGGGTAGGGTGAGGGTCAGGGTGAGGGTCGGGGTTAGGGTTCAGGGTCGGTGTTAGGGTTCAGTGGTCCGGGTTAGGGTTCAGGGTCCGGATTAGGGTTCAGGGTCCGGGTCAGGGTTAGGGTCAGGGTCAGGGTTAGGGTCAGGGTCAGGGTTAGGGTCAGGGTTTTAGGGTCAGGGTTTTAGGGTCAGGGTCAGGGTGAGGGTCAGGGTCAGGGTGAGGACCCTTTACAGCAGATGAAGGCCTCTCCCCAGCCAGAAAAGATGGAGCACACGCTGGGTGGTGGCCCCGCTTCCTCACTGGAAGGAGATGGTGCTCTTCTTTTTTCTTTCTGAATTGTGGCCACCTTCATACCAGTCTGTCATGGAACACTTAAGCCGCTTGAGTGTCTGCTGGTACTCCCAGCCCTGCCATGCCTGAGCCCCCTGCACACAAGGAGCCAGGAGTAATCAGGGCAGACCCATTAGGGCACGGGGACTTCTGGATTGTGAAATTGGCTCTCTGGGGGCCAAGGCCTTCTAACGTTGGTGGAAGTGGCTTTGGCTTATTGGGTCGGATTCTAGGCCATTCGTTCCAACCTTTAGAGACATCCCAGCTTTCCCTAGCCCAGAGTCTGCAGCCCCTCCACCATCCCACATCCTCCCCCTCCCTTTCCTCATGAACCCCAGTCGCGCCTCTGCCTTCTCAAACCCCTCCACCATCCCACACCCTCCTCCTGCCCTTCCTCATGAACCCCAGTCGCGCCTCTGCCTTCTCATCCCTGCGCACCACACAGGCTCGCTCGTGCCCGGTGAATGCTGAGGCTGCTCTGCACGTGGAGTGTGGCCCTGTGGGCAAGGGCTGGGCTCTTGGAGGTAGGGGAGCTACAGGGGCGACTGGGAGGAGGATGTTGTGTTACACACGCATCAGAGTTAACTTTGCAGTGAGAGCGGCCTTGCTGCGGCCAAAGAACATGGAAAAGCATGAGTGGGGTGATGTGCCTTAAAGCATCAGACACTTGGGCCTCGGGCATCAGGAGCCAGCCACAGGGATGTCTGGGGAAATGGCGTTCCATGAGATGCAAGCACACAAGAATGCACTTGGCACATCTGGGGAACAGCAGGCAGCTGATATCACTGGGCCCACCCCGCACCAGGGAGGATGGAAGCAGGTGAGGAGCTAGACCACACTGAGGCGGTGGTCGGGACTCAGAGTTTGCTCAGTGAGCCGTTCACTAGGTGCAGGGGCAGTTCCCCGTCTGAATTTAGGTGACGACACTCAGGTCCAGCCTTGCCAGTCTCAGCCTCCGGTCTCCGTTCCCCCTCTGCAGAGGTCACTTTGTCTGCTGCACGTGATCATGAGGGGTTGTGAAGTGCTTGCCCCATCAGTAGCCATGTGTGCATGTGTAAATACCATCCTCTGTGTGCCCTGGAGGCTGTCCTTCAGATAGCATGTACAGGTGGCAGCATAGGGCCTGTCCCTAGTGAGAGTGCAGGGAACTCAGCACCGTCAACTCCTCGACCCTGCAGGTCAGATTATCCTTGTAGAGGCCCCCTGGATGGCACCAAGATCGGCCCTGGCAAGCAGGTGACCCTGACTTCAGAGCCCTTGCCTGAGGGCCTGGCCTGGCAGCTCTGCTGTTAGAAGCAGGAGGTGTGCAGGGGGTGGGGAGCAGCCCAGCCTCTGTGATCTTCTCCATGGCAGGATCTCCCAGCAGGTAGAGCAGAGCCGGAGCCAGGTGCAGGCCATTGGAGAGAAGGTCTCCTTGGCCCAGGCCAAGATTGAGAAGATCAAGGGCAGCAAGAAGGCCATCAAGGTAGTCCCCATGCCCCTGTGTCCTGAGGCTACTGGGCAGTCCCTCTATTTCCCCGTGCCTCTGAGGCTGCCCAGTCTCTGCCCTGCTGCCCACCTGTACCTTGGGCTTTCTTCTCGCCCAGGCTTCCAACTCCACCCTCTCCTGCCAAGCAATCCTAGCCCTCTGAGCCTCTTGGGGCCCCCTCAGACTTGTCCCTGTGTCCACAGGTGTTCTCCAGTGCCAAGTACCCTGCTCCAGAGCGCCTGCAGGAATATGGCTCCATCTTCACCGACGCCCAGGACCCTGGCCTGCAGAGACGCCCCCGCCACAGGATCCAGAGCAAGCAGCGCCCCCTGGACGAGCGGGCCCTGCAAGTCTGCTGGCTGCGCACATAACTTAGCCTGTCACACACCAGGAGGACTGGATACTGGGGAGGAGCCGGGGCCACCAAGGGTTCTGTCCCCCAGAGGAGGCTGACTGGGATGGGGTGGCAGCTGATTAGGCCCAGCACCAAATATTCACCATCCCTTGGCCATCCTGGCCCTCCCAGGAGAAGCTGAAGGACTTTCCTGTGTGCGTGAGCACCAAGCCAGAGCCCGAGGACGATGCAGAAGAGGGACTTGGGGGTCTTCCCAGCAACATCAGCTCTGTCAGCTCCTTGCTGCTCTTCAACACCACCGAGAACCTGTATGGCCAGAAGGCAGGGCCGAGGGGTGTGGGCGGTAGGCCCGGCCTGGCTTAGTGGGGACCCAGGGCATCAGACACAGGTACAGCACATAGCCCAGGAGCCAGGGGGTGACTGGGGTGGCTCGGCTCGGGAGGCCTGGGACCCCACAGTGCACACTGTGCCCCTGATGATGTGGGAGAGGAACATGGGCTCAGGACAGCGGGTGTCAGCTTGCCTGACCCCCATGTCGCCTCTGTAGGTACAAGAAGTATGTCTTCCTGGACCCCCTGGCTGGTGCTGTAACAAAGACCCATGTGATGCTGGGGGCAGAGACAGAGGAGAAGCTGTTTGATGCCCCCTTGTCCATCAGCAAGAGAGAGCAGCTGGAACAGCAGGTGGGAGGGGCGGGACAGAGGTGGAGATAGGTGCAGTGGCCCAGGGCCTTGCCAGAGCTCCTCTCCAGTCAAGGCTGTTGGGCCCCTTATTCCACCCATGGGAGGTGCACACAAGGTCTTGTTGGCTGCCCCTGCAGGTCCCTGTCACCTCTCACATGTCCCTGCCTAATCTTGCAGGTCCCAGAGAACTACTTCTATGTGCCAGACCTGGGCCAGGTGCCTGAGATTGATGTTCCATCCTACCTGCCTGACCTGCCCGGCATTGCCAACGACCTCATGTACATTGCCGACCTGGGCCCCGGCATTGCCCCCTCTGCCCCTGGCACCATTCCAGAACTGCCCACCTTCCACACTGAGGTAGCCGAGCCTCTCAAGGTAGGTGAGCTGGGTTCTGGGATGGGAGCTGGGCCGGGGACCTCCCTGCTCACACACCTTCTTCCCTAGACACCCCACACTTTGTGTTTCAGACCTACAAGATGGGGTACTAACACCACCCCCACCGCCCCCACCACCACCCCCAGCTCCTGAGGTGCTGGCCAGTGCACCCCCACTCCCACCCTCAACCGCGGCCCCTGTAGGCCAAGGCGCCAGGCAGGACGACAGCAGCAGCAGCGCATCTCCTTCAGGTGGGAGCAGCTCTTTGAGGCCACCTGATTTCTGGCGTGCTCAGTGCACTCGGGTGGATTTTCTGTGGGTTTGTTAAGTGGTCAGAAATTCTCAATTTTTTGAATAGTTTCCATTTCAAATATCTTGTTCTACTTGGTTCATAAAATAGTGGCTTTCAAACTGTAGAGCTCTGGACTTCTCACTTCTAGGGCAGAGGGAGCCTGAACAAGTGAGGCTCTGGGTTCCTCATTCCTAATTAAACCAATGGAAAGAAGGGGTCTAATAACAAACTACAGCAACACATTTTTCATTTCAGCTTCACTGCTGTATCTCCCAGTGTAACCCTAGCATCCAGAAGTGGCACAAAACCCCTCTGCTGGCTCATGTGTGCAACTGAGACTGTCAGAGCATGGCTAGCTCAGGGGTCCAGCTCTGCAGGGTGAGGGCTAGAGAGGAAGCAGGGAGTATCTGCACACAGGATGCCCGCGCTCAGGTGGTTGCCGAAGTCAGTGCCCGGGCCCCACACAGTCTCCAAAGGTCCGGCCTCCCCAGCGCGGGGCTCCTCGTTTGAGGGGAGGTGACTTCCCTCCCAGCAGGCTCTTGGACACAGTAAGCTTCCCCAGCCCTGCCTGAGCAGCCTTTCCTCCTTGCCCTGTTCCCCACCTCCCGGCTCCAGTCCAGGGAGCTCCCAGAGAAGTGGTCGACCCCTCCGGTGGCTGGGCCACTCTGCTAGAGTCCATCCGCCAAGCTGGGGGCATCGGCAAGGCCAAGCTGCGCAGCATGAAGGAGCGAAAGCTGGAGAAGCAGCAGCAGAAGGAGCAGGAGCAAGGTGAGCGGGCCCTGGAGCCTGCGGTCGGAGGGCCTTTGGGCAAGATCGCCTCCTCCCCTCCAGCCCTGAGTCCACCGGGTGCTTTCTGCCCACCCCCTGCTCCTGCCAGCTGGCCCCTGCTTCCCCTAGGGCACATGCTGGAAGCCCTGGGCCGCCACCAGAGGTCCTCAGCCCTCCTGCCTGGGCTATGGCTCCTTCCTGGTTTGGGAGCCATAGTGGAGCTTTCCTCTCTAAGCTCACCCAGCTCAAACTGTGACAGGAGAATCTTCTTCGACTGCCAAGAGCGGTCCAAGGCAATGGTCAGCCACTGCAGCCTCCTGAGATATTTTTAGAGACTGGACCTGAGGCCTCTGGAGGCTACTGATGATGCCTGCTGTGAACGCAGACACTGGTGTGATGCGATGCCTGCGCCTGCAGCGGCAGTGCCCTGGGCACTATGGTTTTGAGCTTGTACCCAGCGCTGCTTTTGCCTTGCTCTGTGACCCCAGGCAAGCTGCCTCACCTCTCTGGGCCAGTTTCCCCATCGTACAGTGGTGCTGCACACCCTGGCCCTGTCCCCGAGGTGGCTGGGAGGTGGCTCCTCAAACAGCCACTTTCTCATCAGTGCCCGGTGCTGGGTCAGGCATCGACTGAGGCTCTGAGCTAACTAGGAAACACAGTGGCCTTGGAGGGCTGGGGAGTGTCATGGGGGTGGGGACAGGGAGCCACCGGTCGCATGTGACTGAACTCTTCACCCCAGTCTGTGGCTTTCCCGTTGCAGTGAGAGCCACGAGCCAAGGTGGGCACTTGATGTCGGATCTCTTCAACAAGCTGGTCATGAGGCGCAAGGGTAGGAGGCAGGGCCGCTGCCCACCCTGGGCCGGCACATTGTAATTCTGTCCTGCCTTTTTCTTCCTGTATTTAAGTCTCCGGGGGCTGGGGGAACCAGGGTTTCCCACCAACCACCCTCACTCAGCCTTTTCCCTCCAGGCATCTCTGGGAAAGGACCTGGGGCTGGTGACGGGCCCGGAGGAGCCTTTGCCCGCGTGTCAGACTCCATCCCTCCTCTGCCGCCACCGCAGCAGCCACAGGCAGAGGACGAGGACGACTGGGAATCGTAGGGGGCTCCATGACACCTTCCCCCCCAGACCCAGACTTGGCCGTTGCTCTGACATGGACACAGCCAGGACAAGCTGCTCAGACCTGCTTCCCTGGGAGGGGGTGACGGAACCAGCACTGTGTGGAGACCAGCTTCAAGGAGCGGAAGGCTGGCTTGAGGCCACACAGCTGGGGCGGGGACTTCTGTCTGCCTGTGCTCCATGGGGGGACGGCTCCACCCAGCCTGCGCCACTGTGTTCTTCTCTTAAGAGGCTTCCAGAGAAAACGGCACACCAATCAATAAAGAACTGAGCAGAAACCAACAGTGTGCTTTTAATAAAGGACCTCTAGCTGTGCAGGATGCAAACGTCTCGGGGTCAGTGACTGCCTCCTGCCCCTGTTGGTCCCTAGGCAGTGGGGGCAGAAGCTCCCAGCTGACCTGTTTCTCTGGGATGAGAGGGAGGAGAGAAGGGCAGTCAGCAGGGGCAGCTGTTGCAGATGGGAGGAATAGTCTCCCACAAAAAAGGTTTCAGTGACAGACACGGGGTCTCTAAAAATAGTCATGCTGAGAGCCTAATGGCCCTTGGCACAATTGCTGGTGTTGGGGTAGAAGATGTCTTGGAGTTTGCTCACGTGGTTGAGAGGGAGGGAGGTGCCATCGACTTGGAGGAACTGGCACCAAGCCAGGGAGATAGAAATCCAGGCAAGGCTGTGGGGCAGGTTAGGGAGCAAGGCTGCAGGAGTGACTCAGGAAGAAGGTGGGGGAGGTGACAAGCCCCCAGGCAGGGGCCCTGTGGCCATGGGGATCTTTTTAAATGGAGACTAGGGGGTGAATAGTCCAGGGCAGCTAACTTTAGTTATTATAGAAAGGGCAGTAGCAGATGGGTCTGCTCCGTCTCGCTTCTAAGAAGGTGGGCAGGACAAATGGCAGCCTCCTGCAGAGGCCCAGTGAGAAGCCTGGCCCTCGGCCACGCAGGATGGAAGACAGATTGGATTCCACAGAGGGGAGCTGCCCTGGGAAGATCTCACGGATGGCCAGGACCCACCATTTCTTCGGGATTCCCCTGTTTTCTCCAACGGGCACTAATGCCTGTGCCTGGGTCCTGGCAACACTCTGGATTCCACACTCTCCTGGGTTTCACCTTTGTAGCAGGATCCCTGCAGACCAGGCCCATGACAAACACCGTCTCCAGCGGGCAGAGCAAAGGAAGGGCGCAGCGCCAGGCAGTGGTGCAGCTGCCTGTCAGGAAGAGGCCTACTTCTGGTGAAACTGGGCAGACAAAAGGCAGTGAGAAATGTGATCTCGGGGTGGTGGAGGCTCTAGGGAAAGGAAAAGGCAGGAGTGAACTTCCACACAGCAGCAATGGCAGAACCAAAGGTTGCTTTGACCTCCACGAGGGCTCAGATTCAGGCCAACAGCCTGTCCAGGACAGGGTGCCGGGTGTATCACTGGTCCAGGAGCACTATGCTGGCAGAATCCCTTTGGTGCCTGATGGCCCTGCCTTCATGGGAACAGAGGCTAAGGCTTTGAGTTACAGCTGCCTCCCCAACAGTGCATCCCCTTCTCCTTCCTCAGCCTCAGGTAGGAGACAGGGCAGGCAACTCCCCTTTCCTCTTCTCCCCTTCTCCAGCCCCTGTCTGTCCACCCAGCTGGAGGCAGCCAGGCTTGCCTATGGACTGGTTGACAGCCTTCATGCACAGGTTCTCCACCAGAGCCTTTCTTGGGGGCCCCTGGCCTGGGCTCTGAGCTGGGAGTGAAGGGGATGACCCATGCGGACTGTTTGCTGCTTATAGCTTTCCCTGGGAAAGACTCTGCCAGGCCTTGGAGCCAGACCAGGAGGCTTTATAGGCCACCGCAAGCAGCAGGGCTCCAGATGACATCACAGGGAAGAGCAAGAGGGTGTGGAGGGGCATCGAAGCCTCTCCAGGAGACAGGAGACGCCGGCCCAGTAGAGCCCTAGGGGTGACGCCACTCCCACTCACTGTCGACTCTCCTCTCACCTCTGCAACACTGGGGACACTCACAAGAGTGTGATCCAAGTCGGCCGTCGTCTTCTGCAGCTCTGGAGACCTGATGCTGGGGAAGGGCATGCCTGGCATCACCACACACCTGGGGGGAGACAGGAGCCTGGGGCCGGTGGGCCCACACATCACCAGCTGCTCCGTTCTACCATTTCTTCAGCCCTCTTGGCTGTGCCTGCGGCTCTGCCCCTCCCCTCTCTGCACCTACCACCCAGAGAGGGCTTGTTGAGCTCAGAGATCCCACCTAGGCCAATCCACTGGGTTCTGCGGCAGCGATGGCCTGCCTGATCTTCCACCTGCTCTCCCAGGGCCAAAGCCAGACCTGCTGAGCCCCTCCCTCCAGCCGGCTGGTCTGAGCAGTCACAGCTCGGCTTTGGGCTCCGATGGCAGCAGACGGCAGGTAGGGGTCCAGCTGCTGGAGCGAGGGCCGGCCACGTATCACAGCCAAGGAGATGAGCACAAGCACTACTTACTGGCCTAGGTTGTCAGAGAAGTTGATGCTCTCACTCATCTTTCCTCCAATCTTTCCCGTATGCCTGGTTGTGGTATTAAGTTACATGCAGACAACAGGGGCCAGAAGATGAACAATGGCCCATCCCACTCTAGGCATGGCTCCTCTCCACAGGAAAACTCCACTCCAGTGCTCAGCTTGCACCCTGGCACAGGCCAGCAGTTGCTGGAAGTCAGACACCTGCAGATCAAGACCACAGCATCAAGACCCTGTGACCTCTCAAAGGCCCGGTGGAAAGGACACGGGAAGTCTGGGCTAAGAGACAGCAAATACACATGAAGAGAAAGAAGAGGTCAAAGAAAAGGCTGACGGCAAGTTAACAAAAAGAAAAATGGTGAATGATACCCGGTGGTGGCAATCTCGTTTAAACTACATGCAGGAACAGCAAAGGAAATCCGGCAAATTTGCGCAGTCATTCTCAACACCGGCCATGCAGCAAAATCATCAGTGGAAATTTAAAAAAATACACATGGCCAGGCCCCAGCCCAAATGACTAATAAGAATCTCCAGGGCTTCACCTGCTAGACTGGCAAAAATCCAAAAGTAAACACTTTGTGGAGAAACAGGTATTCCTAGACATTGCTGGTGGGATACAGAACAGTATAATTCTGATGGTAATCAGTTAACAAATTAAACATATTTATTTTATACTTTTAAACCCAGGAATCCCATATTTAGGAGTCTACTGAGACCAAACAGCATATGCTCCGGGTGTTTCCCTATAATCCGCCACTACTGTTGGAGCAAGAGGGCCCGGCAGTGTCCCCAGCTGCCAGCAGGCGGGCGTGCTGCCACTACACTTTGAGCAAGAGGAGCCTGCAATGTCCCTAGCTGCCAGCAGGCGGCGTGCCACCACTATACAGTAAGCAAGAGGGCCCTGCAGTGCCCCGGCGCCAGCAGGGGGCGCTGGCCACCACTCTAAGCAAGAGAGCCCTGCAGTTGCCCTAGTCGCCAGCAGGGGGCGCCCTGGCACAGCACCGTGAGCAAGCGGGTCCTGTAGTGCCCGGCTGCAAGCAAGGGGCGGTCGATCCCGGCTTTTCGGATTACTGAGGTTCCACCCGTCTCTGCGCCGCGCCACCGTGACGTGAGTTTCTGCGCGTGCAACGGCGCCCCCCACCCCCCGCCCCCAGGCCGGCGCCGTGCGACTTTGCTCCTGCAACACACGCCCCCCCAACCCCCGCCCGTAGGCGTGCGTCTCTGCGCCTGCGCCACGCCTCCACCCCTGGACGCGCTAGCATGTGTCTCTGCGCCTGCGCCGGCGCGGCGCGCCCCTCTGCGCCTGCGCCGGCGCGGCGCGCGCCTTTGCGACGGCGGAGTTGCGTTCTCCTCAGCACAGACGCGGAGAGCACCGCGAGGGCGGAGCTGCGTTCTCCTTTGCACAGATTTCGGTGGTACTGCGAAGGCAGAGCAGAGTTCTGCTCAGGTCAGACCCGGGCGGGCGGGCTGAGGGTACTGCGAGGGCGGAGCTGCGTTCTGCTCAGCACAGACCTGGGGGTCACCGTAAAGGTGGAGCAGCATTCTGCTAAGCACAGACGTTGGGGGCACTGCCTGGCTTTGGGACAACTCGGGGCGCATTGACAGTGAATAAAATCTTTCCCGGTTGCAGCCGTGAATAATCAAGGTCAGAGACCAGTTAGAACGGTTCAGTGTGGAAAATGGGAAACTAAAAGCCCCTCTGAATCCTGGGCACCGAGATTCTCCCAAGGCAAGGCGAGGGGCTGCATTGCAGGGTCCAGTTGCAGCGTTGAAACACAAATGCAGCATTCCTAATGCACCCATGACAGCTAAAATATAACACCCACATTGCTCATGTGGTTAGGGTGAGGGTGAGGGTCGGTTAGGGTTAGGGTTAGGGTTAGGGTTAGGGTTA